>NC_000023.11:94962542-95587542 GCF_000001405.40 Homo sapiens | reverse complement strand
TCACTTAATTTTGCAGAATACCAACAAGAAACAGCACAACAGCATGGTAGCCTGAGGTGGTTTCAGCAGGAGTCTTTACTCCACCTTTCCAAGCGTCAGCTCAGGTATAAGTAAATCAGATCATCTGGGTTGGTGCAGAAACCACCTGGTTTAGAAGCTTCATGCTGTATGAGAACAGCTATCTCTTGAAACAGCCAATGAGTTTAGCTTCTAGGGATCTTTGCAATAAGCAACTTCATATTTAAGGAATTTACGGAATTCCAAAGTCCGTGTTTTCCAATAGGCATTTATAGTACTTGTCACAATCTTCCTGGTCCAGATACAGTTTACCAAGAAAGGGTCATTTTCAATCATAAACAATATTGCCTGGTATCACAGCTGACATTTCATTATTATTTTGCCTAGCAGGAGTCTAGAGAAATAGTGCTGAAAGGTAAACTCAAGGTCATTTTAACCAGGGATAAAGTGAAAGGGTCTGGATATTCTCTTTTGGTCTGGATATTCTCTTTGAAGAATTTATACAGTACATAATATCTTATTGCTAATATAGACATTATGTTGCATGGCAGGTTTCTAGAACTTAAATGTATTCAGACGGTAGATATCGTGTCAAATGTTCTTACCACAAAAAAAGACAAACAAAAAATAAAAAAGAATAAAAACAAAGGTACATGAGGACATTTTGGGAGGTGTTAGATATGTCTATTACCTTGATTATGGTGAGGTTATTACTGGTGTTTGTATGTCTAAACACATGAAGTTGTATATGATAAATATGTGCAGTTTTTGCATATCAATCATACCTCATTATCGTACCTTTACTAATAGCAGTCCAGGGCTGTCTCACAGTATCAGGACCCAATCTTCTATCTTGTTGCTCTGCCACTCATGGCTTCTGTTTCCAAGGTTTCTTTAAAGCCCAAGAATCCTGCTAGAGCTCTAGCCACCATATTCATGTCCCATGAGGAACAAAGAGAATGTGTAGAAAACTTCCCAAAAGCATCACTCAACACTTCTAAGTCCCTGCCAGTGGCCAGAACTTAGTCATATGGTCACAGGTACTTGCAAGAAAAGTCGGGTATATAGTGCTGACCTGAATAAATTCACAGATTCTGTTACAAAGAGATAAAGGAAGAACAGATATTGGGTCCTTCAATTAGAAATCTCTCCTACGCATACACATGGTGGGAAAAATGAGCTTTTTATTAAAAAGCTGAGACTAAAAAAGTCATAAAAACTGGGAAGATACATGTGCTTATGATTTGAAAGTGCTTTTCATCAAGGTAAGTTATTTTCCAATTAAATAGTAAAACTTTTCAAATAAGAAATTATCATCCTAGAACATTAGTTCTCTAACCTGCAAGAACATTTACATCGCCATCAATTATGAGATGTAATTGATATGAGATGCATTTTAACTTATTAGTTCTAGGTTAAACTGTATGAAATCGCTGGTTTTCTTAGTCAGAAACAATTGCATATTGGAAATTTCATAAACCTAATCTATTACAAAGCATCACAGTTTGTGAATAATTTACTTAAAAATACAAATTAGCACAGATTTAGGTTGCTGCCGTAATAAAATAACTATTACAGTTTAGTTTCAATAATCTTCATTAAGTGGGAAAGGAGTGAAATCACAACGGACATATTGGGAATTGTACCTTTATCCTTAAGCACTTCAAAATTATTTTTTGTTCCTAGATAAGATACTTATTGTGGTAGACTGAAAAATGGCACCCCAATATTTCCACGCCCTAATCCCTGGTTTTATGCCTGTGTATGTTAAGTTAAATGCCAAAGGGACTTTGTAGATGGAATTAAGGTTACAGATCTTAAAATAGGGAGATTATCTGAGTAGGCCCAATGTAATCAAATGGACCTTTAAAAGTGGAAGTGGAAGACAGGGGTAGGTCAGAGAGATGGATGATGGATGAAGCAACAGGAAAGATTCAAAATGTGAGAGGGACTTGACCTACTATTGCTGGCTCTGAAAACAAGGGGGCCATGAGCCAAGAAATGTGGACCGCCTCTGTAAACTAGAAATGGCCCTCAGCTGACAGACAGCAAGGAAGTGGGACCTTGATCCTTCAACTGCAAATAATTGAATTCTTCCAACAACTGATAAGCAAGAAAATGGATTCATCCTTCTACCCCTACCGCCAGAGCCTCCAAAAAGGAAAGCAGTCCTGACAATATTTTTATTTTAGCTCAGATGAGACTCATGTCAGATTTCTGACCTATAAAACTTTAAGACAATATATTTGTGCTGTTTTAAGATACTGACTTTGTGGTAATTTGTAACATTTACAATAGAAAATATACACATTTACCTTAATAAAACCTCAAATTTAAAGGAGTTATCAAAGAAGGGTCCCTAAAGTCATTTAAACTATATTTTTTAAAGTTCAATTCATGTCTGATCCTGAATGATTCTGGTATATTAAGTTGTGCTATAACTGGAAATGTGTGTTTAGCCAACAAAAATGACAAAATAGTAACAATTGAAAGCTACAAAGCCAATTATTTTTATATAAAAACTTCAAAAATATCATGACTAGTTATTATGGGAACCATTTTATCTAGGAGTGGTTTGTAAGGCAGCATTTTAAGTTTCCATAAAAACAGAACCTTCTGTTTTAGAAGAGATGTCAGCAACATAACCAGAAACCTCTATTTCCAAGTGCAGTGGTTTCTCCTGTCCATAACTCAGGTTTGAACTAACTTCCATTTGAATCTCTTGCTCTTCCACTTTAATCTCTTGCTCTTCCACCTCCAAAAGTTTATCTGGAGTTGAAGCTACCTACTTCTTCATCTTCATTTTTATGTAGAAGGCTACAAATCATTTTGGGTCTATAGGAGAAATCATTTTCCTGATTATCAGTCATTCCATCCCACCTATATTTTCTTCTCCTTCCTTCTTTTCTGTCAGAAGAGTTACCATGCTGAGCTTCTTCATTGTATGGCATTTATATTTTAGCACTGTTTTATTATTGCCTTCTGCATCTACATTTTCAACATTTTCTTCAAATATAGCATAGGTCCCAAGAGTGTCTTTGTACTCCCCAGCAAAGAGATAGCTGTCCACTTGCAGAATGGGCCTCTCGTTGTAAATTCTCCAAATCTTGCATCTATTTTCACATTTTGAGAAAATCCTGACAATTCTACTGGAATCAACATCTCTGCCTTCAATTCCTCCTCTTCTCCATTCTCTGGACTCCACTTCTTGGCTGCCACCATGGTCCCACGCCTCCTCAGTGCCTCCCCAGTCACTAGCCACCCCAATCCAGAGCTACCATCTTAAGCCCCTTATGATTTTCTTAATAACATTTTCCTCTCTCTAGCTTACTTTAAGAATAACAGTATTTAATTCATATAACATACAAAATATATATTAATTAACTGTTTATATTATTTCTAAGGCTGCTGGTCAATAATACGCTATTAGTAGTTAAGTTTTTACAGAGTCAAAAGTTGTACACACATTTTTGAGTGCATGAGGGTCATATATATGTGTTACAGGTTTAATTAAATTTCACTTTAAAAATAATATTCAGTTAGCCAATGAATGGTAGTGAGTTTTGTTCTGTGTTATTCCTGTGGAGACTGTGGAGGTAAAGCTAACTCTTATTCTATGAACCCTAGTATCTGTGGGAACTAGCTCTTGGGTTTCTATTTCATTATTCTGATGAAAGCTACTTAAATTCTTCATTTCTGAAGGAAAACAAGTAATCTAGTCACATTTGTGTGAGGCAGCTGTTACAATTCTTGACTAGTAAAATAGATTGAATCTGAATACTTACGCTACTCACTTCGTTTATTTGTGCTCAAAGAGAATAGCTTTATAACATGTATAAAATAGTAGCCCTCAAAAATATATATTTGGCATAACGTGCTTTCAACTGCTATCACAACTTCTTTTATAGGAGACATAAAATAAGCACCTAAGTATGTTACCGGAAGAAAATTGCTTGAAAGAACAAGCTTATTCATTTTTATTAATTGAATTTTTTAAATAGAATATTAAAAAGCAAATTTTTGGCATATATAATAACTAGGGAACTACAAAAGTTTTTGTGAAATTCTAAAAGCACTTTTAAGAATAAATTTAAGAAAGTTTTAAATATCCTAAACCCTTCTCAATATATCTATTGAAAGTAGCTTAATTAAAAAAAAACATAGTTATAATACTGGATGAGTGAATACACATTCCTTTTAAGGAAAAATAAAACAAAACAAAATAAACAACAACAACAACAAGAAAACTTACTTTTCCAAAAACTAGGGATACATGGGAGCTTCCTTAATCTAATAAAAGATGAGTGAGAGACTGAGGCAGGGATGCTTTATCTCACCACTACTACTCAATCTTGTACTGGAAGTCCAATCTAGATAAATAAGAGAAAAAATATCTAGCAGGCATACAGATTGGCAAAGAAGAAATAGAACTTCCTTCATTCATAGACAACATGATTTATGTGGAAACTTTTAAATTATCTATAAAACACTCCTGGAAATAACTTTTAAAAAGAGATTAACATGGTTGTAGGAAGCAAGGTCAATATTTTAAAAGTCAATTGATTTCCTATATGCTAACCATGAAAAATTTGAATCCAAAATAATGAAAGAAGACACATCATCTTCAATAGCATTGAAAAAAAGTTTAAAAAGTACTTACACATATACCTAACATAAATGTGCAGGATCTGTATGTGAAAAAGTAAAAAAACACTGAAGGAAAATCATTTTAAAAATGTAAAGAAATAGAAAATATACCATGTTGATGGAATGGAAAAGTCTATATTTTTTCCATTTTTTTCCATGCTCTGTGTAAAGCACTGGAGGTACAAGGAAGAATCCCTGCCTTTAAGGGGCTCACAGTGCAGTGGAGAAAAGAGACAAATAGCCAGGCAATTATAACACAGAGTGAAAAGACTTAAGATGGAATAGTTAGAACTAGCTATCATGAGACCTCACAGGTTGGTCACTTCTCTCAGCCTTGGAGGATCAAAAGAAACTACCTGGAAAAGGCTGCACCTGAGAAGACTCTAAAAAAAGCAGACAGAATCTATCCAAGCTAAGAAGAGGAGGGTTAACAATCCAGGGTGAAGATGAAGCATATGCAAATGCAAACAAAAAATGAGGGAAAGAAGGTGGGATATGCACAAAAAGCCAATCGGAGGGAAGAAAGTTAACAAGAAAGCCAGAGGAGAAAAAGGGATGGGAAGGAAAGAGGAGGGCAAGAAAGGAGAGTATAGGAGGGCAGAGGAGAGAATGTAGCCATAACTGTGAAGCTGCCTTGGTTCTCACACTCCCCACAGTCTAGCCAGTGAATTCTCCTGTGTTCTTGGCATGTAGGTCTTTTTTATACGTTAGCATGTGAACACACTCTCCCATTCAAGTAATAACCAGGCCCAACCCTGCTTCACTTCCAAGATCAGACAAGATTGGGCACATTCAGGGTGGTATGGCTGTAGACCACACTGTCTCTTATAATCAGAATTTCTTTTTAAAATGGTGTACAACATGATGTTTTGATATCTATACCCAATGGGAAATGATTAAATCAAGCTAATTAACATACCTATGCCTTACATAGTTATCATTGTTTTGTGATGTGAACATTTAAGACCTACTGTCTTAGGAATTTTCAAGTATGCAATACATTATTATCAACTATAGTCGTTCTGCTATATATCAGATCTCAGAATTTCTTCCTCCTGTTTAACTGAAACTTTGTGTCCTTTGACAAACATCTCCCAACCACCCTTACCCGCCATCCCCAGCTCCTGGCAACCATCAATGTGCTGTCTGGTTCTACGAGTTCAACTTTTTGAGATTCCACATATAAGTGAGATGACACAGTATTTGTCTTTCTGTGCCTGGCTCATGTGACTTAGCCTAGTATTCTCCAGGTTCATCCACATTGTCACCAACGACAGAATTTCCTTCTTTTCAAAGGCTAAATAATATTCCATTGTATATATATATATGCTCGTGTGTGTGTGTGTGTGTGTGTATATATATATATATAATATATATATGCTCATGTGCTTATATATATTATATATAATACATGTGCATATATATATATATGTATGTATATCACATTTTCTTTATCCTTTCATCCATTTATGGACACTTAAGTTGATTCTACATTTTGGCTACTGTGACTAATGCTGTAATAAACACGAGAGTGCAAATATCTCTTCAACAGACTGATTTCACTTCCTTTGGATATATGTATCCAGAGGAGTGAAATTGCTATACTGTAGGGTAGTTCTCTCTCTCTCTTTTCTCTCTCTTTTTTTTTTTTTTGAGAAACCTCCATACTGTTTTTCTTAATGGTTGTAGCAATTTGCATTCCAACCAAGGGTAAAAGTGTTCCCCTTTCTACATACCCTTGATAATATTTATGTTTTGTCTTTTTAATAAGAGCCACTCTAACAGGTGTTAGGTGATACCACACTGTGTTTTTTTTCAATGTTTTGCATTTCCCTAGTGAGTAGTGACATTAAGCATTTTTTCATATACCTGTGTAAACCAAAAGCATCTGAGACATACTTTATCAATTTAGAAAGTTTATTTTTCCAAGGTTAAGGATATATACATGACACAGCTTCAGGAGGTGCTGATGACAATTGCCTAAAGTGGTTGTGGTACAACTTGCTTTTATACATTTTAGAGAGACATGAGACATTAGTTAATATGTATAGGATGTACATTGGTTTGATCAGGAAAGGTAGAACAACTCGAAGTGGAGGCTTCCAGGTCATAGGTAGATAGAAAAACTGTTGCATTCTTTAGAGTCTTTGATCAGCCTTTCACTGAATACACAATTTATGTGAGAGGGAGGTAGAGGAATAGTCACTTATGCCTTAGTGTGGCTCAGTGTAACTGCATTTTACATAAACAATAGGGCAGAGAAGGCAATGAGATATGCATTTTTCTCAGGTGAGCAGAGGGATGACTTTGAGTTCTGTCCTTTGTCCTGCAGCTGTGAAGATAAGCTATCAATTTACATTGCGAGGGTGAAATTCAACAGAACTGTTTTAAGGTAAAGATCTTGAGGCCCACAAGGAATTTTCCTGTGGGCAAATTGTGAGGTAAGTATGTAACATTTTAATCTTTGTAGCTATCTTACTTAGGAAAGAAATGGGAGTTAGTTTTGTCTGACCCAGTTCCCAGATTGACTTTTCTATTTGGATTAGTGATTTGGGGGTCACAATATTTATTCTTCTTTTACACCTGTTAGCCATTTGTATGTAATTCTTTTGAGAAATGTCTATTTAGGTTTTCTCACCTAGTTTTTAATTGGAATATTTGTTTTCTTGCTATTGAGTTGTTTGAGTTGCCATATAGGGGATTCATTTTGAATATTATTTCCTTATCACCTGTGTGGTTTGTTAATATTTTCTTCCATTATGTAGGTTGTTTTTTCACCCTGTGGACTGTTTCCTTTGCTAGAAAGAAGCTTTTTAGTTTGATGCAATCTATTTTGTCTATTTTTGCTTTTGTTGTCTGTGCTTTTGGTGGCATATCCAAAAAGTCATTGCCCAGAGCAATGCAAAGAGAATTTTTTCTATGTTTTCTTCCAGTAGTTTTATACTTTCTGGTCTTATGTTTAAGTCTTTAATTCATTTTGAGTTGATATTTGTATATGGTGTGAGATGATGGTTCAAGTTCATTTTTCTGCAGGTCACATCCAGTTGTCCCAAAACTATTTATAGAAAAGACTCTTTCTCCCATTGTGTGTTCTTGGCTCCTTTGTCAAAGATCAGTTGACTGTCAACTATATGGTTAAGAAGTCAATTCTCCCCAATTTCTTTGCAGATTGCACACTTTTCTTTTCTTTTTTTTTTTTTTTTTTTTTTTTTTTTGATGAAGTCTCACTCTATCGCCCAGGCTGGAGTGCAGTGGTGTGATCTTGGCTCTCTGCAACCTCCACCTCCTGGGTTCAAAGGATTCTCATGCCTCAGCCTCCTGAGTAGCTGGGATTACATGTTCACCACCCTGCCTGGCTAATTTTTGTATTTTTAGTAGAAACGGTGTTTCACCATGTTGCCCAGCTGGTCTTGAGCTCCTGGCCTCAGGTGATCCACCCACCTTGGCCTCCCAAAGTGCTGGGATTACAAGCATGAGCCACTGTGCCCAGCCAGATTTCACACATTTCTAACAAAATATTAGCATGTTTTTTTTGTAGATATTGACAAAGTAATCCTAAACTTTTCATGAGAATTCAAAGGCAGCAGGCTAGTAAAAAGATTGTAAAAAAAATAAGAAAAAAGTTTGATCACTTACATTATCCAATTTTAAGACTTACTATAAAGCACAATAATTAAAACAGTGTGGTATTGGTGAAATAATATACATAAATCAGTAGAAGAGAACAAAGATCCCAGAAATAGACTCGTACAATGAACTGATTTTTGAAAAGTGTTAAAAATTTAATAAAAAAAGATAGCCTTTTTACCAAATGTGCTAACATTTTCTGATGACCATATGAAAAAATTCTATACCTATATCTCACACTTTACATAAGAATTAACTCAAAATGGATCATTAACCCAATTGTCAAAATGAAAAAGTCTAATACCTTTAGAAGAAATTATAAGACCAATTCTACGTGACCTTGTGTTTGACAATGAGCTTTTAGACATAATATCAAAAGCATGATCCCTGAAAAAAAACACATTAAACTTTATCAAACCTAAAATCTTTTGCTTTGCAAAATACATTGCTAAAAGAATGACAAGATAAGACAGATTAAGAGAAAATGTTTTCAAATCACATATCAGATATAAACAAAGTTTTATCCAGAATATACAAGGAACACTTAAAACTCAACAATTAGGGGAAAAAATAAAATGATGGATAAAAAACCCAAACATACACTTCACTAAAGATACACTGATAGAAGATAAGCATATGAAAAGACACTCAACATCATGTGTTATTAGGCAAATGCAAATTAAAAAATAAAACTGACAACACCAAATGCTTGCAAGTTTGTGAAATAACAGGATACTTCATTCATGGATGGGAATGCAAAATAATACAGCCTCTTTGAAGACAGTTTGGTAGTTACTTATAAAGTAAAAACAAACAAACAGAATTATTAAAGGGCCCGTTAATAACAGCCCTAGATATTTACCCCAGTGAACTGAAAACTCGTGTTCACACAAAAACCTGTATGAAAGTGTTTATAACACTTTTACTCATGATCACCTAAAATTAGAACCAACAAAGGGTCTTCTAATAGGTGAGTGGAAAAGCAAACTGTGTTACATCCATAAAACAACATATTATTTCGTGATAAAAATGAACCAAGTATTAATTTATGCAACAATGTGAATGAAATGTAAATGCATTTTGCTAAATTAAAAAAAAACAGACTAAAAATCTACATATTGAATGATTTCATTTATATGACATTCTAGAAAAGACAAAAATATGAGGTCAGAAAAAACATTTTGTTTCCCCCCTTTTTTCATAGGGCAGGGTTGACAACAAAGGGATGCACAGGATAATTGTCAGGGTAATGTAACTATTCTGTGTGACACTGAAGTGGTAAGTACATAATGCTATGCATTTGTCTAAATACAGAACAGAACTTTACATAACAAAGACTGAACATCAATGTATGCAAAATTTAAAAAAATCAACCAGTAGATTTGGAATCTAAGGATGAAATACAAAATCTATATTGTAACAATATGACCTCACTGAAGGGGTTGGAGGGAACAAAAAGTTGACATATGTAATGGAGTAATGCTGAAAAATGGTGATTTGACTGCAAACTTTAGGGCTAAATACAAAAATAACTTTACAAAAACACTATTGGCTGGTTGGTAAAGTTGTTTCTGGCAGAATTATAGTTTAACAATTCTGTAATTGCTTTACATAAGTACTGGGATTGAACTTGTAAGTAAATAAGAAATAGATGGTGGGAGCTAAACTTCTCAAGGTTGAAGACAGAAGTTCCAGAAAAGCGAAGGGTTAAGGCTAGAAAAAACCATATGAAACTTCAATATGGTAAGAGAATCAGTGTAAACGTGTATAGCTTAAATAGATACAGATGGACAAATATGGAAATAAAGGTAGATATGTGTGTATACGTGGGTTAGTATCCTTACATATATATTTCTAACTGTGTCAACTGAGAGGACTTGAAAGCAATGACTCTAGTAGTATTAATCACTCCAGTACACATATCTAGGCTTCTAGGTACCATTTCCCAATTAAAAAATTAAGAAATCTTAGAAGAAATCATTGATATTACAGCTGTGGTATAAAATAAGCAAGATAAGCCTGAAACATCTTTTAGGGTCAGAAAGAAAAGTAGTACTCAGAAAATAAAAAGATGGAGGCATTATAAAGGGACACAGGAGCTAACCTGAAAGATCTTCCAATAATCAAAGTTGTAACAATTTTTACCACAAAATAAGTAATATAGTATTGGGTTGTAACACAAAGAATAAATCTTTATGTGTTTATACTGATGTAGATAAATGAATGAATAAATAAATAAATGTGGGAGAATAGGCAAACCTTCCTAGCAGTAACATTCCAAATAATTTATGCAGATACTCTCCTTTCCAGAGGTGGGGCTTAACCTCCGATCCTCCATTGCATGTGGTCTTGCTTCCAGAGAATAGAATATAAAAAAGGGTTGCAGGGGAAGTAACTTTTTAACAATAAATTTGAAGAACAATACATGAGAGAGGGGATCATGGTTAACGTCAGTGGTAAGTCATGCTGATATCACGCATCCTTGATATAATTTGATGAGAATAGCACTTTACCTCTGTGTTATTCTTCCCAAAAATACATTGAGAAAAACATTAGACAAACCCCAATTGAGGGACTTTCTACAAAAATCAGTGATAAATACACCCTAATGCTGTCATAAAAAAAAAGAGGAAAGCCTGATAAACTTCCCCAGCAAGAAAGAAGCCTAAGAAGACATGATTACTAAATGTAATGTGGTCCCTTGCATGAGTCAGGAACATAAAAAGGACGCTAGGTAAAAGTAAAGGGCACTTGTACAAAGCTCAAACGTTATATAATAATAGTCCATCAATAATGTTTCACTAGTTGTGATAATCTACAATGGTAATGTAAGATGTTAACAACAGGTAATATTGAGTCTGAAGCATACATGAACCCTATGTTATGACTTAGCAACTTTTCTGTACATCTAAAATCTTATATGTATATACAATTTTTGTATTCTGTATATAAAATTTATGCCAAAGAAATCTACAGACTTTTGATTTTCAGTGTAGCATGTAAGGAGCTTAGAAGTCACCACTTCATCCTAACAAGTGAAAAGATGAGCAAACTTAAAAAGAAAAAAAAAACACTAACTTTTCTTAGATTTGTTAAAGAGGTGCAGTCGCAGGGCAAAATACTTTCTTTATGAATGGAGAGACAGGCAGATACGGAGAATCACAGTTACTGGAACAGATACATCCAGGGAACTAGTGCTGGTGTAGGAAAGCCTGAACAGTAATTGATAAATTTTTGGAGGCTCAGCATAAATAACCCTGAGTTAAAAATGCCATGAAGATCCAGTCATGGGGGGGACCCTACACTTATGTGAGTTTTACCTCCAGGAGTTTGACCAGGTCCCCACAGAGGATATCAGAGAAAAATCCCCTGTTGCTTTCAGCAGGAGAAAAGGGAAAAATTTTGAAATATGCCAGACCATTCTGTTCTTAAAATGGCTTCCCTTTAGGAAAAATCATTTTACAAGAGCCTAACTGGCTGGAGTTTTATCATAGCCTAACCAACCTGGAGGAAAAGGCAGACCCAACTCCAACTAGTCCTTGCCTTCCACATGGGGGAAAGAAATACACAATTCCAGCACCCTCCAGACATCCTGTCCCACCTAGGAGTGATGGAAGTGATGAGAAGCTCTTGTAAAGTTCAGTCTAGGAGCACAAGCTCACTTAACCTAATCATAGGATGGTAGAATGCTTCCTGTCTTAGGCCGTTTTTGCATTGCTATAAAGAAATATCTGCAACTGGGTAATTTATGAAGAAAACAGGTTTAATTGTCTCACAGTTGTGCAGGCTCTACAAGAAGCATTACACTGGCATCTTCTTAGCTTCTGGTGAGACTTCAGGAAACTTGCAATCATGGCAGAAGGTGAAGGGGGAGCCAGTGTTCCACAGCAAAAATGGGAGCAAAGGGAGAGGTGCCACATATTTTTAAACGACCATATCTCATGTAAAATTACTCATCACCAAGGGGACGACACTAAGTCATTCATGAAGGATCCATTCTTATGACCCAATTAACTCTTATCAGGCCTAACCTCCAACAATGGGGATTACAATTCAATATGAGATTGTGAGGGAACAGCATCCAAACTATATCATGTTTCCCCTGGCCCCTCAAATCTCACGTTCTCCTCACAATGCCAAATACAATCATCCTCTGTCAATAGGCCCCCAAAAGTCTCAACTATTCCCAGCATTAACACATAAGTTCACAGACCAAAGTCTTATCTGAGACAAGGCAATACCCTTCCACCTATGAGTTTGTAAAATCAAAAGCAACTTACTTACTTCGAAGATACAAAGAGGTATAGGCATTGGTTAAACATGCCCATTTCAAAAGGGAGAAATGGGTCAAAAGAAAGAGGCACCAAGCCCCATGCAAGTCTGAAACCCCACAGTGCAGTCATTGAATCTTAAATCTCCAAAATAATTTTATTTGACTCTGTGTTCCACATCCAGGGCACACAGCAGCAAGGGGTTGGCTCTCAAGTACTTGGGGAGCTCTGCCTGTGAGGCTTTGCAGGATATGGCCACCATGGCTGCTCCCACAGATTGGAGTTGAGTGCCTGTGGCTTTTCCACAGGCAGAGCCCAAGCTGCTGGTGCATCTACCATTCTGGGATACCGAAGGCTGTGACTTCCTTCTCACAGCTCCAGAAAGCAGTGCCCCACTGGGGACTCTGTGTGGGGCCTTTGACACCATCTTTCCCCTCTGCACTGCCCTAGTAGAGGTTCTCTGTGAGGGTTCCTTCCCTGCAGGAGTCTTCTGCCTGGGCATCCAGGCTTTCTCATACATCCTCTGATAGATAGGTGGAGTCTGCCAAGCCTCCTTCACTCTTTTTTTTTTTTTTTTTTGAGATGGAGTCTCGCTCTGTCACCCAAGCTGGAGTGCAGTGGCGGGATCTCGGCTCATTGCAAGCTCCGCCTCCCGGGTTCACGCCATTCTCCTGCCTCAGCCTCCCAAGTAGCTGGGACTACAGGCACCCGCCACTACGCCCGGCTAATTTTTTGTATTTTTAGTAGAGACGGGGTTTCACCGTTTTAGCCGGGATGGTCTTGATCTCCTGACCTCGTGATCCGCCCACCTCGGCCTCCCAAAGTGCTGGGATTACAGGCGTGAGCCACTGCGCCCGGCCCTTCACTCTTTTATTCAGTGAGCCTGCGGGCTTAACATCACAGGAAGGCCACTAAGTCTTACAGCTTGCACCCTCACCCTCTGAAGCAGCAGCCCAAGCTTTATCTGGGACCCTTTCAGCTGAGGCTGGAGCACAAATGGCTTGGATGCTGGGAGCAGTGTCCCAAGGGTGAACAGAACAGCAGAGGCCTGAGCCTGGCCCACGAAACTATTTTTTACTCCTAGGTCTCTGGGCCTGTGATAAGAGAAGGGACTGCCTCAAAGATCTCTGAAATGCCTTCAAGGACTTTTTTGCATTCTATTGGCTATTAGCACTTGGCTCTGTTTTAGTCATACTAATATCTCTGTAAGTGGTTTCTCTGCAGCCTGTTTGGATTCTCCCCCAATGCAAAGGTGTTTCCTTTCTCTGCCATATGGTCAGGCTGCAAATTTCCTAAGGTTTTATGCTCTGCTTCCATTTTAAATAGAACTTCCAACTTTAAGTCATTTATTTGCTCCTGCATCTGAGAGTAGGTTGTTAGAAGCAGCCAGGCAAAATCTTAAATGCTTTGCTCCTTAGAAATTTCTTCCACCAGATACCGTAAGTCATCACTTTTAAGTTTAAACTTCCATAGACTCCTAGGGCATGAACACAATATAGCCAAGTACTTTACTAATGCATAACAAAGATGACCTTTGCTCCAGTTTCCAATAAGTTCCTTATTTCCATCTGAGACCTCGTCAGCCTGGACTTCACTGTCTATATCACTATCAACCTTTTGGTCATAATGAATTAATCAGTCTTTAAGAAGTTCCACATTTCCCTTTATCTTTTTGTCTTCTTCTGAGCCCTCCAGACTCTTCAAACCATGACCTATTACCCAGATCCAAAGCTCTTCCTCATTCTAAGGTATTTTTGTTTAAACAGCAACTCCTGGTACCAATTTTCTGTATTAGGCTGTTTTTGTATTACTGTAAAGAAATACCTGAGACTGGGTAGCTTATGAAGAAAACATGTTTGATTGGCTCATGGTTCTGCTGGCTGTACAGGAAGCATAGTGCTGACATCAGCTTGGCTTCTGGAAAGGCCCAAGGGTGCTTATAATTATGGTGGAAGGTGAAAAGGGAGTGGGCATATTACATGACAAGAGTGGGAGAAAAAAGAGAGAAGGGGGAGGTGCCACACATTTTAAACAACCAGATCTCATGTAAACTCATTCATCACCAAGGGGATGGCATGAAGCCATTCATGAGGGAACTGCCCCATGGTTCAATCACCATACATCAGGCCCCATATCGAACACTGAAGATTACAATTCAACAGGCGATTTAGAGGAGACAACATTCAATCGATATCACTTTTGCCCTGCCACATCTTTCCATACATTATGAATGGCTTATTTACTAATAGTTCCTCTTACCCAGTGTATAATGTCTTGCTTTCAACAAAAGATTACAAGGCATACTAAAAGGGGTAAAACAAAGCAAAGCAAATATATATATATATATATATATATATATATATATATATATATATGTGCTTATGTATGCATGTGTATAAATAAATGAGGGTAATGTTATAAGAAATAAAAGAATGAGAAATATTTTGTCATTATAAGGTAATTAACCTACCTGTGTAGTGGAGTAGGGTTATTTGAAAGTGGACTTGGCCAGGTGCAGTGGCTTATGCCTGTAATCCTAGCATTTTGAGAGCCTGAGGCAGAGGATCACATGAGGCCAGAAGTTCAAAACCAGCCTGGGCAACATAGAGAGACCCCATCTCTACAAAAATATAAATAGATAAATAAATAAATAAATAAATAAATAAATAAAGTGGATTTGGATTAGTTGTAAATGATAGTAAAAAATATATAACAACAATAATAAAAGTAAAAATGTAATTGGTATGTTAAGAAATGAGGTCATATACAATGCTCACTTAAAACTATCAAAGGCAGAAAAAGTATGAAATAAAATATTGAAACAAAGAACAGGAGATAAAATAGAAAATAGTAATAAATATGGTAGATAATATTCTAAATATACTAATAATCACCTTTAACTCCAATGATCTCCCAATTAAAAGACAGACCTTATCAGAATGAATTAAAAACAAGACTCAGCTATATTGTTGCCTACGAGAAACCCACTTTAAACATAAAAACACATACAGATTAAAAGTAAAGAGATGGAGAAAGATATACTATGCTAACACTAATCAAAAGAAAGCTGAAACAGTGATATTAATTTTAGGCAGGGCAGAATGTAGAGCAAAGAAAGCTATCAAGGATAAAGAAGGGCATTAAATAACAATGAAAAGGGTAAGTCTCTACGAAGACACAACAATTCCTAAAGTGTATACACATAACAATAAATAATCAAAATACATGATGCAATAACTGACAAAACTGTAAGAAGATACAGATGAATATACTATTATATTTGGAAATCTTAACATCTCTTTATCAGAGATGAACAGATTCAATGGGCAGGAAATTAATCAGAACAAAGTTGAACACGATAGCACCATCAATCATTTCGATATAATCGCAATCTATACACTATTTTAGCGAAAACCATTAAATTGTACATTATTCTCCAACTCACATGGAATATACACAATATAAATCAAATCCTGGGCCATAAAACACACTCTTACAAATTAAAAAGAAGATAAATGTTCTCATGCTACAATGAAAGTAAACTAGAAATTATTAATAGAAAAATAGCTGTAAAACTCCCAAATATTTGGAAATTAAACAACACACTTCTAAATAACACATAAGTCAAAGAAGAAACCTCAAAAGAAATTAAAACTCAATCTGAATTAAATTCAAATGGAACTTCCTAAAATATGTGAGATACAGCAAAAGCAGTGCTTAGTAGGAAATTTACATCATTTAATGCACATATTAGAAATCAAGAAAGATCTAAAATCAATCATTCAAGCTTCCAAGGTAGGAAAATAAGTGCAAATTAAGTTCAAAGTAAGCAGAAAAAGCAAATAATAAACATTTGATTGGAAGTCAAAAACTGAAAATAGAAAATCAGTAGAAAAAGCAACACATGCAAAAGCAGTTTCTTTGAAAAGATCAATAAAATTGATAAACCTGTAGCCACGCTAAGAACATAAGGAGAAGACATAACTTATTAATATCAGAAATAAAAAAGTGGCTCATCACTTCAGATCCCATGCACATGCACATTAAAAGAGTAATCAAAAACTATTACGAACATTTATATATCCAAAGATTTGATAACCTAGATAAACTGGACCAATTCCTTGATAGACACGACCTTCCCAAATTCACACAAAAAGAAATAGACAACTTGAATAAGGCCTGTTCCATTTAAGGAAATTGGCTCAATAATTATTAGCCCTCCAAAACATTAAGCAGTGAGCCATATAGATGGGTCCACTGGTGAATTCTACCAAATATTTAGGAAAGAAATTATACCAAATACTCTATTCTCTCTTCCAGACAGTAGAAGCCGAGATAATACCTCTTAACTCATATTATGAGGCTAGTATTGCCCTAATACCAAAAAAATTACAAGAAAAACATACACAGCAATATCTGTCATAAAGATAAATGCAAAAATCCTTAAAAATTAGCAAATTGAATACAACAATGTATAAGAAGTATTATACCTGACCAACAAGTGAGATTTATCCCAGGTATGCAAGTCTAGTTCAACATCCAAAAGTCAATTAAGGTAATCAATTACATCAACAGCCTAAAGAAAAATAATCACATGATCATATCAATAAATTCAGTAAAAACATTTGACAAAATCAACACTTATATATGATTTTTAAAAATTAAGCAAACTAGGAATAGGAAGGGGAACTTCCTCAATTTGATAAAGAACATTGACAAAAAACTAACAGATAACATCATACTTAATGAAGAAAAACATGAAGGTTTCCTGCAAAGTTCAGGAATAATAAAAAGATGTCTCTTTTCATCATACTTTTTCTCTTTTAAATTTGTGTGATTACATGCTAGGTGTATATATTTATAGGGTAAATGAGATACTTTCATACCATAGTTAACTTGATGTGATCCCATTTATCCATTTTTGCTTTGATTGCCTGTGCTTGTGAGGAATTAAGAAATTTTGCATACAGGCATGCAATACATAATAATCATTTGATTATTTATTATGGTAAATGGAGCTGAATGATGAGAACACATGGACACATAGCGGGGAACAACACATATTGGGGCCTGCCGGGGAGAGCGGGGAAATCGAAAGCATAACTAACGGATGCTGGGCTTACTACCTGGGTAATGGGTTGATATTTGCAGCAAGCCACCAAGGCATACGTTTACCTATGTAACAAACCAGCACATCTTGCGCATGTATCCAGGAACTTAAAAGTTGATGGGAAAAAAATGGTGGTAAATGGAGTGTCCATGCCCTCAGGCATTTATCCTTTGTGTTATAAACAATTAAATTATGCTTTTAGTTATTTTAAAATGTAGAATTAAGTTATTATTGACTATAGTCACCCTGTTCCGCTAGCAAATTTTATATCTTACATTTTTTCTAACTACCTTTTTGCACCTATTAGAATCCCACTTCCACCACAAATCACCCCACTACCCTTCCCAGCCTACAATATCCATCCTTCTTCTATCTCCATTATTTCAACTATTTTAATTTTTAGATCCCACAAATACAGGAAAACATGCAACATTTGTCTTTCTATGCCTGGCTTGTTTCGCTTAACATAGTGAACTCCAGTTCCATCCATATTGTTGCAAATAATAGGAACTCATTCTTTTTATGGCTGAGTAGTACTCCATTGTGTATAAGTACCACATTTTCTTTATTCAAACTTCTGTTAGACACTTAGGTTGTTTCCAAATATTGGCTATTGTGAATAGTGCTGCAACAAATATGGGAGTGCAGATATCTTTTTGATAAACTTATTTTCCTTTTTTTTTTTTTGGTATATATCCAGCAGAGGGATTGCTGGATCCTGTGGTTGCTCTATTTTTAGTTCTTTGAGGAACATCCAAACTGTTCTTCATAATGGTTGTACCAATTTACATTCCCACCAACAAGTGTACAAATGTTCCCTTTTCTCCACATTTTTACCAGTATTTTTTATTGCCTGATTTTTGGATATAAGCCATTTTAATTGGGTAGATAATATCATATTGCAGTTTGTTTTGCATTTCTTTGATTATCCATGATATTGAGCACCTTTTCATATTCCTGTTTGCCATTTCTATGTCTTCTTTAGAGAAATGTCTATTCAGATATTTTGCCCATTTTTAGTTGGATAATTAGATTCTTTTTCTATAGAGTTTTTTGAGCCTCTTGTTATTAATTCCTTCTCAGAAGAGTAGTTTGCAAGGATTTTCTCTCATTCTGAGGGTTGTCTCTTTACTTGGTTTATTGTCTTCTTTTCTGTGCAGAAGCTTTTTAATTTGATACGATCCCATTTGTCCACTTTTGCTTTGGTAGCCTGTGCTTGTGCGTATTACCCAAAAAATTTTGCCCATATCAATGTCCTGGAGATTTTCCCTTATGTTTTCTTGCAGTAGTTTCATAGTTTGAGGTCTTAGATTTAAGTCTTTAAACCATTTTGATTTGATTTTTGTATATGGTAAGAGATAGAGGTCTACTTTTATTGTTCTTCATATGGATATCCAGTTTTTCCAGCATCATTTATAGAAGAGACTGGCTTTTCCCCAATGTATGGTCTTGGCACCTTTGTTAAAAACGAGTTCATTGTAGGTGTGTGGATTTGTTTCTGGGTTCTCTATTTTGTTTCATTGTTATATGTGTCTGTTTTTATGCTGATAGGCTGTTTTTGTTACTATTTCTGCGTAATACAATTTGAAGTCAGCTAATGTCATTCTTCCAGTTTTGTTCTTTTGGCTCAGGATAACTTTGGCTATTCTGGGTCTTTTGTGTTTCATATAATTTTAGGATTAAAAAAAAAGTCTGTGAAGTATGTCATTGATATTTTGATAAGGATTGCATTGAATCTGTAGATTGCTTCAGGGAGCATGGACATTTTAACAATGTTGACTCTTTCAACCCATAAACATGGAATATTTTTGCATTTTTGGTGCCAGTTTCAATTTCTTTTATCAATATTTTGTAGTTTTCATTGTAGAGGTCTTTAACTTCTTTGGTTAGTTCCTAGGTATTTAATTTTAATTTTATGTGCAGATATTACAAATGAGATTGCTTTTTAAATTTATTTTTTGCATTGTTCACTGTTGGCATATAGAAATGCTACTGTTTTTGTATGACAGACAATTTTGTATTCCGCAACTTTACTGAATTTATCAGTTCTAATAATTTTTTGGTATTAACTTTAGGTCTTTACAAATATAAGAACAAGTCACCTGCAAACAAGGATACTATGATTTCTTCCTTTCCAATTTCAATGCTCTTTCTTTCTTTTATTTTTTTGAAACGGAGCCTTGCTCTGTCGCCCAGGCTGGAGTGCAGTGGATCTCAGCTCATTGCAACCTCCGCCTCCCAGGTTCAAGCGATCCTCCTGCCTTAGCCTCCCAAGTAGGTGGGACCACAGGTGAGTGCCACCATACCAGGCTATTTTTTGTTATTGTTATTATTTTGGTATTTTTAGTAGAGATGGGGTCTTGCCACGTTGGCCAGGCTGGTCACGAACTCCTGACCTCAGGTGATCTGCCTGCCTCAGCCTCCCAAAGTGCTGGGATTACAGGCATGAACCACCATGCCCGACCAGAATGCTGTTTATTTCCTTTTCTTCTTTGATTACTCTATCTAGGACTTTCAGTACTATGCTGAATAACAGTGGTATAAGTGGGCATCCTTGTTGTGTTCCAGATCTTAGAGGAAAAGCTTTTAGTTTTCCTCCATTCATTATGATACTAGCTGTGAGTCTGTCATTTATGGGTTTTATTATGTTGAGGTATGTTTATTTTTAATTTTTTTATATTTATTTATTTATTTATCCTTTTTTTATTTTTTGAGACGGAGTCTTGCCCTCTCACCAGGCTGGAGTGCAGTGGCGATCTCGGCTCACTGCAACCTCCGCCTCCCAGGTTCAAGCGATTCCTCTGCCTCAGCCTCCCAAGTAGCTGGGATTACAGGCACGTGCCACCATGCCTGGTTATTTTTTTGTATTTTAGTAGAGACGGGGTTTCACCATGTTGGCCAGGATGGTCAAGATCTCCTGACCTCATGATCCACCTGCCTCAATCTCCCAAAGTATTGGGATTACAGGCGTGAGCCACCCCACCTGGCTGAGCTATGTTTATTTTAAACCAAGTTTTTTCAGAGTTTTTACCATTAAGGGATGTTGAATTATATCAAATGCTTTTTCAGCATCAATTGAAAAAATCTTATGACTTTATTCTTTATACTGTTGATATGATGTATCACATTGATTGATTTATGAATGTTAGATCATCCTTGCATCACTGGGATAAATCTCACTTGGTCACAAGCAATGGTCTTTTCAATGTATTGCTGAATTCTGTTTGCCAGTATTTTCCTGAGGATGTTTGTATCAATATTCATGAGAGATATTGGCCTGACTTTTTATTTGTTTTTTTCTTTGATGTGTCTTTGTCTGTTTTTGGTATCAGGGTAATACTGTCAAAAAAGGAGAAAGAGTTTGGAAGCATTTTCTCCTTCTTTATTTATCTGGAATAGTTGAGTAGGATTGGTATTAGTTCTTCTTTAAATGTTTGCTTGAATTCATCCATGAATCCATCATGTCCAGGACTTTTTCTTACTGGGACATTTTTTATTACAGCTTTGATCTCATTACTTGTTATTGTTCTGTTCAGGTTTTGGATTTTGTCATTGTTCAATCTTGATAGGTTTACAAGGAATTTATTCATTTATTCTAGGAATTTATTCATTTTCTCTAGATTTTCCAATTTATTGGCATATAGTTGCTCATAGTAGCCACTAATGATCTTTAAATGTCTGCAGTATCATTTATAATGTCTCTTTTTTCACTTCTGATTTTATTTGTATCTTCTCCCTTTTTTTCTTAGTCTGGCTAAAGGTCTCTCAATTTTATTTATCTTTTCAAAAATGCAATTTTCCTTTTTATTGATCTATTGTATTTTTTATTTCAATTTTATTCATTTTTGCTCTGATCTCTATCATTTCTTTTCTTCTACGAGTTTGGGGATTAGTCTGCTCTTGCTTTTCTAGTTCTTTAACATGCATCATTAGGATACTTATTAGAATTTTTTTTCTTTTTTGATGTAGGCATTTATAGCTATAAATTTTGCCTTTAGTACTGCTTTCACTGTATCCCATAGGTTTTGGTATGCTACATTTTCATTATCATTTGTTTCAAAAAATTTGTCAAATTTCTCCTTAATTTATTCACTGACCCACTGATTATTCAGGAGCATATCATTTAATTTCCACTTGTTTGTATAGTTTCAAAAATTACTCTTGTAACTGACTTCTAGTTGTATTCGATTGTGGTCAGGTAAGGTACTTGGTATTATTTCAATTTTAAAAAATGTGTTCAGACTTGTTTTGTGACCTATCATATGGTGTATCTTTGAGAATAATCCATGTGCTGAGGAAAAGAATGTGTATTCTCCAGCCATTGAAAAAAATGTTCTATAAATATTGATTAGGTCCCTTTGTTCTATAGTGTAGATTAAGTCCAATGTTTCTTTGCAGATTTTCTGTCTGTTATATCTGTCCAGTGCTGAAAGTGGGGTGCTGATATATCTAGCTATTATTTTATTGAGGTCTATCTCTTTAGCTCTAATAATATTTCGTGTGTGTGTGTGTGTGTGTGTGTGTGTGTGTGTGTTCCAGCATTGGGTGCATGTGTATTTACAATTGTTACATCCTCTTGTTGAATTGACCCCTTTATTTATTTATTTACTTTTATTTATTTATTTTTTTGAGATGAAGTCTAGCTCTGTCACCCAGGCTGGAGTGCAGTGGAACAATCTCGGCTCACTGCAAGCTTCGCCTCCTGGGTTCACACCATTCTCCTGCCTCAGTCTCCGGAGTAGCTGGGATTATAGGCACCCGCCACCACGCCTGGCTAATTTTTTTGTATTTTTAGTAGAGACAGGGTTTCATCTTGTTAGCCAGAAGGGTCTCAATTTCCTGACCTCGTGATCCACTGGCGTCAGCCTCCCAAAGTGCTGGGATTACAGGCATGACCCACCGTGCCTGGCCCCCTTTATTATTATATGATGACCTTCTTTGGATCTTCTTAAAGTTTTTCATCACACTTTCACCATCACACTGGAAATTTAATTAATGCCATAAGACTAGAATATGAAATAAAACCCACACAAATTGGAAAGAAAGAAATAAAATGGCCCTTTTTCAGATGATACTATCATATATGTAGAAAATCTGTAAGAACAAAAAACTTTCTGGATCTAATAAAATAAATTATTATAGCAAGCTTTCAAGATACATAGTTTATATGCAAACATCAATTTCTTTCCAAAATAACTGAAAATATGTGGAATTTCAAACTAAAAGAACTTTACCATTTTCATGAACAGCCTCTAAAAAGAAATGGGTATAAATGTAACAAAATACATACAATGTATGTATAAAGACAACACAAAAATTCAGATAAAAATATCACAGAAGAACTAAATTAAGAGACATTTCATGTTTATGATTAGGAAGACTCAATATTGTCAAGATGTCAGTTTTTCCCTACTTAATCTATAGATTCCATGCAATCTCAGTCAAAATTCCAGCAAGTTATTTTGTGAATATCAACAAAATGTTTCTAAAGTTAATATATAGAGAAAAAAGACCCAGAAGGGTCAACTCAATACTCAAGAAAAACAAAATCAAAGGACTGATACTACTCTACTTCAAGACTTACTATAAAGCTACAGTAATCAAGACAGTGTGATAGTGTTAAAAGAATATACAAATAGACCAACAGAAAGGAATAAGGAACCAAGAAATAAACTCACATAAACATAATCAACTGATCATGACAATGGAGCAAAGACTATGATGGAGCAAGAACAGCCTTTTCAATAATGGTGCTGGAACAACTGGACATCCATGTACAAAAAAGTGAATCTAAACAAAGACATTACATCTTGCAGAAAATTAACTTAAAATGAATTATAGACCTAAATGTAAAACACAGAGTATAAAACTCCTTGAATACAACATAGGAGAAAATCCAGATGACCTTGTGTGTAATGATGACTTTTTAGATTCCACACTAAAGGCATTCTCCATGATAAGTCAGACTTCATTGAAATTAAAAATTTCTTCTCTGTGAAAAGCACTGTCAAAATATTGAGAAGACAGGGTATAGTCTTGGATAACATATTTGCAAAAGAAATATTTGATAAAGGACCTACCCAAAATATATGAAGAACTCCTAAAACTTAACAATAAGAAAATGAACAACTGGGTTAAAAAATGAGCAAAAGTCTTGAATAGATACCTCATGAAAGAAGATATACAGATGCCAAGTGAGCATATGAAATGATGCCCCACATCATATGTCATTATGGGATTGTAAATTAAAACAGCAATGATATTTTACTACACATCTATTAGAATGGCAAATATACAAAACTAACAATACCAAATTTTCATGAGGAGGCAGATCTACAAGAATTTTCATTCATTGCTCATGGATATGTAAAATGTTATAGCCACCTTGGACAACAGTTTGGGAGTTTCTTACAAAACTAAACATACTTGTACTATATGATCTGGCAGCGTTTCTCCTTGGTATTTATCCAAATTAATTGAAAACTTATATCCACACAAAAAGCTGCATACAGGTGTTTATAGAAGCCTAATTAATATTTGCCCAAATTTGGAAGCAAGCAAGATGTAATTGAGTAAATCAGTGGATAAAGTATGGTATATCCTAAAAATGGAACATTTTTTAGCACTAAAAAGAAATGCACTACTAAGCCATGAAAAAATATGGAGAAAACTTAATCACTTATAGCAGTGGTGCCGAACCATTTTGGCATCAGAAACCTGTATTTTGGAAGAAAATTTTTCTTTTCTTTTTTTTTTAAGATAGAATCTCACTCTGTTGCCCAGGCTAGAGTACAACAATATGATCTCGGCCCACTTCAACCTCCACCTCCTGGGTTCAAGCGAATCTCCTGCCTCAGCTTCCCAAGTAGCTGGGATTACAGGCACCTGCCACCATGCCTGGCTAATTTTTGTATTTTTAGTAGAGATGGGGTTTCACCATGCTGACCAGGCTGGTCTCCAACTCCCAACCTCAAGTGATCCGCCTGCCTCAGCCTCCCAAAGTGCTGGGGTTACAGGCATGAGCCACCGTGCCTGGCTGGAAGACAATTTTTCTATGGAACCAAGGAGGGGGATGATTTTGGGATAATTCAAGTGCATTACATTTATTGAGTACTTTATTTGTATTATAATTACTTTGTAATATATAATGAAATAATTATATAACTCACCAGAATCAGTGGTAACCCTGAGTTTGTTTTCTTGAAGCTAGACAGTCCCACCTGGATGTGATAGGAAACACTGATAGATCATCAGGCATTAGATTTTCATAAGGTGCATGCAACCTAGATCGCTCACATATGCAGTTCACGTTAGGGTTTATGGTCCTATGAGAATCTAATCCTGCTGCTGATGTGACAGGAGGCAGAGATCAGACAGTAATGCAAGTGATTAGGAGCAGCTGTAAATACAGATGAAACTTTGCTCACTCACCTGCTGCTCACCTGCTGTGAAGCAAATTTCCTAAGAAGCCACAGACCAGTACCAGTCCATGGTCAAGGGGTTGGGGACCTCTGACTTATACTGAAGAGGTACCTGAGATGCAACCACAAGCATGTAGCTAATTATTGGCACTTGTCCACCCAAGGCTATTGTTTTAAATTATCACAAGTTAGAGACTAAGATGAAAGGAAAACATCAAAATGAAGCCTGAAGAACTGAACTACAAAGCTGTGTAGTTCTAGGGAAACACATTCTCAAACTCAACGATGTCTAGCCAGCGTTGGCTTTGAGGTAGGAGGTGGGACTTGATTTCAGAGGCAGGGCTTGGACCCCAGACCAAATTGAGTACTAGCAAAAACAGGGACAGGGCAGAAGCAACTTTCCATAAAACACACGCACCAGTGTGCCATGTCAGTTTACCATTACCATGGCGAGACCCAAAAGTTACAACCCCTTTTCATGGAAATGACCTGACAAAGTGGAATTTACCATACTTTTCCTAGAAATTTCTGCATAGGCTGCCCCTTAATTTGCATATAATTAAATATGGGTTCAAATATGACTATAGAACTGCCTCTGAGCTGCTACTCTGGGCACACTAACTATGGGGTTGCCCTGCACTGCAAGGAGCAGTACATTGTTGCTATACACTGCTGATTAAATAAAAGTTTCAGTCTAACACCACTGGCTTGTCCTTGAATTTTTCCTGGGTCAAGCAAGGAACCCTCCTGGGCTAAGTCCCAATATCAGGGCTCTCCTGCCCTGTATCATCTGGCAACTAACAAAGGGACAAAGACAGCAGAGATAGCAATGATCAGCAGAGAGGCAAGACAGCAGAGATGGTAGCAATCAATTATCACTGGAGAGGTGGCAATTGGTGAAAGATGACAAGAGATGGCAGTAGGCCACACAGTGGGAGTTCAGTGAGATGAAGAGCAGAGAGATGGCAAAGCAGTCTGTGATAGAGGCTGCAAGAACTGTAACACTAAGGCTGTTAACAATAAAGAGCTGCTAACAATACAGAGCTGTAATGCTAACCAAAGGCTCTTTTCAGAGCCATCATTTTCTCTGTCAGGTGACGGAGCCGAGCAGATGGGCAAGTGGCCATAGTACCACTGCCTCATGTAAGACCCACTGCTCCAACCAGCAGACCAGTGGATTACCAGTCTCTGTGCTGCCCCCACTGCACAATAGCCAACCCCACCCAAGCTGAGGGAACTTAGAGAGATCTTCACTTGGGTCACACATGAAAGATTGGTTGGTGCCATTTTGGTTCCTGTGGATGGGTGAGTGTTTTCTCTGCTTCCTTTTTAATATTGGGAGAACTAGAAAATAAAATAAAAGCCTTTGGCTAAGTGGTCAGTTAAAATTCCCCTGTCATTTGGGTGTCCTGAAGCACCTTGTCACCCCTTCTCCCAGTCCTTTCTCCTCTGACTCCATTTTATTTTTCTACCAATCAGTAGTTTTAATTTTAGTCACAAAATGTATGTTTCATTTTTAGTATTATGTTTGCTTTTGAGTTTCTGTTAACTGTGTTCTATGTTTAGACAATTGTTTAAGGCAGGACACTTAATTGTGAGAGGTCTCCCATTGTGTTGACTCAGGGACACAAGAGTCACATTGTTCTGTGATGCCAACATGGTCTTGGGTTCACTGTTGGCTGCCCACTGGGTGCCCCAGGGATTTTGGCATTCTGTGAGGGGACCCCCATTGGCTGAAACTCAGGCATTCTAGGTTTTCAACGTTGGTATTTTTGGCCACCCCCAGATGATCTGGGATTTTCAGCATTGACAGTTCCTCTAGGATTGTGAGTTATAGCCCCTCCAGCTAGGAGAATATTGGTCTCATCTTTTTCTGCCCTAAAGATAGAAGTCATTATTTTCCAGTTGCAGACCCATCCCTGTGTGCTGACATAAAACTGCCTTGCTCAATCCCCCTTGGGTGAAGAACCTGGGGGTTCCCAGGCCCCTGGCCTGACAGATGACCAGGTAGAAAAGCGGCCACCTAAACATTTTTTTTTGGTGTTTCCACTACTGGCAAGTCAGGGCCCTCTGAGATCTCCCTTTGGGCAATGCTGTTTGCCCCCTTCCCTTCCACAGTCACCATTTTTTAGCCCCTCTCTCTGCCCAACTGCTGCTTTCTGTGGAATTTAGTATTAATATGCTAGTACTCATTTGTAGCTCATAATCCACTTTTGTAATGCCTTGCTCCCTATACGTACAACTTCTCTGCAGGAAGTGGCAACATAAAAGGAAAAAAACAAAACAAAACACGTGCTCAGTTTATGTCCCTCTCACTGTACTTAAAAAGACTTCTGTGTCCAGAAAAATATCCTTGTTTATCATGGGGACAGTGATAAGCATACCAGAGACTCACCACTAGGATGTTTTATAGGCGATTGTAGCAAATTCAAATTTGGCTGAAAGAAAAAATAAACTCATTTTCTATTGCAACACCATTTGGGTTCAACATAAGTTAGTAAACCAACAGATATGGCCTAAACATGGTCTGTACATTATAATAGTATTTTACAATTGGACTTGTCATGTAAAAAAGAAGGAAAATGGCAAGAAGTCCCTTATGTACAGGTTTTCATGGCACTTTACTGGCTCATGTTACTTCTAGGCACCAGAAAGACATGCCTAAGGGATTCTCTCCCAGCTGCCCCCCGCCCCAGAAGGCCTGCCTCTTCCCTGGATTCTCCTCAGTCCCCTAATTCTGAGTGGGGGGTTCCACCAGTCCTCTGATGGAGAATTCCATCCCAGGGTCATCGGGCACCCCTCCCCCTTATCCAACTATCCCCAGCATATACCCTCCACTCCCCACAAAAGTAAGTCCAATCAATACCACCAGAGGTGGGTCCCCACATCAGCCCCTAAAGGAAAACCTGTGTCCATTGCAGGAGGTAGCTAATGGAAACAGGGGAACATTCATAGTACATGTGTCATTTTCTATGTCTAATTTGGCTTTGTATGAGGAAAAACATGGCCAGTTTTCAGAGAATTCAGAAAAGCCTATACAGGAATTTGTTACATTAATTATGTTCTTTGATTTAACTTATCACGACTTACAAGTATTGTCATCTGCTTGCTGTTCCATGGGAAAAAATGTGGAGGAGAAAGTGTGTAGTTAAGCCAGATAATTATGACAAGGTTAGAGAAATAACTCAGGAAAAAAGGTAAAAAAAAAATCCCACTCTGTTTCAGGAGCATTTAGTTGAGGCATTCAATAAATAGACTAATGCAAACCCAAACTTCCCAGAAGGACAGACCCTCTAGGGTATATATTTTATTACTCAATGTGCCCCTGAAATTAGGAGGAAGCTACAAAAAGCAGCAATGGGACCTCAAAACATTGTGAGTCAACTCTTAAAAATGCCTTTAAAGTTACATTTATGCAGTCAACAAATTTATAAAAAAATGCTCATCATCACTGGTCACTAGAGAAATGCAAATCAAAACCACAATGAGATACCCTCTCACGCCAGTTAGAATGGCTATCATTAAAAAGTCAGGAAACAACAGGTGCTGGAGAGGATGTGGAGAAATAGGAACACTTTTACACTGTTGGGAGTGTAAATTAATTCAACCATTGTGGAAGACAGTGTGGCAATTCCTCAAGGATCTAGAACTAGAAATACCATTTGACCCAGCAATCCCATTACTGGGTATATACCCAAAGGATTAGAAATCGTTCTACTATAAAGACACATGCACGCATATGTTTATTGCAGCACTATTCACAATAGCAAAGACTTGGAACCAACCCAAATGTCCATCAGTGATAGACTGGATAAGGAAAATGTGGCACATATACACCATGGAATACTATGCAGCCATAAAAAAGGATGAGTTAATGTCCTCTGCAGGGACATGGATGAAGGTGGAAACCATTATTCTCAACAAACTATCACAAGAACAGAAAACCAAACACCACATATTCTCACTCATAAGTGGGAGTTGAACAAGGAGAACACATGGAACAGGGAGGGGAACACCACACGCTGGGGCCTGTTGGGGGTTGGGGGACTAGGGGAGGGATAGCATTAGGAGAAATACCTAATGTAGGTGATGGGTTGATGGGTGCAGCAAACCACCATGGCACATGTATACCTATGTAACAAACCTGCACATTCTGCACATGTACCCCAGAACTTAAACTATAATAATAATAATAAAAATAGCATGTATAACAGGGAATAAAAGTTAATATTTAAAAAAAATAGGGACAGAAAAAAAGAGGTGAAAAACACTCCCAAAAATAGCCAAAAAAGTGCAATTGTTAACAGTTGCTTTCAGTCCCCTCCCACCTCAGAATTACCCATTCCAAGAAGGTGTAGCTAGATTGGCATCTGGGATACCCAGACAAGAGCCCTGACTTGCTGGTCACTGGGTCAGAATCAGTGTGTCTACTATACACAAAAGGGCTATTGACAATGAGAATGTCTTAACTGGAGACAGAGAGAGAGAAAGAGAGAGAGAGAGAGATTGAGAAAGCTCCACATCAATACTGGAGCTAACCTTCTTCCACTAGTTCCAATGAGCTGCATTGCTCAAGTACATTTACTGTGAGTCTCAGACCCTTTACCCAGCAGACAGCTTCCCACAGTGGCAGCCAAGTAGCCACTAGAACATTTTTCTTCAGTGTCTCCACTGCTGTATGAGCTTTCTGGTGGCTCAGGGACTCTGAGGTCTCCCCTTGAGCAGCACAGTTTGCCTGTTCCTTTATTTGATGTTATGGGATCCCCTTCCCTGCCTCTTCCTGTCTTCCATACCTATTGGAGCAAACAAAATTTGGCCAGGTAGATGATTCCTAATTTTGTAAATAACTTGAATCCATTTGGCACATAAAAGTCATTTTATTTAATGCGTTTGTTTAGTTGTATATACAGGTATTGTGATATATATCATGTCTAGCTTGCTGTCAAACTAGATTATAAATAAAAGAGCATTCATAAACAAGACTAATCTAAGCTTATTAGTTTGAAGAGAATATTCTGTCTTCTAAAGTTTAATTGTAAGATTTTTATCTAGGTAAATCAGTGATGTTCATAGACTTTAAAATGGTTAAAATGGCTTTAAATGGGAACTAGCTTTGCATAGTATCTTGGTTCTTGGAGGTGAACCAGATAAAACTGTTCAAATTTTAAAAAGTTAAATACATGTGAATGGAATAAATGCTTAAATAGTGAGCTTTCTGTGTAGTTTAAAACCTTAAAATGGTAGAATGGTTCTCACATATAGAATGCCACTGTCTGGTAGGCAGTTCAGGATTTCTTGCATCCTAGGTTTGTATAAAAGTTACCAAAAAAGGTATTCTTTACTGGGAAAAATATTTTTGTCATATTTGGAAATTATTAAAAGGCAAGTTCAAAATGTGAGGGAAACCATGAGGAGTTATGGATAGAAAATATATTTTTGCAAGGAAGGATATAAAGAAAGAGTAATTTTGTGTAATAAGGGATCTTGTATAGTAAATTCTTCTATAGTAGAATGGTTTGCTATTTAAGAAAGAGGTAGTATAGGATGAGTTACAAAGTTCAAGCATGTTGTAGATGATCAGTGTAACTGGTGATAAGGTTTGTAAAGGGGAATTTTGAAAGGAATTTTGTGTGTGATTAAGCTAGCTGTAATTAAAAGGAAATTGTTTATAACAGATTTTTCTAAAGAATGGTGTACATGTTAAAACGATATTTTGTAAGGTATTAGTTTACTAAATTATCAGAAATTTTGCTTTTCAATTCTGTAATCTATTTCTTTTGAAACCTCAGATTCATGTAACTCTCTCCTTTAGCACTTTTGTCAGCTTCTGTGAGTTTTTCTCCTTTGATTCTGAATGTTGTGTTCTGATGCTAGAGTGTTTTGTCTTAGAGGTCTGTAGGAGCAGTGTTTTTCTCCAGTATAGCCTAATTCTATGCTCTTGCTATTTTTTTGATTTGCAACCTTATTTTATCTTTTAGTTTTTGACTCTTCTATCACTTAGAAGAGTTTTGGGGGCTGGTGCATGCTTGCCCAACTCTATTCCCTTTGGCCAGGAGTGGGGACATTCATTCAGTCTGTTGGGGGCTATAGATTTTGATATTTTTGTTTGTATTTCTGCATTTTCTTCAGAAGGCAGAGTTGATGCTTAAGCTTTTAATTTGTCCTGTGCCAATGCTGGGGTGGTGTTCTGCAAGTCCCGAGTCCACTGTGTCCCTGTGCCCTGGGGACTTGTAGTCAGGGAACATGTAGCCACTTGGATATACTGGGCTTGAATAGAGTGGAGGTGGGTGGCACCCCTTGGCCCTTGAACACCTTTTGAACAGCGTGGGACCCAAAGACTAGGAGCCAAGAAACAAAGTTATAAAATTAACTTTATGGATTCTGTGTGTTCAGATGCTCTGGTCTTGGTCTGTAGTAATTAGCTATATAAATCTTTCCTCTCCCCTTTAGAATTTAGGCCAGGTGCAAAAGGCCCTCCAATATAAAAATAAAATATTGCCCTTCTCCACAATGGAAAAAAAAATAGCTTCCTTATTCTACCAGGAGACTTAGTCTTACTAAAAAATGTAAAAAGAAGAATCCTCTGAGGATTAATTACAACCAAAACGGGAGGGCCTTTATCAGGTATTGTTAAGCACTGCCACTGCTGTTAATCTTCAGGAAATCACTACTTGGGTACACTTATCAAGGATTAAACCTGATTCTTATAAGTCACAGGTACAAAGGGAGGACACTATGACCTACATTTGTAAACCTTCAGAGGACCTCTGCTACCTATTTAAAATAGTCAACAGTCAGCCAGAAGTGGTAACATGATGCTGTGGGTGAAAATAGGAGCATTAATTTTTCTTTTCTTCCTGACTGTAATACTTGTTTTCTGTTGCTTTAGCTAGTCACCTCCTCCTGGGAAACATCTCTTTTGTCCTTGTTGGGTGTGAAGGCCACTCTAAGGCCCAACCAGACACTATGCTACCACTGTTGATCTTGTTTGCTCTCTCAATTACCCTTATCCAGTCTGAGTGGGACGAAAACTTTATAGTAAATATTTCAAAAATTATAGAATCAGAGAATTATCTTCATAGTTGCTAGATTTGTCATCGACGTCCCCAGGATACAGAGTTCCATCTTCTCGCCTATCCAGAAAATCTTGTGGCCGTGTCCACAAACACCCTAACTAACCATGGTAATCCTAAAGCACCCAAACTCCTACTTGTTAAGTAGAATGTTCCCCCACTTAACAGATACCATGTGAACACCCCCACCACTATTACCTGGACCTAGGAAGTTGGGTATCTATACCTCCAATGCACTGGTCATTCCACTTTTTGCACTCTTTGTTGTGTTAATGACACAAAATTGGAAGTTTCCCTGTGATGCTCTGATAAACTTTAGTTGCCAAGTTCCAAAGACTGCAGTGTGGTAAGTAGGATTCCACATGTAAGCCATATATAGTGACTTTTCCTTGTTCAGAACATACAGAGGAAAAACAACTGCCTAGTCTGGGAAGGTGGGAGTATCACCTCCTTTTGGAAAACAAAGATTATTCAACCACTACCATTAGAATAGGGGAAAATTACCTCTATAGACCCAACTTGGCAGTAAATTAGCTGGGCCGGGCACCTGTAGTCCCAGCTACTCGGGAGGCTGAGGCAGGAGAATTGCTTGAACCCAGGAGGCAGAGGTTGCAGTGAGCTGAGATCACACCAATGCACTCCAGCCTGGGCAACAAGAGCAAAACTCCATCTCAAAAAAGAAAGAAAGAAAGAAAGAATCATATCCCTTAGATCCTCTCTCTGTGCCTCAACTATGCTCATTTTTGTTTGTTGCCATCACTGAAAAGAAATCACACCCCATAACCACTCCCAACTCCCCATGGAGTTACCTTTTCTTTCAGGAGAAAGAAAAGCTTTCTCTTGTATATCAAAAACTCGTAACAGGAAGTGAATGTACATCAGCTACCTTTGCCCCTCCAGGGGTCACAGTCTATAACCCAATAAGACCCAACAACACCAGAAGTAAGTGAGCAATAGAATTAATTGTGGTTGGCAGCAGTAGCAATCTGGGGCAGCTTTGCTTTCCATGAATCAACCCTAAAGAACTTGACTCAAACCCTAGAATTCTTAGCCACCAACACAGGTCAGGCATAGGGAATTTGAGTCCAGAGACTCTTGGCAAATGTAGTTCTCAATAACAGACTAATGTTGGATTGTTTACTAGCTGTATGAGGTAGAATCTATGTAGTTATTAATAAAACCTGCTGTACATATATTAACAACTCTGGACAGTTTGAGATTAACGTTCAAAATATCTATGAGCAAGCTACCTGGTTACACAGACACAACCAGGGTCTCAACTATATCTGGTCAACTATCAAAAGTGCATTCCCAAGTCTTACTTGCTTTTTATCTCTCTTAGGATGATTGATCTCTGTCTTGTTAATATTAATCTTTGTTCCTTGTTTTTTAACCTCTTAATAAAGTTTGTGTATTCCAGATTACAGTGATTCTGGGTAAAGACAATCCTGGCACAAGGCTCCTAATTCATCCCACCTACTGACCTGAAGAATGAAAGCATCCTGCCTCTGGGCCCCTTAGATCAGGCATCCAGAGATTTTTATCCTTCTGGTGCTAGGCAGGGTATAAGCACATAAAATCAGCAGGAAACAATTACAGAAGATGGACTCCTATACTTCTGCAGCACCCTTAAGATTAAGGAGGAGTATCTCATCTCTGAGCAGAAAATGAGGTAGGAGGTGGGACCTGATTCTGGAGGTAGGTCTCAGACACTGGAACAAATTGAGGACTAGCTAAAACAGGGATGAAGCAGAAGCTACATTCCATGACATGCCCACTAGTGTGTCATGTCAGTTTACCATTGCCATGGCAAGACCTGGAAGTTACTGTTTCTTTCCATGGCAATGACCTGACTACCTGAAAGTCACCACCATTTCTCTAGAAATTTCTGCATCATATACAAATAATTTGCATATAATTAAATGTGGCTATAAATATGACTGCAGAACTGCTGATACTCTGGGTACACTGCCTATGGGGTAGCCCTGCTCAGCAAGAAACAGTACCTCTGCTGCTGCTGCACACTGCCACTTTAATAAAAGTTGCTGTGTAATACCACTGGCTCACCCTTGAATTATTTCCTGGGCCAAGCCAAGAACCCTCCCAGGCTAAGCCCTGATTTCAGAGCTTGCCTGAACTGCATCAGCTTCATGGAAATACAAACTGTGCTGTTGCACAAAGCTCTGTGCCAGAAAAGCCTCATGCTTGGTTTGTCACTGTATTGAAACTCTTAATAATTTATTGTTTGAAATTATATTTTGTAAATGAAGTCTGACGAGACAATAGAGCATGAGATAAATGCAATATATGTTTTGCCATTCTTTGTTGCTCTGTTTGGATAGATCATTCAGGATACCCAATATTCATTTTATTACGGTTGATTCACAATGTTGGGGGGATCAACAAGAACCAAAGAGAGTACAAGTTATGTGTCATGGTATATGACACATTTTATGTGTCAATTTATCTAGGCTATAGTACCAATAATTTAATAAAACACTAAGTTTTGCATTTAAGTTGTGTAGATGTGGTTAAATTTAAGTAATGGAAATTACTCTCAATAATTTAGGTTGCCTTCATCTAGTTAGTTGAAAGCCTTAAGAGCAAAAATTGAGGTTTCTTGGAGAAGAAATTCTGTCTCAGGACTGCAGCATCAATTCCTGCCTGAGTTTTAAGCTTGCTGCCCTGCCCTACAGATTTTGGACTTGGAAGCCTACATAATCGCACACATGGGGCAATTCCTTAAAAATTAGTCTCTTTGTGTGTGTTTGTGTGTTTGTGTGTGTGTGTTCGGGGGGATATGTATATAAATATGTGTATATATATATATACTATTGGGTTTCTTTCTCTGGAGAACCCTGGCTGATACAGATTTTGGTACTGAGAGTGGTTCTAGAGGATAGAATCTTAAGGATGAATTTCAAATTTTTTAATAACTTTTTTGGAGTTGGTTCTGTAATCTGATTAGATTTGAAGGCGCTGAAAGCTGCCTTCACTATCTGCAGTGGTAAAGAGGACACTGGTAGTCCATGGTCTGGTATGACAATAGGGATATAAAAATATTACTATGAGATACTTTGAATCAAATACTTACAAAAAGTAAGATTCTGGATGATGATGATTTCATACCTTAGAATATTTTAACCAAACTAAGGATTATAGTAAGATTGGCTGGTTGTTCCTAACTGCAATAAAGACACTGTGGGAAGGAAAGCCTTTTAAATTTGAACTCATGGCTTCAAATTACCTGATAAAGTGCCACAAAAATGATGTGAAATATTCTATGTCCCAAAAGAAAACCCTTATATCATGTAGCTGCAAGTCTAAAAATTCTGAAATCCAAATGCATGATAATATTTTGCAAGCGACTAAATTACAATGCAAATTGAATTCCCAACATCACAGGTGTCTTCTCTTACAATAAGGGCATTGATTGAGAAAGAATATGATCCAGAAATTTGGAATGGGGATATATAGGATGGTTTCAGTAAAGCCGGGGACAAGAAATCTCTAAATTCTGCTAAGTCTTCATTAGTAATACAAGAAGCTTTTCCACCCCTGTCTGAGGAGATTAACCCTGCTTTCCCTGAAAAACCTGTAATGACTTCCCCTTGCAAGGCTCTATTAATTTACTTTTTTCTTTTTCTTTCTTTTTTTTTTTTTTTGAGATGGAGTCTCGCTCTGTTGCAAAGCTGGAGTGCAGTGGCGCGATCTCGGCTCACTGCAACCTCCACCTCCTGGGTTCAAGTGATTCTCCTGCCTCAGCCTCCTGAGTAGCTGGGACTACAGGCATGCGCCACCATGACCAGCTAATTTTTGTATTTTTAGTAGAGACGGGGTTTCACCATGTTCACCAGGATGGTCTCGATCTCTTGACCTCGTGATCTGCCCGCCTCAGCCTCCCAAAGTTCTGAGATTACAGAAGTGAGCCACCGCACCTGGCCGCAAGGCTCTATTAATTTTCTTAAGGGCCTACTTTTGCCACCCATCTTTGTTTCTGAATCTATCACTAGACTCAAGTTCCAGTGGGTCCCACAGGGTGAGGTACAAAGTGTGACCCATGAGGAGGTATGTCACATGTCAAAAGAACTGCAAGATTTTTCCAAATTATACAGGCATAAATCTGGGTAATATATTTAGGGATTAATATTAAAGGGTGAATATTAGAAATAATTTAGGGATTAATATTAAAAGGTGAATATTAGAGATAATGATGGAAGGAACATAAAGTGATATTAGGCCAATTTTTAAAATATGGTACCTATAAGCACAAATTCTGAATTTATTGTTGTAGCTTGAAGGGATAGAAAGGTCAGTTTGTACAGTTGGTAGGCTGGAACATCAACCAAAAGATGGCCTACACGAAATAAAATTGTATTGCCAGAACTGCATTGCTATGGTGTAGAAGAGGGTATACAAAGGCATAAGGAGACAGGAATGTTAGAGTAGATTTATCCTTAAGACCTACTAAGTCACCCTGGAGTGTCTAGAGTTTACATTTTTTTTTACCATGACTGTGAGAAATAAATTTGTGAGAGAAGCCCCACCAGCTTTGAAGTGTTCTATAGTCACTCCTCTGTATACGTCAGGATTTACACTAAGAAGCTTTGCCATCAAACAGGGAACCTTAAATGCCACAGGGATAAACACATCTTGTGATGCAAAGACCAAAGGCTGCCCACCTAATCACCCAAAACAAAGTGGGCACAGTTATTCCAATGAATGGTAGAATTAAAGCAGTGATCAAAGTATCTAACTTGTAGAGTGCTATGACACTGATTAGCTTTTCATAGTTTTCCTAGAAGTGAAACAGATGAGAAGTCTACTAAATTCTTACATGATCTGTATAAGCAGAAAAGTCCTAGGTCAAGTGAGTAAAAGTCTCACTTGAATCATAAAAGCAGAGAATTGTGACCCTTTAGTCAATTCAAAGATGTGAGCCTATTTACCAATACAGAACCCCTTAAATGAAGAAGGGGCCTGGTCTTCTCAACGTATATTAACAATAGTTAGTTTTACACCATCATATTTAAATTACAGGTTATCAAGGGAGAAGAGTGAACATCACTGAAAGACTTTGAATCCTCTTTTTGGAGAAAGGATTAGTGCATTTTCTGTTGTACACAGGATAGATGTATCAGATTAAGTGGTAATATGACTTTATCATTGTATATTTTTGGAGAGTAAGCATGGTATAAAGATAGAAGTATAAACACCAACTTGATAATAGGTGGTCTTGATGGTTAATTTTCTGTGTGAACTTGGCCAAATGAGAGTACCCAGTTATTTAGTCAAACACTGTTCTAGGTGTTTCTATAAAGATATTTTGTAGAAATAGTGAACACCCACAATTAGTTGACTTTAAGCAAATCAAACTATTCTGAAAAATTTGGGTGGGCCTCATCCAATCACTTGAAGGCCTTAAAAGCAAAATCTGAGGTTTCCTGGAGAAGAAGAAAATCTCCCTCAAGGAGGAGCCCAGATGGCCGAATAGGAACAGCTCCGGTCTACAGCTCCCAGCATGAGCCACGCAGAAGATGGGTGATTTCTGCATTTCCATCTGAGGTACCAGATTCATCTCACTAGGGAGTGCCAGACAGTGGGCACAGGTCAGTGGGTGTGCGCACCGTGCGTGAGCCAAAGCAGGGCGAGGCATTGCCTCACTCGGGAAGTACAACGGGTCAGGGGGTTCCCTTTCCTAGTCAAAGAAAGGGGTGACAGATGGCACCTGGAAAATCGGGTCACTCCCACCCGAATACTGCGCTTTCCCGACGGGCTTAAAAAACGGCGCACCAGGAGATTATATCCCGCACCTGGCTCGGAGGGTCCTACACCCACGGAGTCTCGCTGATTGCTAGCACAGCAGCCTGAGATCAAACTGCAAGGCGGCAGCAAGGCTGGGGGAGGGGCGCCCACCATTGCCCAGCTTGTTTAGGTAAACAAAGCAGCCGGGAAGCTTGAACTGGGTGGAGTCCATCACAGCTCAAGGAGGCCTGCCTGCCTCTGTAGGCTCCACCTCTGGGAGCAGGGCAGACAAACAAAAAGACAGCAGTAACCTCTGCAGACTTAAATGTCCCTGTCTGACAGCTTTGAAGAGAGCAGTGGTTCTCCCAGCACGCAGCTGGAGATCTGAGAACGGGCAGACTGCCTCCTCAAGTGGGTCCCTGACCCCTGACCCCCAAGCAGCCTAACTGGGAGGCACCCCCAGCAGGGGCAGATTGACACCTCACACGGCCAGGTACTCCAACAGACCTGCAGCTGAGGGTCCTGTCTGTTAGAAGGAAAACTAACAAACAGAAGGGACATCCACACCAAAAACCCATCTGTACATCACCATCATGAAAGACCAAAAGTAGATAAAACCACAAAGATGGGGAAAAAACAGAGCAGAAAAACTGGAAACTCTAAAAAGTAGAGCGCCTCTCCTCCTCCAAAGGAACACAGTTCCTCACCAGCAACGGAACAAAGGTGGACGGAGAATGACTTTGACGAGCTGAGAGAAGAAGACTTCAGACGATCAAATTACTCCGAGCTATGGGAGGACATTCAAACCAAAGGCAAAGAAGTTGAAAACTTTGAAAAAAATTTAGAAGAATGTATAACTAGAATAACCAATACAGAGAAGTGCTTAAAGGAGCTGATGGAGCTGAAAACCAAGGCTCGAGAACTACGTAAAGAATGCAGAAGCCTCAGGAGCCGATGCAATCAACTGGAAGAAAGGGTATCAGCGATGGAAGATGGAATGAATGAAATGAAGCAAGAAGGGAAGTTTAGAGAAAAAAGAATAAAAAGAAACAAGCAAAGCCTCCAAGAAATATGGGACTATGTGAAAAGGCCAAATCTACGTCTGATTGGTGTACCTGAAAGTGACGGGGAGAATGGAACCAAGTTGGAAAACACTCTACAGGATATTATCCAGGAGAACTTCCCCAATCTAGCAAGGCAGGCCAATATTCAGATTCAGGAAATACAGAGAACGCGACAAAGATACTCCTCGAGAAGAGCAACTCCAAGACACATAATTGTCAGATTCACCAAAGTTGAAATGAAGGAAAAAATGTTAAGGGCAGCCAGAGAGAAAGGTCGGGTTACCCACAAAGGGAAGCCCATCAGACTAACAGCAGATCTCTCGGCAGAAACTCTACAAGCCAGAAGAGAGTGGGGGCCAATATTCAACATTCTTAAAGAAAAGAATTTTTAACCCAGAATTTCATATCCAGCCAAACTAAGCTTCATAAGTGAAGGAGAAATAAAATACTTCACAGACAAGCAAATGCTGAGAGATTTTGTCACCACCAGGCCTGCCCTAAAAGAGCTCCTGAAGGAAGCCCTAAACGTGGAAAGGAACAACCGGTACCAGCCGCTGCAAAATCATGCCAAAATGTAAAGACCATCGAGACTAGGAAGAAACTGCATCAACTAACGAGCAAAATAACCAGCTAACATCATAATGATAGGATCAAATTCACACATAACAATATTAACTTTAAATGTAAATGGACTAAATGCTCCAATTAAAAGACACAGACTGGCAAATTGGATAAAGAGTCAAGACCCATCAGTGTGCTGTATTCAGGAAACCCATCTCATGTGCAGAGACACACATAGGGTCAAAAGGATGGAGGAAGATCTACCAAGCAAATGGAAAACAAAAAAAGGCAGGGGTTGCAATCCTAGTCTCTGATAAAACAGACTTTAAACCAACAAAGGTCAAAAGAGACAAAGAAGGCCATTACATAATGGTAAAGGGATCAATTCAACAAGAAGAGCTAACTATCCTAAATATATATGCACCCAATACAGGAGCACCAAGATTCATAAAGCAAGTCCTGAGTGACCTACAAAGAGACTTAAGACTCCCACACATTAATAATGGGAGACTTTAACACCCCACTGTCAATGTTAGACAGATCAACAAGTCAGAAAGTCAACAAGGATACCCAGGAATTGAACTCAGCTCTGCACCAAGTGGACCTAATAGACATCTACAGAACTCTCCACCCCAAATCAACAGAATATACATTTTTTTCAGCACCACACCACACCTATTCCAAAATTGACCACATACTTGGAAGTAAAGCTCTCCTCAGCAAATGTAAAAAACAGAAATTATAACAAACTATCTCTCAGACCACAGTGCAATCAAACTAGAACTCAGGATTAAGAATCTCACTCAAAACCGCTCAACTACATGGAAACTGAACAACCTGCTCCTGAATGACTACTGGGTACATAACGAAATGAAGGCAGAAACCTTCATTCTTTGAAACCAACGAGAACAAAGACACAACATACCAGAATCTCTGGGATGCATTCAAAGCAGTGTGTAGAGGGAAATTTATAGCACTAAATGCCCACAAGAGAAAGCAGGAAAGATCCAAAATTGACACCCTAACATCACAATTAAAAGAACTAGAAAAGCAAGAGCAAACACATTCAAAAGCTAGCAGAAGGCAAGAAATAACTAAAATCAGAGCAGAACTGAAGGAAATAGAGACACAAAAAACCATTCAAAAAATTAATGAATCCAGGAGCTGGTTTTTTGAAAGGATCAACAAAATTGATAGACCGCTAGCAAGACTAACAAAGAAAAAAAGAGAGAAGATTCAAATAGACGCAATAAAAAATGATAAAGGGGATATCACCACTGATCCCACAGAAATACAAACTACCATCAGAGAATACTACAAACACCTCTATGCAAATAAACTAGAAAATCTAGAAGAAATGGATAAATTCCTTGACACATACACTCTCCCAAGACTAAACCAGGAAGAAGTTGAATCTCTGAATAGACCAATAACAGGATCTGAAATTGTGGCAATAATCAATAGCTTACCAACCAAAAAGAGTCCAGGACCAGATGGATTCACAGCCGAATTCTACCAGAGGTACAAGGAGGAGCTGGTACCATTCCTTCTGAAACTATTCCAATCAACAGAAAAAGAGGGAATCCTCCCTAACTCATTTTATGAAGCCAGCATCATCCTGATACCAAAGCCAGGCAGAGACACAACCGAAAAAGAGAATTTTAGACCAATATCCTTGATGAACATTGATGCAAAAATCCTCAATAAAATACTGCCAAACAGAATCCAGCAGCACATCAAAAACCTTTTGCACCATGATCAAGTGGGCTTCATCCCTGGGATGCAAGGCTGGTTCAATATATGCAAATTAATAAATGTAATCCAGCATATAAACAGAACCAAAGACAAAAACCACATGATTATCTCAATAGATGCAGAAAAGGCCTTTGACAAAATTCAACAACCCTTCATGCTAAAAACTCTCAATAAATTAGGTATTGATGGCACATATCTCAAAATAATAAGAGCTATCTATGACAAACCCACGGCCAATATCATATGGAATGGGCAAAAACTGGAAGCATTCCCTTTGAAAACTGGCACAAGACAGGGATGCCCTCTCTCACCACTCCTATTCAACATAGTGTTGGAAGTTCTGGCCAGGGCAATTAGGCAGGAGAAGGAAATAAAGGGTATTCAATTAGGAAAAGAGGAAGTCAAATTGTCCCTGTTTGCAGACGACATGATTGTATATCTAGAAAACCCCATTGTCTCAGCCCAAAATCTCCTTAAGCTGATAAGCAACTTCAGCAAAGTCTCAGCATACAAAATCAATGTACAAAAATCACAAGCATTCTTATACACCAACAACAGACAAACAGAGAGCCAAATCAGGAGTGAACTCCCATTCACAATTGCTTCAAAGAGAATAAAATACCTAGGAATCCAACTTACAAGGGATGTGAAGGACCTCTTCAAGGAGAACTACAAACCACTGCTCAATGAAATAAAAGAGGATACAAACAAATGGAAGAACATTCCATGCTCATGGGTAGGAAGAATCAATATCGTGAAAATGGCCATACTGCCCAAGATAATTTACAGATTCAATGCCATCCCCATCAAGCTACCAATGACTTTCTTCACAGAATTGGAAAAAACTACTTTCAAGTTCATATGGAACCAAAAAAGAGCCCGCATCGCCAAGTCAATCCTCAGCCAAAAGAATAAAGCTGGAGGCATCACACTACCTGACTTCAAACTATACTACAAGGCTACAGTAACCAAAACAGCATGGTACTGGTACCAAAACAGAGATATAGATCAATGGAACAGAACAGAGCCCTCAGAAATAACGCCGCCTATCTACAACTATCTGATCTTTGACAACCCTGAGAAAAACAAGCAATGGGGAAAGGATTCCCTATTTAATAAATGGTGCTGGGAAAACTGGCTAGCCATATGTAGAAAGCTGAAACTGGATCCCTTCCTTACACCTTATACAAAAATCAATTCAAGATGGATTAAAGACTTAAAGGTTAGACCTAAAACCATAAAAACGCTAGAAGAAAGCCTAGGCATTACCATTCAGGACATAGGCATGTGCAAGGACTTCATGTCTAAAACACCAAAAGCAATGGCAACAAAAGCCAAAATTGACAAATGGGATCTAATTAAACTAAAGAGCTTCTGCACAGCAAAAGAAACTACCATCAGAGTGAACAGGCAACCTACAAAATGGGAGAAAATTTTTGCAACCTACTCATCTGACAAAGGGCTAATATCCAGAATCTACAATGAATTCAAACAAATTTACAATAAAAAAACAACCCCATCAAAAAGTGGGCGAAGGATATGAACAGACACTCCTCAAAAGAAGACATTTATGCAGCCAAAAAACACATGAAAAAATGCTCACCATCACTGGCCATCAGAGAAATGCAAATCAAAACCACAATGAGATACCATCTCACACCAGTTAGAATGGCAATCATTAAAATGTCAGGAAACAACAGGTGCTGGAGAGGATGTGGAGAAATAGGAACACTTTTACACTGTTGGTGGGACTGTAAACTAGTTCAACCATTGTGGAAGTCAGTGTGGCGATTCCTCAGGGATCTAGAACTAGAAATACCATTTGACCCAGCCATCCCATTACTGGGTATATACCCAAAGGACTATAAATCATGCTGCTATAAAGATACATGCAACGTATGTTTACTGCGGCATTATTCACAATAGCAAAGACTTGGAACCAACCCAAATGTCCAACAATGATAGACTGGATTAAGAAAATGTGGCACATATACACCATGGGATACTATGCAGCCATAAAAAATGATGAGTTCATGTCCTTTGTAGGGACATGGATGAAATTGGAAATCATCATTCTCAGTAAACTATCGCAAGAACGAAAAACCAAACACCACATATTCTCACTCATAGGTGGGATCTGAACAATGAGAACACATGGACACAGGAAGGGGAACAACACACTCTGGGGACTGTTGTGGGGTGGGGGGAGCGGGGAGGGATAGCACTGGGAGATATACCTAATGCTAGATGACGAGTTAGTGGGTGCAGCACACCAGCATGGCACATGTATACATACGTAACTAACCTGCACATTGTGCACATGTACCCTAAAACTTAAAGTATAATAATAATAAAAAAAACATTAAAAAAAAGTTAAAAAAATTAAAAAAAAAAAAAAAGAAAATCTCCCTCAAGTCTGAAGCACTAACTCCTACCTGAGTTCTGTTAGTTCCTACTGGTTCTGTTTCTCTGGAGAACCCTTGCTGAGATTGAGAAAGTATGCATGTTTACATCTATGAGTGACAAAGTGACAGCACAGACAGCTCCTATAAGCCATGTTTTCTGATACTGAAATTACTTATTTAAATAAAAAAAATGTAGAGACAGGGTCTTGCTGCATTGTCTAAGCTGGTCTTAACCTCCTGGCCTCAAGCAATTCTCCCCATTCAGCCTCTCAAAGTGTTGGAATTGCAGGCATGAGCCACTGTGCCAGGCCCAGAAATTCCTTCTAACACAAGAAGAGGGCAATGCAATTTTAAGAAACACTAAAGACCAAGGAATCCTATTATATTCTTTCACATTCATGTTATTTCTCTGTATTAGCCAACCATTCTGAAGATGATTACATAGAAGAAAAAATAAGATTGGAAAATTCGTAGTTTATTTTCTTTTTAGTCCCCTTTATTAATCAGTATGCTAAAGGTGGAGAGTGTTTGGGAAAACTGTGTATATTAATACATGAAATACAAAGAGTTGAGTCAGTTTTGTGCAGCATTTCTACTGTTATGGTAAGAACAAAATACATATGAATGTACATGCTACAAAATGTGAATTGTTTTAGTTCAGTAATGTTGAACATCACTTAAATATTCTTCAATTTGCATTTCAAATAGGCAGTGACACATATAAAGATGAATAGTGAAATTTATGCTAATAATTTATTTATGTATATTTTTATTGCCCTAAGAAGAAATCCTTTACTCCTTAGCAGTCATCCCCATTCTCATCTCCCTCCAACTCCTGGCAACCACTAATTTTTCTTTCTTTATGGATTTACCTATTGTGGACATTTCATGTATAGGGAATCATATAATATATTGTCTTTTGTGAGTGGCTACTTTTCACTTAGCATAATGTTTACAAGGTACATTCATGTTTTCACATGTATCAGTACTTCATTTACTTTTATGGCTGAATAATATTCAATTGTGTAGATTCACCACATTTTATTTTTCCACTAATCAATTGATTCATATTTGTGTTGTTTCCACTTTTGGCTATTATGATCATTTATATGAAAGTGTACATGTTTTTACATGGACATATGTTTTAAATTCTCTTGGGTATAAACCTAAGAGTGAAATTGCTGGGTCATAGAGTAACTCTACACTTAATTTCTTCAGTAATTGTAAAATAGTTTTCCACATTGGATACACCTTTTTACAATATCACCAGGAATGTATGAGGGCTCCAATTTCTCCACATCATAGCAAAATGTTATTTTCTGTCTTTTTTCATTAAAGCCATCTTAGTGGGTGTAGAGTGGCATCTCATTGTGGATTTAATTTGCATTTCTCAAATGGCTAATGATGTTAAGCAAATTTTCATGTGCTTATTTGCTATTAATATATCTTTTTTAGAGAAATGTATATTTAGAACATTAGACCATTTTTTAATTATTTTTTAAATTTTTGTGGGTACCTAGTAGGTGTATATATTTATTGGGTATATGAGATGTTTTGATATAGGCATGCAATGTAAAATAAGCACATCATGGATAACGGTTATCCACTTCCTCAAGCATTTATCCTTTGAGTTACAAATAATCCAATTATATTTTTTATTTTAAAATATACAATTAGGTTATTATTGACTATAGTCACCCTATTGTGCTATAAAATAATAGGACTTAGTCATTCTTTCTATTTATTTTTTCTGCTTAACTCTCCTTATTCCACCATCCCCTATTACCCTTCCCAGCCTCTGGTAACCATTTTTTTAATCTATTTGTTATAGTTTTATTTTTGAGTTCTAAGAATACTTTATATACTGAATATTAGCTTCTTATCAGGTATGTGATTGGCAAATATTTCATGTCATTTTGTATGCTGTCATTTCACTTTCTTAATGTTATCAATAATTTTCAGTGCTAAACTTTTTATCAATAATTATTATGTAGCTCAATTTATCTCTTTTTGTGTGTATGTGCTTTTGGTGTTGTATCTAATAAACCATTACCTAATCCAAAGTTGTGAAGATTTACTTTTATGTTTTCTTCTACGAGTTTTATAGTTTTAACTTTCACATTAGGTGTATGATACATTTTAAATTAATTTTTAATGGATGGCATAAAGAAAAGGTTCAAGCTCATTCTTTTGCGCGTTGGTATCTAGTGGCCCCAGCATCATTTGTTGAAAAGACTGTTTTCACTATTTTCTCCATTAAATTGTTTTAGCAACTTTGTTGATAATAGACAGATCAGCTGATCGTAGATAGACACATTAATATTATTTTTGGACTCTCGGTTCTATTTTATTTATCTATATGTCTATCAATATGCCAGTACCACACTCTCTTAAATATTGCAGCTGTTTAGTACCTCTTGAAATCTGGAAATTTGTATGTTTCTCTTGGTCATGGTGTATAATCATATTGATAATGTTGTTCAATTACTTTTCTTAGTATTTCGTTGAATGCTTTGTGTTGATATTCATAAGGCATATTGGTCTTTAGTTTTATTTTCTTGTTATATCTTTACCTGCTTCTGGTATTGGGGTAATAATGGCTTCATAAAATGATTTGAGAAGCATTCTTTCCTCTTCTATTTTTTGAAAGAGTTTGTGAAAGTTTGGTATTAATTCTTCTTTAAACGTTTGGTAGATGTAACCAGTAAATATATCTAGGTTTGTGTTTTATTTCTAAGATGTTTTTAAAAATTACAAAGCTCATCTCTCTACTTATTATAGGTTTATATAGATGTTCTATTCCTTCAGTAGTTTGTCTTTTTAGGAATTTGTCCATTCAATTTAACTAATTTGTTAGCATATATTTTGTTGTTCATAGTATTAATGTTTCCTTATAATCTTTTATAATTTCTATAAGGCTGGTAGTGATATTCCCTCTTTCATTTCTGATTTGTATGAATTTAATATTGTTTTTTCTTCTTGTCAATCTATCTAAAGGTTTTTGGTTTTTCTTTATTTTTTAAAAAATGTGAGATGAAATTCATATAAAATAAACCATTTTAAAGTGATCAATTCACTGGCATTGAGTACATTCACAATGTTGTACAACTACCTCTTCTATGTAGTTCCAAAATATTTTCATCACTCCAAAATAAAACCCCACTCTCCACTCCTCTCTCCCTTTACCCCCAAGCAAGTACTATTATGTTTTCTATTTTTACATTTACCTGATCTGAATATTTTACATAAATGGAATCATGCGACATGCTATTTTTGTATCTGTCTTCTTTCTCTTGGCATAATATTTTTGAAGTTCAGCAATATTTTAGGGGTTTGTCAATTTTGTTGATTTTTTCAAAACTTACTTTGGTTTTCTTGATTTTTCTCTATTTATATTCTCTTTTTTTCTGCACTAGTATATTTTCTTTTTCCTTTTGATTGTATTGGGTTTAGTTTGTTCTTCATTTGCTGGTTTGTCAAGCTTGAAAGTTAAGTTATAGATTTGATATCTTTATTCTATTTTAATATAGGCACTTTCAGCTAAAAATTTTCCTATAAGCTCTGCTTCAGATGCACCCTGGAAGTTTTGTTATGTTGTGTTTTCATTTCCATTAATCTCAAAGTATTTTGTAATTTTTTGTGATTTCTTTTGACTCATTGGCCATTTAAGAGTATGTTGTTTAACCTCCACATATTTATGAATTTTCCAAATTTTCTTTCTGTTATTGATTTCAATTATTTTAAATTCACTGAGGCTTATTTTCTGATCTAACATATAGTCATTTCCACTTGAGAAGAATATGTATTCTGCTGTTATTGGGTGCAGTGTTCTATAAATATCTGCTAGATCTACTTGATTTACGGTGGCATTCATTCAAGTCTTCTATTTTCTTGCTGATTTTCCATTTAGTTGTTTTACCCATTACTGAAAGTGGGGGAATAAAGTCTCAAACTCTAGCTGGAGTTGCTGCATTGTCTATTTCTCCCATCAATTCTGTTCATTTTTGCTTCAGGTATTTTGGGGCCCTGTTGTTAGGTGAATATATGTTTATCATTCTTTTTTCTGTGGACGGGTTGATTCTCTTATCATCTCTAGTAATAATTTTTGTCTTAAAGGCTCTATTGTCTTATATTATAATCACTCTAGCTCTCTTATGATTGCTGTTTGCATAAAATATATTTTTACTCACTTTTATTCTCAAAGTATTTGTATGTCTGAATCTAAATAATGTCTCCTCTAAATAATATATAGTTGAATCTTGTCTTTTAAAAAAATCCATTCTGATTAATTCCTGACTTTTGAATAAATTATTGTTATATAAGTGAAACAAAGGTGGTTTCTGTGCATTGGCCCCTAGGTTGTTTATTTCTTCACTGCAGGCTGAGACATGTTAGCTTTTAGCTCAAAAGGCCACTGGCACCAAACAAATTTTTACAAATCCAGTGATTTTCAAACGCAGTCTAAATAAACACATTTTTAGCCCTTTAGAGACTGTCTGCTCTGTATAGCCCACAAAACTGCACCCAACATTTGCTAGCAGCAGATAAGATAAGCCCCAGGACATGAAAACTCGAAAGAGGCTGTTGCCCTTCAGAGCTCTCTGACACAGAGACTCCTGCTATGCGGCTTAGTTAAAACACATAAACACATAAGTCCTTCTCTGATACTCTTTCCCTTGGAGAGTTCCTTTGTCCTTCTCCTCTTCTTAGTAGCCATCCTAATGCCTTAGCCTCTGGAGAGGCTTTTGTTTCAAGGGACTTTCCCCACAGATTTATATCTATCATTTTTTCCCTATATATTGAATGTCACTTTTTATTCTTCTCTTCCTTCTTTACTGCTTTCTTTGATATTAAATGAATATTTTAGTGTAACATTTTATTTTAAAATTAATTCCTAGTAATTGCTCTAGAACTTACAAGTTAACTTATCAAAATCTACTTCATATTTATACTAACAATTCCAATGAAATAATAAAACTTTAATAGCATATAGCTCTATTCACTTCCCTTTTCATGTTATTATTGCTATCTATATATAATTATATATGTTACAAACCCAATAATATCTTATTATTACTTTACATAATTTCTCTGTATGTAATTTGAATAAGTTTAATGAAGAAAGGAAAACAAATATAAATTTATAGATTTTTTTATATTAACCTTCTTATTTAACCTTTCTAGTTCTGTAGATTGGAGTTACTGCTTTATTTTTTTACTTTCAATACAGCTGTTCTGCTACCTACTTCTTATTTTATTGTCAAATATATATTTTTATATGTTTTTAGCTTTTTAATACAATTTAGTACCTATTGTTTATGAAGTTACTCTTTTAAATCAGTTAAGACAGGAGAATAAATATGCAATTATAGCATCTTGTTTAATTGCCTTTGCTGGTGCATTTTGGTTTTTGTGTGGATTTGAATAAATGTTTGGCATCACTTGCATTAAGCCTGAAATCTTCCCTTACTAATTTTTTAAAGCTAGATCTGCTGGCAACAAATTTTCTTGCTGTTATTACTCTAGGAATGTCTTTATTTTGCCTTTATTTTGGAGAGATAATTTTTCTGGATATACTATTCTTGGTTTGTTTCCAGCACTTTCAATATGTTGTCCAACTCACTCTGATCTCTATTGTTTTTAAGGAGAGACCAGCTGTTGCTCTTATAAGTTTACTTTTGTTAGATTAATTCTAGCCTAAAGCTGCCTCCTTACATATTCTAAGTTATACCTAATGGTTTCTCTGTACATAGTGAACTGTAACTTAAGTAGATGTGTAAACAGACTGTAACCTATTCGTGTGCCAATCACCAAGTTTTGGCCAATCAAAGGCAGTTAACTGCTCAAATCATCTTTAAATAAGGCAACCCCAGGCTGTAACCAATTCTGCTTTTTCTTTATCTCATTTCCATTTTCTGTGCAACACTTTCCTTTTTCTGTCCATAAAATCTTCTTCTATCATGTGGCACACTGGAGTCTCTAATGAGCCTACTCTGATTTGGGAGGCTGCTTGATTCATGAATTATTCTTTGCTCAATTAAACTCTGTTAAATTTGATTGACTTAAGGTTTTTCTTTTAACAGATGGTATCAGAAGTGGGATCTGAAGTAAAGATTATAGCAATCACTAGGAGCATGGGGTGATCAAATGAGATACCTGCCAGGCCCAGTATGTTCCTTACTTTTTTGTAGCAATGGGGGATTGTGGATAAATTATTTTAGATTCTGAAGCTCCACCAATTTGTCTTTGAGATATCTGAGTTTGTCTGAGCAAATTTCTTTTCCAAACTGGGTTTAAAAGTTACAACAGAAACTGGACTGGGTCCAGGATAGAATTTGATCCAGTAATTAACTAGCTTGAATCCAGTTAGAGGCTTCAAATATCTGACAGGGTCAGACAGAAACGTGTAGTAAATAGTAATCCTGCAGGGTGTATAAACTTTACCTTTTGGAAATTCACAGAGACTTTTGTGTTTTACCCCCTTGTTTCTTTTTCTTACATGCTTGAGTTGGGAAAAAAATATTAGCTAAGTTGATTGAAGAGATCTGAGAGCCAAAGTCAATATTCAAATAAAAATGAGGTCCTTAATTTTTAAAGAACTGAGTACTCTATCTTCTGGCTTACACATGTGTAAGTATTAGTCCCTGGAAGCAGTAAATACTTACATAAAAGGCAAAATCTTACTAAATGTAATTTAACATTATACTGGAGCACTTCATGTGAACAACACTGCACTTTAAAAAGTGCATTTGAAAATAAGGGCTCCTGAATTAATCTCATTCAGGGATGCCTATTCATGTGCAAAAGCTTCTAAAAAGATTTCAATATTTTTACTGCTTTAAAAAGTACTTTATAAAAGGCAAGTAAAAAGCTTAAGTGACTAATTGAGAAGAAAAATTAAATGCTAATCTTTTGGCTTAGTTACTATCCCTCCCCAAAGATGAAAAGAAAGCTATCCTAGATAAAGTGCTTATAAAAGATAGGTCCTCAGATAAAGTAAGCTTGCTTCTTTTTCAAATCTATCCATGTTACATCCTGGCATAGAGAATGCTTTATTTGCCCTATTCTTTAATGGGCTCCATTCTGAACTCAGTAATTGTAGCTAAGAATGACTAGCAAAGTTAGAAAGACCACCTATCAAACAAAAATACACCTCTCTGCTATTTAACTGGCTATCTTTAAGCCCTTTTGAAAAAGAAATTTACATCTATAAAGGAAATTTCCACTTGTAAGAGTATTCGACAAGGGGAGATTTCCTTTATAGATGTAAATTCCTATATTTCTTATACCCTTACCCATAAGAGTTTCTAATACCCTTAATGGTAAAGGTATTAGAATTCTAACTCTTATCATTGTTTTAAATTTACATATCAAGTCATAACATTGTTTAAGGTGATTTTCTGGCCATCTTGTCTTAACTAAAATTTTACTTACACCATTTTCTAGTTGTTTTGAGCAAATGATGGTACAATATTTAGGCCTGAGGTCTTAGCTCCATGCTTTTGAGATATAAATTGTCTACCTTTTTTCACCTAAGAATGGTCTCTTTGGAAATGCAAATTTAGGATTGCTTAGCTAACTATTGTTTAGAGCAATGAAACATGTAATTGGAATATTGATTGAATGAGGTGAAAAACTATTCAAAAGTGGGAAAACAAGAATCCTTTATGAAAGCTATAAGATCTGCTTCAGTTTGTGTGTTTGCATGTCTATATACGTTATGTGTATATGATAATATTTGGTATATAAAGCTAGTTTTTTAAGTTGTTGGTAAAGTAAAATGGCTTTAAATTATCAATTAAATATAATCTGATACTTTCTTGACATGACTGTGAGTTTTTGGTTTTGAGCCTCTGGATTCAGGGGCCTGTATAGGTGGCTATAGTGAGGTCTGGAGACACGTTCTCAGTGTCTAAACCAGCAGTTACAAATCAGAATCAAGCCCAATATGGCTCCTTCTTGCCTGCCCCAGCTTTGCCTCCTGGCTATTCTGAGAGGGGTTTGATCTTCCAGGTATCAGTTTCACAGCTCTGTCTCCTGTTGTCAGCTGTATACCAGATGTATAAATTCACGACTAAGAGAGGTCCTGCCATTCCTAACCATTTTGGATGCCATATGGCTACTTAAGACCAAGGATGACTGGGGAAGACATTAGGGAGGATACCTGCGTCATATTTTTCAGGATTCTTTTCAGTAATTTAAAATATTAAAGTCATGATATGTTAAATTAAGTAACAGATAATCATAAAATGTCTGAGTCATTTGTAAGTTAAAATACTGAAATATTACTTATTAAATATGAGCTTGTTTATATACCTTGCAAGGTTATTATTGTATGTAAAAGCTAATTATATTTAGATCTGTTAACAAAACTTTCCAAAAATAAATTTCAAATAAGTTTCGAAATGCTTTTTCTCTACAAATACTGATATAAAACAGTTCAAAATTACTTCCTAGAAATTTCACTAGAAATTATGGTTACTAAGAGTTAATGTAGTTAATATATTTAATTAAAACTGCTAGACGTAAGAAAATTCTGCATAGTGTATAAACAAAAGCAAGAAATGCTTTTGGTGAGGGAAATTATAAAGTCATGAAAATGGGTGTTTGTTAAAAAATTTTGTCTAGTTTGAAGTTACTTAAAGATTATTTCAAATCAAATGAATAAAAATGATATAGATAAAACTAAAATATATAAAGTTAAAAGGAGAGTTTTAAAAATTTATGAGAGTATATAAGATTTATGGAAATCTTATGGAGTCAAAAGATGACAGATTTGATAGATTTATTTATAAGGTTTTATTAAAATTAGCCTTAGTATTGATACTATACTCATACAAAAGTAAAATTTGGTTTTATCTTTTGAACAAAGATTTCATGCATTTGTAATAAGAAAGTAAAATGTTTTGTTTACCTTTTGAGTAAATTACAAAATGAAATAAAAAAGTGAGTGGAGAGAAAAAGAGACAATTTCTGTCTTATGCTGTCTTTCTCAGGTGCTTTGATTGTTTGGAAACCTGTGTCTCCTCGATCCAAGAGTAAAGGTTTTTACTCTTAAAAATCTTATTTTCAGTTTAGCTAAATGAATGTCTATTGTTTCTTGGTGACCTACAATCCTATTTTGGTTAAGTGTTTTAAACCTTTAACATATTTGACAGGCTTCCCAAAATGAAATTTCGACTTCAAAATTAAGTCATTTTTTGACCTTTAAATTTGGAATGCTACAGAGGGCCGTGGAGCATTCAAAAGATAGATAAACAGGATTATTTAATATGTTAGATTTCATGGGAAACACTGTCAAATAAAAATGTTAAACCTTCTTTGAGTTATATTTTAATGAATATGTTATTAATATATGTTCCAATGTTATATAAGATTCCTAAAAATTCTGATGTGCCTGGGTATATGCTGTCACTCAGAATCATGGCTATGCTAAATTATTGTAGGCCACAGAAATAACCAAATTTCCTTGTCAATTGTACCTTTATGACTATTTTATTTCCACAGTTAATTGCTTATTAATTGGTTATTCTGATGCCATTTCTGAAAACTTCACAAGGAAGCAAAATGCTAGATTATTGTGTCTTCAAGGAGGTTCATGAAAAGGATGAAAAGGACCCTGACAAGCACTCTGAAACACAGGTTTCTGATAACTTTAGGATCATATTAATTGGACTGGGTAAGGATTCCTGGAACTCTTATGAAGAGACTGACTGGTTTATAAAACTGCAAAGCCAGATGAAAATTTGGCAAAGTATTTAAACTTCAACAAAATACTTTGCCAGATTTTCATGCTAAATCATCCAGTACTGAAATTGTTTAGATACTCAATTTGAATAAACTTCATGGCTCAAGTCAAATTTTATCAGTGCTACATATCTAAATTGGAGAAAAACAAAACCTGGTCAGTTTTAGGACCTATCTGCTTCCTCAGAGTTTCAGTTTGATTGTGTCCTATTTAGCATGAGTGACTCCATTTCAGTTGGATCTGATCTGTTGGGGCCTAGTGCATGAGCTCCATCCAAAACAATGGCCTCTCTTAATTTTGTTTAACAATTTCCCCCTCCTGTTCCAGTTCTTACTTAGGTGAGAGTGTGACCAAACTTAGAGCCTTCGCACCACTCTCAGTTTACCCTCATTTTGAGTTTCTGGTCTCAGCAGGTAATTCACTGGTTATGGTGTTCTCATGGTCATGCATTTCTTTGAGTTTTGTCATTACAGTTGAAGAGAGTCCATTTGACATTCTAGATGATTGCATGCAGACATTCAAAACTTTAGAGAGAGTACAGTGCACCAGGGAGACTATTATTATGACTATCAGGAGGATAATACCGAGAGTTTGAAGTATGCTCCTTAGCCCGGCTTCCCATGATCCAAAACAACTAAAATAAAATATATCAAAGAATGAGATAGATATGCTTGCTTTAACCAAGGAGACTGTTCATTAATTCTCCCACAAATGAATCACTACAATACCCAATGTGTTTCTCCATGTGAAATCTGTTAAAAGGAAAGCCTTATGCAAATTAAATATAACACAGTTTAATTGAGCAAGGAGCAATTCATGAATCAGGTGGTCTCCTTAACCAGAGTAGGCTCAGAGAAACTCCAGTGTAGCCACGTGATGGAAGATGTATGGACAGGAAAAGCAAAGTGACGTACAGGAAATGGAAGTAACATACAGAAACAGCGGGACTGGTTTCAGACTGCTGCTTGCCTTATTTGAACATGATTTGAACAACTGGCTGCCTTTGATTGGCAAAACTCAGTGCTTAACACAGGAGTAAGTTACAGTCTGTTTACACATACAGTTAGGTTACCCTCCTCAATGTACAAAGAAACCTTTAGGCTGATCTTAGAATATGTAAGGAGGCAGCTTTAGGCTAAACTTAATTTACTAGTTGTCCCCTTTTGGTCATCCTCTCAATTTAGATATATTGACCAAATGTTTAGGCATTGATGTCACTCTGTCAGCCTGTCACCATTGTAAATGTACTTATTTTGTTTCAAATTCCATTGGAAAATAGCAGAACAATGGATTTTTATGAGGTGAGAACAAGGACATTAGATAAATCTTTAATAAGAGTTAGAGGACCTCCTTGTGTCAGAATCTCCTGTTTACAGGAGAAAAACAAAACCTGGTCTGTTTTAGGATCTAGCTGCTTCCTTAAAGTTTCAGTTTGATTATGTCACATTTAGCATGAGTGACTCTATTTTGATGTGATCTGGTCTGTTTTGGCCTAATACATGAGCTCGGTCCAAAACAATGACCTCATATAATTTTGTTTAACACTGTACATAATGGTTTTCAAAAGTTTGACAATAATATCTTTTCTTCACTTTTCATTACATTTCTTCTTCTGTTTTAACATATCAATTGATCTACCTAGTTCATGGATTTTTTTTTTTTTTTTTTTTTTTTTTACACAGGGTCTCACTCTGTCACACAGGCAGAGTACAGAGCGATGAACACAGATCACTGCAGCCTTGACCTCTGGGGCTCAAGTGATTCTCCTGCCTCATCCTCCTAGTAGCTGGGACCACAGGCATATGCCACTACACTCGTCTAATATTTTTCAATTTTCTTTGTAGAGAAGGGGTCTTATCATGTTTCCCAGGCTGCAGTTCATTGTCATGTTTCCCAGGCTGCAGTTTATTGATTCTTCTGTATAATTATATCTGCTGTTGAGCTCCTCTGGTGAATTTTCATTTAGTTTTTAAACTGCAGAGTTTCTATTTGATTGTTTTGCATTATCTCTGTCTCTATATTCTGTATTTGCTAAGCCGTTGTTCTCAAACTGTACTTCTTTAGACATAGTTTCCTGTAGTTCATTTAATATATTTATGACACCTGATAGCTGTCTTTATCTTCTAAGCCCAACATCTAGACTTCTTCATTGGGCAATTTCTATTAACTTTTTTTCTTTTTCTTCTGTATGGGCCATACTTTACTGTTTCTTTTTCATGCCTCATACTTTTTTGTTGAATACTGGATATTTTAGTAACTTGAATACTGGTCCCTCTCATTCCCCACTGGGGAGTGTTGTTATTGTGAGATTGGATATTTATTTATTTGTTTAATGACTTGGCTTAACTAATTTTGTGAAATCAATTTACTTCACAGTGTGTGGCCTCTGACAACCATGTTCAAAATATTTTTTCTTGTTTTTATATTTTATCCTGGTTACCTAAGCACTGTGTCACCATAAGCCTCTTATTGGTCAAAGGTTCTGCTTAAGCTTCCTTTCTGGTTATATTTTTGTCCTTTACTATTGGATATGTGAGTGGGTTGGAGAATGCTATTCAGGGTGTTTATGGTTTTTGCCCCATGTTCAGTAATAGGCCAGTAAATTATTTTTTCATGAAAGGGTGCAACTTCAGGCATCACACAGTTTTCAAAACAGCCAGGGATGCATCTGATTCCATATTTTTATTTGGCTTTCTTGAAGTTGCTTCTGAATTCAAGGAGCTTATTGTTCAGGCACTGTTTGATAAATGATTGTGGCTTAAGTGCCTAGTGCCAGGGAGATTTTTCAACCTTCGTTGATTGATCTATGTGTGACTTGGGAAATATTTTCAAGTCTGCCCACATAATTTTTCTATTGGCCCCGAGTGGGCATAGCCTAGCTATCACTTGCGCACAGACTTCCTGACTCCCAGCATTGCCTGTGGTCCCAGGAAGGCTTTTCTTGGCTGTCTTTATGATTCCCTCTGTTAAACTTCTTGTTCACATGGTATTTGACTTGTTGCTACTAGTATAACGGAGATAGGATTGCCCTTGTAACTGCTCTCCACTAAGATCTGCATTGTTTTTTACAATGCCACTAAGCATGAAGTTCTCCCTCCTCAGTTCCATATAAAGTCAGTCCTCTCAGGCATAACTGCAGAGTTCTTTTTCCCTTATGGCCTATTTTTCCTCCTAGGAAGAATCTCTGCACCACTGAACAAGAGCTGGGGGTGGGGACAGAAACCTGCTTCTACTAAAGTGTCGCCCTGCTCTTTGATCAGATGCTGGGGATTGTGATAAACCTTGGTCTTCTTGTCTTGACTCTCCCAGCATATAACCTCTACTTTGTCAGAGATCTGGGGTTGGGGTGATTAAAGTCCAGTCCTGTCTGTCTGCTGTGCCTTGAGGCAGAGCTTCTCACCTTCCAAGTGAAGTTTCTGCAGAAGAGACCCTCAGACTTCTTGTTTGGGTTTGCCTGGAATAGGGCTTCTGCAACATGGAACCAGAAGATGGGAAATGCCGATGACCTACACCCTCCTAAGAGAAAATGTAGCCTTAGACCTTGGAATAGGGGGAGAGTAAGCCCCATCTTCTTGGCTACAAAAGCATGGGGAACAGTGTGTATGGCAATGAATTGTCCATGGCTAAACTGCAAAAATTCTCACTATTTTACTAATATCTAGTAGATTTTCTTGAATGCATGTTTCTCCATCTGTATGCTCTTAGGACAATTTTTGGAAATATTAAATAATTCAAAAATCATTTTCTCCAGTTAAATTATTGTTTATTGGTAAGACAGTATGTTGTACTTCTCACTCCAACAGTCTGGCAGTTGATCACAATAGATTTTTTCACATTGTGCCCTTACTAAATTAATTGACTAGTTCTAGTAGCTACTTTTGTGTGAATGCCACCAGCTTTTCTACAGAGACATTCATATCATCTTCAAAGAAAGATAGATTTGCTTCTTCTTTTCCAATATTGTATTATTTTTAATTCTTTTTCTTCCTTATTTTTTTCTGACAAGAACACCCAGTACAATGTTGAATAGAAGTGAGGATAGCAGACATCTTGTCTCATTCCTGGTCTTAGAATGAAATGATTTAGTCTTTAACCATTAAATGCAATGTTAGCTGCAAAGTTTTTATAAGATGCCCTTCTTCATCATGTTAAAGACATTTTTTTTTTTAAATTCTCAATTGGCCGAAAAGTCTTTTTTTAAAAAATCAGTAGTGGTTACTGGATATTTTCAAATGCTTTTTCTGATTCTATTAAAGTAATAATATGATTTTGCTTCCTTTAATATGGTAATATGGTTTTCTTATGTTAAACCAATCTTGCATTCCTGGGGTAAATACCACTTGGTCATGTTATATTAAACTTGACTTTCATCAATTTTATTGGTCTTCTAAATGCAGATTTTAAAAAATCTTTCTCTGCTATCTATTTTGTTGCTTCCTGTTTTGATCTTTACTATTTTCTTCCTTGCTTTATTTTGGGTTTAATTTCCTCTTCTTTTTCTAGTTTTCTAAAGTAGAAGGTGAAGTCTTTAGTTTGCAATTTTTCTACTATTTTTTTATTTTCTTTTTTTTGTTAATTTTTAATTTTTGTGGGTACATAGTGGTTATATATATTTATGGGGTAAATGAGATGTTTTGATACAGGAATGCAATGTGAAATAAGCACATCATAGAGAATGGGGTATTCACCCCCTCAAGTATTTATCATTTGAGTTAAAAACAATCCAATTATACTCTTTATTTTTAAATGTATTATTCAGTTATTATCCACTATAGCTATCCTATTGTGCTATCAAATAGTGCATTTTATTTATTATTTTTAACTATTTATTTTATCCCTTAACCATCCCCACCTCCCCCTCCCCAGCCCCTGACTACCTTTCCCAGCCTCTGGTAACCATGCTTCTACCATCCATGCCCATGAGTTCATTTGTTTTTACTTTTAGAACTCACAAATAAGTGAAAGAAATATGGTGTTTGTCTTTCTGTGCCTGGCTCATTTTACTTAACATAATAATCTCCAGTTTTATTCATGTTGTTGCAAATGACAGGATCTCATTCTTTTTTATGGCTGACTAGTACTCCAATATGTATATGTATTTCATTTTCTTCAACCATTCATCTGTTGATGGGTACTTAGGTTGCTTCCAAATCTTAGCCATTGTAAACAGTGCTGCAACAAACATGGGAGGGCAGATATCACTTTCATATATTGAATTCCTTTCTTTTGGGTATATACCCATCAGTGGAAGTGCTAGATCCTAAGGTAGCTCAACTTTTGGTTAATGAAGAAACTCTAAACTGTTTTCCATAATGGGTGTACTAATTTACATTTCCATCAACAGTGTACAAGAGTTCCCTTTTCTACACATCCTCACCAGTATTTATTATTGCTTGTCTTTTGGATATAAGTCATTTTAACTGCGATGAGATGATATCTCATTATAGCTCTGACTTGCATTTTTCTGATGATCCATTATCTTGAGCACATTTTCATATGCCTGTTTGACATTTGTATGTCTTCTTTTAAAAAAAGTCTATTCAAATATTTTGCCCATGTTTTGATCAAATCATTAGATGTTTTTCCTACAGTTATTTGAACTCCTTATATAATCTCATTATGAATTACTTTTCAGCTGGATAGTTTGCAAATATTTTCTCCCATTCTGTGGGTTGTTTCTTCATGTCTTTGATTGTATTCTTTGTTGTGCCTAAGTTTTTAAACTTTATGTGACCTCTTTTGTCACATTAAATTTTTTTTGGTTGCCTGAGTTTGTGGTATCGCTCAAGAAATTTTTGCGCAGACCAATGGCCTGGAGACTTTTCTCAATGTTTTATTGTAATAGTTTCATAGTTTGAGGTCTTAGATTTAAGTCCTTAATCCATTTGAATTTAATGTTTGTAGATGTCAAAAGATAGGGGTCTAATTTCATTCTTCTGCATATGAACATCCAGTTTTCCCAGCATCATTTATTGAAGAGACCATCTTTTTTCCAGTGTATGTTCTTAGCACCTTTCTCAGAAACAAATTCACTGTACATGTGTGGATTTGTTTCTGGGTTCCTTATTCTGTTCCATTCATCTATGTGTTTTTGTGCCCGTACCATGCTGTTTTGGCAACTATAGCGCTGTAGTATAATTTGAAGTCAGGTAATGTGATTCCTTCAGTTTTGTTCTTTTTGCTTAGGACAGCTTTGGCTATTCTGGGTCTTTTGTAGTTCCAAATATATTTTAGGATTGTTTTTTCTATTTATGTAAAGAATTTCATTGGTATTTTGGTAAGGATTGCATTGAGTCAGTAGATTTCTATAGGTAGTATGGACATTTTACCAATATTGATTCTTCCAATTCACGAACATAGAATATTTTTCCATATTTTGTGTCCCATTAAATTTATTTCATCAGTGTTTTATAGTTTTCATTACAGAGATCTTTCACTTCCTTGGTTAATTTCTAGGTATTTAATTTCATGTGTGGCTACTGTAAATGGGATTAATTTTTATTTTTTCACATTGTTCACTGTTGGTATATACAAATTTTTATGTTGTTTTTATATTCTGCAAATTTACTGAGATTGTTTATTAGTTCTAATAGTTTACTCATGGAGCCCTTAAGTTTTTCTAAATATCAGATTATACCATCTGCAAACAAGGATAATTTGACTTCTTCCTTTCAAATTTAAATGCCCCTTCTATCTTTGTTTTTTTCTGATTGCTCTAGCTAGTACCTCTAGTACTATGTTGAGTAACAGTGGTAATAGTGGGCATCCTTGTTGTGTTCCAGATCTTAGAGCAAAGGCTTTTGGTTTTTATCCATTCAGTATAATACTAGCTGTGGGTCTGTTGTATATGGCTTTTATTATGTTGAGGTATATTTCTCCTAAACCCAGTTTTTTGAGAGTTTATATCATGAAGGGATATTGAATTTTATGAAATGCTTTTACTGCATCAATTGAAGTGATCGTATGGTTTTTAATCCTTCATTTTGTTGATATGATGTATCACATTAATTGATTTGCATAGATTGAGTTGAAGCATCATCACATCCCAGGGATAAATCCCACTTGGTAATGATGAATAACCTTTCTAATGAGTTGTTGAATTTGGTTTTCTGGTATTTTGTTGAGGATTTTTGCATCAATATTTATTAGAAATATTGTCCTGTAGTTTTTTTTTTTTTTTTTTTTTTTTGATGTGTCTGTTTTTGGTGTCATGGTAATACTGGCAGCGTAGAATGAGTTTGGAAGTATTTCCTCCTCCTCTATTTTTTGAAATAGTTTCTGTAGGATTGGTATAAGTTCTTCTTTACATCTTTGGTAGAATTCAGCAGTGAAGCCATCAGGTCCCAGGCTTTTCTTTACTTGAACACATTTTATTATGGCTTTGATCTTGATGTTTGTTATTGGCCTGTACAGGTATGAGATCTCTTCCTGACTCAATCTTGATAGGCTGTATGTGTCTAGGAATTTGTCAATTTTTTTCTAGATTTTCCACATGATTGGCATGTATTTGCTCATAGTAGCCACAAATAATCCCTTCATTTCTGCAGTATCACTTGTAGTATCTCCTTTTTCATTTCTAATTTTATTTGGATCTTCTCTCTTGTTTCTTAATCGGGCTAAAATTTCATCAATTTTCTTTAACTTTTCAAAAAACAAACTTTTGGTTTTATTAATTTTTTGTCTTGTTTTCTGCATTTCAACTTTATTTATTTGTTCTCCGATCTTTATAATTTCTCTTCTACTAATTTTGGGTTTTGTTTCCTCTTGTTTTTTTCAGTTTTTATAGATGCATCATTTAACTGTTCATTTGAAGTTTTTCTGTTTTTGATATAGGTGATTATAGCTATAAACTTATCTTTTACTACTGCTTTTGCTGTATCCCATAGGTTTTGGTATGTTGTGTTTCCATTATAATATGTTTCAAGAGAATTTTCAACTTCCTTCTTAATTTCTTTATTAACCCACTGGTCATTCAGGAGAATATAATTTAATTTCCCTGTATTTGTATAGTTTCCAATATTTCTCTTGTTACTAATTTCTATTTTTATTTCATAATGATCAGGAAAGATGCCTGATATTATATCATTTTTTTGAATGCTTTCAGACTTGTTTTGTGAATACACCATAACATATGGTATATTCTTGAGGAGGATTTATGTGCTGAGGAAAAGGATGTGTATTCTGAGGAAAAGATTGTAACTGTTCTTTAATATCTATTAGATTTAGTTGGGCTATATTACAGATTAAGTCTGATGTTGATTTTCCATCTGGAAGATCTTTCCAATGTTGAAAGGGGGGTGTTGATGTCTCCAGCTATTATTGTATTGGGGCCTAACTCTCTCTTTAGCTCTAATAATACTTGCTTTATATAGTGGTGCTCCAGTGTTGAGTGCATTCATATTTAAAATTGTTGTATTTTCTTTCTGAATTGACCCCTTTGTCATTATATAGTGAACTTCTTTGTCTCTTCTATAGATTTTTTCTTAAAATATATTTTGTCTGATAAAAGTACAGTGACTTCTGCTCCTTTTTGGTTTTCACTGGCATGGAATGTAGAGTACACATCAGGCCAGGTGCTCAACAAATACATATTCAGTCATTTGTGGATTGAAGTAAATTGGGAGAGAGAAGGGAAGATACCTCCGTGAAGCTGCAGTGGTTTTTTTTTTAATCTCTTTATTTTCAGTCTATATGTGTCTTTGTAGGTAAAGTGTGTTTTTTTGTAGACAACAGATCGGTGGGTCTTGTTTTTTCATCCTTTCAGCCAGTCTATGTCTTTTGATTGGAGAGTTTGCTTCAGTTACATTCAATGTTAATATTGATAAGGACTTACTCCTGTCATTTTGTTGTTTGTTTTCTGGTGGTTTTGTAGTCTTCTCTTCCTTCTTTCTTTTGTTTCCATCTTACTCTAGTGAAGATTATTTTCTCTGGTTATGTGATTTAATTTGTTGCTTTTTAATGTTTGTGTAGCGATTGTATGTTTTTTGGTTTGAAGTTTCAATGAAGATTGCAAATAACTATCTTATAACCCACAATTTTAACCTGATAACTTAACACTGTATAAAGAAGCAAACAAGCAAAATGAAAACTAATAAAATCTCTATGCCTTAGCTTCATTTCCTTTTTGAATTTTATTGTTGATACTTTTTTCTTATTGTACTGTCTTTGTCTTGAGAAGAGTTGTTGTTGTTATTCTTTATGATTGGTTAATTATGTAGTCTTTCTAATTAGGATAAGAGTAGTTTACATACCACAGTTACAGTGTTATAATATTCTGTGTTTTTCTGTGTACTTACTATTACCAGTGAGTTTTGTACATTCAGGTGATTATTTATTGCTCATTAATGTCCTTTTCTGTCTGATTGAAGTTCTCCATTTAGCATTTCTGGTAGGACAGGTCTGGTGTTGATGAAATCCCTCAGCTTTTGTTTGTCTGGGAATTCTCTTTCACGTTTGAACAATATTTTCACCAGATATCCTGTTCTAGGGTAAAAGTTTTTTCTTTTGGCACTTTAATATGTCATGCCCCTCTCTTTTGGCCTATAAAGTTTCTGCTGAAAAATCTGCTGCCAGATGTATTGGAGTTCCATTTTAAGTTATTTGTTTCCTTTCTCTTGCTGCTCTTAGAATTCTTTCTTTATCCTTGACTTTTGAAATTTTGATTATTAAATTCTTTAATGTAGTCTTCTTTTGGTTAAATCTGCTTAGTGTTCAAAAGCCTTCTTGTACTTGGAAATTGATATCTTTCTCTAAGTTTGGGAAGTTCGCTGTCATTATCCCTTTGAAATAAATTTTCTACCCCTATCTCTTTCTCTACCACCTCTTTAAGGCCAATAACTTTTAGATCTGCCCCTTTGACACTATTTTCTAGACACTTTTTTGTATGCTTTATTTATTTATTTATTTATTTATTTATTTATTTATTTTTTGAGACGGAGTCTTGCTCTGTCGCCCAGACTGCTGTGCAGTGGCACAATCTCGGCTCACTGCAACCTCTGCCTCCTGGGTTCAAGAGATTGTCCTGCCTCAGCCTCTCGAGTAGCTGGGAATACAGGCATGTGCCACCATGCCCAGCTAATTTTTTTGTATTTTTAGTAGAGACGCGGTTTCACCATGTTGGCTAGGATGGCCTCAATCTCCTGACTTCGTGATCTGCCCACCTCAGCCTCCCAAAGTGTTGGGATTACAGGCATGAGCCAGTGCTTTATTGTTTTTTAGTTTTTATTTTGCCTTCTCCGACTCTATGTTTTTAAGTAGCCTATTTTCAAGCTCACTAATGTTTTCTTCTGCTTGATCCATTCTTCTATAAAAAGACTCTGATTCATTCTTTAGTACACCTACTGCATTTTTCAGCTCCAAAATTTCTGTTGATTCTTTTTAATTATTTTAATCTCTTTGTTAAATGTATCTGATAGAATTACAAATTCCTTCTCTTTGTTATCGTGAATTTCTTTGAATTTCCTCTACACAGCTATTTTGAAATCTCTGTTTAAAAGGTAACATGTCTCCATTTCTCCAGGATTCGTCTCTGGTGGCTTATTTAGTTCATTTGATGAGGTCATGTTTTCCTGGCTTATCTTGATGTTTGTTTGAGTCTGGGCATTGAAGAGTTTGGTATTTATTGTAGTCTTCACTGTCTGAGCTTGTTTTTACCCACCCTACTTGGGAAGGCTTTCCAGATATTTGAAAGGACTTGGTTGTGGTGATCTAAGCTGCATCTGCTTTAGGGGGCACCTCAATCCCAATAATGCTTTGTTTCTTGCAGACTTGCAGAGGTATTGCCTTGATGGTCTTGAATACAGTCTGGGAGAATTATCTGGATTACCAGGCAGAGAGTCTTGTTTTCTTCCCTTACTTTCTCCCCCCTCAAGCTGGGAGTGGAGTTACACAAGCACCCCTGTGGCCACCACCACTATGACACCACTGGATCAGATCTGAAGCCAGCACAGCACTGGGTCTCACCCAAAGCTTATTATAACCACTCACAGGCTATTGCCAATGTTCACTCAAGGCCCTGTGACTTTACAATCAGCATGTGGCAGAGCCAGTCAGGCCTGTGTCCTTCCCTTCAGGATGGCAAGGTTTCCCATGCCCTAGGTGAGTCCAGAGGTACTGTCTGGGAGTCAGGGACTAGATTCAAAACCCATAGAAGTCTATATGATATTCTATTGTATTGAGGCAGAGCTGACACTCAAACCTAAGAGGCATCCCTTACCACTCTTCTGTCCTCTCCAAAAGGAGAGGAGCCTCACCCTATAACCACTGCCACTCCAGTTCATGAGGAATACTGCCAGACTACTAGCCAATGTTCCCTTAAGGCCTAAGGTCTCTTAAGTCAGCTTGTAATAAATGCTGCCTGGCCTGGGACTCACCCTTCAGGGCGGCTGGCTCCCCTCTGGCCTAGGGAAGGTCCCGAAATGCCATCCAAGTATCAAGTCCTGGAATCAGGAACTCCAAGTATTCTTTTGATGCTCTACCCTTCTGTGGCCATGCTTGTACCTAAGGTGCAAGACAAAGTCACCTTTACTTTTCCCTCTACTTTTCTCAAGCAGATGGAGTTTCTTCATGCAGCCAGCACAGCTGGTAATGTACAGAGTCTCACCTAAAGCCAGCAAGTCTCAGAGGCTCAGCCAAGGGCATCAATGTAGTACCTAGGTATCACTGCTGATTATTCAGGGTCCAAGGGGTCTTTCGTTAGCAGGCGATGAATGCTGCCATGACTGGGACCTTTCCTTCAAGGCAGCAGTTTCCCCTCTGGTCCAGGATGTGTCTACAAATGTCATCTGGGAGCTAAGACCTGGGACAGGGGTCTCACTACTCTGACTGGTATCCTATCATGCTGTGGATAAGCTAGTATTTAATATAATAGACAAAGTCCACCCCACTCTTCCTTCTCCTCTCTTCAAGTGGAAAGAAATTGTCTTTTTTTGGAGCAGCGGGCTGTGCAGTCTGCAGTGTGGAGGGGCAATTCCAGCACTCCCTTGGCTGTCTCAACTGGTTTCTTAGTAGGTTGCGTGTCTCCCCTGTCCACTGTCTCTGGGCTTAGTTCAGCCCTAGGACTTGCCTAAGAGTTGCAGTCCTTATGGTCTAGACTGCTTTTCAAATTTATTTGAAGATATAGAGTACTGTAGTCCTCTGTGGCAAGGTTTGCAGGCACTCAAGTTCTGACCACTAAGATTGGTGATTCCCCTCTGACTAGGGCTGGTTTAAATGCTTCCTCCAAGGATGAGTGTCAGCTGAGTTTTGTCCAGTTTTTCTCTCTGCTTTAACAAAAGAGCAGCGAGTTCAATGTATCACAATTGCTATGCTTTCCCTCCCTCAGCACCCAGAGATGTTCTCTGCACTACTCTGCCACAGGTGAGGGGAGAGGAGGGGTGGCATCAGAGATTCAGGACTGTTTTTTCTATCTCTTCAGTGCCTCTTTAAGTGATATGAAGTTAAAACCAGGTACAGTGGATGCTCACTGGACTTTTGGTTCTTATGAAGGTATTTTTTTCTGTACAGTTAGTTGTAAACTTTGTGTCCTTGCCAGGGGTTGCGTGGAGGGTGATCTGTGGAGTTTTCTATTCTGCCATCTTGTTCCTCCTTTTCTCCCTTTCTACTGTTCTAAAAAGGAATTTAGTGTTATAAATTTCCATCTAAACCCTAAACCAGTTTGAATTTGATTTTCTGAAACCTAAAACTGAAGATACACGAAGTGATAAATAAATGGTTCAATTTTTTGTGCTCGGCAAATTATTTTACACAAATAACATAACCTAGGAGAGAAAGTATGTTTGTAGGCTGACATTGTTTTTCTCTGAATGATTATAGCTTGTTGTCATCCATTCTTAGGAATACAATTTGAAAATAAAATTTAAAAATCAAATAAAATTTGCCTTCAGATTTGAACCTGTAGTGAGAACAAAAGGACACTAATGTAAAAGTTCTGTTTCCATGACTCTCTTTCTATGGCATTCAGTTGGATATTCTGCCTTTCTAGAGTTCTACTTTTGTAGAAAGTCTTCCTTCTTGATATAGTTTGGCTCCGTGTCCTTACCCAAATTTCAGCTTGAATTGCAATCCACATAATCCCCACATGTCAAGGGCAGGACCAGGTGGAGGTAATTGAATGATGTGGGCAGTTTACCCCATGCTGTTCTTGTGATAATGAGTGAGTCTCACAAGATCTCATGGTTTTATAAACATCTGGCATTTCCCCTGCTTGCACTCATTCTCTCTCCTGCCTCCCTGTGAGGAGGTATCTTCCACCATGATTGTAGATTTCCTGAGACCAACCCAGCCATGTGGAAGTGTGAGCCAATTAAACCTTTTTTGTTTATAAATTACCTAGTCTTGGGTATTTCTTCATAGCAGTATGAAAATGAACTAACACACTTTTTTTCTTGCCAAGTAAAGAAACCTTCTCAAATTATCTTAGGGTGCCACACTCTTTTATTTTAGCTTTCCAGCCTTTGTTACTTTTCAGCTAATATCTACTGTATTAGATATCCAGAATCCAATTTTTTAAACACTGTCATGTCATTTTACCCTTTATATAAAAAGTCACTGGGAGGCCGAGGCAGGTGGATCACTAGGTCAGGAGTTTGAGACCAGCCTGGCCAATATGGTGAAACCCTGTCTCTACTAAGAATACAAAAATTAGCCAGGCGCGGTGGCACGTGCCTGTAGTCCCAGCTACTCAGTAGGCTGAGGCAGAAGAATCGCTTGAACCCGGGAGGAAGAGGTTGCAATGAGCCCAGATCTCGCCACTGCACTCCAGCCTGGGCGAAAGAGTGAGACCCCATCTCAAAATAAAAATAAATAAATAAATAAATAGTCAGAAACACGAAGATAACTTGATGGATTTTCTGTGTTCTACACAACAGAAACAAATTATTTTCCCCATTAGTAGTTCTGATGCTATTGTTGGACTCTTAAATATGTCTCCTATTCTAGTCTCAGGAGTTTCTGTTGGTCATGGATATTTCAATTATCAAGGTACGTTAAAATTAGCTATATTTAATACATAGTTCCTGGGCATACATTGTGATTTTGTAGAAATGTGATGATGTTAGGGCGTGAGAGTAGAAATCAACAGTTATTGTGAATATGCTATATATCAGACATTCTATTGGGTGCTTTATTTATTATGCTATTTCATTGATTCTTTACAAGTACCATATTGCCACTTTTAAAATGGAGTATTTGAGGCTTACAGAGACTTAACAATTAAGCTTGTAAATGTTGAATACAAACCCATCTCCCTGGTCTCCAAAACCAAGTGTCATTTTTTAACTTTTAGGTTCAGGGATACATATGAAAGTTTGTTCTCATTGTTCAATTCCCATCTATGAGTGAGAACATGCAGTGTTTGGTTTTTTTGTCTTTGCGATAGTTTACTGAGAATGATTGAACAATGAGAACACATGGACACAGGAAGGGGAACATCACACTCTGGGGACTGTTGTGGGGTGGGGGGAGGGGGGAGGGGTAGCATTAGGAGATATACCTAATGCTAAATGACGAGTTAATAGGTGCGGCACACCAGCATGGCACATGTATACATATGTAACTAACCTGCACATTGTGCACATGTACCCTAAAACTTAAAGTATAATAATAATGATAAAAAAAAAGAAAGTTTGTTATATAAGTAAACTTGTGTCATGGGGGTTTGTTGTACAAAATATTTCATCACCCAGTGTTAAGCCTAGTATCCATTAGTTATTTTTCCTTATCCATTCCCTCCTCCCACCCTCCACCCTAGAAAGGCCTCAATGTGTGTTGTTCCCCTCTGTGTGTCTATGTGTTCTCACCATTTAGCTCCCACTTATAAGTGAGAACATGTGGTATTTGGTTTTCTTTTCCTACACTAGTTTGCTAAGGATAATGGCCTCCAGCTCCATCCATGGTGCTGCAAAGGACATGATCTCATTCTTTGGTATGTTTGCATAATGTTTCATTGTTTATGTGTACCACAATTTCTTTATTCAGTCTACTATTGATGGGCATTTAGGTTGATTCCATGTCTTTGCTACTGTGACTGGTGCTGCAATAAACATACGTGTGTGTGTCTTTATAATAAAATAATTTTTATTCCTTTGGGTATATACCCAGTAATGGGATTGCTGGGTCCAATGATTTTTTTTTGGTTTTAAAGAATTGCCACACTGATTTCTACCATGCTTTAACTAATTTACACACCCACCAACAGTATATAAGCCTTCCTTTTTCTCCGCAACCTGGCCAGCATCTGCAAAACCAAGATTTTTTTTAATTGCTTCAAATTCCTTACAAGATTATTATAAGTTTATCTTCCACAGATCTGCCAGAATAATGTGGCATTTTGCATAACTATCCATTTTCTATCAGAAAATTCAAAATAATGATGCCCAATTTATATAATATAATTATTTAACCTAAGGTTTCTAACCACACATCCTGAGGGTTGCCTTTTCCTTGACAACAAGGAAACATCCATGATTTATGCTAAGCACTCACCCATTTGGAAATTTTGCTCCAAATTTTGTCACATAACAGCAATAGTTGCTACCATTTACTGAAAATCTCCTATGAATAAGTCACTTTGTATATAACAGCCATCAATATCACAACAATCATCCATGGTAATGATTATTCTCGCCACTTTGTAATTGAAGCAGTAGAAGTTATGTATATTGTCATTGACACAGCTAGTAAAATGAAAAAAGTCAGGATTCAAACACAGATCCCTTTCATTTCAAATCCCCTGTGCTTTCTCCACTACATTATAATGATGCCCTACTTGTCATCCAATAACATGAATCATCTCACTCCTCTAAATTATCTTTCTTTAATTTCACCTCCCTCATGACTTAATTCTTTGTTTACTAGATCAGTCTCATTTATTACCATTTCATTTGTCAACCATGTTTAGTTTATACCTCTTGCTAGATCTTTTAAAACTATTCTTTTACTCAAACAAAATGGACCAATAAACTCACCACTCTATTATATACCACTACACATCACACCACACCACCAGAAGTGAATATAATAATTGGAGAACCCTGTACAAAAATAACTTGATACATCTTCTCTGTTCTCATTGTACAATAACTAAATCGCCATATTAGAATTTTGTGTCATGGAAAAGAAAAAAATAGTACTGATCATCTAGTTTTTGTTTGCTGTAAGAACTACATGCAAATATGTAGAAGTTGAGAAATCAGTTGCTCCATATACACAATTGGACATTGAATTAGCTAGTAAAGTAAGTGTAAATTCAGGTATTCTGAGTTTCTGAGACATCAGAGGTTAAGTCTGAATAGAGAGCATGTATGTATACCACTATGTTACTCAATCTCCTTTTATACCTTCCTCTCCTTATTTAGTAAAAAATGAACCATTTAAATTTTGTTTTGCAAGTCGTTTTTCCAAACCACCTAGGAATATATTAATAGAATTAGGAAAGACATAAAGCCAGGTATTTAATGATTTAAAAGGACAAGATATTCCCTCTTCCATTCCTTCTGATTTTACCTACTAAACAAAATGCAACTGAATAACTATTAGAGGACAGTACCGGTGTTGGAATACCAATTTCTTCACTTTCTGAATTTGAGACTTGTCATAGGACAAAGAGATTTAAAAAATAAAATGCATATTTATTTCTCCTTTTTAGAAAAACATCTTGCAACATGTTATTACCACTGTTCTTATCATAAAATGTAAGCAAGTTTTAATATAGTAGTGTCACAAAGACATATAATACAATGTTGAAATGTTTCGTGGTGCTGTAATGTTCTTTTTCCATCACACTAACTTGTTTACAGCTAAATTTTAATGGTTGCTGTCATTAAGAAAAATGTGCAGCTCCCTCCTCCATGTGAGAATCACAGTAGCCAATGAATGGTTATTGATCTGAGATAACTAAAAGGGTAAAGTGCAGGGATTGAAATTTGGATTCACTTTTTTTTTTTTTTAACATTTCCCACAGCAGAGGTCACCATGATAGCATCGATCTGGTGTAAACCAGATGACATTTAAGTGATCTTGTTTGGCCAACTACAGCAATGAGCTGATTGTCCCTTCTCCATCTGGAAACAAAGCATTAAATGAGGGCAGAGGCGATATTATTTATTTCTAACTCCTCTATGGTATTTCTCCCAAGCTCCCAAAGCACAATGGCATTTAGGCAAGAATTCCTGTCAGCCCAGGCACTTATCTATATGCATATTATGCAATAACTGTCTCCTGAGGACTACTACTGTTCATGTATGGAAATATTCAAAGCCCACTTTTCCCTAGGTACTCCTTATTTTCTCAACATTATGGCAATTTCATAACTCATATTTGATATTTCATCACAAACAACTACTATCGATTTAAATTTACCAAGCAATCTTACTGCTATCACTAGTTCTTCCTTTTCACCTCTTTTCTAGCTCACTGGAAAGGTAATACTCATAGAAGGCTAACATTCACTAGGGTATTCCTGAGTGACTGCTCCAGCCTAATGTCTTACCCCTCTCAGTGATGCTTTTAATTTAAAATAAGGTCCTCAGTGATATAAATGTCTTAAATTTACATGATTTTCTCTGTTGCCAACCATGTTGAAGAAATATTTTCATTGTTTATAGGGGGTAGGATTTATTGTGGATTAGCATACAAAGATAATTAATTGCTTGTGCAAGAAACCTGGAATGGTAAATTCTTACTATTACCAAATCATTCATGCTAACAAGCTGCTTGGATTATCATCATCTCTGGAAATCTTCTGTACTTAAAATAGGCCACATTTACCTTGACCTAGCAAATGCAGAGTTGACACTGATACTTGAGGTTGCGTGAACACAGAAATCTATAATATACTATGTTGGAGTGTCCCATTATCATGAATGAAGAGGTATTTTATTATTTATTTATTATTAATTTCTTTAGTGACATGGTCTTGCTCTGTTGCCTGGGCCCTAGTGCAGTTGCACAATCAAAGCTTACTGCAGCCTTGAACTCCTGCCATCTAGTTCACCTCAGTCTCCCAAGTAGCAAGAACTATAGGTGTGCACCACCACACCCAACTAAGTTTTAAAATTTTTGTAGAGACAGGGTCTTACTATGTTGCCTCGAGTGGTGTGAAATTTCTGGCCTCGAGTGATCCTTCCACTTCAACCTCCCAATTTGCTGAGATTACAGGTATGAGCCACCATGCCCATCAAGAATGAAGAGGTATTAATTCAGATTTAATTAAGATATTTTCTTCTATTGATCTCTAGGTTGAGAACCTGAATTATCTGACTTTCTTCACGTAATTTTTATAATCTGCTTTACACGTCCCAAAGAACAAACTGATTCAGCCTTTACATGAAAGGCAATTGTTCCAATAAAAATAAATACACTTTGTTGTTCAAGGAGAAAATTGGAACTTTCCATTATTGAAAGCGTTAACTACATAGACAAAAATATTATTCTCTTTTTTTGGTCTCTAGAATAAAAACTATGCTCTCCAACATCATGGTATTCTTAATTGCAAGAAAGTGGAAAATTCATTGTTGAATTTCTGCAACACGCTATGATGTCAATGTAAGATAAAGATTTATGAAGGAAAAAGGATAAAAAGCCTAATAAATGAAGGCTTGAATTATCTTCAGAAAGAGAAAATATTCTAAATTTTACCTTGCTTTCTTGTTATTTAATATTTTCAAGAATAATATAGCACAACCAATTTTTACAGCGCAATCAACTAATTGAAGAATAAGATATAGTAAAATATTTATTTTCCCCCATAGAATCAGAGCTGACAATCAATCAGTAAGTGTGTTTTTTCTTACCTTTTGACATTTTAAGATCCTCAGGCTGCTTTTTTATCTTTAAAGAAAAAACAAGATGAAACAAAACCAACCCAAAATCTAGGAATCATTGAGCAGAGAAGCTAAACCAAGGTAGTTCTTGTAAATTATTTACATGAGAAGGTCTTTAAAAATATTGAATCCAGATGGAATATCTGATTAAGTAGGATCTAAAAATAAATTGATTCTCATGATGTATGGTATTTATCTTGAATTGTGGAAGGACTTCTAAATCAACTTTAAAGGCCAAATCTATGTGGGGTAGTCTTGCAGAAGTTTACTCTCTGGCTTTGCTGAAACCAAGGATTAGCTAAAATTAGACCTCTTTTTGTTTGGTGCCAATAGAAAAAATTATTTAAAGTTAAATAAATTAACATTTATAACAAGTAATAAATCTTTGCTCTAAACTTAATGATAATCACTTTTTCCATTTGGCATTGAAGAAGGTTTGTTATTAGAAAGCAGTCAGGGTGTTGGAAAGTGTCGGAGTTTATACATACAGTGGTTATCAAACTTTAGCATGAGTCAGAATTATTAAGAGTGCTTACTAAAACAAAGATTGTTTGACCCAGACCTAAGTATTTCTAATTCAATAGGTATCAGTTAGATCCTGAGAATTTTGTTGCTAAACACAGTTCCAAGGTGATAGTGATGCTGATTGCCCAGGAAATGTACTTGAAGAACCCCTGGAATAGTATAAAGAAGGACCAGAAGTAGATAAATCTTGGTCCTAATCTATTTCAGTCACTGAGGATATGTGCATCCTTACACAAGACACTTACCTTCTTCATGTATATAAAACATTGAACAGTTATTGAATTCTTATTTCTTGATATATGGGTACCAAACCTCTGAATTTATTCATATGATAAATATTTGAATACCTTTCATGAGCTAAACCATGATGCTGTTGAAATGGTGATACAGAACAAGTCCCTTTCTTCCCAAAGCTTATATGCTAGTGGGAGAACATAAAATGAACAAATAAGAAAATATGTGATATAACATCAAATAATGACAAATGCTATGAAGAAAAAGTAAAAGCAGGTTGAGAGGATAAACAGTGATAGGAACGTGAAAGATTACAATTTAAGCACTCTATTTGATCATAAAAACAACCTCCTTATGAGATAAGTATTTGTGTTCTCATATTGTTGCTGAGGAAATTGCAGCTCAGCGAAGACAAGTAATATGCCCAGTATTACACATCTAGCAGGTAGTAGAATTAGGAATTGAAGTCAGATCTAACTCCAAATACTATTCTCTCAATTAATACATTATATCCCAAATTGTCTAGGCACAGTGATTGGTGTAGTGGAGTCATGTAATTAATATGGTTATTATCATTGTTTCCATGATTGAATATATTTTTCACATACAAATCCTGTTTCATAAATGAAGAAACATAATCTCTGAAAGATTAATTTTTCTTGCCCAAATTCACCCAGTTAGTAAGCATTAAATATGAACCATAGCCTGATTGACTACGCACACTTTTTCTACTATGATAATCTGCCTTCTCACCATAAAATGAGGATAATAGTATAATTATACAGGAAAATCCACCTAGTGTTTAAGAATAATACTTGAAAAAATCAAACAGTGTATATGTATAAACTGTATGTTTATAACTATTGTCATTTTCTTTTGCACTAATAATGCTTAATACCTTAAGTATTGGAGAGTCCAGATACACCAGGAAGAAAACATTTCCCAGGTGATTTTTGTTGAAATTATTAAAGAGTTAATCTCGGCCTCTTAGACTCACTCAATTATAAAGAGTCTTTTTGAGATGTATTATTTTAATCAAAGTATTCTTTTGCTGAGCATCATGAGGGAAGCACATAAGGGGACATAAACATATATATTTTTTCCAGTTATTCCTTAGTGAAATGCAAATTGAGTCACCAAACCAGAATGCTCAGTTTACTGAAGATTATGCTCAGTATTTTGCAAGAGTCAAGGAAATTCGTTTGACAGTAGTACTCATCAGGATGATACCTCACAAGAGTGGGCAGACTTACATTACAGACTGGGAAAGTTCAAACTACTCTAGTCATTCTATTCTTGGTTGCCAGCCAGTCTTTGGAAGTGTTTAATGCCCATTTAGGATGTAAGTTGAAAGACTTTACTCTTGGTATTGATCAGTTTTCCCTTTTCATTATATAGGGGTCATCAGTTTCATTGAAGCATTAAAAAATCTATCAAGTCCCCTGAGAAATACTGTATTCAAGCTAAACCTAAGGGTCATCTTTCAATTATCTTACACTTGTTACATTCATAATTAGAAAATAATTAAACCAAGATATGTTCAGTTGTTTGAAGCATTTGGAATTTTAATTACTATTCTAAAGATTTTGCTGATGGTATCAGCAAAACTGGACTGTGCAAAACACACTATGGGTTATTTTCTTAATTTTGTAATTTTTTTCAACTGGAAAGCACCAAACAGAAAACTTTATTTGGTTACCATTTTGATTGCAATTCAGGATGTCTAAGGGCACACATAATAACACAAAATGTTCATAGAGCATAGTGTAGTTGGAATGGCAAACTACACTTCAAACCCCATACATATTCATATTACATTGTACCATTGTGCGATTTTCCAGTGGGCTTTATTTGGTGTTCTCGGTTTTCAAATCATAATTTATGATTTGGTTGCTTACATGGAAGTAGGAGAGGCCCCCTTTTGACAAGGAATGAAAATTTTAAAAGAATTATCTAATATCACCATTCTGAACCAAATTTAGTCCTCTCTGGGAAAGCAACATAAAGTTTGAACTTAAAAGACAGCACTTTCTCATTCTCTCTCATCTTGATGTGATTTAAGCTTTCATCAGTAAAAAAAACCAGACATGTTACTTCAAATACAAAAAAAAAAATGCCAAAATTTCATCTTGAAAAGCAAGGTCTGTGCATTGAAAAGTAATTGAGCTTTTCATTTGAATCATTAAACCTTTCTCATTTTCAACTTTGTTTTGAACCTCCCTGTGTTCTCAATTCAGATGTTGTATATTACCCCAAACAGTTTCCATTTTTGCTTTTCAGAGATTTATTGGGCCAAATATTTGACAAAGACAGTGCCTGTAAGTGCTGAGATGCAGGTGTGCATGGCTAGGCTTGGCACCCAGTAGTGGTCATTGATGCCAAACTCAAGTCCATTGTACTTATATTGCTGCAGGCATAACAGATGTAGGTGCAACTTGTTTTGGAAATTGTTTCTATTTTCTATAAATCCAGTTGGTGCTCAACAACACTCTCCAATAATGGAACTCAGCCAATTTAGAAACTCACCACTGGTAAAGTACATAGAATTGTAAAATATGAGCCTCATTATAATACAGTGATCATGTATCCATTACTCATTTAGATCAAGTTCATGTGTCAGAGTGCTCATTTAGAAATGAATGTCAAACCTGCAAGGATTTATCATTGTTCTCATGCCTTTGTTATATAGCAAGTGACCACATACTGGTTTTTAAATAATGAGCTTTGCCTGAAAAATTGCTCATCCATGCCTTGATAAAGATCTCAGGACAGGAGTTAGCATAGACGGTGTTTTATTTAAATCCATCCTTATCCATAATCAACGAGACCAGTTGCAATCAGCCTTATAATTTGAATCTCCTTTTGAGCCCTCCTAAATATGTAAATCTTTCTTTCTCTTTACATGGATTTCTGTTTGAATGCACACTAGATAATTGTAACAGTTAAAATGGCACACTTGACATCCTGCAGCAATTGAAGGCATTCTTTCATACCCCCATTACAATGCTGTTAGAGTTTACAATTGAGTAAACTTAGTGACCTCTATTTAGAAGAAAGCTGAGGTGGAGAGGGATCATTTCATGCTCTTCAGTTTGCCAGTGTACAGATTCAATTGTACATGAATCTTGCATCTTGTACAATCTTTATGGTTTGAAGAAAATTTTATCAGACATAGATAACAGTCTGTTATACTCTGGCATGCTATGTATCAACACTGACACTGAATTATTAAGACAGGCAACAAATGATAGGCTGATATCTGAGCTTATTTACTAGGATGAGCAGATCCCTTGATATATAAAGGCTTTGAAAAAAATCGCTTCTTGTAAAGCACACTCCAATGTGTGGGATCATGTTGCAGGCCTTTGGTTACACCCCTTCTGGCTTTAGGGTCTCTTTTTGATCCAGTTAGTCAGTCTGACTGTGTTGTAGTGTAGCCAGAGCCCAATCAGGTCTTTAAATCCTTTAGATAGTAGGGAGTAGAAATTCTTCCTAGGAAGCCATGTGAGTTTTTGAATCTATGTGGTTGGATTAAAGAGTTGGATGGTTAGGTCACTTTGGAATTACTGGGATGCTATTCAAATAAGCCAAGATAAAGATTTCTCATGGTTTATATCAACTGCTTTATTAGGTTTGTGTACATTTAGATGTTTACTAGCTTTGCAACTCTGGCAGATTTCTGTGGGGAGCCTCTTCATCTTCAGAATAAATACTATACTTTTAAAGAAAATAAATGTTTCTTATTTCTAGCAATTCTCATATACCACCCAGTGCATATTTGAAGCTCAATAAATATTTGTTGAATGGATGAAATTGTCCAATGACTTTTGAGAAATCAGGAGCTGTGCACCTTTCTTTTAAAGCTGAGTGATAATCATGAAGCTTGATAATGATCTTATTTGAATGAATGTAGAGAAAAAAGTAGAGTTTTTTGGATCTAATTACAAATAAAATTAGCCTTGATTTTCAAAACTATATAATCAACCATAAAATTATATTGATTAATGAAATCTATTAAAGTGTTTCTGTCATTATAATAATAAAATCCAAGAAAGTTTTAAATTTATCTTCTGAAACAGGGTGGTCCTTTAAAATAAGCCTTTTAAAATCTTAAATATCTCTTCCAGAAGTGATGAATCATCATGAATTGATCATGCTTCTTAATTTGAACGCTTAAGTACTCTGTCAAAACCTAATTGTCAGCTTCGTAATGTGAGTTATTGACACAAACTCACGTTTGATTTTGGTGTACATTATATTTTATCTTTTTATCTAGATTGTTATGCATATTTATATCATATACTCAAAAAACTTAGTTCCTATGAGATTATTGAAATTTTTGAAGTGTTGACTCGAGTTCATGAAAGTATTTAACACCAATACAGCTATTCTACATGCTTATTAATTTTCTGATCTGCAGTAAATATTGAAGCAACCATCTTATTTAAAGCAATATCTATATTTCTAATACTAAAGAAACAGAATTATCATATTTATATTACTCAATATAAAAGTTATTTGATTATATTATGCATAATTTGTATAGGGGATCTTATTTTTAAGACACATGAATTACTAAGATTCTATTTCAAAATGAGAAAACAGGTATTTAATGATAAGAGGTAAATGAATTTTTTTTGAAATTCTAAGTATTTAAAAAACTCCTTGCAATTTTTAAAGGCGTTGAAACTAAATAATTATATTGGTAAGAAAAAAATAGAAAATTTCTTCTTGAAATTGCACATTTGTTGAATTTCCATAACCCAGAACTTTATGTATTTTCAGTTTCACAAGTTGCTTGTGGTAGTGTCTAACGAAGTATCAACTCTCACAGTAACTGTGGAGGTAAAGTGCTGCAATGTTATTTTAGAATGTAGACATTTTAGACAGACTGCTGCATCACTGAATGAATCTTAAAGCAGCAGGAACTCAAAACTAGCAGTGCAGTCTTTCACATAGGGCAATGACTTTTAGGTTTTACTCCCTTTATTAATTTATATTAAGCACAACAGTAATATGTGCTCATTGAAACTTGCAAAACAATGCAATAATACAGGAAATGTATGTCAACAGTCTTTCTCATCTTCTCTCCAAGCAGTTCTTCATGTTCATACAAGCAATATGCAATTATACCTGCATGAGATTTTGTGCTTCTATATTTTAAAAAACATAATCATAACAAATACATTATTCTGTAATTTGCTTTTCTCACTGTACAATACATTATCAATATTTCCCCAGAACACTAGATTAGGTCTAAGACATTTATTTTATTTTATTTTTTGAGATGGAGTCTCGCTCTGTCACCCAGGCTGGAGTGCAGTGGCGCAATTTCGGCTCAATGCAAGCTCCACCTCCCAGGTTCACGCCATTCTCCTGCCTCAGCCTCCCGAGTAGCTGGGATTACAGGCACCCGCCACCACGCCCGGCTAATTTTTTGTATTTTTGTAGAGACAGGGTTTCACTATATTAGCCAGGATTGGTCTCGATCTCCTGACCTCGTGATCCACCTGCCTTGGCCTCCCAAAGTGTGGGGATTACAGGCGTGAGCCACCACGCCCGCCCAAACATTTATTTTAATAATATGGACATTCCACAGTTGAATGACTCTTTGGCTAATGAACACATATTGATTTCCTTTTTTTGGCATTATATACACTGTTAAAGTAAACATGTTTGTACACATATAATTATATGCTTTTATTTATTAGGGGTAAATGGTATATAAGCTTTGGGAGATATTGCCAGGATCTTAAAAAAAATTAAAGTAATTTATATCTTCTGAAAGCAATATGTTAAGTGTAATTATTTCCCAATTTCCATGCCAGAATAAATGACATTGATTTCCTGAATTTACTAATGTGATGAATAAAATATGATTCTTACAGTTGTTTTCATTTGTACTTACCTGGCTATTAGTGAGTTACTCTGTATTCACGCACACACACACACACACACACACACCAGTTATATATTGTTATATATAAGACAGTTATGTTTTTTCTATCAATGCATAGGCTTAGCCCTTTTTATATTTGGTCTTTATTTTTCTTAATAATATATAGGAAATTTATATATTAGGGAAATTAAACCATTGTGCATTATATGCACTACACGCATTTAGGTGTGTGTATCTTTTCTTTTTTTATGTCTTCTGGTATTTCTGTCTTATTTAGGAAGAACTTCTCAACCCTAAGATTATAAAAACGTCGACTTAAATTTTATGTTTTATAAACACACATCCACACACATGACATTTTTCTGGAATTTATTTTTTAATTATATTACAGAAGAGTCTTTTTTTTTATTCAAAATGTTTGGTAAATCATACTAATTCAACCTAAGTGTTCATCATTGCATGAATGGTTAAAGAAAATGTGTTATATACACACAATGGAAAATTATTCAGCCATACAAAGAATAAAATACTGTCATTTGCAGCAACGTGGATGGGACTGGAAGTCATTATGTTAAGTGAAATAAGCCAGGCAAGGAAAGACAAATCTCATGTGTCTAGTCCTATGTCACCAGTATACTTCTTCAATTATGAAGGTTTCGTATGTGTATGTACATGTGATATAAATGCATAGCTATATACATATAAAATATATACTATATTTACATTTACATTGAATACACATATGTATCACATATACTTACAGATTAATATATAAATATTTATACATACTTTTCTTGATTATTCCAATTTATTCTTTTATAGGAAATTTATTCTTTTATAGGAACCTCAATTTGGCATCTATAAATAAAATTAAAAACAACTATTGGGATTTCAATTTGAATAGAATTAAATACATAAATTTTGAAAAGATTGACATTTTGTGCTAATAAATAGTTCCACATATGAACATATACCTCCCCATATTTTACGTCTTATTTTGTATTTCTTTCAACTTTTAAATGGATTGTAAATGTATTTTTTCCTATGAAATATATTTGTATGTATTTTATAACCTTAATCATGCTTGTAGGCAGCATAATACTAACATCATTTTAGTTGATTATTGACAGCATGGAGAAAAGTTCTTGTTTTTATGTTTCTTTTTATCCATTAATCTATCAAATTATCTTAATTCCAATAACTCTTTTCCTTGAGTTACACTTTTTTAAAAGTGTGTAACCATATAATTTACCAGTAACGATGTTTTCTTATATTCTATTATTTATCAAGAGGTTTTTAATCCTATTGGGTTGGTGCAAAAGTAATCGTGGTCTTTACCATTGAAAGTAATGGCAACCTAATATATTAGCTAGAATTTTTTAAATACTCTTAAAATACTCAAATCTTCAATAATGTTGACAACACAAACTCTGTCTTGTTCTTGGTTTTAATGAAAATGATTTTAGCGTTTCACCATTTAGTATAATATTTGTAATAGGTCGTGTGGTATGCCACCCAAATCTCCCATTTCAGTCTATTTGGTGGTTTAAGCAACCCAGATGTATTCTTTTTCAAGAGGATCTTAGCTGTTCTTGGCCATTTGTATTACCATATAAATATTAGAATCAGCTGATCATTTAACATAAAACTAGGTGCTGGAATTTTGAATCAAATTTCATTGAATATTAGATTAATTAAAGAACAGCTAGTATATTTTAAATATTGAGCATCCTAATCCATAACCATGGTAAAACCTGAAAAATTTTTTAGTGTCGATGTGACACTCAAAGGAGATATTCATTGGAGTATCTCAGTTTTCAAATTTTCAGATTAGGGATGTTCAATCAGTAAGTATAATGCAAATATTCTAAAATTTAAAAAAATCTGAAATTTGAAACACTGGTTTCAAGCATTTTTGATAAGGTATACTCAACCTGTATCAGCCTTTCTAATTTATATACTGGCTAGAATCTCCAGTATAATGTTGTCTAGATATGATGATAACAGATATTTTTGCCTCATACCTAATTTCAAGAAGAGCATTTTCAATATTTCACTTTTAAGTATGATCCTTGCCATAGGTTTTATATAGATGCCCTTTATCAGACTAAAAATTACGAACAAGGATTAAATTCAATATTTTTATTGTATTGTTTGTAATTATTTTCATCTTTATTTTATCAATACGGGGAATTACATTGATTGATTTTCTTTTAAACATTGTAGAAGTGAAGCAGAGCTCGATGGTGCAATAGGATCCTCCAGTGATTGACCCCCTGAAGAAACATCAATTTGAATGGCTTTTAATGCAAGACAATACCTTCCCAACAGCTAAGAAAAACAGGTGAAAGATCACAGTACCTGATTTTAGCATAATAACAAAAAAGATGCATTGAAGAGTGTAGGAAGGACAATCTTGCATTGCCTGCATCAATGCTCCCTGAACACCAGGCATAATGAAAAGAAACACCATCCAATTGGAGGAGGGAGAAGGAAGTGTGCCTGAGACTGTGCCTTGGAAGCCAGTGCCAGGTATGCCACAGTAAAACACAGCACTGGGTAGAAACCCCATCATCCCTGATTTCAGAGTGGTGATCATGAAAAGAGCTTCTAGACCTGCCTCAATGTCAGAAGGGAATCTGTCACCCAAGCAGAATGGACTTGAGTCCCTGCCCACATCATCACCAGCTGATTTAAGTGGCTCAGTGCAAATGAATTTTAGTGCCAGAATGGCAAACTTAGGCATAGGGTGTCCTCTAGTGCTGAAATGGCTGCAGTGACCACAGGCTTAGGGAACACAATTAGTTCCCTATGAATTCCTAAAAGGCCCTCTGAAAAAGGACAAGTATAAACATGGTCAGACTGAGAAGACTGTAGTAAACACCTAATTATTATTCAATGCCCAAGTATCAATATGTGTCAAGAAGCATCCAGAATATTCACAGAAATATAACCTCACTAAACAGAATAAATTAGGCACAAGTGACCAAATCTAGAGAGATGGAGGTATGTGATCTCTTAGGTATCTTAGATAGGGAATTTAAAATATGCATTTTGAAATAACAAACTTCAAGAAAACACAGAGAAATAATACAGAACATATCAGATAACTTTAAAAGAGAGATTGAAATAAAAAAAATGAAACTGAAATCCTAAAGCTGAAAAATACAGTAAAAAAAAATAAAATAAAAAAATGCATGAAAGGGTCTCTACAAAGGAATTGACCAAGCAGAATAATCAGTAATCTCAAAGACAGGCCATTTGAAAATACTGTCAGAAGAGATAAAAGAAAAATAAAGAATGAAGTAATCCCAGCACTTTCGGAGGATGAGATGAATGGATTGATTGAGCCTAGGTGTTTACAAAATTTTTACAAAAAGACTAAAAGACAAAACTATTAAAAAGATTAATGCTTGCAACAATTTGTTAAAGAAGACAATTAAAAAAGATGTAAATAGAAATATCTAACATCAAAATGTGAAAGTATTAAAGGTAAAATGTACAGTTTTTTGTTTGCATCTTTTATTTGTGATCAAAGTTAAGTTGTTAGCATTTTAGAACAACTTGTTGTAACTATATTTTTATTAGGCATCATGGTAGCCATAAAGCAAAAGTCTATAATAGATATGCTGAAAATACAAAGCAAGGAACCAAAAAATACTACTAGAGGAAAGCAATTAACCACAAAGGAAGGCAGTAAGAGAGGAAGAAAGAAAAAAGAGATGTACAAAACAACCAGAAAACAAATAACAAAATAGCAGTAGTAAGACTTTACCTATCAATAGTAACATTAAATGTAAATAGGTTAATTCTCCAATTAAAAGACATATAGTGGTTGAATAATAATGAATAAAACCCAATTATATGCTGCCTACAAGAAACTCACTTGACCTATAAAGACACACATGAACTAAAAGTAAAAAAAAAAATGGAAAAAGATACTTTATGCAAATGAGCATAAAAAGAGCAAGAGTATCTAGACTAGTATCAATAAAATAGACATTAAATCAATCATGGTAAGAAAGACAAATAAGGTCATTATGTAATGATTAAGTGGTCAATACAGCAAGAGGATATGACAATTAAAAATATGTATGCATCCAACACTGGCGCACCTAAATTTATAAAGCAAACATTAATAGAGTTAAAGGGAGTTAATGGCAGTACAATAATAGTAAGGAACATCAGCACTCCACTTTCAGCAATGGACATATCATCCAGATGAAAAATAGAAAGAAAATATATCAGAGTTAAACTGCACTCTAAATGAAATAGACCTAACAGACATTTAGAGAATATTCCATCCAACAGCTGTAGAATATACATTTTTTCTCAACAACACATGGAACACTGTCCAGGATAGATCATATGTTAGACCAGAAAACAAGTTTTAACACATTTTAAAAAATCAAAATTTTCTTTAGTATCTTTTTTGACCACAATGGAATAAAACAAGAAATAAATAACAGGAAGAACTTCAGAAACTGTACAAATACATGAAAATTAACACATGCATGAACAACCAACAAATCAATTTAAACATTAAAAATGAATTTAAAACATTCCTGGGTACATCCAACCAGTCAAGATTGAGTCAGGAAAAAATAGAAAACCTGAACAGACCAATAATAAGTAACACAATTGAAGCAGTAATAAAATATATTCTATCAAAAGAAAGCTCGAGGGCTAACATTTTCACTACTGAATTCTACCAAACATTTAAAGAAGGACTAATACCAATTATACTCGAACTATTCCAAAAAAATTAAAGAGGAGGAAATACTTCCAAACTTATTTTACAAAGACAGCATTACCTTGGTACCAATACCAGATAAGGACACAATAAAAAAATAGAAACCTACAGGGTAATCTATCTAATGAACATAGATGCAAAAATACTCAACAAAATACTAGCAAACCAAATTCAACAACACTTTTAAAAGACCGTTTACCATGATCAAGTGGGATTCACCCCAGGGATGCAAGGATGCTTCAACATACACAAATCAATAAACATGGTACATCACATTAACAGAATCAAGGACAAGAGCCATACGATTATTTCAATAACTGCTGAAAGGCATCTGTTAAAATTTGGCATTCTTTTATGATAAAAACTACCAACAAATTGGGTATAGAAGGAATATATCTCAACAAAATAAAAGCCATATATGGCAAACTCACAGCTAATATTTTACTGAATCATGAAAAGTTAAAAGCTTTTATTCTAAGATCTGGAATAAGATCTATATGCAACTGTAAATTAGTATAGCCATTTAAAAAAACAGTTTGGAGACTTCTCAGAAAGCAAAAAGTAGAACTGCCATATTATGCAGCAGTCCTAATATTTGGTATATATCTAAAAGTAATGAAATCAGCATGTTAAAGAGATACCTGCATTCTCATGTTTATTGCAACACTATTCACAATAGCCAAGAAATGAAATCAACTTAAGTGCCTATCTACAAATAAATGAATAAAAAAGATGATATATACATATATACACACACACATATGTATATATACACATATATTGTTTTATATGTGTAACATTGCTTATATATAACATTGTTTCATATACCATTGTTTATATGTGTACATAATATATATAACAATCAAATATGATTTAGCCATAGAATATAATAAAATCCTGTAATTTGAAGCAATGTGGATGAAACTAGAGGACATTATGCCAAGTGAAATAAGCCAGACACAGAAAGACAAATACCATGTGATCTTACTTATATGTGGAATCTGAAAACGTTTATCTCAGGGAAGGAAGACTAAATTCTGGTGCTCTATTATACAAAAGGGTGACTATAGCTAATAATTAATTGTATATTTCAAGATAACTAGAAGAGAGGATTTCGAGTGTTATTCCAAATTTGAAAAATGTTTAAAGTGATCAATGAGCTAATTACTCTGATTTGATCGTTACACTATGTATACCTGTATTGAAACATCACAGTGTATCCCATAAACATGTACGATGATTTAGTTATAAATAAAATACAACATAAAAAGACAAATATTGTATTCCTCAAATACTTCACATTTAGATATTTGGGTATTAATATTAACCTATTTATATATTTCTAAATTTTATTTAATAATATCTTTTTATGAATTTTGCATCTAAGTTTATGAGATACATTGACTTGTATTTCTCCCCTCTTTTCAAACGTCCTTATCAGATTTAAATAGACATTATCTGGCTCATAAAATCAGTGGAGAGTGTTTCCTTTTCTTTTCTTTTTCTTTTTATTGGAATTGTACGTAATATAGGAGTAATTTCTTCATTAAAATATGGAAAAAGTTTCCAGTGAAGCCATCTGAGGCTTGAGTTTTCTTTGTGGGAAGATTTTAATTAAGAATTTAATTTAATAGATATGACTATTTACATGTCCTATTTTCTTATGTCAGCTTTAACAAGGTATGTTTTTCGATGATTTTTTTCTATATCACTCAATTTTATTTGCAAAATATTTTTCATAATTCTCTTTTATTATCTTTTAATGTTTCTGTGATTGGTAATGCTGCCTCTTTTTATTTCATGATTCAATACATTATAACATCTCTTTCCCTTTTTTCACCTTGATTTGGCTTGTTAGGAGTTTATCAATTTTATTCATATTTTCAATGAACTAAATTATGTCTTTATTGATTTTCTCTATTTTATTTACTATTTCATCGATTTTGATTACATTTCGTGATGGTTAATACTGAGTGTCAACTCGATTGGATTGAAGGATGCAAATTACTGATCCTGCGTGTGTCTGTGAGGGTGTTGCCAAAGAGATTAACACTTGAGTCACTGAGCTGAAGAAGGCAGACCCACCCTTAATCTGGTGGGCACAATCTAATCAGCTGCCAGCGAGTATAAAGCAGGCAGAAAAACGTGAAAAGATGAGACTGGCCTAGCCTCCCAGCCTACATCTTTCTCCTGTGCTGGATGCTTCCTGCCCTCAAACATCAGACTCCAAGTTTCTCAGCTTTGAGATGCGGACTGGCTCTCCTTGCTCCTCAGCTTGCACACAGCCTATTGTGGGACCATGTGATCATGAAATAAACTCACACATATATATATATATGTATATATATCCTATTAGTTCTGTCCCTCTAGGGAACCCTAACTGATACATAATTTTATTAATTCCTCTTTCTACTTTTTTGGGGGAGTTAATTTGCTGTTATTTTTTAACTGCATGAGGTGGAAGCTTACATCATTTTTTAAAACTTCAACTTCTATTTTATGTACAGGGGGTACATGTGTAGGGTTATGCCATGGGACCATTGCATGATGCTGTGGTTTGGCTTATGGATCCCGTCACCCTGGTAACGAGCAGAAAATCCAACAGGTAGCTTTTTTAACCCACTCAACTCTCTTCTCCCTTCGGTAGTCCACAGTGTCCATCGGTCTCATATTTATGTCCTACGTCATTCATATTTAATGTTTCCTTTTAATCTTGCGTCTTTTCTCAGCAGAGTTTTTACTGCATCCTGCATATATTCAAACATTACATTTTATATTCTTTTGTTTCAAAAATTTTCTAAAATATATCATGGGATTTTTGATTTGAGGATTAATAAAAGTAAATGCTTTTAATTTTCAAAAATATGAGTTTTTAAATTTTGCATTATTAGTATCTAGCTTAATTTTACTATCATCAGAAAGAAGACACTGTATGATTTCAGTCTTTACTTTTAACTTAAGGGTGTTTTTAATTGGAAAAAAATACTATCATTTACAACTTGGAATGGATGTAAATTGTAATTTCTTGAACAGCAATGTTGACGGTTGTGCTGAAGTCTACAGCCACAGCCTATTCTGCAGGCTCCAAGTTATGGTTCAGAAGGTTTTAAAAAGAGAGAGTCCAAAAATGCTCCATTGGTAAAGGTTTCCTATTAAAATTTTGTGTGGACAGTGACAACCTGACACCTGTTTCACTCTAGAACAATGCAGACAATGCTAAACAAACATACATGGGCATGCCACCAGGGTGTGTCATTGTCACCATGGGTCAGAGTACATGAAGTAAAAGAGGCCAATCCTACTAGTGAGGCCATGTCTCATGGTTTATCCTTCACCCATTTTTCTGCATGTCATCCTGAGGTAAACGAATTTTAAATGTGTTTGTTTTCAGTAAACCAGCTATGACAATTTATACTGAACAAATTGAACTAGAACACATTTGAATAGGTTTTGAATTTGTTTTTCCATTTTTCGTTTTTAATACAAATGCCTGACTGTGCTCAATCGTCAATTTGCATACATAAAAAACTGGCCACCCCGAACAGTGTATTAATCATTAGCAAATGGCACTTTAAGGAGTCCTTTTCATTAAGGTAGTACAAGTATTTATATTGTAAAACTGATGTGTAGCTTGATCTTCAGGGGGCAGGACCATCAACCAATACATACAGACTTTTTGTGTGGTCAGAAGGTACTTCTGACATTCAGTTTTGCTATGTAGAAATAAATAAATGAACTTTTTTCTTTTTTCTATTTTTTTTATAAGAGGTAAGTAAAAGATTCAATTTGATTTTTCTAGAAGGGAGAAAAAGGAGTTGAAAATAGGTCTTCATTTTGCAGTCATCTGTATGAATTCTTCATAGTTGACTTGTTAGCCTCTATCAATATCTGCTTCTCTGATCATTTCATCTACTTCTTCATCTGTTAGTTTTTCTCCTGTTTGTCATGACGTGACATAGTTCTGCTGCACTGATGTAACCATTGCCACCCTTGTCAAAGACTCAGAATGCCTCATGGATTTCTTCTTTACTATCTGTATCTTTCATTTTTCTAGCTATCATAGCCAAAAATTCGGGGAAGTCAATGGTGTCGTTACCATTGGCATCCACTTCGTTGATCATATCCCGTAATTCGGCTTCTGACCCAGTGACCTCATGACAGTTCCAGGTTCCTTTGTTGTGATGGTGCCATCGCCATCTTTATCCAATAGAGAAAGCTTCCCTGAATTCAGCAATCTGTTCTTCGGTCAGCTGATCAGACATGGTGCCAGCGAAGGGAGGAAGAGGAGAAGGAGCGAGGGTGGCTGCACCATCGCAGGGGCTGTGATGGCGAGGGTGTGCCTCCAATACTGCTGCTGCTGCTAAGGCACGCTACGCGCTGTGCCGCAGCCACTTCCTGGCACTGCGTCCAGGAGACTCCTAGCACCGCTGCCAGATTTCAGTCTTATTTATTTATTTATTTATTTAATTTTTATTATACTTTAAGTTCTATGGTACGTGTGCACAACGTGCAGGTTTGTTACATATGTATACATGTGCCATGTTGGTGTGCTGCACACATTAACTCATCGTTTACATTAGGTATATCTCCTAATGCTATCCCTCCCCCCACCCCTCACCCCACCACAGGCCCCTACCATCAGAGTGAACAGGCAGCCTACAGAATGGGAGAAAATTTTTGCAATGTATCCCTCTGACAAAGGGCTAATATCCAGAATCTACAAAGAACTCAAACAAATTTACAAGAAAAAAACAACCCCATCAAAAAGTGGGTGAAGGATATGAACAGACATTTCTCAAAAGAAGACATTTATGCAGCCAACAGACACATGAAAAAATGCTCATCATCACTGGCCATCAGAGAAATGCAAATCAAAACCACAATGAGATACCATCTCACACCAGTTAGAATGGTGATCATTAAAAAATCAGGAAACAACAGGTGCTGGAGAGGATGTGGAGAAATAGGAACACTTTTACATGGTGGGACTGTAAACTGGTTCAACCATTGTGGAAGTCAGTGTGGCGATTCCTCAAGGACCTAGAACTAGAAATACCATTTGACCCAGCCATCCCATTACTGGGTATATACCCAAAGGACTATAAATCATGCTGCTATAAAGACACATGCACACGTATGTTTATTGCAGCACTATTCACAATAGCAAAGACTTGGAACCAACCCAAATGTCCATCAATGATAGACTGGATTAAGAAAATGTGGCACACATACACCATGGAATACTATGCAGCCATAAAAAAGGATGAGTTCATGTCCTTTGTAGGGACATGGATGAAGCTGGAAACCATCATTCTCAGCAAACTATCGCAGGGACAAAAAACCAAACACTGCATGTTCTCACTCATAGGTGGGAATTGAACAATGAAAACACTTGGACACAGGAAGGGGAAGATTTCAGTCTTTTTAAACTTGTGGAGACTTGCTTATTGCCAAACATATAGTCAATTATGGTAAATATTCTAAATGCACTAGAAAATAATGTGGAATCTCTTATTGCTAGATGGAGTGTTCTATATACATTAATTGTGTCAAAATTGCTATATATGTTCTTTAAATTGTTTTTATACCTACTAGTTTGTTCCTGCCTGTTCTCAATAACTGATGGTATTGAGCGAAATACGTTAAAATAACCAACTATCATGTGGGGCTTTTTTTTAAATTTCTCTTCAAAGTTTTGCTTTTCTTTTAAATACTTTGGGCCTTAATTTTTATTGTATATAAATGTAGGATAATTAGATATTTATGTTGAATGAGCATTTTAGCATTGTAAAATGTTCCTCTTTATCTGTAGCAATTCTCTTTATCATAAACTGTTTTGTTTATATTAGAATAACTTCATAAGTTTTATTTTTTAAAATCCTTCAATCTTGTGTTTTTAAGGCATGTCTCTTATGAGTGACTTACATAAGCTTTTATAAATCCAAACAAAGTATTTTTCTTTTTAAAAATGTATTTATTCATTTTAATTTTTATTGCAGTAAAATATACATACAGAAAAGCACAAAAACTATGAGTGTATAATTTTTAAGTTTTTACAAACTAAACAAACTATTGTAGCCTGCAAGTAGATGAAGGAAAAGAACATGACCAATAACTCAGAATCCCTATTTTTCTGCATCCTTTTCAGTCACTGCTATTCCAAAGGTAATTACCTCCTGACATTTAAGAGAATTAAATAGATTATCTCAATGAGTAAGATCAGCTACTGGAACCCTCATTCAGTTAGTGGGATTATAAATTGGTACAATTGGTTTAGTAGAATCTTCAGGATTATTTACTCGGTTGATTATATTCATATCCTATGCCCCAAAAGTTTTCTTCCTAGTAATATACTTAACATAAATTTGTAAATATCTGCATCAAAAGACATGAAGAAAATTTTCATAGACGTGCTATTCAAAATATTTCTAAAACCTAAACTGCTCAGCAGCAGGAAAATAGATAAATAAAATGTGGTATATTCACAAAATGGAATACTACACTGCAGTAAGAGTAAATAAACCACATATACATAGGATAATGTGGATGGACTTTAAAACCATGAGTTGAACAAGAGAAGCCAGACCACAAACAATACAGAGTTTAGGTTTGCAATAAAAATTATGTTTTATCCTTAGTTGGACTCTTTTGTTCATTAGTACTAGTGTAATTTCTGATATGTTTGGGGTTTAAACCTACATTCTTACAATTTTTTTCTCATGTTGACTTTGATAAATTTTCTCTTGCCTTCCTTTGGTTTAATTAGGTAGTGTATAGTAGTTTTCCCTTTTGTTAGAGTGTTACTCATACATTTTTAATTTTTTTTAGCGATTACTTGAAAGATTGCAAATACACCTTTGACTTACTAAATTTTACCTTTAACACAGCTGTTCTGTTGTTGCCACATGCCACGTATTATCAATCTAAACACACTTTAAACTTTAAATACAATTAGTATCATTTTAAAAGTGAATATTTATTTAGATTTACCTATATATTTACTTTTTCTGCTACTGTTAATTTCTGTCTTCAGTGCTGTGTGCCAATCTTTCATTTCCTCCTGATGAAGAGCTAGCTGCAATTTTTGCTCCATATGGATTCATATACATATGAAAAGAAGGAAGCTTATAGTTTGCATTAAAGTTATTGATCATCTTTTTCATGTTTAATGCTGTTTGGCCATGGGATCCACTTTTTCTGATAATAATGGTAACACTCCTGCTGTCTTTTGATTTGAAATTTGCATGTAGTATAATAATCCATTCCTTTATTTTCAATATTTTTTCATGTTGCTTTAGATATGGTTCTTGAAAACATCATGTGTTGTTATTGTTTTTAACGTCATCTTACTTTTTAATTTTAAAATTTGTAGTTTGGGCATTTTTACATTTAATACAATAGCTGGTATGTTTGGTTTTCTTCCTGTAATCTTATTCTATATTAGCTATTTTTTTCCCTCTATGTTCTTATTTTGGGTGAATTTATCAGGATTATGTTCATTTTTTTTTTCATTTGGCTAAATTTGGCATGTCTTTAATTCTGCAGGTGGTTAACTTTCCGTCCTTAAAACTGATTATCAAACACACAAACACACACACACACACACTACACTCACATCAAAGTAAAATGATAAATCAGCATTCCACTAAGATGCTTTACATATCTATTTCCCTTCCCCAAATGAATCTTAAAATGTTTAGAAATATTCGCTTCTCAGTTGAGACATTTTACTAACCTTCATTCAACCTCAGGTTATTTCTAAGATAGTTTTAAAAAATTAGTGTTAGGCTAATATTGTCATTTCCATTCTATTTTTCTTTTCTGTTTCCATAATTCCATTTAACTTGTATATTATAAATTTTCAATCATGCTAGAAACATTTGCCTAAATTACAAATAACTTCAAAATACATTTATAACTAACTTTTACATCGTTCTTTTCTCCTCTCTTGATTTCTCTGTTCTGACTAAATGTGCTTTTGGTCAGAACTCTTTCTTACATATTTTCTTTCATTAGGATATAGTGTTCTGATAATCTATGAACTCTCATGTGTGCCAAAATCTTTTTCTCCTTCCTTTGCAAATGAATATAATTTGGCATAATGTAGTCGTCTTTAATTATAAAACCTTTTTCTCTCAATGGTATGTGGATCATTCTTCTGTCCTCTAGTTTCTAGTCTCAACTTGAAGAAAAAAGTACTATACTGGCCTGATTTTATTTCTATTGTACATAGGCTATTCTTTCTTTTGAGAAGCTGGTAATATTTTCTCTTCATTTTTTAATTCAAAAATTTTATCAAGATGGATCTACGTCTTTTCTTTCTTCATGAATCCTACTGCTTAGTCAATGAAAATTTTCAGTTTATACTTGTATTAGTTCGTTTTCACGCTGCTGATAAACACATATCCGAGACTCGGAAGAAGAAGAGGTTTAATTGGACTTAGAGTTCCACGTGATTGGCAAGGCCTTAGAATCATGGTGGGAGGCAAAAGGCAGTTTTTACATGGATGCAGCAACAGAAAAAATGAGGAAGAACAATAGCGGAAACCCCCGATAAACCCATTAGATCTTGTGAGATTTATTCACTATAATGAGAATAACACGGGAAAGATCAGCCCTCATGATTCAATTACCTCCACATGGGTCCCTTCCACAGCATGAGGGAATTCTGGGAGATACAATTCAAGTTGAGATTTGGCTGAGGACACAGCCAAACCATATGATTCTGCCCCTGGCCCTCCAAATCTCATGTCCTCACATTCAAAAGCCAACCACGCCTTCCCAACAGTCCCCCAAAGTGTTAACTCATTTCAGCATTAACCCAAAAGTCCACAGTCCGAAGCCTCATCTGAGACAAGGCAAGTCCCTTCCACCTATGAGCCTGTAAAATCAAAAGCAAGCTAGTTACTTCCTGGATACAATGAGAGTAAAGGTATTGGGTAAATACAGCCATTCCAAATGGGAGAAATTGGCCAAAACAAAGGGGCTACAGGGCCCATGGAAGTCTGAAATCCAGCAGGGAAGTCAAATTCTAAAGCTCCAAAATCACCTCCTTTGACTCCAGGTCTCACATCCACTTGATGCTGATGCAAAAGGTGGGTTCCTATGGTCTTGGGCAGCTCCGCCCCTGTGGCTTTGCAGGGTATAGCCTCCCTCCTGGCTGCTTTCACTGGCTGGCATTAGGTGTCTGCAGCTTTTCCAGGTGCACGGTACAAGCTGCCAGCGGATCTACCATTCTGGGGTTTGGAAGATGGTGGCCCTCTTCTCACAGCTTGACTAGGCAGTGCCCCAGTAGGGACTCTGTGTGGGGCTCCCACCCCACATTTCCCTTCTGCATTGCCCTAGCAGAGGTTCTCCACGAGGGCCCCACCTGTGCAGCAAACTTTTGCCTTGGCATCCAGGCATTTCCATACATCTTCTGATATCTAAGCGGAGGTTCCCAAACCTCAATTCTTGACATCTGTGCACCCACAGGCTCAACACCATGTGGAAGCTGCCAAGGCTTGAAGCTTTCACCCTCTGAAGCCACAGCCTGAGCTTTACATTGGCCCCTTTCAGCCGTGGCTGAAGCAGCTGGGGCACGGGGCACCAAGTACCTAGGCTGCACACAGCCTGGGGACCCTGGGCTCAGCCCACAAAACTATTATTTTCCTCCTGGGCCTCCAGGCCGGGTGATAGGAGGGGCTGCTGGGAAGGTCTCTGACATGGCCTGGAGACATTTTTCCCATGATCTTCGAGATTAACATTAGGCTACTTGCTACTTATGCAAATTTCTGCAGCTGGCTTGAATTTCTCCTCAAAAAATGATATTTTTTTTCTACTGCATCGTCAGGTCGCAAATTTTCTGAACTTTTATGCTCGGCTTCCCTTTGAAAATGGAATGCTTTTAACAACACCGAAGTCACCTTTTGAATGCTTAGCTACTTAGAAATTTCTTCTGTCAGATACCCTAAATCATCTCTCTCAAGTTCAAAGTTTCACATATTTCTAGGGCAGAGTCAAAATGCCTCCAGTCTCTTTGCTAAAACATAACAAGAGTCACCTTTGCTCCAGTTCCCAACAAGTTCCTCATCTCCATCTGAGACCACCTCAGTCTGAACCTTATTGTTCATATCACTATCAGCGTTGTCAAAGCCATCCAACAAGCCTCTTGGAGATTCCAAATTTTCCCACATTTCCCTGTCTTCTGAGCCCTCCAAACTGTCTCAACCTCTGCCTGTTTACCCAGTTCCAAAATCACTTCCACATTTTCGGTTATCTTTTCAGCAACGCTCCACTCTACCGGTATCAATTTACTGTATTAGTCCAGTTTCACGCTGCTGATAAAGACATACCCAAGACTGGGAAGAAAAAAAGGTTTAATTGGACTTACAGTTCCACGTGGCTGGGGAGGCCTCAGAATCATGGCGGGAGGCAAAAAGCGCTTCTTACATGGATGCGGCAAGAGAAAAAAATGAGGAAGAATGATGGCAGAACCCCCTGACAAACCCATCAGATCTCGTGAGACTTATTCACTGTCACGAGAATAGCACAAGAAAGACCGGCCCCCATGATTCAATTACCTCCCCCTGGGTCCCTCCCACAACACGTGGGAATTCTGGGAGATACAATTCAAGCTGATATTTGGTAGGGACACAGACAAACCATATCAATACTCATGTCTTTCTTTAGAATAATTTTCTTTTTTGTTGTTTAATCATTATTTTTCCTCCATTTATTCCTTTTTTTGGAGGGGAAATTTTATTATTTATGTGCTTTGTATCCTGTATCCTTCTTCTGAGTATTTTATATCATTTTTCTTTTACTGAGATGAGAGAGAGAGAGAGCGCAAGCGTGTGAGAGAGAGCAAACACATGTGACAGAGAAAGCAGATTTAGTTTCTTATTTTTCTTGATGCTTTGGTGTTTTGGAGACTCAAGGGGAAACAGCTGAGTATTCGGGTTGCTTTTCCATGCGCGCTAAAGTGAGATTAAGGAATTCTGGGTTCCTGAGGAGCATTACTTTGTTGAGGCCTGTGACTCTCCTCCAGCAAATGATGAACCCAAAAATTCTTTGGCTTATTCTGGTCTTCTTGGAAAAGGCTTCCTATTATTTTGATCCAAATAAACCTGTAGCTGACCTTCTCTGGTGAGCCAAATGGCTTTTCGTTCCAGTAATTAGAAGAAGGCTGCCACTTGAACCTGAAGAAGCCTGGGAGCAGAATATTTACCTCCAGATCTTCAACAGAGAGATAATGGCCTTCATGTGTACTCAGTCAAATCACAGGAGTGGCAACTTGTGTAGTGCAGCTGAAGACATCTCAGTACATTGATTTATATGAGTAATAAAAGAACACAAATCTATTAGCTGGCAAAGAAAAAAACAATCCACTTAAGAGTACTCAGGAACCTGAGGGAGAAAGGAAAATGGAACGTACAGAACAAGAGGCTTCCATTGAATGTGGGACAGAAAGTTAACAACAGTGATGAGAAATGTGAGAAAAATTCTAGAGGCACTTAGGAGTACACATGCATAAAAATCAATGCTTTTTGGAACTAACAAAAATATGCTCTTTTACTTAAAACATCAATCAGACATATATCTATTTGTCCCTAGGCAGTCATTCAGATCAATTTAAAGTATTTCTTAAACAACTATGTGGCTAGACATGTGTGAAGCACTGTTCACAAAAAAAAATTCTGTTTTTCTTATGTAGTCTTATCAGAGCAGTTGTAAATTTTAACTATTTCTGATGTAGCTTTATTCAAATTGTCATGGTCTTTTTACCACAGTTCTTTATGTTTGTGTATAAGAAAATGTTAGGTGATCAATGTATTTACCATATTGAACCTTGATCTTAGTGGAGTCATAAGGACAGTGCTAGAAAGGACATAGATAAAGGCATAGGCTATATATTGGTAAAAGAAAACAAACTTTAAATGCCATAAATATATGTTTTCACTGTGTTGTTTGTAAAATTGTTGAAATGAATGTTTAATAGCAAATAGAAACACATAATCAGTTGATTCAAATATTTTACATGGTATTTGTCATATTATTCATGTATTATTCTGTTGAAGGGCAAAGTTTTATTTATTTTTCAACATAATTGAGATAAAACACCTTACTGCTTAAAACCTGAATGAACCAGGTATGAGCCTATATTAATAATATTATCTATCAAATTTCTAGGCCTGGTTTTAGTTTTGTTCCTTAGGTTCTGCCTGTTTGCTCTACTATTGAGTGTTTGGATAAATTAGCATAAGGAAAAATATAATTTGAATATTTTCTTTTCAGATAGCTTTCTGTCATCTCCCTTAAACATATAGCAACATTGTTATTGAACATATTAAGGTAACTATATTAAGACATATTTGTGTGCTGTATGAAGAATTTTTTGACTTGTGCTATCTGCTGTTGTATATTCCATTTACTTTTTTCACTTTATGCAGAAGTATTTTTAGATATTTTATGTAGAAATCTGCACTGATCACAAACTTTTTGTACGTTCCCTGTATATTTCTATTGGCATGCATTTCCTTTTCAGTTTTCAGATACAAAGTACTAAGTGTACATTGATCTGTGCTGGCTATCTTCCAAGATTATTGAGTCTTATGCTTTTATGAATTGTTTCTTACTTTTGTACTTGGTTCTGTACACTTAAAAACTATTGATAGAATGCTGGCTATGGGTCAGGTACTGTGCTTGTGGATGAAAACAACACATTGTTCTCCCCTTCATAGAGCTAATATTCTATCATAGAAGTACACCTAGTACAAATCTGAACACAATGCTGTTTAACTACATTTATAAGTGCTAAAACAAGTGTGAGGTTCTAAGAAATCAACAAACATTTAGTGCATTACCCCATAAACAGAGAAGTATGTTAGACTGTGGGGAATTCAAAGTTAAATATGATTCAGTTCCTAGTATTAAGAACTTTATGCTCTAATCTGGAAGACATATAAGTAACTTGCAATTACAAATGGGTGTGATGAGTGCTCTGATAGGTGTAAGCACGGTGCCCTCCAGGGACACATAGGAGGACCACCTGCTCCAATCTTGGAAGCTGAGGGAAGGCTTCTTAGAGAAGGGGTCATAAAAACTAAATGTGCCAAGTAGTAGATAGGTAGATGAAGATGAGAAAGGGACTGGTGAATATGACTCTGGGATTGAGGCAGTAGAGCCAGATGCCAGAATTGGGAACCAAAAGTGATTGATTATGGCTGGAGCATAAATATTTTGTCTATATTTTAATAAAATGTGTTTCCAAAAGAGTAGAGAGTTCATGTCTTCCTACTCTGTTGAGTGAGTTCATGACAGCATGGTGTTAGGAACTGAAGCCAGAATCTCTGAGTTTGAAAACCAGCAAGTTAATAAGTAAAGTTAGCAAGTAAAATAAGCAAGTTAGCAAGTAAACTTAATCGTTTACTGTCTGTGTGCTCTTAGGCAATTTACTTAATGTCTCTGTACCTCATTTTCTTGATCTGCAATCTGGCAATAATCATAGTACCTTCTTCGCACACTTCTCATGATGATCATACATCTCTACAACAAAAGTGCTTAGAAGAATGTATATTCTATATATGCAGTACTGATTAAGTATTATCTATTGTTATTATTTGTAATACAGACAAGCACATTAATGAAAAATAGGCAAGGATAATCTAGCATGAAGCATTGTGATAGAATAGAAAGAGCATGGAATCAAAATTCAGAAGACATGGAATATAGTACTGGCTCTATCTTTACTTACTGTATGTCCAGGCAAGTTAATTGATCTCATTAACACTTAGTTCCCTTATTCATAAACGAAAATAATGATATCTCACTTTTCTCCCTAAATCAGTATAAAAATGATAATTGTTACTGTTGTTATTATTATTGCCAGTATTAGTTACAGAGGAGGAAAAATCTATATTTGGGTAGATATTATTTATCATAAATAACAGCTATTAACTTGAGCCCCTTTAATACTTGCATAACAAGGATGATCATTTTTAGTTGTAAATGTTTTCCTTTGTCCCTGTGGGAATTATTATCCTATTAACATAGGATAGGATTAACTAGTTTAAATTCCATTCCATATATCTGTATCTATCTAGCTAGCTATGGCCATTATTTATGCTATTATATAATAACATCTCAATAGCCCTTCACGATAGTAGTAGGAAGTAACTTGTGTAACCGTATTAATTTATTCTATGTAATATATACTTCATATTATAAACATGATCCAATTTATAAATTTACTCACATTTTCGATTTGCATCAAGTTTGTCTTGTGGAACTTATCATGTCACAACTTCTCATTTGGCTTTGTGTCTTTATCATTGTATAATATACTTACAGAAAGAAAAGGTACCATATTTCTTGGTGAATGTCCTGTAATACCTAACCAAATTCCTTGAATATAACACCTACACAATTGTTTATTGAATGAATGAAGAGCATGCATCAATTTTCAACTGTGTGTTCTAATCAATATTGTAAGATATTGACAAACACATATCAAGAATCTTACTGTATTTGTATAGATTGTAACTATGAAATTGAAAATTAATTTTGGGATAAAATTATAATTGACCTCCTGCTCCCTTTTGTCATGTTAGCTAACTCCTACTGTTTATCTAAATGTTTATCAATGAAGCTCTTCTCTGGATCCCCAGAGTAAGTATCTTTTGTCACATGCACTCATTATAGTCTATTTCTCCTTTGTTGCACTTGTCACCATTGTAATTAAATAATTGAAGTGTATCTATTTGCCTAATGCCCCCCTTACCTGCAAGACAATATACTTCCTTAGGAGGTCGTCTTGTGTTTCTCTGGTGCAGCGCCGTATACTTAGTGCCTAGAATAATTTTTTATATAGGTGCTTAATAAAATGAATTGAGTGAGTGTATGAATACAATATTGATGTCTGTGTGGTCTATTATATTACATACTTTTCTACGTAGTTGTTGCAATTTCTTTAATATACAGTGTTTATCTAATTTATATATATATTTTATAAAGGAATAACTAAAACTCTGGTGCTGTAGACATATATCACATATGTGTCTTCTGGAGAACCAAACTTTGAAATGGACAATGATTTGCATTAAGTTTTTTGGCTTGTGCTTTCTGAGTCAACACTTGTGACTGAATAACTGAAGACGGTGCAGAAAGAGAAAAAAGATAAGCTATAAAGAAGCTATAATAAGCTATTAAGAAGTCACAACAAAGGTTTCAGCTAATGCCATGAGAAGCTCTGCAGCTGAGATGGCACTTCAGATTTTTCCTGAATTGGGACAAGGAGACCAGACCTATATAAACCTGCATTAATCAATCATTGGATGTAGCCTGCACTCCAGAAGGATTTATTCATGAGATAAATGCTCTTTATGAGAGGGACTTTTAAGCTAAGGGTACATGCTAGCAGGGACAACTCAGCAGTGATCTTTCAGCTATCACTGTTTTCAGAGAATGAGTGCATCAGTCTCAAATAGGGGTGGTGATGGTCATAATCTGAGCACTGCAACACTTCCCACTACAGTCTACTCTTTGTGCCACCTGAATCTATTTGCTTCATTTAAGATGTGGAAGCAGCTCATTTTGGATTCTGGGGCCTTCTTTTCTTTGAGAAAATTACAAGATGAAGGTTAACTAGGCAAACTACAGCCTTTACCACAGCAGCTGATCCTACTTTACTATGCAGTTTAGCTCTCTCTAAACTAGTGCTTCTGCTGCTGTAGATTACTTCCTAATGGGATAACCTAAACTTCCATTTATGAGGAGTCTGACCTTGTACTCACCATGTCTCTCTGAGACTCTGCTCAATTTGATCATTTACCTCTAAAATTGGGCAAAATAATTTCAAAAGATAACCAATGGGGCCACATGAGTGAAAACATATTATTCTCCATTCTCATTGAGTAATAGCATTCCTATTCCTTTCTCAATGACCAGGATCAATTACACTGCTATGATGGTGACTCCTTTCTTTACCTGATGATCTCTTGGCAGAAAAAGCCCAAAGTAAATGGGTAATAATCATAGCTTGAAATTTAAATGGGAATTTTGCTCTGTCTCCTAGTAGAAGTATTTGCATCTGGGAGCCAAGACTCCTAAAGCTGCAGAGCTTAAAGCTGTAATTTGGGGAGACACAGATTCTACAAATTGGTCAGTTGGAGTGTCTGTTTCTCATTTCATTCCTGGATCTATCTATCTATCTATGTACCTATCTATCTATCAATTATCTATCTATCTATCATATATCTATCATATATCTATTCTACCTATCTGGGGGCACCAAACCATATTGGTCATTAATTTCACTGTGTCCTGGAAGATCATACCACCCTATTTTCATAAGGTACCATCTGCAAGCTGGTGCCTCAGTCATGCCTTTAATAGGTTATTACATTGTTCTATCAGATTGGCAGATTCTGTGTAGTATCATATATAATTAGAACCTGGTATTCACTGTTGTACCTCCTTTGTTCTAATGTGGGCCAATTTATCTGTGTAAAGGAACATTAGGTAATGTTCAGGATCAGTGAATAAAACACTTGATAAGCCTTTGTTTCACACCCCATAGATAAAAAAAGGCAAACAGTTACCCAGAATGTATGTCATTTCCAGTCAAGGTGAATCAGTATTCAATGTATTCATGTTACCACTAAGTGGCTAATCTCAAGGGATAGGGCCATATCAGTGACTCAGCAATAGTTTCAATCAAATATCAGATATTTGGGAACAGGAGTTTTAATATTTTATTTGGTGTATGCCAGCCCGTGCTGTCTGCCCCCATGAGCACTCTGTTTATCTGCTTGTGGAAGCATTACCATGTGGATTATTACAGATAGTTGTTGCTGTCAACTGGCTGAGATGTTCTGTCTACTTGGCTTTTTAGTGTCACTTTTGTGATGGATGCATTCCAAAGGACAACACCATGAGATATAAACATGTATATAGTTCGTTACCATTCCCATGAGACCAACTATATGATTCTCTCTCAAGTCACCTTATCCTTGATCTTCCAATCTTTCTTCTTTCAGGCTCCTGACCAACTAGCCACACTATAAGCCACTGTCTATGAATCTGTATAAATTCTAATCTCAGGCTACATCTATTTCCACACAAGTGGATAACTCATTGTATTATTGGCTGACACTCTGGACATTAAGCTGACCTTCTCTTCATGGTTGTCTTTCAAGCCACCAGCAAGATTGTAGTATAGCCACAGTCCATTTTCTGCATTCACCCACATGCCAAGCTGATCTGTGAACTAAAAGCAGTCCTTCTCATTCACGTATTGATTAAATGTGACTCACCTCCACCATGTAGTCATTAAGTTTGAACTGAAGAAGAGGGTAAGTGTTATATTGGTAGATGACCTGAGTGGGGTGGAGGGTCTAGGCCGTGTAGGAGTCTACGTTGTGACTGATTCTTCTATTAGAATTTGACATAACCTCTACTTGGTAACTTTACCACTGCACATATTTATAATACAATAGGGTCTTAGGAATCATAGTGGTCCAAGTGGCATGACAGGTTACACACTATAGCCTTGTCCTGCTACAAAGCGAGTTCCTGCTATGAAGTTCATCCCAAACTGATGATTTTACATCACCTGACATATGGTTCAGAACAGTATTCCCAAGTATGTAATATGTGCTCTATAGAACCTGAAGAGGCCTGGCAGGATTTGTGCTTCCCTCTTAGTGGTTAGAAATGGGGGTTGTCCCTTACATTAGAGAGGAAGTCCTATCATTTTCCAGATCACTGTGTACTCCCCTCCCCCGCCCAAATTTTACTCATCTGGCAGGCGCTTGTAGGTTTTATCTCCCATACTCTGGAGTGCACGTGTCCTACCAAGGCCTCCAATGTACTTGCCATTTCTTGTTCATCCAGTTTGACTAACATAATATAATGATATATTGGACCAATATGATGTTTCGTAGCATGTTCAGATTGCCCACATGTCTTTAAACTATTTTAAAATAGGTAGCAGGAGAGTTAACATAGCCATAGGGAAAAACTACAAATGCACATGTGGTCGATCCAAAATAAATGAGATCTGTTTCTATCCTATTTTGGTTAGGATTGAAAAGACATTCACCAGATTTATGGACATATACCAGGTATCTGAGGCCATGTTATTCTGCTGTAGTTGCAATATCACATTTGGCACAGTAACTGGAAATAGGGCTAGTGGTAATTTAATTTGTCATAATCAACTGTCACATTTGAGGATCCAACTGGCTATTGTAGGAACCAAACTCAGACTGGTAAATTAAACAGAGATATAATGGTGAAAACCATGCTTGTATACCTTAGGTCTATATAGTTGGCACTGATTTGTATTACTGCTCAGGAGACAATATTTGTTTCACTATCTGGTCTTGGACAAAGTGGACAATCTCAGAGAATTCTAATTGGTCTTTTCTGCTACAAAAGCTCCAACCCAAGAAACCAATATGGGGGTTCTGCCAACTACCTATTATATGCATTTCAATTTTACATTCATGGGTCATGGAAATGGCTGCTAGTTGGACGTGGACCCAGTGGATTCATTGCAAATCAGACCTAGTCCTGGACTCCGCCATTTATTACCCGGCTCCCAGATATAGTCTGGATATGTGTCCCTGCCCAAATCTCATGTTGCAATGTAATCTCCAGTGTTGGAGGTGGAGCCTGGTGTGAGATGGTTTGATCATGGTGGTGAATTTCTCATGAGTGGTTTAGCACTATCTAACTTAGTACTGTCCTCATAATCATGACTGAGTTCTCATGAGATCTGGTTGTTTAAAAGTGTCTAGCACCCCCTCCCTCTCTCTTTTGTTCCTGCTCTGGTAATGTGACATGCCTACTCCTTCTTTGCCTTCCATCATGATTGTACATTTCCTAAGGCCTCCCCAGAAGCTGAGAAGATGCCAGCTCATGCTTCCTGTACAGCCTGCCGAACTGTGAGTCAATTAAATCTCTTCTCTTTATAAATAACTCAGTCTCAGTTATTTCTTTATAGCAATGTAAGAACAGACTAACACTTCCATACACCCTCATTTCATTTGGGGAGCTACAAATGACATTTTTTCCCCTGAGTATCAACATCAATTCAGACCTTGTGTCCAACAGTCCTCAAAATGTTTGGAGTTTACCTATCAGTACTATACTCTTTTAATTATAATTTTATTTTTTTTATTTTTTGGGGTACGTAATAAGTGTATATATTTATGGGGTACATGAAATATTTTGATGCAGGCATATATAGTGTGTAATAATAACATCAGGGTAAATAGGGTATCCATAACCTCAAGCATTTATCCTTTGTGTTACGAAGAATTCGATTATACTATTTTAGTTATTTTAAAATGCACAATAAGTTATTGCTGCCTGTAGTCACTCTGTTGTGCTATCAAATATTGGATCTTATTCGTTTTATCTAACTTTATTTTTTTACCCATTAATTATCCACATTCTCCCAACACTCTGACTGCCTTCCTCAGCCTCTGGTAAATATCATTCTACTCTCTATCTCCATGAGTTCAATTGTTTTAATTTTTAGCTCCCACAAATAACTGAAAACATGTGAAGTTTGTCTTTTTTTGCATAGTATACTCTTATGCAAGAAAATAGCCATAGGCCTCCTTGAGGACAGATTGGCAGAATCATTACTATATATACTTCTCATTGCATTGCAAGTTCCTTCTTCATGGGGACCTGACCTCTTCTTCAGATAATGGGTTGCAGGCGCAGCTCTAGAAAGTGGACAAATGATTATAACACTTTTATTGAGGTAACTGCCATCATCCAACCTCAATTTCTTTCAGCTTTGTAGTTTGAACAGTATCCTTGTTGGCTGCCCGTATATCTGTCTCCCAGGGCTCAGTATTCTATTAACCATGTCCATTGCTCTTCATGGGTCGTGACTCCCTTCTATGCTGCTCTGACCTTTTTGCTCATAATAATTAGACTTGCCTTGCCTATGATGGTAAAACTGAGTTAACTCTCTAATGGTATCTCCCACTGCCACCACTGAGCTTCTTGGTGATGCTAGCACCCTTCTCACCAGAAAATTCTTTATTGTTAGATAAATTATGTCTCTTCCAGGCCCTCCAATGGAACATAATCATCTAGTAGGTTTTCCGGCCTTACATTACATATATATACTGTGTGTGTGTGTGTGTGTGTGTGTATACTGTGTGTGTGTGTATATATATACGTACTGTGTGTGTGTGTGTATATATATATATGTATACTATGTGTGTGTATATATATATATATATACTGTGTGTGTATATATATATATATACTGTGTGTGTATATATAGTGTGCGTATATATATATAGTGTGTGTATATATATAGTGTGTGTGTATATATATATACTGTGTGTATATATATATATACTGTGTGTATATATATACTGTGTGTATATATGTATATACTGTGTGTGTATATACAGTATATATATATACTGTGTGTATATATATATATATACACTGTGTGTGTGTGTGTGTATATATATATATATATATATATATATATATTCTAATATACTTAATTATATAAGCCTTCTGGTTCATTATTTCATGATCTTCCATGGCTGTTCTGCCATTTCTACTTCACCTAGTGAGGTTACTTTCTTTCTCCACATTTCTAAGACCCATTCTAATAACCAGGTAATACCATCTATTGTTGCTAACTTTTACAGACCACGAGTCAGCAAACATTTTTATATAAGGGGTAAGATAGGATTTTAGGCTCTTCAGGACATAGAATCACTGATTAGAAAAAACATAATTTATAAAAACATGCATGGGCTATAGTTTGCTAACTTTTGATATAGACTATATCCTGGAATAATTCTCTCATATTGATATACTCTGTCTTATCCAAATTTATGTTCCATCCTCCTTGATCCAACATTTTGAGAATACAGTGCCATAAATACTGTCCTGGTCACTGCCTGTATATGCCATCTGGGCATTGCCGCTCCTTTAGGGTATAAGCTCTGTTTTCCCCTAGAGACATAGCACTTCACTGGCAAAATTATGTTATGACAATCTTAATAATTGGTGTGATGGTCAGAAGAAGAGATGGAGAAATGAGTATGTCAGTCTTGATGGGAGGCTCTTGATGGCACACCACATCATCATCATCTGCTAAAATTCAATATCTCTCCAGTCAGATTATTCTGATGAAGATTACCTTCAAAAGCAGGTGAATAAACAACCATGAATAAAATTAAATGTAAGCATTTAGCCTACAAGCCTCACTTTGTGATATAAATTAGTGAAACTGGTTTTGTACATACCTATGTTGTCATAAGATGACTATGTCTTCACTTTCATTTCTGAGATGTACAGGGCCAATCTTGTTCAAAAGAGTAAAGCAAGTGAAATATCAACAGCAGCCAAATTTATATATCCTTTCCCTATTTTAAGGCTAGGAAATCCCTATCTCTATCCTTCCCCATACCTTAATTTCAGCTATCCATTATCATTTATGTTGCATTAATTTTTTTGCCAAGAAGGAATTAGATCAACAGAGCCTCACTGAGATGCAACTGACTGATAAATATTAAAATTCCTTCATTCAACATGTATTTAATATTTGAGGATACCTACTTTGTGACAGTCTTCTATGTACTAGGACTGCAACATTGAGCAAATAGAGAAAATCCCTAATATACTAAATCTTACATTCCAGTATGTGTGCATGTGTGTGTGACATAAATAAAATTATACACATAAAACAATCCAGATAGCAAAAAGTGTTGTAAAGCAAATAAAGCAACGCAAATTGGAAAAGTGACTAGAGGTGGATGTCAACTTTAGCTAGGCTGGCCAAGGAGCGCTTGTTACTTGAAGCTGAAATGATAAAGAGCTAATCAAATGAAATTCTGAGAAGAATATCACAGAAAATAGAATAGACAATGAAAAGATAAGATTCTGGAATTCATTTGGTATATTTAAGGCTTATGAGAAGGCTACTATGGTAGATTAGAGAAAGTAAGTAGCATGGAAGATTATAGAAAATGAAGTTGGAGAGATAGGGGCTAGATCATGCTAAGCCTTGTTAATAAATAGCTTGAATTTTATTATAATATTTATAAAAGATTTTCATGGAAGTAATATCAGCTTACCATTTGAAAAGATTATATTTTCTCCTATGTGAAGATTCAAAGCAACAGCAGAAGCAAGGACTCCTGTGAGGATGTTATTGTAATTCACAGTAAGAGGATTTGGGATCCTCCAACTAGAATGGTAGCACTCAAAATGGAGAGAAATACATGGATATTTTCACTGTCAACAGAGATCAAATCTCTAAGGATGATTAATAAAACAATAAGATATGATATTAGAAAACAGCCAGTGGTGGATGGGCATACATATTGGTTAGCAAGAAATGCCCATTACCTGTGAAATTTCATGACAGAGGTAGCTATAAAATGGGCCAAAATATAAACACAATCTTGAGAACTTAAAAAAAAAAGAATGCAAAAGTTTCTGAAAATATGTTAATGGTGATATTTTATTGCTCTTTAAAAGAAATCCATTTCAGATTTAGACTGAGATGACTGTGTTATAAAATATTTGTAGTATCATCATTAGAATCACATTTGGTGACCAATTTACAATGAAGTTCCCTCCTGGAAGTGATGTTCACTTCTTGAAAATTATTTAAAATTTCATAAGAATTTTTTTTTCCAAAAATCTGTTCAAAGTAAAATGTCTATAATTTTTATTCTGGTCTTTCTATGTTTTCAAAATCATAAATATTTTGTTTTTTAAACTGCTAAAAATCACCAAATTTTGACTAAATCACTTAAGAGACTTATTACATCATATTACATTTTTGAAAAGTAATTTCATGTATTTTCTCTAAATGTGTCACTCATTGTTTTCAGGCAGCATTTTATGTTGAGCTCAGATATGTCTCCATACTTTGGACTCTTGGCTCATGTTCTAGAAATTTGTTGTAAAATGATTCTGTGGCTGATCAGTGTTTCAAATTTTAATACGTATTTTCTGGTACAAATATAATCTGTAAAATTGCTTAAAGACCTCAGGCAAGGAAAAAAAGAAAAGATTGGCTTCGTTAACCTATTAACCTAAAGATTTTACCACCCCAGAGCATTGGGAATTCACAGTCAGGTAAGCAAAGTGCCTGGAAAATTGAAGTCAGGAATGAGATTAGTATTGTAGGTTTATCCATATTGGAGGAAATATCACAAGGTGAGAATGGCTGATTTTGCAGAGGCAAAATAAATAGTTCCTATGAGAAAGGACTTTTGAGTCAGGCGGAACTTGGCTGAGTCCTGGTTGTGCTACGTACCAGCTACATAAACTTGAGCCAGTGTCTTAAAATTTCTGTGCTTCAGCTTTTTCATTTGTATAGTAGAAATTCATTCATACATTAAATGATTCTTTTAACAGATGTTTATGAGCACCTATTATGTTCCAGGCACTCTTAATTGACACCAAAATTCTGTAATAAATGAGACAACAGTCTTATCCTCAAGTAGGTTGTTCTTAATAGTAGCCACTTAATAGGGTTTATAAGAAATGAAATGAAATAAGATAAAGCATGTAGAGCACTTAGCAGAGTACCTGATATGTTATAGCCATGAAATAAATGTGCCTAGATTAATATACCATTTTTTGTAAAAGTTTACTTTTGCAATGTACACTATATGTATCATAAAGAAAGGTGTTTTATTTTAGTACATCAGTCCTGAGAATAGTTGATATTCATTTCAAAATAAATAAAATAAATAAAACTGCTTAATACTTTCAAACTCTTCTGCTCTGAATGGGGAAAGAGAAAAGCAGAGTTGAAAGATAACATTTCCTAAAATTATGCCATCCTCTAAGCATCTTCAGCATGTTTAGATAGAGAGTTAGAGGAGACTAATGACTTAAGATCCAAATAAATAGCATGAGAGAGTAAAAACAAACAAACAAACAAATCCCCCAAAACTATTAGGAAAATCCTAATGTCTTAAAATTTTAAGATGGGAGAAATTAAAGTGCCTTGGCAGTTCTTTTTCTTAACTTATTGATTTCGATATACTTTCATGTACCCATGATGACCTTCTGGTCAATGATGGACCACATGTAAGATGGTGGTCCCATAAGATTATAACGGAGGTGAAAAATGCCTATAGCCTAGTGATATCTTGACGATCCTGAACCCGTGTGGGCTTAGCCTAATATGTATGTGTATTAAGTTTTAACAAAATTTTAAAAACAAAAGGTAAAGATAACTTCAAAAATGGAAAAAAGCTTATAGTATAAGAATATAAAGAGAAAATATTTTGGTAAAGCTATACAAAAGGTTTTAAGTGAAGTGTTATTACGAAAAGGTCAGAAAATTAAAAAGATTTAGAAGTTTATGAAGTAAAATGTTACAGTACGCTAAGTTTATTATTAAAGACAGATATTTAAAAAATAAATTTAGCGAGTCTGGGCACGGTAGCTCACGCCTGTAATCCCAGCACTTTGGGAGGCTCGAGCTGGGAGGATCACCTGAGGTCAGGAGTTCGAGACCAGCCTGGCCAACATTGTGAAACCCCGTCTCTACTTAAAATACAAAAAGTTAGCTGGGTGTGGTTGTACGCACCTGTAATCCCAGCTACTCGGGAAGCTGAGGCAGGAAAATCACTTGAACCCGGGAGGCGGAGGTTGCAGCGAGCCAAGATCACGCCACTGGCACTCCAGACTGGGGGACAAGAGTGAGACTTCATCTCAAAAAGATAAAAAAAAATAAAAAATAAATAAATTTAGTCTAGCCAAAGTATACAGTGTTGATAAAATCTATCAACAGTAATGTCCAAGAGCTTCACACTCAGTACCCATTGACTTACCTAAAGCAACTTTCAGTCCTGCAAGTTCCATTCATGGTAAGTGCCCGTCACAAGTGTATCATTTTTTAATCTTTTACATCCTATTTTTGCTCTACTTTTTCTATGCTTAGATATGTTGATACATGAATACTTACCATTATGTTACAATTTCCTACAGTATTTAATACATAACAGTAACATGCTACAGGTTTGTAGCCTAGGAACATTTGGATGTACCATATAGCCTAGGTGTGTAGTAGGCTGTACCATCTAGGTTTGTGAAAGTACACTTTACGATGTTCTCAGACGAAATCGCCTAATGACATATTTCTCAGAGCATGTCCCTATCATTAAGTTATTAATTACTATACACTCAGAAGTGGGATCCCTGGATCATATGGTAGTTCTAGTTTCAATTTTCTGTGGAACTTCCATACATTTTCCATAATAGTTGTACCAATTTGCATTTCCAAGAACAATGTACAAGAGTTCCCTTTTCTTCACATCCTCACCAACACTTGTTATCTTTCCTCCTTCTGATAATAGCCATTTTAATACGTATGAAGTCACACGTCATTGTGATCTTGATTTACATTTCTCTGATGATTGGTGATGCTGACCACTTTTTCACATATCTGTTAGCCATTTGTAGGTCTTCTTTGGAGAAATATCTATTCAGGTCCATTTTAAAATCAGGTTATTTGAATTTTTGCTATTGTGTTAAGCTCCTCTTCTCAGATACATGGATTGTAAATATTTTCTCCCATTCTGTAGGTTGCCATTTGACTTTGGTGGTTGTTTTCACTGCTGTGCAGAAGCTTTTCATTTTGATACAATACCACTTGTATAGTTACGTATTTGTTGCCTGTGATTTTTAGGGTCATACCAAAAAATTATTCCCCAGACCAAAGTCAAAAAATGCTTCCCGGTGTTTTTTCTCTGGTAGCTTTAGTTTCAGATCTTACATTTAAGTCTTTAACCCATTTTGAGTTGATGATTTTGTATGTGGTATGAAATAAGCACTTAATTTCATTTTTATGCAAGTGGATATCCAGTTTTCACAACATCATTTATTGAAGAAATTATCCTTTCCCCATTATGTGTTCTTGGAATGCTTCTTGATGATCAACTTATTGTAAATGCATGATTTATTTCTAGGCTCTCTTTTCTGTTCCAAAGGTCTATATGCCTGTTTTATGCCAGTGTCATATTGTTTGGATTACTGTAAGTTTGCAACATATTTTGAAATCAGGAAATGTGGTGCCTCCAACTTTGTTCTTGTTCAAAATTTCTTCAGTTATTTAGGATCTTTTGTGGTTCCCTATGCATTTTAAGATTTTTTTTCTATTTCTGTGAAAAATGACATTGGAATTTTGATAGTGACTGCATTGAATCTGTAGATAACTTTCAGTAGTATGAATATTTCAACATTAATTATTCTAATAAGTGAGCATGGGATATCTTTCCATTTATTTCTGTCTTCATTTTCTTCAGCAATATTTTATTTATAGTTCTCCGTGTACAGATGTTTTACCTTCTTGATTACATTTATTTCCCAGTAGCATATTCTTTGTGATGCCAGGGTAAATTGAATTGTTCTTTTAACTTCTTTTTCAGGTAGTTTGTTGTTAGTATATAGAAATTCAATTTACTGTTTAAAAACTTTTAAGTTCTGGGGCCCATGTGCAGGTTTGTGATACAGGTAAACTTGTGTTATGAGGGTTTGTTGTAAAGATTATTTCATTACCCAGGTATTAAGCCTAGTACACATTAGTTATTTTTCCTGATCCTCTCCCTCCTTCCACCCTCCACTCTCCAATACACTCCATTGTGTGTTGTCCCCCTCTATGTGTACATGTGTTCTCATCATTTAGCTCCCACTTATAAGTGAGAACACATGGTTTTTTTTTTTTTTGGTTCCTGCAAAGTGCATGATCTTGTTCTTTTTCTATGGCTGCATAGTATTCCATTGTGTATATGTACCACATTTTTTTAAATCCAGTCTATCACTGATGGGCATTTAGGTTGATTCCATGTCTTTGCTATTGTGAATTCTACTGCAATGAACATTTGCATGCATGTGTCTTTATGGTAGAATGATTTATATTCCTCTGGGTATATACCCAGTAATGGGATTGCTGGGTCAAATTTCTGTTTTAAGTCTGTGAGGAATTGACACACTGTCTTCAACAATGGTTGAACTAATTTACACTCCCACCAACAGTGTATAAGCATTCTTTTTTTTTTTTACACAACCTTGCCAGCTTCTGTTATTTTTTGATATTTTAATAATAGCTCTTCTGACTGCTGTGAGGTGGTATACTATTGTGGCTTTAATTTGCATTAGAAATGCAATTGATTTTTGTATGTTAACTTTGTATGTTATAACTTTACTGAATTCATGTATTAGTTCTAATAGTTTTTTGGAAATAATTCATATGCTGTATAATATTTCATACAAATTGTTAGTTACTTATATTTATACAAATCTATGGATATATATTTTGGTTGGCTTTTAAAGTAAAATCTGACTGTTTTGAGTAATCGAATAGTCACTTTCAAATTCAAAGTTCTTCAATAGTTTTTTAATTGTATTTATAATATAACCCAAAATCTACACATTAGTCTACAATGTCAAATTTGATCTATTCCATTCCAGCTTCTGCATCATAATCTGAACCACTCAACCCCTTGCTTATTTGCTTTTTAAAGTGTATATTGATCATGCTCCTGAGCTTTTGTGTTTGCTGTTCTCTGAACCTGAAACACTACTCTCAGCTATTATTGCTGCTTCACTTTGTTCCCATTTCTGCTAAAGTGCTACTTCCCTAGAGATGTCATTCCTGAGATCCTTTGTGGAAAATAGCCCCCAATCTTTGTCCTCTTGCCCTTCTCTATATTTTCATTGCACATATCATCACCTGACATAGGTCCAACCACAGAAACACACATCTATCTATCTATCTATCTATCTATCTATCTATCTATCTATTATCTATCTACCTATCATCTATCATCTGTCTATCTACCTATCTATCTTTATCTATCTATCTATCTCTATATCTATCTATCTACCTGTCATCTATCATCTGTCTATCTACCTATCTATCTTTATCTATCTATCTCTATATCTATCTATCTATCTATCTATCTATCTATCTATCTATCTATCTGTCTCTCTATCTGTCTATCTATAGTTGAGGGCAGCATTATGTCCTTAAAGGACTGGAAAAATATCTGGCATATGGTACACACTGAGTAAAAAAACCTTGGGGAATGAATTTGCAGCTGAATAAGTAAAGTAAACTTCTTTTGCCCTACTGTCATTGCCTGAAAAATAAAATTGATGATATAAGTACCTGGTCAGAGATATATAAACATGGTTCATCAGTATTTAAAAGGCTTTATTAAGCAATTCAACTCTGTTTTTTGTAATGTTTATATCTCAGGCCTCTTATTTCCCTCTTCTTATGTCCCTATACAATTTTAACTTTGTATAGATCATGGTCGATGTTCTGTACTCATACTAAAGTCATTTAATAATGGACATTTTCTAGATACAAGAAAATTCTTTCCTCAAAGTTTCAATAAAATATCGCTATGTCTAAAAATGTTTTCCTTTTGGTGAATTATAAACTTAAATCACTAGGGAATTAGAAATGATAAGATACTTTGTTTAGGTTCTATATAGCAACTCCCTGGGGCTTTAATTGAAATATCTAAATAAAGTTCATTTATATGATACCTCTTAAAGTTAATGCACGGTTTAGTAGCTCTTTTGTGATCTTTAATATGCAATTATTTCAGCTTATGTGCTTAGCATTTGATATTCTAAATTGTGCTTAAGACATTTTTAAAACTAGAATATTTTACAAAGACATATATTTAACAGTAACATATCGGTATCGTTTCTTTACTATTTTTGATTGTGCTTTTTGAAATATTTGGTTTGGAATTAATGCTAAAGTTTTGTACATTCTGCACTTATTTTCTCATATTTTAGGTGTTTTTTTAAAACACAGTCAAAAACATGTGCTCTACTTTTTTTTCCAAAATATATAGCATTTAATATAGAGTTAGTCTGTTTTTTTCACTCCTTGCCCTTATTTATCTTTCCTAGTGACTTTGAATATGGAAAATGGGCCAAATGCTTTGCTCTTGTGAGTATGACAATTTTAATAATAACAACGAGTAATGTAGTGATGCCAGAAGTAACAAATGAGGATTAGAAAAACATGCAAAGTAAGTCATCTAAGTTTTAGATCCGAATCAAGTATTCAATACTATGTAATCATTGACAAATTATTTATCCTTCCTGAATCTTTCTTTATAAGACAACAAAGGGTAGATCTTTCTTGCCTAACTCACAGAGTTTTTATAAAAATCAAATGTGTTAAAATAAGTGAAAGGACGAATAATATAGTTTAAAACTATGAAAATGGTAAATGCTAATTGAAATACAAACTTATAGAAATGACACACTCTAATTTTTGTAAAGTTTTGAAAATAAGTAATGAGTTCTCTTAATAAGCATTTTTAATGCCTTACTGTTTGCTAGATACTATGCAGGAGTCACACACAGACATCCACAGAAGGATCTCATAGGCTTATGAAAGAGGCATTCAGTTAAACAGAGAATAATGAAACATTGTGAAATCCCTTGAGTTAGAGGCCCATCATCTAGAGTAACATAATATGGCATATATATATATATATATATATATATATATATATGTATATATATGTATATCTGTGAACTAACCTTTAAGGACTAGAAGAAGAGGAGCTTATTTTTAAAAATAGAAGAAGAAAACTAGTGGTCAAAGAAGTATGAGAAAAATCAGATGAGTTGGTGGGGGGGGTCAGAGAAATCAAGGAAGAACAATAATTAATAAAGATATCAACAGTGTCAACTGCAGGAGAGAGGACCATGAGGATAAATACTTAAAAATGTCCATTAGATTTGGCAATTAAGGCGCTATTGGCGAGTTTACCTGAACCAGGTTTTAATAGAATTGTGAAAACCAACAGAGATTTACAGCAGACTGGGAACCCAGGAAAGTATAAGGACTTGTAGTCATTATGTGCAAATTATTATTTCAAAATGTTTGGTTGCAAAAAGCAATCAAGTTTGGGTAGTGAACCAAGAGGGCATGAAGAATCAACAGATGTCTGTCAATCCTTTGACACTCATCGAGGCAATTTTTAGTGGTAGATGTGTAGACCTTGGACAGAAGTAGAGAAATCTCCAAGTCTTGAGGAGATGTATATTAATTGGGATGGTTAATATGGGTAAATCTGTAGATAAAAAGACAAGAATTTGAGGAAATAATGACTTCACATGTCATTGTTTTGAAATGAAAATAAGCCTTCTGTTCTTAGAGTCAGACATAGAAGTTGAATTGTCTTAAAGAGAATATTGTATTTTTAAAATTTTCTCTGAAAGAAATGAGCAAAAGTGAAAGAGTAAAGGAAGGAAAACTTAGATTGGTAAAATAGTTTCAATCATAATTAAACATTCATAATTTATGGTTAGAAAGTTAATATTGAAACCCAGCATTTGCCACTTACTGGCCGTGTGACCTCTCTGTGACTCAATACCTTCACCTGCAAACTTAGATAATAATAGTAATGGGTAGGGTTTCTATGAGTATTAAACAAGAAAATTTATATAAAGCATTTAGCACAGTGTTTGCCACAGAGTGAGCCCTGAATAAATGCAGTGAAAACTAGGAAAAAAAAACAGATTAAGGGAGAATAAGGACAAAACTCATGTGTAGATGAATAAATGCATGGGAGATATGGAAGGTTAAGAAATTATGATCGGTGAGTTGATTATTAAGAGTGGTTTTGGCTAAATGGAATTTTCAGGTATTGGTCTTGGGAGAGATGTTCCTGAAGTAGAAAAGAGGAGAAGTTTACTGGCGTTGTGAAGACCCAGACATTTAAAGTTTGGGCTATTGGATAGGCATCCTAAATGGGTTATGAAATCTCTCAATTTTGTGGCAAGAACTAAGTAAGAGGATACGATATGGAGTAAAGTATGAAAATCTCAATAAGCAAGAGTTGGGAGGGAGGCTTTTAAAAGCTTTTTTTGGTTTATGTCCTCTGTAAACTTTCCACTAAAAGGAAGGTTGTACCTCTTCTTCAGAATGACTATTTTTTTTAATGAAGTTGATCAGCCAGCAAGTAGAAGCATTTTAGAATAAGAAGGCATTAACAAAGTAGAAAAAAATAATTTAATATTTTATTCAGTATGTGCTATGGTCTGAATATCTGTGTCCCTCTCCCCTAAATTCATTTGTTGAAATCCTAATCCCTGAGATCATAGTATTAGGAGTTGTGTACTTTGGATGATAATTAGGTCATGAGGACCAAGCCCTAATGAATGGAATTAGTGCTCTTATACAAGGGCCCAGAGAGCTAGCTAAACCTTTCTACCATGTATGGACACAGAAGGCACTGTCTTTGAACGAGTAAACAGGCCCTCATCAGACATAGAATCTGTTGCCACCTTGATCTTGGACTTTCCAGCCTCCAGAGCTGTGAGAAATACACTTCTCTTGTTGTCTAGATCAACAATAAGCTACCCAGTTTATGGTATTTTGTTATATCCTAAATGGACTAAGAAAGCATGTGAACATCTATATTTTATGAAGTTAATAAAATTAGTTTAAATTACACACTCGGCTATAAAATCTTAAGTGATAAGGTAATTCTTCTTATGAAAGTCTATCTTACAACTTTAAACACTTAAGTAAGGAAGGCAGATAGGATTTCAGGAAGTGTGTAAGTTTCCAAGGTTTCATCTTGATCATCATTGTTTTTTTCATTTTTAACTTCATCTTCTGGATAGTCAGACAAAAATATAAGCATTTTTTGTTAGTTTCTATCCCATTTTGACCAAATGGGACCAAAAATACCCATTTTGACCAAATGGGTATTGGTCAAAATCTTCATAATATGCACTCACAACTTAATAAGTAGGTTCTCTTTTTATTATATATTTCATGATAATAAAATTTCTTGGAAAGATAGGAAAATTATTACCAATATTAATGTCTGTTCATTGACTATACTGTCATTTGAGGACTAAACATATTGTCATATAACATTAATAACTCATTAATACTTCCTCTAGATCTACTTGCTATCCTGAATGGATTTAGCATCTCATTGAAAAAATATGTACTGCAAAAATAAATGTCAGATGCTTTACTTTCTTATCAATTTAGTTTTGTTTTATTCTAAGTGTATAACTTTCTTAGGTTTCCAGTCAGAACTAGTTTGGATGTGAAAAACAAAATTAATTACATTTCATAATTATTACTATTTAGTGAATCTAGAGTATTTCAATTTATTCTAAGTATATGTCACAATAACATAAATGTCATCGAAAACAAATTCATCTGCTCTTTCTTGGCCTGAATATATAGCATCTATAGTAGTGGTTCTGCCAGTTAACCAGACACTTGGTGCCAGATTAGCTAAGCATCTGGCATAAAGAATTTGTCTTTCACTCAAATATGAGAATGTTTTTGGAGGTTATGGTTGACTCCACAGAGATTAGGCAGAAATACTGAGTTAAATCTAACAGAATTTTAGAAAACTCACTCTAGCTTTAGAGATTGCATGATGATTCTGGAGCTGATCTAAAGGCCCCAGTAAGTTATCACCTGCACCTGGAATATTTGGATTTCCTTTGTTAATTGTTATAATGTGGGCAGAAGTTTTGCCTTTATGGTGAATCTATGAATCCTATAGCACCCTATCACTCAGTACCAATTTACCACATGTAATAATGAATAAACAGCTGAGACAATAATTCTAATAGATTTTCATGCCTTTCTGTACTTCAGTACCATATTTTCCTCTAGTGTCTTAAAGAAATGGTACTGGCCATGACATACCTATTTAAAGCATAACATTTTCCCCCATTTACTCACCTGTATTTGATCTAAATGAGAATAACTAATTTTAACTATGTGTGAAGAATAAATAAATTTATTTTTAAATATGAATCAATGGTTTTAAGAGCCTGATCTTTAGATTGGATTCATTTTAGTACCAGCAATTTCCCTGTTGGACTTTATATTCTAACCACACTTAGTATTGAAAAATAACCTTCATTCCCTGAAATATATCCAGTTTTGTTAACAGCATACTTTGATACTAGTAGATTTAACTTTTATGGTTTTGAGTAGCTTGCAAAGCCATAGCATGTAGTGATTTGTAATTTTTCTGAATCACTAATTTGAATCATATGCGTTTTGAAGTTGACATGAATACATAATTCTAGCAGTTAGCTTAGTACTTACATATCTAAGCAACAACAACAACAACAAAAAATATCAGCTCCTAATATCCAGAAACTGCCCTGGTACTACCATTTAGGCTTTGGTGTGGTTACAAGTTTTCCTGCCATTTGCAACAAAGTCTTGATGTTCTCCTGTTGAACATAAACAACTTCACAGTGCATCAACGTTAGACGATGTCACTCTCTGGCCATGATGAAGCAAGATAAAAACAAGACCACTCAATAACCATGTCAATGCCCAGACAAAAACAAATGCCCAAACCATAAAATATCAAAACACTTCTCTTGGGCTATCAGTTTTCTATTTTTGCCACAACAGATTACCACAAATTTATCAGCTTTATTATTGCACAATTCTGTAGATCAGAAGTCCAGGTACAGTAGAGCTTATATGCTTTTTTTGCTCTAACACAACACGGAAATTGAGGTATTGGCAGGGCTGTATTCACTTCTGGTGGCTCTGGGGGAAGAATCTGCTTCCAAGCTCATTCAGGTTTTTGCAGAACTCAGTTTCTGCCATTTATGAAAATGAGAAGCTGCTTTCTTTTCTGGCTGTTAGCTAGGGGCTCTTTTCACCTAGAGGTTGCTTGCACTGTTTCTTATGATTTTCATGTGATCCTCCGCTTAGCAATGGTGAGTAGTCAGACTTCAAATCTCTCTGACTTCCCCTCTGCCACATCACTCCTGCCTTCTCTGCTTTTTAAAAAAGACTATGAGTGACTAGACTAGACTCACCTGGATAATGTAGGATAAATTCCCTACTAAATTATTAATTCAATTAGTAATTAAATTAGTGGTTCAGAAAAATTACAAATCACTACATGCTATGGATCTTCATAAGATCCATGACCTTAATTACATCTGCAAAGTCTTTTTTGCCATACAAGGTACATGTTAGATGGATCCAGGGATCAAACGTAGGAGTGGACAACTTTAGGGGACCATTCTGCATACCACGCCTGGCTAACATGACTGACTGCTGGTCCTATACTGAGATGGTTAATACTGACTGTCAACTTGATTGGATTGAAGGATACAAAGTATTGATCTTGGGTGTGTCTGTGAGGGTGTAGCCAAAGGAGATTAACATTTGAGTCAGTGGGCTGGGAAAAGCAGACCCACCCTTAATCTGGGTGGGCACAATCTAATCAGCTGCCAGCACGGCTAGAATATAAGCAGGCAGAAAAATGTGAAAAGAGATACTGGCCTAGCCTCCCAGCCTACATCTTTGTCCCGTGCTGGATGCTTTCTGCGCTTGAACATGGGACTCCAAGTTCTTCAGTTTTGGAACTCAGACTGGCTCTCCTTGTTCCTCAGCCTGCATATGGCCTATTGTGGAACCTTAAGATTGTGTGAGTTAATACTTTATATATATATATATATATATATGTATATATATATTCCACTAGTTCTGTCCCTCTAGAGAACCCTAATACATATACTAATGACAGTTTTATCTTTCTTCTTGTCTCTCCTCTCTATAAATTTGATTTATTAAAAAATACTCGATCATAGAATGATCTTTAGTTACTGAGAACATCTAATGCAGAGCATAGTCCCACTTCCTTAATCACCTGACTCAACCTCATAACACCTAATAGGACCCTAAATCTTTTAGCAAGTCTTTTCTGACACCTTCCTACTGAGACTAGAATTGTTAAATAAAATACAAGATGTTTACTGAAATGTGCATATCAGATAAAAAAATATGTTTTTAGTATAATTAGTTACAAATATTGCATGGAACACATTTTAAATAAAAATTTCATAATTTATATGAAATTCAAATTTAAATGGGTATTCTGTATTTTTATTTGCTAAACCAAGCAAACCTATGAGACACTTCGTGGTTCCAGAGGGTGTGTTTTCACCCTTGCTGCAATGAGTAATAAACCCAAATTATTCTACTATATGTGTGTTCTTGGTGATCTTTGATTGAAGGGCATTGAAATATGGTATTAGTCCATTTTTCCACTGAAATAGAGAACTGCCCTAGAGTGGGCAATTTATAAAGGAAACAGGTTTAATTGACTCATGGTTCATCATGGCTGGGGAGGATTCCGGAAATTTACAATCATGGTGGAAGGTGAAGGGGAAGTAATGAACCTTCTTCACAAGTCAGCAGGAAGGAGAATGAATGCAGGAGGAACTGCCAAGCACCTATAAAACCATCAGATATCATGAGAACTCACTCACTATCATGAGAAAAGGATGGGGGAAACCACCCCAATGATTCAATCACCTCTACCTGGTCTCACTCTTGACAGGCAGAGATTATGGGGATTACAATTCAAGATGAGATTTTGGGTGGGGGCACAACCAAATCATATCAAATATCCAATGACTATGTCATCTCCATGTGTCAATGTGCAAGGATGCTTATGGAGAATAAAAATTATTTTAGTTCATTTTGTGTCTGGTTTAGAACAAAGTTCTTATGATGCAGCATTAAAGGTTATGGTTCCAGCAAAAATTGAGTTAACAGGAACTATATTTATTCTCACCAAACATACATACATACACAAACATACACACACACACTTTATATATATATGTAATTGTAACACACATACACACACGGATGCAAATGTATGCATATATGTTAGTTTGCATGCATGTCTGTGTGTGTGTGTGTATGTATGTGTGTTACAATGTTTTTCAAGACACTGGTTATCAGGCAGTCAAGGGCAGTGATCCATGAGAGACAGAAAATAAATTTAGTGAGCACTATAATTGCCTCAGTTTACTGCTATGAGATTGTTTCTGGGATACATCAGAGGGAGGTTGGATCTCAGGTGGAGCCTACTAGAATCTTTGTGTAAATAAAAACGTATATCTGAGAGCTTGGGGAGGCCAAGGTGGCTAAAACTCACAGGACAGAGTACCAGAGAAGGAGTTATTTTGACAGAAAGAGAACACTATGAAAGGCCTTCCTTGGGCATTCAGCACAAAACTTATCACAACGGGTATGTGAGGGCATCAGGTGAGTCTGGGTAAAGATTAATATGAAATTATCATAAAGAAAGTACAGAGAATTTGCACAGGTCCAGAAGTAGTGCCTGTTCCCACAAGCCTGACTGAAAAATCTCATAATACATATGGCATTGATTAGAGTACCCAGAAGCATATTGTCTCAGTGCAGTAGGCAATGATTATCGATAGCCTAAATGCTGCTCTGGTTCAGCCTACCAAATGCTAAAAACAGTATCTAAAAAGATTAAACTGTTTCCAAGTAATTTAATTCCATCTTAGAACCAAGCTCAATAATATATTTAGAAATGCAGATATATCTAGCATTCAACAAGATAACATTCACAATGTAGTGCATCCAATCAATGAGTACTAGTAACGTAAAGAAGCAGAAAATTAGTACCCATAATGAAGAGAATATTCAATAAATTGAAAGTCTCCCAGAACTGACACAGAACTGATTAGCAAACAAGGTTATTAATACAGTTATAACGGTATTGCATATGTTCAAATGTTAAGTAGAGAAATGAAAGATAAGTAAAATATCCAAACAGAACTTTAGAAAGGAAAATAACAATGTCTGATATAAGCAAGGCACTGAATTGTACTAATGTTATATTAGACAGAGCAGAAGAAAATATTAGTAAAGTCTAGCACCTAACAATAAAAACCATGAAAAAAATGAAACATGCAGAAAAATAAAAATAAAATAAAATAAATACAGCATCAGTAAACTGCGGTACAACTTCAATCAGCATAACATGCATAGAATTGAAATCCTCAAACGACTTGGAAGAGAGGGGGAGTCATTAAAAATAGTGGTAGAAATTGTCATGGAAATTTTTAATACATATTCCAAAAGTTCAACAAACCAAATAAGAAACTTGAAGACAACCACACCAAGAGAAATTATAGTCAAATAAAGTAAAACAAACTCTTTAATTACTGAAATATGAAGTAATACTGTCAACCTAGAATTATTTACCTACATACAATACCTTATGTAAAATGAAGATGAAATAAAGCCTCATTTATGTGTGTGTCAATTTGATAACCTAATTTTGAATTTACATGAAAATACACAAGAACTGGAATAGTCAAAGAACTTCAAAAAGAAAGAACAAATTTGAAGGAATAATAATAATATCTGTTTTAAGGATTTATTACATTAATCAAGCCTGCGTGGTATTGTTGTAATAAAGCAAAAAGTGTGTTAGTGGAAAACATAATAGACCTGCATATACCTTAAAAACTGATTTTAGACAAAGGCGAAAAGACAATTTACTGAATAAATAGTGACTGTTTCAATAAATAGGGCTGGAACAATTTAGTATCTATATGCAAAGTAAGTGAACATCAATTTGTAACTCAAACCATAGGCCAAAATAGGCTCAAAATGGATCACAGATTAAAATTTGAAACCTAAAACTATAAAACTCACAGAAAATTCACAGCAGAAATCTTTGTGTCCTTGGATTATGCAAATTTTTTTAGATATGACACCCAAGTCATGATCTATTAAAAAGCAAAATATTGGACTTAAAAATATTAAGAACTTCTCTCTGAAAGATGCCTTCAAAGGAATGAAAGGCAAGCCACAAAGTATATATTAGATAAAGTGTCTTAGTCCTAGAATATACAATGAACTTTAAGGACTCGATTGATGATAATGGGGAAAAACAATGAAAAACTAAAAAAGATTTGAATGGATTCTTTATCAAAGAAAATATAACCTATAAAAAGATGTTCAAAAGCATTAGTTATTACAGATATGCAAATTAAAATACTATGCAATATCACTACACACCTATTAGAATGACTAAAATTAAAAAGTCTCACATGACAAGTTGGCAATAATGTGGTTTAACATAAGTTCTCCTAAACTGTGTTGATTGACCTTTGTATGTTGAAACTCACTCGCATTCCTCCAAGTAGGGATACATCCTACTTGGTCATAGTGTACCATCCTTTTCATATGCTGCTAGGCTTAATTTTCAAATATATTGTTGAGGAATTTCTCATCTGTATCCATAAGGGATAACAGTCTATATTTTTATTTTCCTGTGGTGTCTTTGGATAGCACAGTATCAATGTAATTCTGGCCTCATAAAATGGATGTTTCCTCCTCTCCTATTGTTTGAAAAAGTTTTAGAAGGATGGGATGGGAACTAACTCTCCTTTAAAGTTTTGGTAAAATTCGCCAGTAAAATCATACATTCCTGGGCTTTCCTTTGGAGGTTTTTGATTACTGGTTCAGTCTCTTTATTTGTTATAGGTCTGTTCAGAGTTTCTGTTTCCGCGTGATTAATTATTGTTAAATTGTGTTTCAAGGAATTTGTCTACTCTACAGTATTCCATTTGTGGGTCTACAATAGCTTAACAGTTCTCACATGATCCTTTTTATATCTGTAAAATCGGTAGTAATATTTCCACTTCAAGTTCTGATTTTAATAATTCAAGTCTCTTCTCTTTTTTTCTTCTTTAGTCAATCTACTTAAAGGATTGTCAATTCTGTTGATATTTCCAAAGAAACAACTTTTGGTTTAATGAATTATTTATATTGTTTTTCTATTATCTTTTTCATTTATCTTTGCCTTACTATTTACTCTTTTCTTCGTTATGCTTCCTTTTTTTTTAAAGTATTTGAGCACCATTTTATTGCCAAACAATACACCCAACAAAGTCAAACAACCTAACTTCCCTTAACAAGAATATCAGGTTTGTCTATATTATGATTGGAAACAAAACATAAAGTATATTTGTTTTCCTAGACAGTCTAAGGTTTCAATGGGTTGCTGTAAAAGAATTTGAAGAAAGCTGCACCAACTGGTGTTTTGAAATTCAAATACCCTTAGTTTAAGCCACAATAAATGAAATAAAACCAATACATGAAATAAAACCATCACCCTATAAGATTGTTTTTATCATCCAAAGAGAACGTCTCTCACAATAGATTGATGTCTATTGTGTACATGATGTAGTTCACACATTCCACTGTCTTCTCTTGACTATTCACAGTGTGCTTGGCACTTGTGTTACCGATATAAAGAAATATTTCCTTCAGAAATTCAGAATCAAGATCATTTAGAGGGAAAATAGTAGTAATCCCAATCACCAAGTCACTATTTTGCATTCTGCTTTACCTAGAAACTATTATATATTATATACTTTAAAATAGTTCATATATATAAAGTATTTTAACCAGAAATATTAATTTATAACTATTTGCTCCAAGGAGATCCTCAAAGCAAAAGATTAGGAATGAAGCAAATTTCAAGGAATTTAAAATCAGGGATTTTATTCTAAGTTAGAAAGAAATGGCAGCCATCACTGGTTCCGTAATCTGTAAGGCCCAGTCCAAAATGAAAACACAAGCCCCTTCTTCAAAAATTATTAAGAATATTAAGAGGACAGATAGAGCATTAAACTAAGCCCTGGGCGTCTGAGCATGGGAACCTATGAGATTGCACAGGTCATATGCCCATGAAGCTGGCCCTGGGGGCAGGATACATTTTGTAGCTTCTTGAAGAGGTCTCTCCAGAGGTAGGTGCTAGAAGCAAAGGACAGATAGGACCAGAAAGCATCAGTGTATGGTTACTGAGTGACACAGATAATCCTTTATTTATTTAACAGTAACTAATATTTCTATTGTACTTTATAGTTTACAAAGCTCTTCTGCCAGATCCAGTATCTCATGTATTGAAGCAACAATTCTTTTAGGTATAGTTTTCTCTTCTTTTTTGAACTTTCTTTAGATAAGAGTTTAGATTATTGACTTAACATATTTTCTTCTTTCTTAATACAGACATTTAAAGCTATAAATTTCTCTCTAATCACTGCTTTAGCTGCATTTTATAAGTTATATATTGTGTTTTCATTTTCCTTCTCAGATTATTTTATAATTTCCCTTCTGATTTCTTCATTAGTAATTTAGAAATATTTTGTTTAATTTATGAGTTTTGCAAATTTCTTTCTGCTACTGATTTCTAGTTTCATTTCATTGTGTTGGAGAGCATACTTTGTATAATTTTTATACTTTTAAATTTATTGAGGTTTGTTTTATAGCATATAGTCTGTTTTATCATATAGTCTATCTTCTAGAAATTTTCATGTCCACTTTAAAAGAATGTATATTCTGTTGTTGGGTGGAGTGTTCTCCAGATGTCTGTTAGATCTATTGGTTTCTATAATTGTTCCAGTCTTCCAATTTCTTATTAATATTTGCCTAGTTTTCCATCCATTCTTGAAAGTAGGCTATTAAGTTCTCCAACTATTTTCAGTAAATGGTCTATTTTGATCTTCACTTCTGTCAGTGTTTGTTCCCTGTATTTTGGTGCACCATAATTAGGTGTATATATGTTTATGATTGTTGTATCTTCTTGATAGATTGACCATTTATCATTACAAAATGTCAACATTTATTCATAGTAACATCTTTTGTTTTAAAGTCTATTTAATTTGATATAATTTGGTCATGCCAGCTTTCTTTGTTTGCTATTTTCATGGAGTACATTAAATTTTTAACAATCTAGTTTGAAAAAATACCAACGTAGCTTCAATATTATACAAAGTCTCTGGTTCTATGCAGATCTATTCCCTTTTTATGCTTTTCTTGTCAAAAATTACACTTTATACATTGTGTGTCCATTAATGTAGACTTATAATTATTGTCTTTTGAGTTACTGTCTAGTTAGCTTTCATTTCAGCCTGATGGCATCCCTTTAGCATTTCTTGAAGGGCAGGTCTACTAGAGAAATGTGAAAAACAGTTTTTGCTTAATGTAGAATTATTGGTTGACAGATATTTTTCTTTCAGGACTTCAAAAATATCATTTAACTGCCTCTTTTCCTCTATGGTTTCTGCTGAGAAATTAGATGCAAAGTTTATTTTTTTATTATACTTTAAGTTCTAGGGTACATGTGCACAACGTGCAGGTTTGTTACATATGTACACATGTGCCATGTTGGTGTGCTGCACCCATTAACTCGTCATTCACATTAGGTATATCTCTTTGTACAAGTCAATTTTCTCCTGATTCTTTTCAGAGTCACTATCATTGAGTTTCAACGGTTTGATTATAATGTATCTTGGTGTGGAAATACTTGCATTTATTCTTCATTGAAAATATTGAACTTCTTTTTTTTTTTTTAAAGGGAAAGGCAAGAAGCTTTTATTCCAAATTACTCGAGTAGGAGTGTGAGTGAACTTGGGAGAGTGAGTTGCACACAGTGGAGTATGGGTTTCTAATTTAATGAGCTCTTCTAATTAAAAGATGGAATGATGAGGGCTTCTAGGAAAAAGGTGGAGATCTCTTAGAATTGGAGTGCCACCCATTTTTCTACTAAATATGGGCATGATCGGATCTGTCATGGCACTAGTGGGTGAGTGACTTAGGAGAGTAATGAGTGTATAATTATGTCTGGGGTAGGACATGGGTCAAATCCAATGTCATGTCGGACTTAGCTGGTTTTAGTCAGCTTAGCCCCCATCCTGTTAGCAAGGTACTTATCAGCCCAGGCTTATCTTTGTCCTTGTAGCTAATTTTAACACCTCCTTTCTTGCTGTTGGTGATATTGTTGCTTGATATTTTCCTGCTTCTCCTGTAACCATCCAGCATTCCTATTTTATGGGCGTTTTCTCAAATTAGGGGGTGAAATAATCATTAGATATTCTGGAAAAGGAGGGCATTTCAGGGACCCGTGGTTACTAACCCAAACGTTCTCTCTTATTTATTTCTCTCTTATCTCTCTTATTATTTTGGTTTGCCTTGCCTAATAATAATAAAAAAATAAATTGAAAAAAAAAAGAACTAGGCAAATAAACTACAGGATAACAGAAAACTCAAAATAAGAGAGAAAAACAGCCAAAACCCTGGTCAGAATGACATGTCCATGACTCTTCTAAGAAAATATTGACTTAAGTGTGACATCTTTCATCAAATTTGAGAAGGTTTTGGCCATTAATTCTCCAAATATTCTTTCTGACCATCCCTTATTCTTCTCTCCTTTTTGGACATAGTCACCATTAACAAATTTAAACTCGTTCGTATGTGTCCAATACCTGGAATAACCTAGAGGTGGTGATGATTTCACAGGTGTGTGTGTGTGTATATATATACACCTGTGTGTGCATATATATATACACACATACACACACATATATATATCACAACTTGTACCATCTATTTTCTGTTAATAATACCTCAATAAAATGGATAAAATGCAGGCTTTGCAAATTGTCCTTACAATGAAAATATTCTTATTTACATAGAGACGAAACAGAAACTAATATATTGTTTAGAGTAAGGCTTTTAATAGGCTAGAAATCACACAGATAATGGAAATGCTCAATAAATTTTGTGGAGCTGAAAAGTGAGACTCTTAGATTTTCCCTGACCTAAAATAATCCTTGCTATGATATATTTACACTAAGTTTCTCACAAGACACATTATGGCCCCAAAGATTTTATCTTCCATGACATGGTCTAAATGGAAGAACATAATTTCCCCAAATTTTTGGAGCAGGTAGGTCTGAGTCAGAGTTTCATAGAAACATAGAAATTCTATTGAGTAAGCTAGAGAATTATAACGAAATGACTGTGATGAATGCAGGTTTATTTTCAGTCAGTCAGACTTTTGCTTTGATGTATAGATCTGAATAGAGCTAACATTTTCATGCAATAAACCTTAACAATATAAACATCTATGTCTCAATCCAAATGTACAGTTCTCTAATCTCAATCTGCACAAGGATACCTGTTTGTGCATTTACACAATTGGTATTTTTCTCAAGAATCCTTCAAGAAACAACATTGTCAACAGCATTTTTCTTTGAACTGTATATGTCTGCTCTTTTGCTCACAATACTTATTAAGCAACATAGGCTTGCTATAAGGTTAATATACTCAGTTTCTACATTATAGTTACTGTATTAAAAATGAAAGCTAATTTAAAAAAAGTCAGTTTTAATTCTTTATTTTGTTCATAAATACATCCATATTATAGACTTACATTTGGGTATTCAAAATCAATTCAATTTTCTATATAATGTAAGGAAAGTGATCAAGTTATAGTCAATTTCTTGAAGGAGATGGAGACAGGTACATGTTATTAAAAATAGTTTGCAACTGTTTCCTGAAAATTAGGAATCAGGCTATACATAAACATTTACAAATTAGATTTGCATATTTTCTATAAAACCACCTCAATATTATAACCTTAACTTTTCTGTCAGCAACCCTAGTATTTCTAAAAAAAAAAAAAAAAAAAACCTTCTTTTTTAAGTAAATTAAACAGAATGGCGTGTACAGAATATGGTTATGTTAATTTCTGTGTTATTATGCATTTATGGTTTCTTTTAACCACCTGATACTTCTTGACTGCCTTTCATCACTGAGCAAAATAAACAAATAAGTCTTTATTTTTTCTGCTGTTTAGATAGCAAATATTTGCTACATAACAGCACATACAGATTTAAATGTTACAAAATTCTTTAAAACAAGCGAATTCCTTTACTTTTTAAAATTTTTGAGCATCAAAATTGAAATCTGTGGAGTCCACTGATGGTATTTAAAATCTCGAAAATGTCTAATTTAAGTTATGTATTTTTTATATAGATTTCCTACTCTTGAAAGAATCATGAATTTTGTCGACTTTCCTAAAAAGTCTGAAAGGCTGAGAATGGAATAGAGATTTTCAATTTCACGGAAGTTTTATATTCATTTACAAGTGCAAAGTCCAATATTCTAGAGTCTGTTGCTAATATTATCAATAACTCCCAAATAATACTTTTTAAGAGGCCATTGAGATAGGGAGATTATGAAAAGGACTTGTGTTTAGTTAGAGGGGAAAAGATCAATACCACTAAGTGGATGATTTCCCTGGAAGTAGAAGAAAGTTGATAAGGTAAAGAAATTAATTTCTAAAATAATTTTCTGTGGTCATTAAAGAATAATAATAATATAGTATAAATAAATAAAAATAAGATATAAGATAATGGAATAAAATAATAATATACTATATATAATTTTATTATAATATATAATAGAGGAAAATTATAATAGACTCTGGACTTAATCCTTTTCTATGTGTAAAAGGAAATTATACTAGTTGATTAATAACTGATTTTCAAATTGCATGAGAAAGAAGTGATTTTTTATTTATAATTTTATGTACCTTTAGATACATATGTATAACTACAACTATTTATACATCTAAGATGTTAAAACATATAAAGTATCATTTTTGGCCAAGGAGAAGAGTTGCTAAGAAACATAGAGTCTTAGTTCTGGGCCATATGTTAAAATAAATGTGAAATTGGGATTATTGATCACTGATAAGTTCAGTTTACTACTTTTAGCCCTAGTCCACAATATTAAAATAAAGTTAGGTAGACTAATCATAAAAAACTCCAAAATAATTAACCACCATACTTAACAGGATTTTATAAGTATAAATGTTCTATTGTACACCACATATTTCTAATTTTTGAACAGTAAAGTTTTTGAATACCGTACTTTAACACTCATACAATTTGAATTAATATGTTTTTTAAAATACAGCTTTATTATAATAATAAGTGTGTCCATGTATAGTCCAAGAAATAAATGTTGACAAGAAACTCAACAACTTTCTTAATTCCTGGACTGGACATTACTCATGCTTTTTCAGCCTTAGGCCCTTTTGCATGTGTCGGCTGCACACAATTCTAAGAAAAGAGACCTTTAAAGCGAACTTTCAAAGTTGCTAATTTACTGTAATAATAAAGGTGCCTTATTTTCCCCCAAAAGATTATTGTTTTATATAGATTAGTATATTGCATTCAAGTAAGGAATTAAACTTTCCTACTGTGTTCTTAAAATTTCCTCCTATCTCAACTCAGATATTCTCCATGGGAAAAATAACTGGGAGATCATGGTGTATTTTCTGGTTCAATTATGCAGTGAAAAAATAAAATTAAGGTGAAAAAAGCATCAAAAGAAAAGATAGCTTCTCCTCTTTTTGTATTTGATTTAGTAAGGTGTAGGTGCTCTTTGAATCTGTGAAGCTAATTACAGGAGTCCAAATTACTGCAATCCCCACTTTTCCCTGTAGACAAAGCCTACATCCATTGATCACTTATTTCTTGGTAGGAAAAGCAAATAGCAAAAATAATTTGGTGCTGCAAAAAAATAGTGTCTAATCTAAATTTCACTTAGATTCAGTCAATTCGTTTGTTATCTTACTGTCTTAGCTTTTCAGCGTACAAAATAAATGTAATAATCTTTTTACCCCAGTGGGATGTGTAAGTAGCAGATAAAATACGGGACAACAAAGTAACCTGGAGAAAAGTGAAAACATCATATAATTTTAAGGAATAATAATTGGTGCATTAGTAATACGATGTTTTAGATTAAAAAATTGCTAATTCATTCTGTACTATATGTTAGAACAGTTACACTGCAGAAGGCTCTATGTCCTCCTGATCATGGATGTTGGTCCTGTCTTGGAAATCAGAAAATAAACAATAAGTAACTTATTTTCACATTATATGTATAATACTCTCATATTGTTAGACTTCTCAGAGATCTAATACATTTCACACTGCTCCTAGTGAGGAAAATTGAAATGTTCCGACATCTTAAATAATTTTAAAGCAATTAATGTATGGAAAATAAATTGCCTTTCTTGACCTTTAACACAATGTATTTTAGCTGGATAACTTGTGTGACATTCCAGTTTAATAAACCTTTTAAATAAATAGAAAACATAAATAAGGAAGATGAAAGTTTAAATGGTTTCATAGATGTTTGATCCTCTGTGTTGCACTTTTACATAGTAGGCCCATGGAAGATGTCAGGAATGCTTTGTTTTTAGTGCTATTGAAAAATAGGCTCTGAGACTTCCAACTAATGCATATATTAATTGAGCAAAAAATAGAAGGTTTAGAGTGAAACCAGAATATTATCACTCTAAGTGTCATCCATTTTAGTGTCACATGCTTTGTTATATATATAAACTACACTCTACCTTATCAAATAATGAAATTTTGATGCAGCCATTAAAACTTGATGTCAGTGAATGTGGATTGAAAGTATCAAAGAAGAACACATGCAGTAGTATCATCTTTGTGGCAATATAAGGTACAAAATACTACAAATGTTTAACAGAAGTATGGAAATTGCAGTGAAAGGAATCTCATATAGAAGCAAAAATTCTAACAGAATTTTAATATTACTCTCAACAAGGGACAGATTGAAATGTAAATAGAACCCTATTTTTGAAAATGCAAGGAGAAGCAAGGAGAGTAGGAAAAATATTTTTATGGGTAAAGCATTCGCGTGTCAAGTGTCAGTCCAACATTGGTCAAGCAAGGTGATTGGCAACCACCTAATTGAATTGATTAAAATTTAATGAGTTGTTTTAGTGTTTCTATCAACATAGCTCAAGTGTTAATTGACAAAACTATACCATGCTCAAGAGGTATGTTGCAGAGGAGTGTTCAGGCTTTGAAGTCTTAAAGACCTGGAATTGAATCCCACCTAACTCCACTAGTTAATACTTCATGATGTTGAGCAAATTGCTTTGTTTCTCTGACCTTCAGTTTCCTTATTTGTAAAATACATCTGAAAGCACTTTGCTAAGAGCTCTCTAATGCCTTATTCCTACAATACACACTTTATAATCAGTTTAGTCATATCCACATATTGCCGTTGTGTTAAATTGATAATCATTTAGACTAGAAGTATCATGTAGCAGAACAACCAGTGGGCTAAAAATTGAATAACCTGATTTTTCTAACAATTGTGCTATTTTTAACAAATAATTCCCCGCTATGGATCTGGGTTTATCCATACCATACAACTAGGAGGGAGAAATAGATAGTCCTCAAATTCATACTCTTCTTAAAGTACACAAAATATCTATATATTGGTAGCTCTGCGGAATAATAGCTGACTATTTGATGAACATCTCTTCTTTGACCATACATTATTAAGTCCCTTATATATATTACCTTACCTTTTAAGAGCTGCAAGTACATTGTAAATGTTTGATCAGTCACATATATATTCAATTGTGTAGAAATCATAAGCATATAAAAATGAATTTTTACAAAGTTTATGTATAGTGTAATCAGCATCCAAACTAAAGACAAAAAATTGGGATAGCCTCTCCCCAAAACTCTTAAGCTGTATTACTTTATTTATTTATTTATTTATTTATTTATTTTAAAGAAGATCTCACTCTGTCACCCAGGCTGGAGTGCATCATAGCTCATTGCAACCTGGAAATCCTGGGCTCAGATCCTCCTGCCTCAGCCTCCTGAGTAGCTGCGATTACAGGCACGTGTCATCATGTCTGCCCAATTTTTAAAAAATTTGTAGTAGAGACAGGGTCTTGTTATATTGCTCAGGCTCGTCTTGAAATCCTGGGCTCAAACAATGCTCCTGCCTTGGCCTCCAAATGTGCTAGAATAATAGGTATGAGCCACCATACTCGGCCTATATTTTTGTTCATTCCAATGTGGTCATTTGAAGGAAAAAAAAAAGAATACTAAATAGAGATGATGTTAACCCAAATAACAAGGTCTGGAAAGTCTATTTTGAAATTCTCCCCTTTAACCTGAAATTAGAAACAGTGGACCTACAGATAATGCTGTTAAGGGAGTGGTGATCGATTACAATATTTCCGTTACCCAATTCGCTCATGGCTTTTTTTTTTTTTTTTTTTTTTCCGAGTTGTGTTTACCTTCAAAAAAGTCTGGCAGAGTAAACTTTGGGAATGTAATACTGATAGTCACAATATTACCTAATGAAATTTTAATGGGCTCAGATTATTTCTTTAAATATAAAACTTCTTTCAACTCAAGTTAGGCATATGGAATTCTGAGCACAAATAGTCTATCTTTGTTATTGTTTTCCTCACCATCCAAGTAGCGATGATGTGGGAAATATCTAAAAGGGAATTCAAAGAATCAAAGTAAACCTATGCTTGTCAAAGAATATCTATTAGAGCTATCTTGTCTTTCCAATTTTATGAAGTGTGGCCTTGCTCAGTGTTCATTTGAAGAAATGATTCTTAGCCTGTGAATTCATTTAAAGAAAATGTTATGCCTCTTGTTGTGGCTGTGACAGAAATCTCTGAATATTGTATCTCAGTGACATCCAATATCTAGCTGTTTTGAAATGTTTTAATTAACTGAACATTTCAAATTCATCAAGATACTCAGCACTGTAGACAGTCATGTACCCACCTATAATTTTTCTCTTCTTCCTTTTATTTATTGCCAAGTGACAATAAATTATATAATTGTGTATATGTGTACCTGTAGGTATTTGTTGTTGTTGTTGTTGTTGTTGTTGTTGTTGTTGTTGAGACAGGGTCTCACTATGTTGCCCAGGCTGAGAGTACAGTGACTATTAACAGATGTGCTCATCATGTACTACAACCTTGAACTCCTGGGCTCAAGTGATCCTTCTGCCTCCTCCTCTACAGTAGTCCTAGTAGCTAGTACTACAGGCTCACGCTCCCGTGCCTGGCTTCCTGTGGGTTTTTATGGCTGTGTGTTGTGTGTTGCAATTGGTGGTATGATAGGAAATCAAATAGATGCGAGAGTAGAAGGGGTCCTGGTTAAAAGATGAGAAGGTGCTGCTTCAAACCAGATTAAAAACAAAATTCAAACGGGTACTTTGGAAATTCTTTTCATGGTAGGTTGGTAGTTTTTCTCTCTGTACTATATAACTCTCTGAAGCTCATTATCTCAGCTTTCCAAGGGAAGTTTTTGATTAAAACTCAATTTAAGCTGCAAAGATCCCCTGACTCCTCTATGATGGCCTAGTTCTACCCTTTCCAATTCAAGATTATGTATCGCGAAAAACATCAGTTGTACCTATTTATTTAGTTTATTGACACCCTCGAGGATACAGTCTTATATATTCAGAAAATTAAAATACAGTTTATTTTTAATGATTCATTAAATGATGTCTGAACAGACAAAAGACTACTTTGGGACCTATTCTACATTTTCCAGTTTATTCTATTAGTTTTGCTTTCTTTTTATTTTGTGCTTTTGCTTCCATCTCTTCCAGATCCTCTTCAGTATCTCAAACATTGATGTTCTTTAGGAGGACGTGGCTGTTTCTTCTTGAAGCAATTGACTAAGGGAAACCAGTAATTCAGGACTTGTTGAAAATTAAGTGTTTGTATGAAAAAAAGTCTTCCTATGGGAAAAAGCATCCGGTTATGTGTGTGGAATAAAAATATTTAGAAATAGCCCCTTCAGGAGAAGAAACATAAAACGTTTCGATGAAAGAGCTAAAAACAGAATTACAATTTGACCTACCAATCCCATTAGTGGGTATATACCCAAAGGAATATAAATTGTTCTATCATAAAGACACATGTATTTGTATGTTTGTTGCAGCACTATTCGCAATAGCAAAGACATGGAATCAGCCTTAATGCCCATCAGTAGTAGAATGGATAAATAAAATATCATACATATACACCATGGAATACTATGAAGCCATAAAAAGAATGAGATCATGTCCTTTGCAGGAGCATAGATGGATCTGGGGGCCATTATCCTCAGCAAACTAATGCAGGAACAGAAAACCAAGTACCACATGTTCTCACTTATAAGTGGGAAGTAAATGATGAGAGCACATGGACATATAGAGGGGAACAACAAACACTAAGTCCTATCAGAGGGTGAAGGGCAGTAGGAGGGAGAGGATAAGGAAAAATAACTAATGGATACTAGGCTTAATACCTGGGTGAAAGGATAATCTGTACAACAAACCCCAGTGACACAAGTTTACCTATGTAACATACTTGCACATATACCCCTGACCTTAAAATAAAAGTTAATTTAAAAAATACCAAAATCTGTTTTGTTGTTGTTTTCTTTAAAATTTTATAAATTTTGTTGACCTTCAACTATGGAAACCTTTTGAAAATAACAAAAACCATATATATGGGTTCCAGCCAGGGATCTTAACAACTTAGAAAAATGTGCTTCTTATAAAATGTTTGATTGATTGCTTTGGGAAATTGTTTTGTCTTATTGCATTAAAGGCTTTCTGTAGCTGGCTGGTTAATCAGTGCTTAAAATGGCATCAAAGATTTTATTTGCCTAAGTTTTCAAGCTGCTCTGCTGGCTGTTGGATTTCACCAATTTATAAGTAATTTTAAGTGTCTATGTTTTTTTGTGCTTGTTTCATCATTTCTCCCTGAACTCTTTCTTACTTTCCCATGAATTTTCTTATTTCAGTATCCTTGAGTGCAAAATTATGTGGTTTTATTTTAGAAGGTTTGCTAGCTTCCATAAAACTTAATTTCTTATTTTGGCTGCACACTGTACTGAAAACACAACTATTTAATTTTGAATTCAATAGCTCATCACATTTTGCATGTTGGCCTGTAACTTCTATGTCAAAAATGCTTGGTAGAATAGAGTTTTGTTTGCCTGGTTGGTTTTGCCACTTAATATTTGTTTAAACTACATTTTCGCTTGGAGCAGTTTTAAATTATGGGCATGGATGCTCTGTCAGGTATAATCCCTTTTTTCAATGTTCCTATAAAACTACTCTAAGTTGTTAAGGAATGCTCCTAAAATTAGAGAAGTTTTCACCATCATTTGTTTGGCCATTAACAGAGAAGTTGAATCTTTGAGGAAATTGGGTAAGTAAAATTACAACGTAATGAAAAAGACATGAAAATTAAGGTCATAAGTAGAGATAGACCAACCAGATCACGCTAAAGAGAATAAGAAATTAGTATGTAAAGGAGCAAGTGAAAATATGTTTAGAGACAGAGTAATATCAGCCATATGTCTGAGGTCATCATGGTATTACTACCATCAATGCTAACTTTGTTTGTTGACATTCTTTGATGAAATATAGTTTCAGGCTTATATATGGTTTTCAATCTGCAACTAATCTAGGGGAGAGATAGAATGGGCAACAGGGTCCTAATTATAACACTGTAACATACCAGAAAAGGAATATGGAAGTTTAAAAATAAGAAACAAACAAACGAAAAAAACACCACCACCATATCAGAGTAGCTGCTGTTGTTTTCCGCAATTATAGAGACATATAATAGCCAATGTCTAAAGAAATGCCATCAAATTCAAAATTCATATAAATCACATGGATTCTTCTTTAAAAATTAAATGTACACATATTTCAAAACATATTGCATATATACATACACATTATATGTACATACATCTGTATAAATATATTTCAGTTGAACTGAAGTTTTCTTGGAAGTCAAGACACAAGAAATCAGATAAAGAAGGTATGAGTCTTCTCTCAACTTTCTAATTATTTTGAAAATAAACCTGCTTTATATTTAGCATAGTGGCAGTTGATAGATAGGAAAAATATTCATTTATTCAACAAATATTTATAGAATAGGTAAAAATTATACTGCTAAAAACATTGTCTTTAAGGTTTTTTCAAATTCAACCATTAAAAAATATCAGCCCTTGATGATCCTATAACACAATCAAGTACGCTCCATTCTTAGTTTTTATATTGGTTGAATATAGGAGAATCATTGAAAGGTGAGGTAAGAGAAGAAAATGCGCACTTAGTTTCTGGACTTTATTGAAAGTCTCTGTTTTGTCTTCACAAATCCCCTGATAGGCTGTTCTATGACTCCATTGGCAGATTAGGCATCCCATGCTCCACGCTAATTGCCAAGCACTATTGGCTAATAATTGTGCCATTAATCTACGTCAGCAGTGTAACTATTGTGATCCCTGTGCCATGCTAAGAATAGCTGTTTCATCTAACATTTTGAAAGCAGACAATAATTAAGTCCTAGCCAGAGCAATTAGACAAAAGGAAAAAAACAAAGGGCATCCAAGTTGAAAAGGAAGAAGTCAAGTTATCCTTTTTTGCAGATGATATAATCTTATATTTAGGAAAACCTAAAGACTCCACTATAAGACTATCAGAACTGATAAATTCAGTAAATTTGCAGGATACAAAATCAACATAAAAAATTAGTAGCATTTCTATATGCCAACAGTGAGCAGTCTGAAAAAGAAATAAAAAAGTAATCGCATTTACAATAGCTACACATAAAATTAAATACCTAGAAATTAACTTAATGAAATAAGTCAAAAATCTCTACAATGAAAACTATAAAACACTGAGAAAAGAAATTGAAGATGACACAAATAATGGAAAAATAATCCATGTTAAAGAATTGGAATATTCAATATTGTTAAAGTGTCTATACTACCGAAATCCAACTGCAGATTCAATGCAGCCCCTGTCAGAGTACAAAAGACATTTTTTATAGAAATAGACAAACAATCCTAAAATTTATATGAAACCCCAAAAGAACCAGAATACCCAAAGCTATATCAAGCAAAAGAAGAGAAGTGGAGGAATCACATTACCCGACTTCAAATTATACCACAGAGCTATAGTAACCAAAAGAGCACGGTACCGGCTTAAAAACAGACACATAAGCCAATGGAAGAGTGTAGAGAACCCAGGGAGAAATCCATAAATCTAAAGTGAACTCATTTTTTTTACCAAGTTGTCAAGAATATACACACGATAAGACAGTTGCTTCAATAAATGGTGCTGAGAAAACTGGATAGCCACATGCAGAGGAATTAAATTTGATCTTTAGCTCTCACCATATAAAAATCAAATCAAAATGAATTAAAGACATAAATCTAATACAACAAACTACAAAACTACTATAACAAAACATTGGCAAAACTCTCCAGCACATTGGTGCAGGCAAAAATTTATTGAAAAATACCCTACAAGCACAAGCAACCAAAGCAAAAAGGGACGAATGGGATTACATCAAGTTAAAAAGCTTCTGCACAGCAAAGGAAACAGTCATCAAAGTAGAGACAACGCACAAAATGTGAGAAAATATTTGCAAACTACCCATCTGACAAGGCATGAATAACTATAAAGTATGAGGAACTCAAACAACTCTATAGGAGAAAAGCAAATAATCGAAGAAAAAACTTGAGTAAAAGGTTTGAATAGACATTTCTCAAAGGAAGACATACAAATGGCGAACAGGATATAAAAAAAATGCTCAACATCGAGGGTCATTAGAGAAATGAAAATCATAACTACAATGAGATATCATTTTAGGCCAGTTAAAATGGCTTATATTCAAAAGACAGACAAGAACAGATGGCAGTGAGGATGTGGAAAAAAGAGAACCCTTGTACACTGTTGGTGGGAATGTAAATTAGTACAGTCACTATGGAGAACAGTTTGGAAGTTCCTTAAAAAAACTGAAAATAGATCTGTTATACAATCCAGCAATCTTACTGCTGCATATATATTTATATACAAATTTTACTTTAAGTTCTGGGCTACAAGTGCAAAATGTGTAGGTTTATCACATAGGTATACAGGTGCCATGGTGGTTTGCTGAACCTATCAGCCTGTCATCTAGGTTTTAAGCGCTGCATGCATTAGCTGTTTGTCCTAGTGCTCTCCCTCCCCTCACCTCCCACCCCACGACTGGCCCCAGTGTGTGTTGTTTCCCTTCCTGTGACCATGTATTCTCATTGTTCAACTCCCACTTATGAGTGAGACCATGCAGTGTTTGTTTTCTGTTCCTGTGTTAGTTTGCTGAGGATGATGGCTTCCAGCTTCATCCATGTCCCTGCAAAGAACATGATCTCATTCCTTTCTATGGCTGCATAGTATTCCATGGTGTATATGTACCACATTTTTTTATATCCAGTCTATCATTGATCGGCATTTGGGTTGGTTCTATGTCTTTGCTATTGTAAATAGTGTTGTAATAAACATACGTGTACATTTGTCTTTATTGGATAATAACTTGTATTCCTTTGGGCATATACCCAGTATTGCGATTGCTGGGTCAAATGGTATTTCTGGTTCTAGATCTTTGAGAAATCGCCAACTGTCTTTCACAGTGGTTGAACCAAATTGTATTCCCATCAACAGTGTAAATGCTGAGGGGACAGCATTTACAGTGTAAAATGCTGAGGGGACAGCATTTACAGTGTAAAATGCTGAGGGGACAGCATTTACAGTGTAAATGCTATTTCTCCACCACCTTGCTAGCTTCTATTTTTTTCTTGACTTTTTAATAATCACCATTCTGACTGGCATGAGATTGTATCTCATTGTGGTTTTGATTCGCATTTCTCTAATGATCAGTTATGTGGAGCTTTTTTCATATGTTTGTTGGCCACATAAATGTTTTCTTTTGACAAGTGTCTGTTCATATCCTTTGCCCACTTTTTGATGGGGTTGTTTGATTTTTTTTCTTGTAAATTTGTTTAAGGTCCTCGTAGATTCTAGATATTAGACCTTTGTCAGATGGGTAGACTGCAAAAATTTTCTCCCATTCTGTAGGTTGCCTGTTCATTCTGATGATAGTCTTTTTTTTTTTTTTTTTTTTTTTTTTTTTTTTACTGTGCAGAAGCTCTTTAGTTTAATTAGATCCCCTGTCAATTTTGGCTTTTGTTGCAATTGATTTTGGTGTTTTCATCATGAAGTCTTTGTCTATGCCTATGTCCTGAATGGTATTGCCTCGGTTTTCCTCAAGACATTTTATGGTTTTTGGTTTTACATTTAAGCCTTTAATCCATCTTGAGTTAATTTTTGTATAAGGTGTAAGGAAGGGGTCCAGTTTCAGTTTTCTGTATATGGCTAGCCAGTTTTCCCAGCACCATTTATTAACTACGAAATCATTTCCCCATTGCATGTTTTTGTCCAGCTTGTTGAAGATCAGTTGGTTGTAGATGTGTGGTGTTATTTCTGAGGTCTCTGTTCTGTTCCATTGGTCGATATGTCTGTTTTGGTACCAGTGCCATGCTGTTTTGGTTACTGTAGCCTTGTAATATACGTAGAAGTCAGGTAGTGTGATTCCTTCATTGTTGATTATATATTTAAAATAAAATAAATTCATATATCAAAGAGATATCTGTACTCCCATGTTTGTTGCAGCACTGTTCACAATAGCCAAGGTTTGGAAGCAACCTAAGTGTCTGTCAGCAGATGAATGGATAATGAAAATGTGGTACTTATACACAATGGAGTACTATTTAGCCATAAAAAGAATGAGATTCAGTCATTTGCAACAACATGTTTGGAACTAGACATCTTTATGTTAAGTGAAATAAGCCAGGCATAGAAAGGCAAATTTCACATGTTTTCATTTATTTGTGAGATTTAACAATCAAAACAATTGAACTCATGGAAACAGAGTAGAAGAATGGCTACCAGAGGCTAGGAGGGTTAATGGGTGTGTGAGGTGGGAAAGCGGGAATGGTTCTGTATCACACCCAAATCTTACCTTGAATTGTAACCCCTATGTGTTGGTGGTGGGGCCCATGGGACATGACTGAATTCTTGGGTTTGACTTACCCCTTGCTTTTATCATGATAATGAGTGAGTTCTCACGAGATTTGATAGTTTAAAAGTATAGTACTTCCTCCTTCATGCTTTCACTCTTCTGCCACCCTATGAAGAATGTGCTTGCTTCTCCTTCACCTTCTGCCTTGATTTTAAGTTTCCTGAGGCTTCCCAAGCCATGCAGAACTGTAAGCCAATTAAACCTCTTTTTAAAAATAAATGACTCAGTGTTAAGTAGTTCTTCATAGCAGTGTGAAAATGGACTAACACAAAAAATTGGTACCTAGAGTGGGGTACTAGTATAAAGATACCTGAAAATGTGGAAGTGACTTTGGAATTGGGTATTAAGCAGAGTTTGGAATGGTTTGAAAGGCTCAAAAGAAGGCAGACAGATGTGGGAAAGTTTGGAATTTCTTAGAGATTTGTTGTATGGTTTTGACCAAAATGCTGATAGTGATATGGACAATGAAGTCCAGGCTGAGGTACTCTTAGATGGAGATGAGGGACTTAATAGAAACTGGAGTAAATGTCACTCCTGTTATGCTTTAGCAAAGAGAGATGGTCTAAAATTGGAACTTATGTTTACAAGGGAAGCATAGCATAAAAGTTTGGAAAACTTGCAGCCTGACCATGTAGTAGAAAGGAAAAACCCATTTTCTGGGGAGAAACTCAAGCCAACTTCAGAGATTTGCATAGGTAAAAAGAAACCAAAAGTTAATAGACAAGAAAATGGGAAAAATATCTTCAGAGCATGTCAGAGACCTTTGTACCAGACCCTCCCATCACATGCCTGGAGGCCTGGGAGAGAAAAATGGTTTCATGGGCCAGGCCCAGTGCTCCACTGCTCTGTGCAGGCTCAGGACATGGAGTCCTGTGTCCCAGCTGCTCCAGCTCCAGCCATGGCTAATACATGGCAAGATACAGCTCAGACCATTGCTTCAGAGGGTGCAAGACCCAAACTTTGGTGACTTCAACATGGTGTTCAGCCTGTGGGTTTGCAGAAGGCAAAAGTTTGGGAACCTCCACCTAGATTTCAGAGGATGTATAGAGACACATGTATGTCCAGGCAGAAGTCAGCTCCAGGGACAGAGCCCTTATGGAAAACTCTACTAGGGCAGTATGGAGGGAAAATGTAGGGTTTCCTACAGAGTTTCACACAGAGTTCCCTCTGGGCACTGCCCAGTGGAGCTGTGAAAAGAGGGTCACTGTCCTCTAGACCCCAGAATTGTAGATCCACCAACAGCTTGCACGATGCACCTGGAAAAGCCACAGGCACACAATACCAACCTGTGAAAGTAGTCAAAGGGGATGTGCCCTACAGAGCCACAGGGGTGGAGCTGCCCATGCCTTTGAGAGCTGACCCCTTGCATCAGTGTGGTCTGGATTTAAGACATGGAGTCAAATGAGATTATTTTGGAACTATAAGATTTGATGACTGCCCAGCTGGGTTTTGGACTTGCATGGGGCTTGTAGCCCCTTTGTTTTGCACAATTTCTTCCACTTGAAATGGATGTATTTACCCAATATCTGTAACCTCATTGTATTTTGGAAGTTACTAACTTGTTTTTGATTTTACAGGCTCATAGGCAGAGGGGATTTGCCTCATCTCAGATAACATTTTGGACTTGGACTTTTGGGTTGATGCTTAAATGAGTTAAGACCTTGTGGACTATTAGGAAGGCATGATTGTGTTTTGAAATGTCAGAAGGACATGAGATTTGGGGGGAGCTGGGGCAGAATGTTATCGTTTGACTCTGTGTCCCCATCCAAATCTCATCTCAAATTGTTATCCCCACATGTTGGTGGAGGGGCCTGGATGGAGGTGATTGAATCCTGAGGGCAGACTTTCCCCTTGCTGTTCTCCTGATAGTGAGGGAATTCTCACCAGATCTGATGGTTTAAAAGTGTGGAACGTCTTCCTTCTCTCTTTCTTTCTTCTGCTACCATGTAAGGCGTGCCTTCCTTCCCCTTCACCTTCTGCCATGATTGTAAGTTTCCTGAGGCCTCCCCAGTCATGCAGAATGGTGAGTCAATTAAATCTCTTTTCTTTATAAATTACCCAGTCTCAGTTAGTTCTTTATAGCAGTGTGAAAATAGACTATAGAGTGGCAATGTAAACTAGTACAACCACTATATAGGATAGTTTAGAGATTCTTCAAAAAACAGAAAATAGATCTATTAGACAATTCATCAATCCCAATGCTGAGTATATATGCAAAAGAAGGGAAATCTGCATTCTCATGTCACTCTCGTGTTTGTTGAAGTGCTAGTCACAATAGTCAAGGTTTGGAAGCAGCCTAAGTGTCTACCTACAGATAAATGGATAAAGAAAATGTGGTACTGGCTGGGCATGGTAGCTCAGGTTTGTAATTCCAGCACTTTAGGAGGCTGAAGCAGGCAGATCATGTGAGGCCAGGAGTTCAAGACCAGCCTGGCCACCATGGTGGAACCGTATCTCTACTAAAAGTAAAAAAATTAGTTTGGCATGGGGGTGCATGCCTGTAATCCCAACTACTCAGGAGGCTGAGGCAGGCGAATCATTTGAACCTGGGAGGCAGAGGTTGCAGTGAGCCAAGATTTTGCCACTACATTCCAGCCTCGGTGACAGAGCAAGACTCTCTCTCTCTCTCAAAAAAAAAAAAAAAAGTAGTACTTATACACAATGGAGTGCTATTCAGCCATAAAAAAGAATGAGATTCAGTCATTTGGAACAAGATGGATGGAACTGGAGGTCATTATGTTAGATGAAATAAGTCAGGCATAGAAAGACAAACTTCACATGTTCTCAGTTATTTGTGGAATTTAAAAATCAAAATAATTTAACTCATGGAGACAGAGAGTAGAAGGATGGTTACCAGGGGCTGGGAAGGGTAATCAGGGGTGGAGTTGGGTAGTAGGGAAGGATAATTGGTACAAAATAGAAATAATGAATAAGACCTGGTATTTGATAGCATGGCAGGGTGACTATAGTCAAAATAATTTATTTATACCTAAAAGAATAACCAATGATTATAACTGGATTTTTTGTAACACAAAGGGTAAATGCTTGAGGGAATGAATAACCGATTTTGATGATGTGGTTATTACACATTTCATGACTGTATCCAAATACCTCGTGTATACTATAAATATATACACCTACTATGTAACCACAAACTTTAAAAGTAAAAATTACAAAAGGAGTTATATACTGAGAAATAGGATAGTCAAACTGTCAGAAGCCAGAGACAAGGAGATTCTTAAAAGCAGTAACAGAGAGAAAACTCATAATGTAGAATATATAAGAAATCTTCAATAAGTTTATCATCCAATTACTCAGCAGAAACCTTGGAGGCAAGAAAGCAGTAAGAAGATATATTTAAGATGCTAAAAGCAAAACAACCGCAACAAACACACAAAAACACAGAAAACTTTCAACTGAGAATTCTATATCCAACAAATTTATTCTTCAAATATAAGGAAGAAATTAAGACATCCCCAGATCAACAAAAGCTGAAGGAGTACATTAGATGTGCCCTCACAGAAATTCTAAAGGAAGTCCTTACAGGTTGAAATAAAAGCATACTGGACAATAACTTGAAGCTGGATAATATATAAGGGTCTATAGTAAAGAATAAATGAGCATATTAAAGCCAGTATCTTTATAATTTTGTTTTATAACTGCATTTTTTATGTTCTACAGTATATAAAATAAAAACACATGAATTAATTATTCTAGGTTAGTGGGTAAACAATATAGAGAGATTTAGTTATTGACATCAATGACATAACGTGGGGAGAGGTAACAGAGCTGTATAGGATAATTTTGGTATGCAATTGAAGTTGGTATCAATTCAGATTATAATTTTTTTAAATTTACAATGTTGCATGTATTTTCACTTTTACCCAATGAAAATATCCATCACATATACACAAAAGGGAGTGAGAAGGGAATCAAAATGTGTAACTACAGAAAAAAGATTAAAAGTAGGTAGTAATGGGGGAAATGAGGAACTAGAAATGTATGAGACATACAAAAAAACAACAGTATCAAAAGTATACCCTTCTTTATGAATAATTACTTTAAATTTAAGTGAATTAAACTCAGTCACAAGACACATGAATTAAAGAAGACAAAAATAAATTAAGTGATGCTCTGCATTCATAGATTGTAAGACTCAATGTTCTTAAGATGGCAATACTACCCAAAGAGATATAGAGATTCAATGAAATCTCTCTTAAAATCCCAATTATATGTTTTCTTCTTCTTGACAAAATACAAAAACTCATTCTAAAACTCATATGGAATCTCAAATAACTCTGAATAGTAGAAAAGTGGCTTCAACATCTGTGGGAAGAGAGGAATGTGGTTACTGTTTACTGGGCGTAGAATTTCTGTTTAGAAAGCTGAAAAAGTTCTTGAAATGGATTATAATGATGGCCGCACAATAATGTGAATGTACCTAAAAGATAGGGGGAAAGCTTTAGGACACTGAATTTGACCATAATTTATTGGATATGACCTCAAAAGTACAGGCAACAAAAGAAAAAGTAAATAAGTTCGATTTTATCAACATTAAATTTTTTTTGTATCCAAGGACACAGGGACAGGGTGAAAAGACAACACACAGAAAGGGAAAATGTGTGTAATTCATATTTCTGATACAAAATTAATATCCATAATATATTAGGAGTTCCTACAACTGAAGAACAACAGCAGCAACCAACCCAATTCAAATATGGACAAAGGATTTGAATAGATATTTTTCAAAGATGACATAGAAATGGTCAATTAGTCCATGGAAATATGTTTGTCATCACTGTTTATCAGAGAATAATAAATCAAAACCAGAATGAGATAGATACCACTTTGTAACCATTATCTGAAAAAAACAGAAATAAAAATTATTGGCAAGGATGTAGACAAATTGATACCCTTGTACATTGCTATAAGGAATGTAAAATGTTGCAGCCACTGTGGAAAATGGTTTGGCGGTTTCTCAAAAATGTAAACATAGTACCATCATATGACCCAGAAATTCCTAGCTGAGATTCACCAAATTTGTATTGAGTTTGTACTATAGGCCAGGTATTGTGCTTGGTATTAGGATATAAAGTTGAGTAAAATGGAACCTAATTGGAAAGAAGCAGAGGCAAAAGGATATTTTAATTACAGTGTACTAAGTCTAAACATATGTGTATGAACAAAGTATAAATGTTACCTACTGTTATTCACCCATTTTGAAGGAAGACTGCAAGAAAGCCTTTGTTCACAGAGGAGGTGACATTTGATCTGTATTTTGAATGCAACTGCATTATGACCTGGAATATTTCCAGCTTCTTTCATTAAAACATTTATCTATAGTAGACACTAGTCATTTTATGCTACTATGGAGTTTGATGTTATGTTAATCTTGATTTTAATGTCACACACCTGTCCAAGTTTATTAACCATAACATCACTTAAGCAAGTGATGAGGCAGTTAACACACTGAATTCAGAATACATCATAGGTAAAACATATTCTTATTCCCTTTTCCCTCCCCAAATTTAAGCCAGTGCACTTCACTTTTTGTTACAAATAACATTAAATTACAAATTTTAATACCTGTAGAGCAAATTACCATTGCCTAATTAATATCCAATTAGCACCTGCAACTCTCTACTCTCCTTGGAAGCTAGCTCAATATAGTAAAAAGTAATCAACAGAAGTCCAGAAATATTTATGATACTTCCAGTGCGCACTAAACTATATGGCATATATTTGTTCAATAGATGGTGAAAAAGACCAAGTGCAACAATGCTTTCATAGTCAAGTTGGGTCAATGAATCTATGAATCAGTTGCCTTTTCCTACTAATGTTAATGTCTCAACAGTCATCTTTTCTTGAATTGTACTAATTTTGGGTTGTTTATTCCCATCTCTTCCCATTCATGTTTCTAGAGTTATAGCTTTACTGCTGAATCAAATATCCCAGTAAGACCTGTTTAAAACAACCCTTTTTGGCTTCCTTAGAATGAACAGTCAGTCTTTGTTATGTAGTAAATTAATTTCTGTAATGAACACATATCCCAGATCTTTGCAGGTAATTAACAGTTCTCATTATCCAGGAGTCTTGGTCAATTTCTTTGGAAGCTGCAGGCTGATCCAATAAGCAAGCCCTGTGATTTTAGCACATTTTTCATTTGAAGAAACAGCGTGTGGCAGGTGTAGGAAGTGTTGTAGGAAAAAAATTTAAGCTATACTCCTTGGAGAACACAGACCAAAAGAGTACATTTATGTCGTTGAGATATCTCAGAGCACTATTTGCAAATGAACTGTTAATTCTTGCTTTTACAGTTCTGGGAAAATCTTCAGAATATTCTTGGCAAATAGAAGCTTTTTATTCTTTCTTCTTTTGGCATAGACATTGCACAGAAAAATCTGAGCTCTTTGGAATCATTCCTGAAACAAAAATTACAGGGGACTCTACTTAGAAATAGTTTAATATTCAACTGAAATACTGCAGATGCGAACTTATCGCTATTAAATTCAGTTATTCCTTATTACATGATTTAATTTGATAAAATTAAATTATACCCAGAGAGCTAAGGTCTTAATAGTACTGCCCGTATGTGAGTGGATTTCCAAAGAGTGGAGTCGAAGAATGTTCTTTAATAATTCTCCATCGTTAAAAATTTAGATTAGTCCCATTGCTTTTAAGATTTTTATAATTATATAAATAGGTTTACAACATCACCTGGATAATGTAGAGAATTACCTGCATTACCACATTTTTAACACATTCTGGCTCGCACTGCCAGTCTTTCTTTGTAGATTGACTATCAACAGCATGTATTTGGTACCTTGAAGTGATGTTTCAAATAAACCTAGGGGCTAGACAAATTAATTGGAGTACAAGAAGGTGTCAGAAAAGAGGAAAAATAAAAATGGTATTTTCAAAATTCTAAAATTATTATTGTTTAATTTAATGTAATTCAAAATGGATACTGCTTGAAGGGGTACAATAACTAGGATATTCTGTATAATGGGAACCTAGGCTTAGCTATTTAATCAAGTGAAGTATGATGGTGTTATAGTCTTCTGAATGGAAAACAGCTGAGTGCTTACCTGTCATTATTGGGGTTGAATGTTTATGAGTAGAAAGGTTACCCATGATTTAATGCATAGGCTCACATCTCTCTGAACCATTACCTGGGCAATGACAATGATTCCTGAAGGAAGATGACAGTCACTGGTGAAATCCATTGTAATTTTAGATGATAGCATTTTTGGTTATCATATGAAACCATCTGAGAGAACTCAGCAACTACCTGTCACCACTGACAACAAATAATGCAAACTAGATAGAGCTTTAGCTGCATTTTTTTCCTTTGAAAACTTATTTAGAACTTCTTAGAGTCAGTAGATTTCTTTTCAGAGATCAACCAAACTAGTTAATCCATTTCAGTCTTGAGATTGACCTATGAGGAGTTTGCTGGATATTAATAGGACTAGCCCTGCAACTAATAGCAGAATTGGGTTGGGAGTACAGAGAAAGTCAAGTAATTGAGGTATTTATTTAGTGTCTCACTACTCCATTGTGGTGCTGTCATTCTTGGTATTTACTGAGTCAGCTTACCAAACTGAGGTCTGAGAAGTATTTGCAAAGCCTAGCCCTTTACCTCTGATAAAATTGGCACCTCCAGTGCTCTGCCTTTCTCTGCCGGAAAATATGAATCTCCCAGATCTCTTCAATCAGTATTCAGCCAGGCTCATAAAACCATATTTCTATCCTCTGTTTTTCCCTTTCTTCTTTTTCTAATTTGTAAATACATAACCAGAGATATAAACTATGAAGATTGGAATATACACTATGGAATTGGGTGCCATAACCAACCACAATATATTATAAAGTTAATCCTAAGGCATATATTTAATTATATGCATAATCATTGTTGAACTGCATGACAATTAGACATAAATAGTAAACACTTCAAATAAATGACTATAATTACCAACACTTTTAATCAAGCCAAATCACAATTTCATTTTTTCTTCTCAGTTTGCTTGTTTGCCAGTATTTATAATACATGTCAACATTAACTGTTTCCCTGATATCATATAACTTTTATTTGATATCCTTATTACACACACCCACAGATATATTCATAACAGTCACACAAACCCAAAGGCCAAGCTCACATGATTATTTTTTTTCTGAAAATTAACGAATATTTGCCAATATTCTACCTCATGCCTATGCCTCAGGCTAAGTTTTCTTTTTACATTTTGCTCTTGATCTATACCTTTTGGAAAGGTATATCATTTCATTTTTAATTCAAGAAGTCAGAAATTCTAAATGCAATTAATGCCCCACATTTTTTTTATTCACTACCTCTATTTTTTTATTTTATTATTATTATACTTTAAGTTTTAGGGCACATGTGCACAATGTGCAGGTTAGTTACATATGTATACATGTGCCATGCTGGTGCGCTGCACCCATTAACTTGTCATTTAGCATTAGGTATATCTCCTAATGCTCTCCCTCCTCCCTCCCCCCACCACACAACAGTCCCCAGAGTGTGATGTTCCCCTTCCTGTGTCAATGTGTTCTCATTGTTCAATTCCTACCTGTGAGTGAGAATAAGCGGCGTTTGGTTTTTTGTCCTTGCGATAGTTTACTGAGAATGATGATTTCCAATTTCATCCATGTCCCTACAAAGGACATGACCTCATCATTTTTTATGGCTGCATAGTATTCCATGGTGTATATGTGCCACATTTTCTTAATCCAGTCTATCATTGTTGGACATTTGGGTTGGTTCCAAGTCTTTGCTATTGTTAATAGTACTGCAATAAACATACGTGTGCATGTGTCTTTATAGCAGCATGATTTATAATCCTTTGGGTATATACCCAGTAATGGGATGGCTGGGTCAAATGGTATTTCTAGTTCTAGATCCCTGAGGAATTGCCACACTGACTTCCACAATGGTTGAACTAGTTTACAGTCCCACCAACAGTGTAAAAGTGTTCCTATTTCTCCACATCCTCTCCAGCACCTGTTGTTTCCTGACTTTTTAATGATTGCCATTCTAACTGGTGTGAGATGGTATCTCATTGTGGTTTTGATTTGCATTTCTCTGATGGCCAGTGATGGTGAGCATTTTTTCATGTGTTTTATGGCTGCATAAATGTCTTCTTTTGAGAAGTGTCTGTTCATGTCCTTTGCCCACTTTTTGATGGGGTTGTTTGTTTTTTCTTGTAAATTTGTTTGAGTTCACTGTAGATTCTGGATATTAGCCCTTTGTCAGATGAGTAGGTTGTGAAAATTTTCTCCCATTTTGTAGGTTGCCTGTTCACTCTGATGGTAGTTTCTTTTGCTGTGCAGAAGCTCTTTAGTTTAATTAGATCCCATTTGTCAATTTTGGCTTTTGTTGCCATTGCTTTTGGTGTTTTAGACATGAAGTCCTTGCCCATGCCTATGTCCTTATTTTTTAACTCAAGACAAAGCTTTTATTTTATTATTCTTAGCTTGGAGAGAAGAGATGCAAGTTTACATTGGCACTTTCTCAGTTTCCACAGACAGCCACCAAAGAGTATGACCTCATGGTTTTAACCTTTTGATAAATCCTAATAATAGGCTTGCCTGTTATATTTTAAGTGAAAAGTGACAGAAGATCCCAGTTTTTAGGAATATGATTTCCCAAACATAAGCCACAATCAGGAATTGGTGTTACGTTGTCTCTACGACACTTTGGGGGCCAATATAGATAATTTTCCCTAGCCCCAGAAAATGACAAGAAAATACAAAGCATAGGTATGTGCATTACTTCCCCAGGGCTCCTGTAATAAATTACCACACACTTAGTGGTTTAAAATAGTAGATATTTGTTCTTTCACAGTTCTGGAGGCTAGAAGTCTAAAATCAAGATGTTGGCAGTGCCTTTCTCTGAATGATCTAAGGGGGGATCTTTCCTTGCCTCTGCCTAGTTTCTGGTGATTGCTGGCAATCTTTGGTATTCACTGGTTTGTAACTGCATCAATCCCACCTCTGCCTCTGTTGTCATGTGACTTTTTTCCCCTGTGTGTCTGTGTGTCCTCCCTTCTTCTAACAAGGATACCAGTCATAATAAGTTTAGGGCCTACTCTACTCTAGTAGGGCCTTATTTTGACTTCACTAATTACATGTGCAAAGACTCAACTTACAAATAAATTTACATCCTGAAATTTTAGGTGGACACGAGTTTTCTTTGGGGGGACTGTGACAGTTTTATGTGTCAATTTGGCTGAGCCACTGTGTCTAGAGATTTGCTCAAGAGGTAGCCAGAATGTTTCTGTGACGTTATTTTACGGTTAACATTAACATTTAAATCAGTAGACTTTGAGTAAAGCAGATTTCCCACCATAATGTAGGTAAGCTTCATCCAGTCAGTTAACAAAAGAATGACTGACTTTCCTCAAGCAAGAAAGAATTCTGCCAGAAGATTGCCTTTGAACTTGTACTGCATCTCCTCCTTAAGTCCCTAGCCTGCTGGCCTATCTTGTAGATATTGGATTTACACCTTCCCAATCATAAAAGCCAATTCCTTAAAATAAATCTCTATTTGAAGAGCCTCTTCAATGTTATTGTAATGAGCATCTCCTGTTGGTTTTGTTTCTATGAAGAACCCCATATAATACAGGCTTTGATACTAAAAAGTGGGGTGCTCCTCTAACAGATTTCTAAAAATGCGGAATTAGCTTTCAAACAGGGTAATGGATAGAAGCAGGAGAGTTTTGAGAAGCGTGTTAATAAAACACCTAGATTGTTTTAGACTGTGAATAGTGATTCTCTTGAGGTCTCAGACAGAAATGTAGAACTTGCTATTGAAACTAGAAGAAAGGTAGTCTCATTGTTATGAAGTGGTAAATAACTTGGCTGAATTGTGTTCTAGTGTTTGTGGAAAGTAGAAACTGTAAGTGACAAACTTGATTCTTTTACCTAAGATTTCTAAGCAAAGTGTTGAAAATACAGTCTAGTTTATTCTTGTTGCTTGTAGCAAAATGCAAAAGCAGAGAGATAAATTGAGAGAGAAATTGTTAAACAAAAAGGCATCAGAACTTGAAAATGAATTCTTAGCCTACTCATATTGCAAAAAATTGAGAAAATATGTTCTGGAGAGAACACTAAGGGTGGGACTGGACAACGACTCAATAAAGAAATTATGGTGTTAGCCATTTTAGCAGAAGCAGGAATAAAAATGTGGTTATATCAGCAGAAACAGGGCCAGCTGAGACTAAGGGAAACAAAGAAAGGACAACATAAAGAAAGACTGTAGGACGTCTGAGATTCTACAGGATGGGCTGATACAGCTATCCAGTTGCAAGCATGTGCTATCCTTCCAGGCAGAAGAAAGACCTCAAAAGTGGCTAGAAGACTAGAAGGGCTGCTACTTCCACTACAGGCCCAGAGGGCACAAGCTCAGTGGTTGAAGCTGTCTTTTCCAGAGTTTCAGAGGACAGGGCTCCCTTATCTGTTCCATCAGGCAGACTGCCATGTGCCAGTGGTTCAGAGACATGGCTGCAACCCAGGGTCTCATGGAAGTGACCTTGCCGACCCAGTTAAGTCTGGAAGGCAGAGCTGCCACATCTATTATTATAGACTGAGCAAAACAAGGGAGTTTGAGAGTCTTCCCTGGGTAAATACCATATAGCAGTGGCTGAGAATAAAGATCAGGTCTTTGCATATTCCCTTAGGATCCTTGCTTTCTGCACCACAGACTAGGTATTACTGTCATACATGTAATAAACTTAACCTGGTCTACTTTCAAAACCCATTTTTTGTACACTCCACTCTGAAATATATGTTTATGGGAAATAAGAGATGACTGACTTCTCTCTTATTGCCTTTATTAATCTTATGATCACAAGTTTATCCTTCACCTATGACTCCATCCAACTTCTGGAATCTTCTGATCCAAGCTTCTTATAATCTGTCAAACTCTTCTAGTCAAACTGGATTTCCACCTTTCTGTTCATCCCTCACCTCATCCTCACTCCATGCCTGCACACAATTTCCTGATATGTCCAGCCTACTTCATTCTATTATTGCCACAATTGGAAATATTATTTTCACTGCAGTAGATGCATTTATTTATGAATATGGATTACTGGAAAGAAAACAGTTAAAGAATCTTACCAAGGTCAAAATTACATAGAATGCATGTGAGCTTTTACTATAATGGGGAAAGGTGGGACTTTTATCAAAATTACCCCTTCTCCACTGACCTGCTATGCTACAAAGATACATTTTAAACATAATTCTAGGAACAGAAGTATTAATACCAAAACAGTTTTAGATAAAAATAATAATCAAGATGGCACTGGATCAACAATTACCTGCCAGTCTACATAATATTAAGTGTCTCAAATGTACAAAGCATTTGATAAAAATCCAGGAATTTTTCAAGTGAATGCATAGTTGACTGCAATTTTCCATTTTCATCGGGATATCTGACACTCTATAAAGATAATCCTAAGGTCTAGATTTCAATTCTTTATTTTGAGACTGCTTGGACATACAGTTCTATGTCATGACCATCTTTGGCCTAGTTCTAGAAAACAGAGTCATGGTGTGATTCAAATTGGCTCACTACACAGTGCATGAACCCTCTGTACACCATAGGAAACACTGTAGGATTAACAAAAAAAAAAACAAAAAAGAAAACAAGGATAATTTTATATCCTCGAGCAAAGCCTAGTTGAAGCCATAATCACAAAACTCTGTAGTCAATTCTGTCTTATACATTTGAATAGTTATATAAGAAAATTTGGTCTAATAAATGTCAAATAAAAATGTAAAATAGAGGCCAATGCAAAAACAAAGGGCAAATGCAAAATCAGTTAGGTGAGATATTTTTTTTTCATTTACTAGAAGATAGGCTTTTTGAAACAGGAAAATGAAAATGCTCTGAACTGTTCATCCCATGCTGAGAGGTGAGACAGGCAATAACTCTGATTCTTACTCAAATCTACTATTTGCTTGGCTGGCTGTGGTTTCCCCTGGAGCTTGAATATATTCATTAGATTTTCAATGAAAACTAAGTCAGACTGTAGAAAATGATGAAATACTTGTTAAGTAGTCTTTTTCCATCTCCAATAAACATGTACCTTCACTTCATTGGAATTGAGTACAAGTTCATGTGAGCTCTGAATGACTCAACCTTCAGGGACAGTAAACTGTGTGGCAGAGCAGACAGAAGCAATACCTTTGAAAGATAAATGGTGAAATACTTAGTATAACGTTTATACTGAGATACCAAAATCTAACTTAGTTTCCTCTCCTTGTTACTCATAATCATATCTTGGTTTTCAGAATAGTTTTGTGCTAGTTGTTGTTTTTGCACTTTGCTATCAGGTTGTCATATATGTGTGAAAAATATTCATTATAGTATGTCAATCATTTTAGTGCTTTACAATTTTCAATATCTTCACAAAAATGATGAAAGAAATTTCCATATATGTTATTTTTGTTTGAGTCTTGTTTGATTCATTCTCTGAGAATATATATCTTATTTTATTTTAGAAATAATTCAAACGTTCCAAAGTATTTTATTTTATTTTGTCCAACTTTACTGAGGTACAATTGACATTAAAAATTGTATATATTTGAGTTGTACAATGTTATGATTTGATATATGTATTCATTGGGTAATAATTACCACAAATTAATCAATACATTCATCACCACATATAGTTGCACATTGTGTGTGTCTGTATGTGTGTGTGTGTCTATGCATTGAGGACACTTAAGATTTACTTTTGTAGCAAATGTTAAGAACAGAGTGAGAGCCAATTCAAGTATTTTTTTAAATTTTTAAATTTTTGTGGGTACATAATAGGTGTATATAGTTATGGAATTTATGAGATGCTTTGATACAGGCATGCAATGTAAAATAATCACAATATTGAGAATGAGATAGCTATCCATTTATGCATTTATCCTTTGTGTTACCAAAAAATCCAATTACATTACTTTAGTTATCTTACACTTGATCTTAGCCAAAAGGCCAAGAAGTGATTAGTTATTTTAAAATGTACAATTTATTATTGAGTATAGTCACTCTCTTGTACTATTGAATAGTAGATCTTATTTATTCTCAATAACAATTTATTGTACCAATTAAATATCACCAACTTCCTGCCCACTCCCCAACTTCCCATTACTATTCCCAGCCTCTGGTTACCATCCTTCTACTCTGTATCTCCATGAATTCAATTGTTTTAATTTTTAGATTCTACAAATAAGTGAGAACATGTGAAGTTTGTCTTTCTGTGCCTGGCTTATTTCACTTAACATAATAATCTCCAGTTCCACCCATGTTGTTGCAAATGATAGGATCCCATTATTTTCTATGCTGAATAGTACTCCATTGTGTACAAGCACCATGTTTTCTTTCTTTATTCATCTGTCGATGGACTCTTACTTTGCTTCCAAATTTAGCTATCACAAACAGTGCTGCAGTAAACATAGTAGTGCAGAGATCTCTTTGATATACTGATTTCCATTCTTTTAGGTATATATCCAGCAGTAGAAATGGTGGATTACGTGGTAGTCCAAATTTTAGTTTTTAGAGGAATCCGAAAATTTTCTCCATAGTAGTTGTATTTATATCTCCACCCTAATTTACCTTTCCACTAACAGTGTACGAGGATTCCCTTTTCTTCACATCCTCACCAACATTCATTATAACCCCTCTTTTTTATATAAGCCATTTTAACTGGAGTGAAATGATATTCCATTATAGTTTTTATTTACATTTCTCTGATGATTCATGATGTTGAGCATCTTTTAATATGCGTTTTTGCTATTTGTATGACTTATTTTGAGAAATGTCTATTCAAATATTTTGCCCATTTTTAAAATCAGATTTTTCTTTCCTATAGAGTTGTTTGAGCTCCTTATATATAATATCGGTATTAATCCCTTCTCAGATAGGTAGTTTGCAAATATTTTCTCCCATTTTGTAGGTTGTCCCTTCATTTTGTTGATTGTACCCTTTGCTGTGCAGAAGCTTTTTAAGTTGATGTAATTCCATTTACTCCTGCTTGCTTTTGTTGCCTGTGTTTGTGGAGTATTATTGCTCAAGACATTTTTGCCCAGACCAAATCTCCTGGAGATTTTCCCCAATGTTTTCTTGCAGTAGTTTCATAGTTTGAGGTCTTAGATTTAAATGTTTGTTTAATACATTTTTACTTGATTTTTTTTTTTGTATAACGTGAGATATTTGGTCTAGATTTATTCTTCTGCATATGGATGTGCAGTTTTCCCAGCACCATTTATTGAAAAGGCTGTCTTTTCCCCAGTGTATGTTTCTGCCACCTTGTCAAAAATGAGCTCACTGTAGGTGGGTGAATTTGTTTCTGGGTTCTCTATTCTGTTCCATTAGTCTTTTTGTCTGTTTTTATGCCAGTACAATGCTGTTTTGATTACTATAGTTCTGTAGCATAATGTGAAGTCAGATAATATCATTCTTCCAATTTTGTTCTTTTTGCTTAGGATAGCTTCGGCTATTTTGGGTCTTCTTTGGTTTCACATAGATTTTATAATTTTTTTTATTTCTGTGAATAATGTCATTGGTATTTTAATAGGAATTTCATTGAATCTGTAGGTTGCTTTGAATAGTAGGACCGTGTTAACAATATTGATCCTTCAAATCCATGAACATGGAATATTTTTCCATTTCTTTGTGTCCTCTACAATTTCACTCATCAGTGTTTTATAGTCTTTATTATAGAGATCTTTTACTTCCTTGGTTAATTCCTAGGTGTTTAATTTTATGTGTGGCTATTATAAATTGAATTACTTGTTAAATTTCTTTTTCAGATTGTTCTCTGTTTGGATACAGAAACACTTCTGATTTTTTATATTGATTTTGTATTCTTCAATTTTACTGAAATTGTTTATCCGTTCTAACAGTTTTCTTTTGGAATCTTTAGGCTTTTCTTTTTTTTTTATTATTATACTTTAAGTTTTAGGGTACATGTGCACAATGTGCAGGTTAGTTACATATGTATACATGTGCCATGCTGGTGCGCTGCACCCACTAACTCGTCATCTAGCATTAGGTATATCTCCCGATGCTATCCCTCCCCCCTCCCCCCACCCCACAACAGTCCCCAGAGTGTGATATTCCTCTTCCTGTGTCCATGTGATCTCATTGTTCAATTCCCACCTATGAGTGAGAATATGCGGTGTTTGGTTTTTAGTTCTTGCGATAGTTTACTGAGAATGATGATTTCCAGTTTCATCCATGTCCCTACAAAGGACATGAACTCATCATTTTTTATGGCTGCATAGTATTCCACGGTGTATATGTGCCACATTTTCTTAATCCAGTCTATCATTGTTGGACATTTGGATTGGTTCCAAGTCTTTGCTAAATGTAAGATTATATTATCTGCAAACAAGGATAATTTGACTTCTTCCTTTCCAGTTTGGATGCCCTGTATATCTTTGTTTTGTTTTTTTCTTCTGATTGCTCTAGCTAGAACTTTCAGCACTACGTTGAATAAACGTGATGAAAGTGGGAATCTTTGTCTTGTTACAGATGTAGAGGAAAGGATTTCAGTTTTTCCCTATTTATTATGATACTAGTGTAGGTCTATCATATATGGCCTTTATTATGTTGAGGTGTGTTCTTTCTATCCTGTTTTTTGAGAGTTTTCATGATAAAGGATGTTCAATGTTATCAAATACATTTTCAGCATTAACTGAAATGATTATATGAGTTTTATTCTTCATTCCCTTGATATGATGTACCACTGGGGTACCCAATTCCTAGGCCATGGTATGGTTCGTAGCCTGTTAGGAACGGGGATGTACAGCAGGACGTGAGCGATGAGTAAGTAAGTGAAGCTTCATCTGTATTTACAGCTACCCCCTATCACTTGCATTGTCACCTGGGTTCCGCCTAATGTCAGATCAGCAGCACCGTTAGATTCTCACAGGAACACGAACCCTTTTGTGAACTGCACATTTGAGGGATGTAGGTTACACACTGCTTATGAGAATCTAATGCCTTATGATCTATCACTGTCTCCCATCCCCCCCAGATGGCACCATCTAGTTTCAGGAAAACAAGCTCAGGGCTCCCACTGATTCTACATTATGATGAGTTGTACAATTATATCATTGTACATTACAATGTAATAATAATAGAAATAAAGTGCACAATAAATGTAATGAGCTTGAATCATCCTGAAACCATCCCCCTCCACGGGTCCATGGGAAAATTGTCTTCCAAGAAACAAGTTCCTGGTGCCAAAAAGGTTAGGGGCCACTGGATTGTATCAGATTGATTGATTTGCTTTTGTTGAACCATCCTTGCAAATCAGGGATAAATCCCACTTGGTCATGATGAGTGATCTTTATAACATACAGTTGAATTAGATTTGCTTTTGCATCAATAATCACCAGATATATTGGTCTGTAGTTTTCTTTTTTCAATGTTCTTTGTCTTGTTTTGGTATCAGGGTAATACTGGCCTTGTGGAATTAGTTTGGAAGTACTCTCTCCACTTTTAATTTTTGGAAAAGTTTGAGTAGGGTTGGTATTAGCTCCTCTTTTAATGTTTGGTAGAATTCACCAGTGAAGCCAGTGGGTCCTGGGCTTTTCTTTACTAAAAGACTTTTTATTACAGCTTCAAACTCATTACTTGTTATTAATCTGTTCAGGTTTTGCATTTTTTCCTGGTTCAGTCATTGTAGGTTTTATGTTTCTAGGAATTTGTCCATTTTTTCTAGATTTTCCAATTCACTGGCATATAGTTGCTCATAGTAGCCACTAATGATCCTTTGAATTTCTGTAGTATCAGTTGTAATGTCTTCTTTTTTATCTCTGATTTTACATATATCTTCCCTTTTTTTGTTATTCTGGCTACAGTTTTCTCCATTCTTTTACCTTTCAAAAAACCTAACCCAACTTTTTGTTTTACTGACCTTTTGCATTATTTTTTATTCTAATTTGAATTATTCCTGCCCTGATGTTTATTAGTTCTTTTCTTCTACTAATTTTGTTTTTGGTTTGCTTTTGCTTTTCTTTAAGATGCATCATTAAATTGTTTATTTGAAATTCTTTTCTTGATTGATGTAGGCGTTTACAGCAACAAACTTCCCTCCAAGTACTGCTTTTGTTCTAGCTGATAGGTTACAGTATGTTGTGTTTCCAGTATCATTTCTTTCAAGAATTTTTCAATTTCCTTCTTAATTTCTTTATTGACCCCCTGGAACAGTTGTAATTATTATTTTTAATTGGTTAACTGTGTAATCTTTCTACATAGGACAAAAGTATTTTACACACCACAGTTACAGTGTTATAATATTCTGTGTTTTTCTGTGTACTTACTATTACCAGTGAGTTATGTACCCTCAGGTGACTACTTATTGCTCATTAATGTACTTTTCTGTCTGATTAACGTACTCCCTTTAGCATTTCTTGTAGGGCGGGCCTGGTGTTGATGAAATCCCTCAGCTTCTGTTTGTCTGAAAAAGTCTTTATTTCTCCTTCATGTCTGAAGGATATTTTTTCCAGATATAATATTCTAGTGTAAAAGCTTTTTTCTTTCAGCAGTTTAAATATGTCATGCCACTCTCTCCTGGCCTGTAAGGTTTCCAATGAGTCTGTTGCCAGATGTATTGGAGCTCCCTTGTATGTTATTTGTTTCTTTTCTTTTGCTACTTTTAGAACGCTTTTTTTATCATTGACCTTTGGGAGTTTGATTATTAAATGCCTTGAGGTAATCTTCTTTGCATTAAGTCTGATGTTCTGTAACCTTCTTGTATTTGGATATTAATATCTTTCTCTGGGTTTGGTAAGTTCTCTGTTATTATCATTTTCAATAAATTTTGTACCCCTCTCTTTCTCTACCTCCTCTTTAAGGCCAATAACTCTTAGACTTGCCCTTCTGAGGCTATTTTCTTAGATCCTGTAAGCATGCTTCATTGCTTTTTATTCTTCTTTCTTTTGTGTCCTCTGATTGTGTATTTCCAAATAGCCTGTCTTCAAGCTCACTAATTCTTCCTTCTCCTTGATCCATTCTTCTGTTAAAGGACTTTGATACATTCTTCAGCATGCCAAGTACATTTTTTCAGCTCCAGAATTTCTGTTTGGTTCTTTTAAATTATTTCTATCTCTTTGTTAATTTTGTCTGATAGGATTCTGAATTCCTTCTTTAGGTTATCTTGAATCTCTTTTCATTTCCTCAACAGAGCTATTTTGAATTCTCTGTCTGAAAGATCATACATCTCTGTTTCCCTAGGATTTTTCCCTGGTGCTATATTTAGTTCATTTTGTGAGGTCATATTTTCCTGGATGTTGTTGATGCTAGTAGATGTTCTTCAGTGTCTTAACATTTAAGAGTTAGGTATTCATTTTAGTCTTCACTGTCTAGAATTACTTGTAGCCATTCTTCTAGGGAAGGCTTTCCAGATATTTGGGAGGACTTCAGTGTTTTGATCTAAGCTGTGTATGCTTTATGGGAAACCTAAGCTCAATAATGCTGTGGTTCTTTCTTACTCGTTGATGTATCACCTTGATGTTTTTGGACAAGCTCCAGTAGAATTCTCTGGATTACCAGAAGAAGACTCTTGTTCTCTTTTCTTACTTTGTTCTAAACAAGCAGAATTCCTCTGTTTGTTGTGAGCTGCATAAAGCTTGGAGTGAAGTGACATAAGCAACCTTGTGGCCACCGCCACTATGACTGTGCTAGGTTTGACCTGAAGCTAGCACAGTTCTAGGTCTCACCCAAGGCCTTCTGTAAACACTTCATGGCTACTACCTATGTTTTCTCAAGGCTCTGGGGCTCCATCATCAGCAGGTAGCAAAGCCAGCCAGACTTGTGTTTTTCCCTTCAGAGTGGTGAATTTCCTAAGTCCCCTGTGGGTCCATAGAGCCCTCCAGGAGTCAGAGACTAGAGTCATAAATCTTAGAAAAGCTTACCTGGCGTTCTATTATACTGCAGCTAATCTAATCTTGCACTCAAACCATGAGATGCCATTTTTTCCACTGTTGCTATTCCTTTCTAGAGGCAGAAGAACCTCATCCCATATCCGTGGCTACCCCAGGCCATTAGGAGTACTGCCAGAATACTGCCAATGTTCCCTTAAGGCCCAAGTTCTCTTATGTCAGCTTGCTGTGAATTCTGCCTGTCCTGGGACTCACCCTTTAGGGCAGTGAGCTCTGCTCTGGCCCAGGACGGGTCCAGAAGTGCCATGCCAGCATCAAGCCCTGAAATCAGGGACCCCAGGAGCCTCTTTGGGATCCAGCTCTACTGCCCTGTGGCTGTGCTGGTACCTAAGGTTCAAGACAAAGTCCTCTTTACTTTTCCCTGTGCTTTTGTCAAGCAGGAGTGTCGCCCCATAGCCACCACAACTGGAAATGTGCTGAGCCTTACATAGAGCCCATAAGTCTCAGAGGCTCACCAAGGCCTTCAATGTAGTATCTGGGTATTGCTGTGGGTTATTCAGGGCCCAAGCGCTCTTCATTTAGCAGATGATAAATGCTGGCAGGACTGGGTCCTTTCCTTCAAGGTAGCCAGTTCTCTTCTGGTCCAGGGTTTGTCTAGAAATGTTATCTGAGAGCTATGGACTGGAATGGGGGTCTCATTATTCTGACTGGTGCCCTACCTTGCTGAGGCTGAGCTGTTTCCAAGACCCAACATAAAGTCCTCCCCACTCTTCCTTCTTCTCTCCTCAAGTGGAAGGAAGAGGTCTGTTTTGGAGCCATGAGCTGTGCAGCTTGAGCTTAGAGGAAGGATAATGCCAGCACTTTCTTGGCTTGCCCAGCAGTGTCAGTGAGTCATGTGCCTCCCCAGGTTTCTGGCTCTGGGCCTAGTTCAGCCCTAAGACTCAACCAAGAGTTGCATTCCTTATGGCCTAGACTGACTTTCAAGTTTACTTGAAAGCACTTTGGCCCTAAGTAGAGAAGTTTGTGGGGACTCAAGTTTGGACCTCTGGGATAAGCGATTCTTCTCCGGCTAGGGCTGGTTTAAATGCTCCCTTTATTGGCAGTCATTAGTTGAGTTTGATCCAGTTTTCCTTTTTGCTCTAACAGGACAGCACTGAGTTCAGTGCCTCATAATTGCTGTGTGCTTTCTCTCCATGCACCCAGAGATGCTGTTTCCACCAGGCTGCTGCTGTGGGTGGGGTTGGGGAGGGGTGGCGTCACTGATTTAGGACTGTTTTTTCTATATCTTCAGTGCCTCTTTCAGGGATATGAAGTTAAAATCAGGTACTATGAGTGCTCATCTAATTTTTGGTTCTTATGACGGCTTTTTTTTTCTGTGTAGACAGTTGTTAAATTGGTGTACTTGCTGGGGGGACGGTTAGTGAATACTTCTATTCCACCACCTTGTTCCATCTCCTTGCTCCATGTATTTGAAGTGGCACATTAAATTTCAGAACCTATGCTGGATGTTAGAAATTTTAGTACCTTAGATCCATATTGTTTTTTCAAATTGCCTTTTTAGGCATGTTCTGCAAAATACATTTTTTGAAGAACATAAGAACATAGAAGAATCAGCATAAAAATTTTAATTTAAAATTTATATCACTATGTGTTATTAATGAGAAAAACTTGTCTTAAATTGATTAGACTTTCTTCTCCAAGAATCTGGTGGGAGTGGGAGAGAAGATCTGTTGAAAAGTAAAAATGAATCTTCAATTTTTAAATAATGGCCAGTTTTGCTGACATCTTTTCATCGGAAAACTTACACAACAATTCAGCATAGAAAAATAACTTACTATTGCAAGCAGCATTTTTATTTTCTTATTTAATTAAATCAATTAGAAGTGAAAGCTTATTTTTTAACATTTTTAAATGAGGTATAATTTATATACCATGAATGTTCAGCTCAGCCAGTTTTGGTGTATATATGCCAAGATACAGAACAATGTTATCATTCCAGAGATTTCCCTTATCCACTTTTCCATTTAATCACTACCTCTCTCCTCACTGTAAGAAGCACCACTTTTTGGGTTTCAATCACCAGAGACTAGTTTTAATGAAGAGTATGATTTTCTATTATTTTAAGGTACAATTTACATACAGAAAGATTCACCCACTTTAATGTATAGTTCTTTGAGTTTTGGCCAATGTATACAGTAATGTAACCACCACCACAATCAAGACACAGAACAGTGTTTTCACCTCCTCAAATTCCTTGTTTGTACTCACCCCACACTCCACCCTGTCTACTAGCAGCCACTTAATTGTATTCTGTTCTTTCAGTTTTGACTTTGCAAAAATGCCATGAAAACAGACTCATAGAGCATGCAACATTTTTAGTCTGCTTTCTTCTTTTGAGATAAATGCATTCAAGTTTCATTCACATTGTGTGTGCCAAGAGTTCATATCATTTTAATATGGGGTAGAACTGATGTACTGCAATGCTTTTTATCCGTTCCCTAGTTGAGAAACATTTAGGTTGATCCTAGCTTTGGATGATTGCAAATACAGATGCTATGAACATTTTCACACAGGTTTTTAGGTGAATAGCCATTTTCAATTTATATGAATGATGTCTTCTTGCTCATTCCTAACACTAAATATTTCATATTCTTTTTATCTTGGTGAATTTGGCTAGTGGCTCATCAGCTTCTCAGCTCCTCTCAACAAAAGCTTTTAATTTCATTGTTTTCTCTATTTTTTTCTTCTCAATTTCACTGATTTCTATTATATTTTAATTTCTAAATTTTGTTTCATTGCCCAGAATTTGATCTATCTTGGTTAACGTTCTTTGTGCATTAGAAAATACTGAATATTCTCTTGCTATTGGATAGAGTGGTCTAAAATGTCAATTAGGCCAGTTTTTGAATAGTGTTGTTCAAGTCTTCTATACACTTACTGATTTTCTGCATATTTTTTCTATCAGTTATCAAGAGAAAGTGTTAAACTACCCAACTGCAATTGTTAATCTGTCTAGTTATCCTATCAGATCCATCAGTTTGTTCTTCATTTATTTTGAAACTATGTTGTTCAATACACAAATACTTAAGATTATTATGTCTTCTTGGAGAACCGACTATTATTATGTAGCGTCTTTCTTTATCCTTGGTAATATCCGTTGTTGTAAAGTGTATTTTGCTTGCTATTAATAAACTACCACAACTTTATTTTTATTAGTGTATATACAGAGATACACACATGCACACTCTTACACACACTTTTAACCTATATGTGGCTGTATAGTTAAAATTGGCTTAAGACTACATATAGCTGACTCTTCATTATTTTATCTAACCTAACAATATATGTCCTTAAATTGATGAGCTTAGGCAATTTATATTTTTAAAAATGATTGACATGCTTGGATTAAAATCTATCATCTTGAGTTTTCTCATTAAAATAGTGCCTCTTTTATTTGCAGGGTAAATGTTTCAAGACCCTGTGTGGATGCCTGAAATCGCTGGTAGGAAAACACCTCACATACACTATGTTTTTCCTTGCACAGTAATGAGAGGGTAGTGTATATAGTGTGGGTATGCTAGACAAGTGGAAGATTCATGACCTGGGCAGGATGCAGCGGGACAGCAGGAGATGTCATCACATTACTCAGAATGGTGTGCACTTTTAAATGTGTGAATTATTTCTGAAATTTTCCATGTAATATTTTTGAAAAGAAGATGAAATCACAGATAAGGTGAGACTACTATATTTCCTCATTCTCTTTGTATATGTTTTCATATTTTAATCTTTGCTTTGGATTTATCCATTATTTATTTTATTTTGTTTAAATACCATTATACCATTTCATGTGTATTACAAAGAACTTACTGCAGTATACTTCCAATTACACCCCCTCTCCTTACTACAGTATACTACTAAGTCCTCCTTTCTTACCATAGTATACTCCCAATTCTTCCCTCTTATCTTTTGTGCTACTGATATTCATTTTGTTTTGTAAATGTTATAAACACAATTTGTTACTACCATTTTTAGTTTAGTGAGTTATCTTTAGATAAATTAAAAATGAGAGCAAAAATCAGTTTTGTATTTAAATTCATTTCTTCTACTATCAGTGGTCTTCATTTATTTGTATAGATCCAAGTGTTTAATATAATATTGCTTTTGCCTGAAGAACTTTCTTTAACATTTATTATAGTGTGAGTCTGCTGTCAATAAATTACATAAGTTTATGTTTGTCTGAAAATGTTCTTATTTTGCCATTATTTTTTTCTATTGTTAACTTTTATTTTAAGTTCAGGGTCACGAGTATACGTTTGTTATATAGGTAAACTTGTGTGATTGGTGTTTGTTATACAGATTACTTCATCATCCATGTATTAAGCCTAGTACTTATTAATTATTTTTCCTGATCCTCTACCTTCTTTCACTCTCTGCCCTCAAAAAGGCCATAGTGTGTGTTGTTCTACTGTGTGTGTCTATGTGTTCTCATCATTTAACTCCCAACTATAAGTGAGAACATGCAGTATTGGTTTTCTGTATCTGTGTTAGTTTGTTAAGGATAATGACTTCCAGCTCCATCCATGTCCCTGCAAAGGACATTATCTAATTCCTTTTTATGGCTCCATAGGATTCCATGGTGTACATGTATGATATTTTCTTTATTCAGTCTATCATTGATGGGAATTTAGGTTAATTCCATGTTTTTGCTATTGTGAATAGTGCTGCAATGAGTGTGTGTGTGTGTGTCTTTATAATAGAATGATTTCTATTCCTTTGGGTATATACCTAGTAATGGGATTGCTGGGTGTAATAATATTTTTGTCTTTTGGTCTTTGAGGATTTGCCACATGGTCTTCCCCAGTGGCTGAACTAATTTACATACCCACCAACAGTTTATAAGCATTCTCTTTTCTCCACAACCCTGCCAGCGTCTGGTATTTTTTGACTTTTTAATAATAGCCTTTCTGACTGGCATGAGATGGTATCTTATTGTGGTTTTCAGTTGTTTTTCTCTAATGATCAGTGATGTTGAATTTTTTTTAATGATTGTTAGTCACATGTATGTCTTCTTTTGAGAAGTGTCTGTTCATGTTGTTTGCTCATTTTTTAATGCAGTTGTTTTTTTTCTTGTAATTTTTTTAAGTTCTTTATAGATGCTGGACATTAGACCTTTGTCAGATGCATAATTTTCAAAAATTTCCTCCCATTCTATAGGTTTCCTGTTTACTCTGTTGATAGTTTCTTTTGCTGTGCAGAAGCTCTTTAGTTTAATTAGATCCCATTTTCAGTTTTTGCTTTTGTTGCAAATGCTTTTGATGTTTTCGCCATGAAATCTTTGCTCATGCTTATGTCCTGAATGGTATTGCCTAGGTTATCTTCTGGGGTTTTTATAGTTTTGGGTTCTACATTTAAATCTTTAGCCCATCTTGAGTAAATGCAAGAAAGAAATAGTTCCAATCTTCAGCATGTGGCTAGCCAGTTATCTCAGTACCATTTATTGAATAGGAAATCCTTTCCCCATCACTTGTTTTTGTCAGGTTTGTTGAAGATCAGATAATTGTAGGCATGTAGTCTTATTTCTGGGTTCTCTTTTCTGTTCTATGGGTCTATGTGCCTGTTTTCGTACTGGTGTCATGCTGTTTGATTACTGTAGCCTTGTAGTATAGTTTGAAGCAGGGTAGCATGATGCCTCCAGCTTTGTTCTTTTTGCTTAGGACTGCCTTGGCTATTCAGGCTCTTTTTTGGTTCCATATGGATTTTAAAATAGTTTTCTCAGAATGTCAATGGTAGTTTAATAGGAAAAGCACTGAATCTATCAATTGCTTTGGGTAGTATGGCCATTTTAACAATATTGATGCTTTCTATACATGAGCATTGAATATTTTTCCATTTGCTTGTGTCATCTCTGATTTCTTTGAAAAGTGGTTTGTAGTTCGCCTTGTAAAGGTCTTTCACCTCGCTTTTTAGCTGTATTCCTAGGTATCTTATTACTTATGAGGCAATTGCAAATGGGAGTTTATTCCTGATTTGGCTTTTGGCTTGACGGTTGTTTTGTATAGGAATGCCACTGATTTTTGCATGATGATTTTGTATCCTCTGACTTTTATTTTGCCTTCATTTTGAATGATATGTTTGCTTGGTATTAGCATTTTATGATATAACTCCATCGTTCTTCACTTGTGAAATTTCTGAAGAAAGGTCTGCTAAAATTTTTATCATTTTTCCATATATATAAAATGTATCCTGCTTTCTGTGGCATTCTTCAAGATTTGTTTTCCCTCTTTCTCTGTTTTTTTTTTTGTTGTTGTTAAAGTATTTTAAATTAAATGTGTCCAGATGTTGCTTTGTTTTATAGGTGAGATAGTAAGAATATAACAGCCTGTTATATTCTTATAGCAGGTTGTACATTATGACAATCTCACTGAGGCGGATGTTCTCCTGTCATAAGTGTACACCAGGAGAAACAGTTTTTCAGGAATCTTGTCCTTCACTCAGTTTTTCTTATGAGCCATGAGTGAGGGCTATGGAGAAGAGTGTGCAAATGGGTGCAAATTCTTATTGTGTCTGAATTTCATAGACCATATTATCAAAACAATGCTTACTCAGCCTTTATTTTGTAATTTTCATTTAATATTTAAGTGGAATCTGTTTACTGGTTAGTATAGCTTCCAGCGTCATCTGCCTAAGGTAAACAAGTACTTATATCTCATCTCTCCTTGAAGGCACCTTTCTTTAGATTGTTTTTATTTTGTTGCCATATGCCCTTATTTCTCTGATGGGTTCAAAAATTCTTGTGAATTTACAGATGGCCTGGCCCTTTTCCTTTTTGTAAGTGTGGAGGTAATGATCATTACAGCTTTCTGTGTCCTAAATTGAAATACTAACTATCAAGAAAACTCATTTTTATAAAAAGTAAATAGTCTAAAATTTTGGTGTTTCCAAGTACTTGTATATTTACTTAGTTTAATGTTTTAAGAATTACATTTTTAATTGTTTTGAACCTGGTCCCAAACTTATGCTAATATGACTTTTAGGTTATTATTGGTCTTACACAGGAATAATAATGGTAATATATATGGCCATGTTTGCCCACCTTCCTCAGAATTTTCTTCTGAATGGGGTAATTGCTCTTCAGTGTAATCTATATTGACAAGTTCCTGATCTCCAAAACTAGTTTCTCTTTCATTAGCCTGCTGCTGGTACCAGAACTTTTACCATTAGAAGTTCATTTTTTCCTAAATATTGTTTTATATATAAGACACAAGCATGCATGTATATAACAGCTTTACTCACTATCAAAGTCTTTCCAATGGAATAGTTGGGTAAGACTAGTTTCCTGAAAAATTGCAATACAGTCCAAGGGAATAAATTCAGACACCAGTTTTACAATGGAGAACATTAATCCTGAATATAACTTTTAGGTCAAAATTAGAAAGAGAACTAAAATTATTAAAGACTTTAAATATTCACATTTCTCCCTTTAAAGACATTTTATTACCTTGTCCTTCACTTTCCCACAATTCGATAGTTACTCAGAATGTTTATGCTGGTTCTTGGATGCCTCATCCATGTCCACTGAAGCACATTGCCAAATACATAGTAGGGATTTACAAATGTTTTCTGATGACTTCTCGTAAATGAAAGTTAATAAATCAAATAAATAGTAAATATTTAATAATGAGCCTTGAACTGTCAATGGCAAAGAACTTTAGATAAGTACTTCCCAATTTTCCTGAGGAGTAACCCAAATCTTATTCAGGATTAAGGCATAGTGTGTATCTAATTGTTTTTATTTATCAGTTATAAATGATGGGAATTAATTGTGAAGGTAATTCCAGTTAGGTATACTATGAAAGATTTTGGGAAATGTTTAACTTATTAAGGCAAAAAAGTTATTTTCCAACATACTAAAGTTTAACAAACTAGACAGATTAGGGAAGGGGTTTGTAAGTGTGGTTGTCTGAGTTATTTAATCTTTTATCAAACCAGGCTTAAGTATTATAATTTTTGCTTTAATTTTTATTGTTTATAATTTTCTAACATATTTCTACTTACACTAAAATGAGAGTAAATGCATGCTTTCTAAAATATGAAGAGATGTTTCTCCTTTAAAAAATCATGAAAGGAAAACACGTAAGAAATGAATGAAACTGCCCTAAATTTGTGTTAAGTTATTCATATACATAAAGACCTTATGTCAAATTCTGTGATCAGAGAAAGATATCTCATGATTTTTGCCCTCTGGGAGCTGATAAACTAGTGGGACAACCACATTAACAATACCTTCCCCATTATTCCATAATGTGATTATGGAGCACTAGAAGCAGAAGCAGAGTTCCACTCTCAACAATGCATCAGGAAACTAGCAGGAAATACCCACAGGCATAGAACATATCCATGACAGTTGGATTCTAGCTTCGGCCCCTTGATTAGGTAGATGTAAGAATTTCTAATTTTCATTTCTAATAACTGATCCTGTCTCCTTCATATTTTCAGTTGTCATTTTGCTGCATATTTAGACCTTGATACTCTACTTGCTCCTCAGGTTCTTTTGTACTCAGTATTGACAACTTTGGATTGTTCCCAAAGAAGGATGCCAATAAATACTTGTATATGGGGGAAAAAAGTTATGGGAGCAGAAGAGAAAGTGTAATTGGAATTTCAGGGTCCTGTAATTTCATGTCTAGATCCCAAAGTTGCTTTCAAAAAATTTATATCATTGGTTTCTTTGCTCATGACTTCAGTTTTTCTACAAAAATTAGGATTAATTGATGTTTCCAGTCTATTGGGGTCTGTTTAATGGGATTTTTTCTAAGTTTTCTGTTTTATACCATACTTTACTTTGGCTTTTGTAACACATGATAACAAGAGTAAAATATGAAAAGGAAAGAGCTGGGTCAGAAAAAAATAATAATGTAATCAGATTCCGGCTAGGCTGCAAAGACAACTGAGCTGTTATAACATTGATGTCAAGCAAGTGCTCTTACTTGCATATCAGTGGGGGCCCAGAGGAGATGATACAGAAGACAGGTAAGCATCTCATTAAAATAAAATAATAGGATAAAACTAATTAATAATGTTAATTAACATCAGAATGAAACCTAGCTCTTTTATTAAAAAAAGGTAAAATCCGCTATCTCATTAACTGATTCCAATTAAAATTTATTTCTTTGAGTAGATCTGTGAATTGTACATTTATTTAGAGGAAATATTTCCAGTTTGAGCTAATAAACTGAGCTGAGATCACTTCAACATTTGTTAACTGCTCTAGCATGAGTAAATAAATCCACTTGAAAAGTGAAACAAATACTTTTTTCCTCTAAATGTCCAGTATCTGTCCCTTCAGTCACATACTTGGAGAATATCTGTATGCGGCAAGCTCAAATATGAACAATTTTTAGTAGCCAAGAATTCTCATGTAATTTCTCTGTTTTCTTAAAATACTCAGACATATTGAGCTTTCATTAGGTAACTGAGAAATTTATAATTTCAAATAGGCATCTATTTTCTATTTAAAAAGATGCCTTTCAACATTAGACTCCAGGATATACTAAGCAAATTCAGAATTATAAATGAATTGTGATATACCCAACAGTTATGCCAAAAGATTGTTCTGCAATACTTGACTCTGTCACAGGATTTTGCATACAAAATGCAATTCACCAAAGTTCATTATGGGTCATTTCTGGAATTATGCTGAAATGCTGGTTATTCTGACCATGGGGGCAACATAGTAAATGTAGAAACTTATTTAGGAGTCATACCTTTAGAGTAATGTACAGTAAGAGCGGAGACTGCAGCTCTTTTAATTCTTTATAATAGAGCAATGGTTTATATACTTAGCCCTATATTTATACCTGAGATATTATTACTGACTAATGTCATTTTTTCAACTGGCATCAATCATGAAAGGATTGGAACAAATTCAGAGAAGAACAACACAAATGATTGAAGACAAATAAGTTTGACATATGTAAAAGATTAAAATAACAACTATATTTTACTTGGCTAAATAATACCTTAGGGAGGTGTGATGTTCAAATTTATGTGTAAGTTTAACTAGGCCATGGTACTCAGACATTTGGGCAACACTGGTCTTGATGTTGCTGTGAAGGTATTTTTTAGCTAAGATTAACCTTTAAATCAGTAGACTTTTAAAAAAGCAGATTACTCTTATAATGTGGATAGATTTATTCAACCAATTTGTTGGAGGTCTTAAAGTAAAACAGGCTGCTATTTCCCAAGGAAGAGGAAATTCATCTACAGACTATCTTTGGACTTGAGCTGCAACCTCAACTCTTCCCTGGGTCCCAACCCGCAAGGCTACCTGTCAGATTTTGGACTTGCCAGTCTCCACAATTGTGAGTCAGTCAATTCATTAAAATGTTTCTCTCTCTCTCTCTCTTTCTCTCTCTCTCTCTCCCTCTCTCTCTCTCTCATACAGGAGCTAAATATAGCATTATAGCTTCCCTGTATTGGAGGTGGGAAAATACTTATAATAACAAAAGAAGGTATATACCTAGGAGTAATGGGATGAAACGTTGTGAAGTCAAATGTTGATTCACAATCAAAAATATTCTGTAATCATTAGTTCTACTTCTATAATTATTATTTAATAATTTTATGAAATAATAAGCATGTAAGGATTGTTCCATAAATGAATTTATGTCAAAGAAATAATGAAATGTATTTTCAAAGAAACTAGCCTAACGGTGCAACTATAATAAGTGCACTGTCATTATGATTATGTAGTATGTGACAGTGTGCTAGTGTGTGTGTGCATTGATGTTTAAAAATCAACTGAATAGCATCATTTTCACATGGGGTCAATATCCCCTTGTGTCCTCTCTACATGGTTTTAAAATAAATTTATTTTACTGGGCACCTATGGCTAAGGCACAATGTTAAGCTGTTATGTCAAATCACAAATATAAATAAAATAGAACTACCCTTTCTTGATGTACTTACAATCTTGCAGCACAGACATCACTAAACATAGGCCATCTGTATTAGTCAGGTTCTTTGGAGAAACAGAACCAATAGGATAGATAGATGATAGATGATAGATAGATAGATAGATAGATAGATAGATAGATAGATAGATGATAGATGATAGATGAAAGGGGATTTATTATGGTAATTGGTTTGCTCAAATATGGAGGCTGAGAAACTGTGAAATCCCACGATAGACCACCTGCAAGCTGGAGAGCCAGGAAAACTGTAGTGTGGCTTAAAAAAACAAAAAAGTGCCCTGGCCTCAGAACCACAAAAACCAATGGTATGAGTATCAGCCCAAGGCCAAAGGCCTGAAAACCCAGAGGCCTGCAGGTGCAAGTCCTAGAGTCCAAAGGCCAGAAAACCTGCCTCTCTTATGTCCAAGGGCAGGAGAAGATGAACATCCCAGTTCAGGAGACAGAGAGAGAGACAGAGACAGAGAGAGGATACACAAATAATTTGCTTTTCTCTGCCTTTTTGTTGTAATCAGGTCCCCTGCTGATTGGATGGTGCCTACCCACACTGAGGATGGATCTTCCCCACTCAGTCCACTGACTCACATGCAAATCTCCTATAGAACCACCATCAACAGACACACCCAGAAATAATGCCTTACCAGTCATCAAGGTATTTCTTAATCTAGTCAAGTTGACACTCAAAATTAACCATCATACTATTTTAACAACAATTAAACTTGATAAGCACTATAATGGAAGCATAGACAAGTTGCTGAGATCTATAGGGAAGGGATTAATTCCTCCAGGGAAGATGAGGGAAAGCTTCATAGAGCACTTTGCTATTGAATTTTCCCTTTTAAGAGATTGATAAACTACAAGAGGATATGGGGAAAAAAAGACACCCTAAACAAAAGGATTAGCTTGAGCACATTAATGGAGGGGAGTGTATATTAATTTTAAAAGCAGTTCAATATTGTTTGGGTATAAAAAGTATATTAGTGACATATATACTGTGAAAAACTACCACTGTAGGTTAGAGCTAGAATATCTTTAACTTCACTCTTGTGTCTATAGTCATATGGAGTCTTCATCAAGTCGTATTGTCATTTATGAATAATATCTTCTACATCTCCCCAAAGATAAGTAATTTTTCATGTGACGATTATTTCATCTTATAATTTTGGAAGTGTTTCAATTGGAAAACTTCAACTCTGCTGAATGTGTGAGTTGAGAATTTTGAGCTCTCTAATAGAGATATTTATCTGTTTCAAAGGATGCGGGAAGGAAGTGTGTGCCCCAAAGTCAGATGTTTCCTTTGTGTTTAGATACAGCTTCCCCTCAATATTAATGTTTAAAATGTTAAGAGTATCAGTTGTGTGATGAGACTAAGTTCAATATTTTTTATTGGTAAGAGATCCCTCTCAGAAATATGCATTTGGGAGCAACTACAACAATGTCTGGCAATCAATAGGTACCTAGTAAAATATTTTTAAGGTTAAGAAGGCAAATCACTGCTTTAGTCCACCATCTTTAAAAGATCTTCTTACTTCTCCCTCACAATTTTTTTCTCCCCTCCTTTTCTCCCTTTAACAGTATATATTGCTCTCTATCTTGTGTTTTGGATATAGTAGGTGCTCAGTAGATGTTTGTGGAATGAATGGGAATGAATTTCAGTATAATATTTGATTTGATTTGATTTGATTTTCCTTAAAGTAATAATGGGACAGGACTTATTGAAATGGACTTATTATTAATCACTAGGAAAGTCTCCTGGATCTAATAGAGGATCCGTTTGTCTCATGAACGTAGCCTGGGAGACCCAGATTCTTGTTACTGGAAAAAGGCATTTTAGAGCCATCTCTTTACAGCTTATCTCTAGCAAGAAGATTGACTCACTCAGCTTCTTAGTGATTCTGAAGTAGATCATTGCTAAAACACTTTAAATCTTAGTTGAAATAAAAGGGAAGAGTCTAATTAGGGAGAACGAAATTCGGGTAGCCTTTTGTGTGCATCCATGAATCTGTACTGTTTATTTCTCCCAACTAGAAAAGTGATAACTTTTAAATTAATAGGGGAGTTAATGATTGGAGTAGCTGCAAGTTGAGTTTAATCCCCTTAAGATTTATTAATCTGGACTATGGAAGGCACTGAAGAAAATTCTAATAAGAAAATCTCTGCTTTGTAAAAGGAGCATAATTTGACTTGTCATTCTGTTGAATGACCTAATATATCATTTCCTGTTTTATGTCTTACAGAAATGACCTGAGGCTGCTCTCTATCAATAGATAACTTGATTCAAAACTTCTTTTTTTACATATTCACTGGCACCTATAATTATCCTATAAAAAATGTTGAAATTCAATGAATGGGGATAATGAGAAAAGGAACTAATTCCAAGGGATAAAGTACAATGGATAAGTACAATGTTGCCTCTGGTTGAGTAATTTCTGTTTACTTACTATTATTATTTTTGCTATCTTCCTTGAAAAGAGGTCTACCAGGGTCCTTCTAAGATTGGTTTTAAGGATCCTAAAATTTACTGCTTAAAAGAAGTTCACTTTTGTCCTCATTTCCAATGAATGATATATCTATGCTAACATTACTGTTTATAATGCTATGTATTGTAATTAGGTCAATATCATGAGCTAAATTCTCCTAAAATACTACTACTAGTAGTAGCTTTCATTTATTGCCAAGCATTTAATGTGGATTACTTCATTTAAACATCATAGTAATGCTGTAAAGTAGGTACTAGTACTATCACAAATGTATCCTCTTAATCGTATTACTCTGCTGCATTGACTCCAGAAAGCACTCCATTATGTGAGGCTAGTATCTTATGGTAGTGTGTCTTGAATGAAGGGAATGTAGCTATCACAGTATAAATCATCATCACTCCTGGACAAGCAATTTAAAATTCTTATAGATATTGGTTCAGCAATTTTTACATAAAGAATAACACATCTTTTATTTTTTTGTACCTTTATCCCACAAAAGCATAATACTTGAGGTAGTTAAAGCAGCCAAGCAAAATATCACAGCATCTGAAAACTCTGTGACTAGACCACAAAGCTATCTGTATGAGAACAAGGAGGAGCTTCCATAAAAGAGAAAAAGCATCTGTAACACAGTTGCTGGATTTTCTCTTGTGACTATAGTGCAGTCTCAGCTAATGCATTACTTCTGAAATTCCATGAGTATTAAAATAACTGAAAGAAATTGCTGTAGGCTAATATTTGTATGTGTGTGTATGTGTATGCACATGCGTATGTGTGTCAAATTATCTGTCTGTGAAAAATCTTTTATATTGTTTTTCTTTTGATAAAAAAACTGATAGAGGAGATTAAGAATTCCAGTGACTGGAAAATATATATTTGAAATATGCTAGCTTATGTTACCACTGTACAAGACTAACTCAATTTGCATGAGGTGCTGCATATCTGGAAAACCAATTTGGTTGTATTTCAGCTATAGCAAATGGATTTGGTGTGAGGTATGAAATAATTTATTAGCAATGCATACTATAGTTAGAAACAACATTCTCAATTCTTATGTAATTTTTGATAGTTGTAACTCTGCTTGATATTTGTCTTCAATGGGCATAACAGGACTGAAAATGCAAAATCTTGTGCTGGAAGCTCATCTCTTGTGTTGTAAGGAGGTATGAGTCTGTCTCCTCGACCAGTGAGACGTTCTGAGTAAATCGATGTTTGACAAAGTTTGTGTTTGCTGCTCTTACAGGCTTTTAATTTTGGTTCTCCTCTACTTCTGGTCTTTGTCTTATGCCCTTTTGATAAACCTTTCTTAGGTTCCTAGATCTGTGCTTTTGTGCATGGTTTTACAGATTGTGCACTTTACAAGGGCACTGTATATAAAGGCGTCATCACATTGTATACATCAAAGATTTGTACAATGTTTTTAATTTTCTGAGAGATGGCACCAAAGTTTCTTGGTCTGAGAAATTGGTATATTATTAACTCTTTCTGATACATGAAAATAAAGTTAACAGAGAATGAAATACTGCATATTCTCACTTATAAGTGGGAGCTGAACAATAAGAACACATGGACACAGGGAAGGGAACAACACACACTGGGGCCTATCAGGAGGGCAAGGAGAGGGAGAGCATCAGGATAAACAGCTATTGTATGTGGGGCTTCATACCTAGGTGATGGGTTGATAGGTGCAGGAAACCACCATGGCACACATTTACCTATACATAACAAACCTGCACATCCTGCACATGTATCCAGGAACTTAAAATTAAATTAAATTAAATTAAAAGAAAGAAAATAATGTTTTTTAAGTAATGGAAGCTTTTTAGTTTTTTCTTTCTCAAAGGCATTGTTTTGGTTAATTGTATCCCTGACTAGATGTTTAGGTGCTCAAAACTGTTGCTGCTCCTAGCTGTAAGCAAACCACTGGAATTTCCACAAAACATTACAAATACCCAATTATTCTACATCCTTCATGACCCTTATTCAGTATCATGCAAATATCACCCCTAACCAAATAATACTACTAAAAGTGATTTTAGGAATTTAGGAAGATTAAAGAAAGGGGTAGAATAGAGACATATTTCACATAGGGTGGTGTATTAGTTCCTTTTTATGCTGCTGATAAAGACATACCCAAGAATTGATAATTTATATAAAAAAGGTTTAAGGGACTCATTTCCACATGGCTGGGGATGCCTCAAAGTCATGGCAGAAGGTGAAAGGCACATCTTACATGGTGGCAGGCAAAAGAGAAAAGTGACAGCCAAATAAAAGGAAAACCCCTTTATAAAACTATCAGATCTCATGAGACTTACACACTACCATGAATAAGAGAACAGTATGAAGGAAACCTCCCCCATGATTTAATTATCTCCCCCTGGGCCCCTCCCACAGCATGTGGGAATTATGGGAGCTGCAATTCAAGCAAAGATTTGGGTGGGGACACAGACAAACCATATCATCCATCCCTGCCCCCTCCCAAATCTCATGTCCTCACATTTGAAAACCAATCATACCTTCCCAACAGTCACCCAAAAATCTTAACTCATTTTAGCTTTAACTCAAAAGTCCACACTCCAAAGTGTCATCCGAGACAAAGCAAGTCCCTTTCACTATAAGCCTGTAAAATCAAAAGCAAATTAGTTACTTTCCAGGTACAATGGGGGTAAAGGCATCGAATAAATATACCCATTCCAAATAGGATAAATTGGCCAAAACAAAGGGGATGCAGGCCCCATGCAAGTCCAAAATCCAATAGAGCCGTCATTAAACCTTAAAGTTCCAAAATGATATACTTGGACTCCATGTCTCACATCCAGTTCACCCTGAGGCAAGAGGTGGGCTCTCATGGCCTTGGGCAGATTTGTCCCTGTGGCTTTGCCAGTACAACTCCCCTTCTGGCTGCTTTCATGAGCTGGCATTGAGTGTTTGTGCCTTTTTCAGGTGCACAGTGTAAACTGTTGGTGGATTTACCATTCAGGGGTCTGGAGGTTGGTGGACCTCTTTCCACAGCTCCACTAGGCAGTGCCCCAGTGGGGATTCTATGTGGGGGTTCCAACTCCACATTTCCCTTCCACACTGCCCTAGCAGAAATTCTCCATGAGCGCCCCACCCCTGCAGCAAACTTCTGCCTGGACATCCAGGTGTTTCCATACATCCTCTGAAATCTAGGCAAAGGGTCCAAAACCTCAATTCTTACCTTCTGTGCACCTGCAGGCCCAAAAGCACATGGAAGCAGCCAAGACTTGTGGTTTGCCCCCTCTGAAGCAACAGCTTGAGCTGTACGTTGGCCCCTTTTAGCCACACTATAGTGGTTGGGACTCAGGGCACCAAGTCCCAAGGCTGCACACAGCAGGAGTCCCTGGACCCAGCCCATGAAACCATTTTTCCCTCCTAGGCCTCTGGGCCCATGATGGGAGGGGCTGCCGTGAAGACTTCTGACATGCCCTGGAGACATTTTCCCCATTGTCTTGGTGATTTACATTTGGCTCCTTATTACTTATGTTAATTTCTGCAGCTGGCCTGAATTTCTCCTCAGAAAACGGATTTTTCTTTTCTATTGCATCTTTAGGCTGCAAATTTTCAGAACTTTTATGCTATTTCCCTTTTAAAACTGAATGCTTTTAACAGCACCCAAATCACCTCTTGAATGCTTTGCTGCTTAACAATTTATTCCACCAAATACCCTAAATCATCTCCCTCAAGTTCAAAGTTCTACAAATATCTAGGGCAGGAACAAAATGTCACCAGTCTCTTTGCTAAAACAGCAAGTCACCTTTACTCCAGTTCCTAACAAGTTCCTCATCTCCATCTGAGACCACCTCAGCCTGAATTTCATTGTCCATATCATTATCAGCATTTTGGTCAAAGCCATTCACCAAGTCTCTAGGAAGTTCCATACATTCTCATATTTTCCTGTCTTATTCTAAGCCCTCCAAACTGTTCCAACCTCTGCCTGTTATCCATTCCAAAGTTGCTTCTATGTTTTGGGGTATCTTTATAGCAGCACCCCTGCTCTACTGGTACCAATTTACCATATTAGTCCATTTTCATGCTGCTGATAGTGACATATCTGAGACTGGGTAATTTATAAAGAAAAAGAGGTTTAACAGTTCCAAGTGGCTGGGGAGTCCTCACAATTATGGTGGAAGGTGAAAGCTGCACCTTACATGGCGGCAGGCAAGAGAGAAAAATGACAGCCTAGTGAAAATCATCAGATCTTGTGAGACTTATTTACCAACACGAGAACAGGATAGAGAAAACCGCCTCCTATGATTCAATTATCTCCCCCTAGGTCCCTTCCACAGCACATGGGAATTATGGGAGCTAAAATTCAAGCTAAGATCTGGGTGGGGACATGGCCAAACCATATCAGGTAGGTTATAAAGTCAGCAATGTAAAGCAAAAGGGGTGCATCATCAAAATTACTCTTTAGGGCCAGGTACCGTGGATTATGCCTGTAATCCCAGCACTTTGGGAGGCTGAGGTGGGTAGATTGCTTGAGCTCAGGAGTTGGAGACCAGCCTAGGCAACAGCGAGATCCCCTCTCTACAAAAATACAAAAAATTAGCTGGTGACATGCACCTTTATCCCCAATTACTCAGGAGGCTGAAGTGGGAGGATTGTTTGAGCCTGGGAGGTCATGGCTGCAGTGAGCTGAGATTGTGCCACTGCAGTCCAGCCTGGGTAACAGAGCAAGACTCTATCTCAAAAAAAAAAATACTCTTTAAATACAGGGAGTCTTCAACAGGTTTTTCAAAATTTGTATTGTGAATAAACTATGCCTGGATTTCAAAGTATTTTGCACTAAAGTAAAAGTGAACTACCTTGTTATAACATATCTGAACATGATCTAGTTTGAGGGATTAAAGAGAATAAGAAATCAGTTTGAAATCAGCCCCTTTCAGAGCAACATGAATTCTACTAAAATTGAAGCAAGAACAAACACAAAATTTATGGTGAAGCATGAGTGGAAGAATGGTGAAATCATTGATGCTTTTCAGAGTTTATGGGGATAATGTCCCCATAGAAATCAGCAGTTTACAAATATACAACTTATTTTATGAAATGATGAGATGATGTTGAAGATTGAAGCCTAAAGCAGCAGATCATCTATAGCAATTTGAAAGAAAAATAAAATATTGTTGCTCCTAATTGAAGATGACCAACAATTAACAGCACAAAGAATAACCATTACCATAGACATCTCAATTGGATAAACTTACATAATCCTGACTAAAAAATTAAAGTTAAGCAAACTTTTCACTTGATGGTTATCAAAACTGTTGCAACCACATCAGCTTCAGACAAGAGCAGAGCTTTCAATAAAAATGTTAAACAAGTGGGATAAAGATCTTGAAGCATTTCTTAGAAGAAATGTAAAGAGAGATGAAGCATGGCTTTACCAGTACAATCCTGAAGACAAAGCACAGTCAACAAATGGTTACCAATAGGCAGAAGTTGTCTAGTCAGAGTAAAAGCTGACTGGTCAGGAGCAAAGGTCATGGAAACAGTTTTTTTTTGAGATGCTCAAGTCATTTTGTTTGCTAACTTTCTGGAGGGTCAAATAATGATAACATCTGATTATTATGACAGTATTTTGAGAAAATTAGGCAAAGTTTTAGCAGAAAAATTTCCAGAAAAGTTCCATCAGGAAGTCCTTCTCCACAATGGCAAAGTTTCTTCTTGTTACTCTCATCAAACAAGGGCAACTTTGCAAGAGTTTCAATAGAAAATCATTAGGTATCCATCTTACAGTAGTTATTTGGCAAGTTCTGACTTCTTTTTCTTTCCTAATCTTAAGAAATCTTTAAAGGGAACCAATTTTTCTTCAGCTAATAATGAAAACAGGCTGAATTGACATGGTTCAATTCCAAGGATCCTCAGTTCTTTAGGGATGGACTAAATAGCTGGCTTTATTACTTACAAATCAGTGTTTAATTTGATGGAGTTTATGTTGAGAAATAAAATTTATATATACTTTTATTTTACATTTTATTTCCATTTTTAATGAATGTTTTGAAGTCCCCTGAAAGCATAGGAAGGCATGGTGCTGAAAAATAATAAATAGGCTCTTAATAAGTCTTACATGACCGGTTTCTCTGCCAGTGTTGGAACAGATCACAATTTTCCTGCAATGGCTTGTAGTTAAGGATAATGGACTCTAAAACAGTGTATCTTTGAACACTTAGAATTGCATTTAGAATATCAAGAAGTGCAGATCCTTAAAGATATGCAGGACCCCTGACTTCAGGATGAAGACAATTCACTTTGGGTGTAATTCTCAATGAGTGCCCTGGCAGGCAGAATTACCTAAACTGCTAACAGTGGAATTAGTATAAGTTAACAAAAAGTGACTTCAGCATATTTTTGGTCCCAATCATGCCATGTAGGATTTTACACATAAGCTTTTCTATGCAGGACACAGGGGTCAAATCAAAGGATATCTTTTTTTCAGTTATTTCTGTAGTGTTTATGCTGTGTAAATAAATGTGGGGTACAAAAAGTTTTTCTCAATGCCTTAACATTTCTCACTTCTTTGCATATCATTTCATCGGTGTTAGCAGTGAAACACCACTGTCTTCTGTTCCTCAAATGTTTTATACTATTTAGATAAACTTAATGAATGATTAAGAATTCCAAGAAGTGACACAATAGAGATCCAATGTTATAGGAATAAAAAATGGAGAAATTTTGATTTAGAAGAAGACATAGAGAACGTACAGTCTTCTTCGTTTTGTAGATTAATATACTCTCATCCAGGGAAATTAGATTGGTGACTTACTCATTTAAGTCCACATTTTAAGTAACTATAATAAATTTGTCATCTATCCTTTCATTCCTCTATCCATTGATTTAGTTATTGTATGTTGGAATATCTTCTATGTGCCAAGCATGAAATGAGGCACTGGGGTAGGAACATGAATAAAAAAACCTCAAGAGGCTCATGGCCTAGAAAGGGAGAGAAATATATAAACAGGCCATTTTTATCTGATAGATTACCATGATGGGGATATGCGGGGAGATTTATGGCAATATAGGAAAAGGTTACTTCACCTAGCTCAGATGGGATGGTCTATTAGGTAAAGAATCCTGTAGGAAATGATGTATAAGGTGGAAGCTGATGAGCAAGGTAGAGTAAAGCAAAATGAAATTGGTCAGGAGGACTATCATTCCAGGCAGGGGTAAAGAGGAGCAAAGACACGAAGATTAGAAAAACAAAACAAAACAAAAAAAACCATGGGGTGCATGTAAGAGAACTGCTTGTAGTTCTGCCTCGTTGGATTAGGGGTATGTATCATCAGTCATATTTGTGGGTGGGAGCATGAAGCTGGAGAATTAGGCAGAGACAATAATGGAGATCCTTGTATTTTATGTTTACAAGTTTGGACTTCATCCCATTGGCTTTTTCAAGAAATCAGTTTTTATACATTTTATTTGAAATTTTGGGGGAATTTTTTTTACTTTTTAGAAACATGTTCAATGTGCATAATTTATCATAGTCTTTTTTAACTTATATTTTTAATTTATGTGGGTACGTAGTCATTGTATATATTTATGGGGTTCATGAAATATTTTGATACAGGCATGCAATGAGTAATAATCATATCAGAGTAAATGGGGTATGAATCCTCTCAAGCATTTATCCTTTGTGTTATAAACAAAGCAATTATACTCTTTTAGTTATTTTAAAATGTAAAATTAAATTATTATTGGCTATAGTCCCCCTGTTGTGCTATCAAATACTGCATCTTATTCATTATTTCTATTTTTTTTAGTCCATTAACCATCTGCACTTACCCCCAAACTCCCCCACTACTATTCTCAGCCTCTGGTAACCATACTTCTACTCTCTATATCCCTAAATTCAATTGTTTTATTTTTTAGTTCTCACAAGTAAGTGAGGGCATGAAAAGTTTATCTTTCTGAACCTGTATATTTCACCTAACATAATGATCTCCAGTTCCATCCATGTTGTTGCAAATGACTGAAACTCATGCTTTTCTATGGCTGAATCCAATTATTCATCCATAGTATTCAGCTATCTGATTATTATTCCATTGTCTATAAATGCTACATTTCCTTTATCCATTAATCTGTTGATGGACACTTAGATTGCTTTCAAAGCTTGAATATTGTAAACAGTGTTGCAGTAAACATGGGAGAGCCTATATCTCTTCGATATACTGATTTCCATTCCTTTGGGTGCATACCCAGCAGGGGGTTGCTGGATCATACGATAGTTCAGTTTTCAGTGTTTTAATTAACTTCCAAACTGTTCTCCATAGTGGTTGTATTAATTTACATTCCTACCAACACTGTATGAAAGTTCTTTTTTCTCCATATCCTTGTCAGCATTTGTTATTGTCTGTCTTTTGGATATAAACCATTTTAACTGGGTTGAGATGATATCCCATTGTAGTTTTGATTTGAATTCATCTGATGATCAACGATGTTTAGGACCTTTTTATAAACCTGTTTGCCATTAGTATGCCTTATTTTCAGAAATGTCTATTCAAATATTTTGCCCGTTCATTAAATGGATTATTAGCTTTTTCCTACAGAGTTTTAGCTTCCTATATGTTCTGGTTATTAATTCCTTGTAAGGTGGGTAGTTTGCAAATATTTTCTTCCATTCTGTGAGTTGTCTGTTTACTTTGTTTATTGTTTCCTTTGTTGTTCAGAAGCTTTTTAACTTCAAGTGATTCATTTTTTCCATCATTGCGTTGGTTGCCTGTACTCGTGGGGCATTACTCAAGAAATCTTTGCACACTCCAATGTCCTGGAGAGTTTCCCCAATGTTTTCTTGTAGTAGTTTCAGAGTTTGATGTGTTAGAATTACATCTTTAATTCATTTTTATTTTATTTTTGTATGTGACAGGAGATAGGGGTGTAGTTTCATTCTTCTGCACACAGATAACTAGTTTTCCCAGATAACTAGTTTTCCCAGCACCATTTATTGAAGAGATAGTCTTTTCCCTCAATGGATGTTCTTGATACCTTTGTCTAAAATGAGTTCAATGTAGGTGTGAGGATTTGTTTTGGGGTTCTTTATTCTGTTCCATTGTTCTATGTGTCTTTTTTGTGCCAGTACCCTACTGTTTTGGTGACTATAAGTGTGTGGTATAATGTGAAGCCAGGTAATGTGATTTCTCCAGTTTTGTTCTTTTTACTTCAAATAGCTTTCCCTATACTGAATCTTTTATGGTTCTCCAGAAAATTTAGGATTGCTTTTTCTATTTTTGTGAAGAATATCATTGGTATTTTAATAGGAGTTGCATTAAATCTTTATTATTTTGAGATATGTTCCATCGATACCTAGTTTACTGAGTACTTTTGCATTTGCTGAGGAGTGTTTTCCTTCCAATCACGTGGTCAATTTTAGAATAAGTGCAATGTGGTGCTGAGAAGAAAGTATATTCTGTTGATTTGAGGTAGAGAGTTCTGTAGATGTCTATTAGGTCCACTTGATCCAGAGCTGACTTCGAGTCCTGAATAACCTTGTTCATTTTCTGTTTTGTTGATATGTCTAATATTGACAGTGGGGTGTTAAAGTCTCCCACTATTATTGTGTGGGAGTCTAAGTCTCTTTTTATGTCCCTAAGAACTTGCTTTATGAATCTGGGTGCTCCTGTATTGGGTGCATATATATTTAGGATAGTTAGCTCTTCATATTGCATTGATCCTTTTACCATTATGTAATAATCTTCTTTGTCTTTTTTGATCTTTGTTGGTTTAAAGTCTGTTTTATCAGAGGCTAGGATTGCAACCCCTGCTTTTCTTTTGCTTTCCATTTACTTGGTAAATCTTCCTCCATCCCTTTATTCTGAGCCTATGTGTGTCTTTGCCTGTGAGATGTGTCTCCTGAATACAGCACATTGATGGATCTTGACTCTATCCAATTTGCCAGTCTGTGCCTTTTAATTGTGGCATTTAGACCATTTACATTTAAGGTTAATATTGTTATCTGTGAATTTGTTCCTGTACATTATAATGCTAGCTGGTTATTTTGCCCATTAGTTGATACAGTTTATTCATAGTGTCAATAGTCTTTACATTTTGGTTTGTTTTTGCAGTGGTTGGTACCAGTTTTTCCTTTCCATATTTAGTGCTTTTTCAGAAGCTCTTGTAAGGCAGGCCTGGTGGTGACAAAATCCCTCAGCAATTGCTTGTCTGTAAGGGATTTTTATTTCTCCTTCACTTATAAAGTTTAGTTTGGCTGCATATGAAATTCTGGGTTGAAAATTATTTCTTTAATAATGTTGAATATTGGCCCCCACTCTCTTCTTGCTTGTAGGGTTTCTGCAGACAGACCCACTGTTAGTCTGAAGGACTTCCCTTTGTGGGTAACCCGACCTTTCTCCCTGGCTGCTCTTAACATTTTTTTCTTCTTTTCCACCTTGGTGAATCTGACTAATATATGTCATGGGGTTGCTCTTCTCGATTAGTATCTTTGCAGTGTTCTCTGTATTTCCTGAATTTAAATATTGGCCTGTCTTGATAGGTTGGAGAAGTTCTCCTGAATAATATCCTGAAAAGTGTTTTCCAACTTGGTTCCATTCTCCCCGTCACTTTCAGGTACACTAATTAAATGTAGGTTTGGTCTTTTCACATAGACCCATATTTCTTGGAGGCTTTGTTCATTCCTTTTCATTCTTGTGCTGGTTTTTCCTCATCTTCGTGGATTTGTCTATCTTTGGTCTTTGCTGTGGGTGACCTTTGGATGGAGTTTTTGCAGTTCTGCTGGAGTTAGTTGAGGGTCCACTCCAGACCCTGTTTGCCTGGGTATCACCAGCAGAGGCTGCAGAATAGCAAAGACTGCTGCCTGCTCCTTCCTCTGGAAGCTTCATCCTAGAGGGACACCCGCCAGATGCCAGCTGCATCTCTCCTGTATGAGGTGTCTGTCGACCCATGCTGGGTGGTGTCTCCCTGTCAGGAGGCACAGGAATCAGGGACCCACTTGAAGAGGCAGTCTGTCCCTTAGCAGATGCAGATCTCAAGCACCGTGCTGGGAGATCTGCCGCTCTCTTCAGAGCCAGCAGGCAGGAAAGTTTAAGCCAGCTGAAGCTGCTCCTACAGCCGCCCCTTCCCCCAGGTGCCTGTCCCAGGGAGATGGGAGTTTTATCTATAAACCACTGACTGGGGCTGCTGCCTTTCTTTCAGAGATGCCCTCCCCAGAGAGGAGGAATCTAGAGAGGCAGTCTGGCTACAGCAGCTTTGCAGCACTCCAGTGGGCTCTGCCCAGTCTGAACTTCCCAGTAGCTTTGTTTACACTGTGAGGGGGAAACCACCTACTCAAGCCTCGGTAATGGCGGATGCCCCTCCACCCACCAAGCTTGCATGTCCCAGGTTGACTTTAGACTGCTTTGCTGGCAGCAAGAATTTCAAGCCAGTGGCACTTAGCTTGCTGGGCTCCATGGGGGTGGGATCCACTGAGCAAGACCACTTGGCTCCCTGGCTTCAGCCCCCTTTCCAGGGGAGAGAATGGTTCTGACTTGCTGGCATTCCATGCACCACTGGTCGGGGGGAGGGTGGTGAAAGGTGTTCAGCTAGCTCGGTATCTGCTCAAACAGCTTCCCAGTTTTGTGCTTGAAACCCAGGGCCCTTGTGGTGTAGGCACCCGAGGGAATCTCCTAGTCTGTGGGTTGTGAAGACCATGGGAAAAGCATAGTATCCGAGCTAAATAGCACCGTCCCTCATGGCTTCCCTTGGCTTGGAGAGGGAGTTCTCTGACCCCCTGCACTTCCTGGGTGAGGCAACACCATGTGGTTTATACTTTTTATTGTAGATATGTGTCACATTTTTGGGTAAATTAACTTCTAGGTATTTTATTTTATTTGTAGCTATTGTAAATGGAATTGTTTTCTTGATTATTTTTTCAGATTGTTTGCTTTTGGCATATAGAAATGCTACTAATTTTTGCATGGTGAGTGAAACCTGCAACTTTACTGAATTTATCAATTCTAATAGTGTTATGCTGGAGTCTATTGATTTTTCCAAATATAAGATCTCTCATTTGTAAACAAGGAGAATTTGACTTATTTATTTTCAATTTGGATGTCCTTTGTTTCTGTCTATTGCCTGATTCCCCTAACTAGGACATCCAGTGCTATGTTACAATAACAGTAGTAAAAGTGGGAACCCTTGTTATGGTCCTGATCTTAGAGGAAAGGCTTTCTATATTGTTACATTCAGTATGATTCTAGGTGTGGGCCTGTCGTGTATTTCTTTTATTATGTTGGGGTATTTTCACTCTATACCCAGTTTCTTTTGATTTACCTTTTAAGTTTAGGGGTACATGTGCAGGTTTGTTAGATAGATAAACTTGTGTCATGGGATTTTTTTATTTGTACAGACTATTTCATCTTGTAATTATTTAGCCTGGTACCCATTAGTTATTTTTCCTGATCCTCTCCCTCCTCCAACCTTCCACCTTCTGATAGGCCCCAGTATGTGTTTTTCCTCTCTATGTGTCCATGTGTTCTTTTCATTTAGGTTCTACTTATAAGTGAAAACATGTGGTATTTGTTTTTCTGTTCCTGTGTTAGTTTGGTAAGGATAATGGCCTCCAGCTCCATCCATGTCCCTGCAAAGGACATGATCTCATGCTTTTTTATGGCTGCATAATTGCATAGCGTTCCGTGGAGTACCTGTACCATATTTTCTTTATCCAGTCTATCATTGACGGGCATTTAGTTTGATTCCATGTCCTTGCTATTGTGAATGGTGCTACAATGAGCATATGTGTGCATGTATCTTTTATATAGAATGATGTATATATCTTTGGATATATACTAAGTAATGACATTATTGGGTCTAATGGCATTTCTATATTTAATTCTTTGAGAAATCACCACACCATCTTCCACCATGGCTGAACTAATTTACACTCCTGCCGACAGTGCATAAGTGTTCCCTTTTCTCTGCAACTTCACCAGCATCTGTTATTTTTTGGCTTTTTAATAATAGTTATTCTGACTGATATGAGATGGTATCTCATTGTGGTTTTCAGTTGCATTTCTCTAATGATCAGTGATGTTGAATTTTTAAAATATGACTGTTGGTCTCATGTATGTCTTGTTTTGAAACATGTCTGTTCATGTCATTTGCTCACTTTTTTATAGGGTTGTTTGTTTTTTTCTGTAAATTTGGATTTAAGTTCCTTATAGATGCTTGATATTAGACCTTTGTCAGATGCATCGCTTGCAAACAAATTTTCCCATTCTGTAGGTTTTCTGTTTATTCTGCTGATAGTTTCTTTAGCTGTGGAGAAGCTTTTTAGTTTAATTAGATCCAGTTTGTCAGTTTTTGCTTTTGCTGCAATTGCTTTTGGTATCTTCATCGTGAAATCTTTGCTCTTTCCTATGTCCAGAAGTGTATTGCCTAAGTTTTCTTCCAGGGTTGTTATAGGTTTGAATTTTACATTTAAGTGTTTAACCCATCTTGAGTTAATTTTTTATATGGTGTAAGTAAGGGTTCCAGTTTCAATGTTTTGCATATGGCTATCCAGTTATCCCAGTACCAGGTATTGAATAAGAAATCCTTTCCCCATTGCTTGTTTTTGTCAGGTTTCTTGAAGATCAGATAGTTGTAGATGTGCAGCCTTATTTCTGGGTTCTGCATTCTGGGTTCCATTGGTCTGTGTCTGTTGTTGTACCAGTACTATGCTGTTTTGGTTACCGTATCCTTCAAGCTATAGCCTAGTATAGTTTGAAGCTGGGTAGCATGATGCCTCCAGCTTTGTTCTTTTTGCTTAGAATTGTCTTGGTTATTCAGGCACCTTTTTGATTTCATATAAATTTTGGAATATTTTTTTCTAGTTCTGTGAAGAATGTCCTTGGTAGTTTAATGGGAATAGCATTGAATCTGTAAATTGCTTTAGGCAGTATAGCCATTTTAACAACATTGATTTTTTTACATCCATGAGCATGGAATATTTTTCCATTTGTTTGTGTCATCTCTGATTTCTTTGAGCAGTATTTTGTAGTTCTGCTTGTAGAAATCTTTCCCCTCCCTTGTTAGCCTTATTCCTTGGTCTTTTATTGTTTTTTAGCAATTGTGAATGATATTGTGTTCCTGATTTGGCTCTCAGCTTGATTTGCCAGTGATTTTGCACATTAATTTTGTATCCTGAGACTTAGCTGAAGTTGTTTATCAGTGTAAAGAGCTTTTGGGTTGAGACTATGAGTATACCCAAGTTTTTGTAGGTTTTTACCATGAAGGGATGTTGAATTTTTTTAAAATGCTTTTTCAGCGTCAATTGAAATAATCCTTTGGCTTTTGTCTTCCATTCGGTGGATATGATGTACCACATTAATTGATTTGTTTAGGTTGAACCATCCTTTTGTCAGTAAAAAACAATTATTCCACTTGGTCATGATGAATGGCATTTTTAATGTTTTGTTAAATTAGAATTGTTAGGATTTTGTTGAAGATTTTTGCATCAATGTTCATCAGGGATATTGGTGTATAGCTTTCTGTTTTTGATGTATATTTCTTTTTGGCATCAGGGTAATACTGGCCTTGTAGAATGAGTTTGGAAGCATTTCCTTCACATCTATTTTTCAGAATCTTTTGAGTAGGACTGCTATTAGCTCCTCTTTAACTGTTCGGTAGAATTTAGCAGAGAAGACACTGGGTCCTGAGGTTTTCCTTACTGGGGGACTTTTTATTACATCTTTGATCTCTTTACTGGCTTTAGATCTGCTCAGGTTTGAGATTTCTTCATGGTTCAATCTTGGTAGATTGTATGTGTCTGGGAATTTATATTCTCTCTATAATTCAATTCATTGGCATACAGTTGCTCATATTAACCACTAATGATCCTTTGAATTTCTGCTGTATTGGTCGTAATGTCTCTTTTTTTCTGGTTTTACTTATTTGGGTCTTCTCTTTTTTTCTTAGTCTGGCTAAAGAATTGTCAATTTTGTTTAAATTTTCCAAAAAACAACTTTTTTTTCATTGATCTTTTGTATTTGTTTTTCATTGCAAATTTATTAATTTCTGCTCTGATCTTTATTATTTCTTTTCTTCTACTAATTTTGGGTTTGGTTTGCTCTTGGTTTTCTGGTTCTTTCAGATGCATTATTAGGTTATTTATTTGAAGCTTTTCTTCCTTTTTTGATGCAGGTGCTTATAGCTGTAAACTTACCTCTTTGTACTGCTTTTGCTGCATCCCATGGATTTTGATATATTGTGTTTCCATTATCATTTGTTTCAAGAAATTTATAAATTCCTTTATTGATTTCTTCATTGACCCACTGGTAATTCAGGAGCATATGGTCTAATTTCCATGTTTTTGCATAGTTTCCAAAATTCTTTTCATTATGAATTTGTATTTTTACTGTATTGTGATCAGTGGAGATGCATGCTTGATATTATTTCAATTTTTTTTAATGTTTTAAGACTAGTTTTGTGACCTAACGTATAGTGTATCCTTGAGAAGGATCCATGAGCTTCAGAAAAAAATGTGTATTCTGTAGCCATTGGATAAAATGTTCTATAAATATTTAATAGGTCCATTTTATCTACAGTGCAGATTAAGTCTGATGATTCTTTGTGGATTTTTTGCCTGGAAGGTCTGTCCAATGTTGAAAGTGGTTGTTGATGTCTCCATCTACTATTGCTGAGGTCTATCTTTCCCTTTACTCCTAATAATATTGACTTTATATATCTGAGTGCTCCAACGTTGGATGCAAACATATTTACAATTACTGTATCCTCTTGCTAAATTGAACCCTTTATCATTATATAATGACCCTGTTTGCCTTTTCTTATATTTTTGGTCTGAAATCTATTTTTCTTGTGTAAATACTATTACTCCTGCTTTGTTGTTTTCCATTGTCATGGCATTTTTTTTTTATTCCTTTATTTTCAGTCTGTGTGTGCCTTTATAGGTGAAGTCGTGAAGTGTGTTTCTTGTAGGCAACAAATCAAGGGTCTTTTTTGATTATCCATTCAGCCACTCTATGTCTTTTGACTGAAGAGCTTAGTCCATTTACAGCCAATGTTGTTATCGATAAGTAAGAACTTACTCCTGCTATTTTGTTATTAATATTTGGTTCCTGGTGGTTTGTGGTCTTCTTTCCTTCTTTCTTTTTTTCTTTTTTTCTTTTTTTTTTAATCAAAGATGAATTTCTCTGTTGATATGATTTACTTATTTGCTTTTTATTTGTTGCATATTAACATTTTTTATTTGTGGCCATCATGACACTTGCAAACACTCTTATAACCCATTATTCTAAATTGATGGAAACTGAACACTGATTACATAACCAAACAAACAAGCTGATATAATTTAGATACGTGTGTCTATTTAAATCTTATGTTGAATTGTAATCCCCAATGCTGGAAGTGGGGCCTAGGGGGATGTGTTTGGGTCATGGAAATGCATCTCTTATTGCTTGGTGCTCTCTTTGTGATAGTGAGTGAGTTCTCACAAGATCTGGTCTTGTAAAAGTGTGTGGCATCGCCTCCCTACTCTGTCTCTCTCTCTCACTCCTGCTTTTAACTATGTGATGTGTAAGTTCTGGCTTTGCCTTCCTCCATGAGTAAAAGTTTTCTGAGGCCTCATCAGAAGCCATAATTCCTGTACATCCTGCAGAACTGTTAGTGAATTAAACCTCTTTTCTTTATAGATTACCCAGTCTCAGATATTTATTTGTAACAATGCAAGAACAGCCTAATATAAAAGCAAAAAGAAAACTAGTAAACATTCTACACTTTTACTTCATTCCCTACTTCTTAACATTTTGCTGTGTGTATTTATATATAATTGTACTGTCTATGTCTTTAAAAGGTGTAGTTATTATTTTTACTGGTTCACATTTCTGTCTTTATATTTAAGATAAGAGTTGTTTACACACCACGATTACAGTGTTATACTGTGTTTTACTGTGTAGTTACAAGGCAAGTTTCTTCCAACTATGAGCCTGCAAAATCAAAAGTTTTGTATCTTCAGATGATTTCTTGTTACCCATTAATGTTCTTTTCTATCTGATTGAAGAATTCCCTTTGGCATTTTCTAGGACAGGTCTGGTGTTGATGAAATTCCTCAGCTTTTGTTTGCCTGGGAAAGTATCTGTTTCTTTTTCATGTTTAAAATGTATCTTCACTAGATATGCTATTCTAGGGTGTATTAAACTATTCTTGCATTGCTATAAAAATACCTGAGACTGGGTACTTTATCAGAAAAGAGGTATAATTGGTTCACAATCTGCAGACTTTAATGGATGCATAGCTCCAGTATCAGGTTCTTTGGAGGCCTCAGGAAGCATACAATCATGGTGAAAGATGAAGCGGTAGCAGGAGCCTCACATGGTGGGAGAAGGAGCAAGAGAAAGAGGGGGGAGTGCAATATACTTTTAAATGATCAGATCTCACAAGAAACCACTCACTATTATGAGGACAGCACCAAGGGGATGGTGTTAAACCATTCTTGAGACAACTGTCCCCATGATCCAATCCCCTCCAACCAGGACCCACCTCCAACATTGGGGATTACATTTCAACATGATATTTGGGTGGGAGCACACATCCAAACTATATTATTCTGATCCTAACCCTTCCCAAATCCCATGTCCATCTCACATTTTAAAATACAATCATGCCTCCCCAATAATCATCCAAAGTCTTAAGTCATTCCAGTGTTAACTCGAAAGTCCAAAGTGCAAAGTCTCATCTGAAACAAGGCAAGTTTTTTCCACCTCTGAGCCTGCAAAATCATAAACTAGTTAGTTACTTCCAAAATACAATGGGGGTACAAGAATTGGTTAAACATTTCTGTCCCATAAAGGAGAAATCAGCCAAAAGAAGGTGGCTAAGGGCTCCACACAAGTTCCAAACCCAGGAGAGCAGTCATTAAATATTAAAGCTCCAAAATAGTCTCCTTTGATTTCATGTCCAATATCCAGGGTACACTGATGCAAGGAATAAGCTCCCAGGGACTTGGGAAGCTCTGTCCCTGTGGCTTAGTAGGGTCCAGCCCTGGAGGCTGCTCTCACAGGTTGCTGAGTGTCTGTGGCTTTTCTAGGCACAGGGTGCAAGATGCCAGTGTGTCTACAATTCTGTAATCTGGAGAATGGTGTCCCTCTTCTCATAGCTCTACTAGGCAGTACTCCAGTGGGGCTTTTGCTGGGGACTCCAACTCCACATTTCCTCTCTACAATGCCCTAGTAGAAGTTATCTGTGAGGGCTCCTAAATCCCAGCAGCAGGTTTCTGCTTGGCACTCAGGCTTTCCCATAAATCTTCTGAAATCTAGGTAGACAGTGCCAATCCTTGCACACTCTCTCATTCTATGCACCTGCAGACTTAACATCCCATAAAATCTGCCAAGGCTTATACCTTGCACCCTCTGAAGCAGTGGCCCAAGCTGTACTTGTACCCCTTCATGCCATGGCTGGAGCTTAAGTGGCCGGGGTGTAGGGAGCAATACCTCAAGGCTACACAGGGCAGCAGGGCCCTGGGACTTTCCTACAAAACCATTCTGTCCTCCTAGGCCTCAGGTGGTTTGATGAGAGGGGTTGCCTCTTAGATTTCTGAAATGCCTTCAAAGTGTTTTTCCCATTATATTGTCTATTAGCACCTGCCTTCTTCTTAGTTATGTGAATTTCTCTAGCAAGTGGTCGCTGAGCAACTGGATTGTTTTCTTCTCCTGAAAATGGGCATTTTTTTCTACCACAAGGCCAGGTTGCAAATTTTTCAAACTTTTATTCTCTGCTTCCTTACTAAATATAAGTTCAAACTTAAAGTCATTTACTTACCCCCACATCTAAGCATCAGTTGTTAGAAGCACCCAAGCCACCTCTTGAACACTTTACTGCTTAGAAATGTATTTTGACAAATACCTTCAATTATCACTGTGAAGTTTAAACTTTCACAGATCCCTAGGGCATAGACACAATCCAGCCAAGCTCTTTGGTAAGGCATAACATGCATGACCTTTGCTCCAGTTCTCAATAAGTTTCTCATTTCCATCTGAGACCTCCTAAGCCTGGCCTTCACTGTCCATATCACTATCAGCAATTTGGTTACAACCATTGAATCAGCCTCTAAGAAGTTTCAACCTTTCCCTCATCTTCCTGTCTTCTTCTGAACTTTCCAAAGTATCTTACAACCTCTGCCTGTTACCCAGTTCCAAAACTGCTTCCACATTGTCTGGTATCTCTATAGCAATGCCGCACTCTTCGGTACCAATTTTCTGTATTAGGCCATTCTCACATTGCTACAAAGAAATACCTGAGACTGGGTAATTTAAAAGAAAAAAGGTTTAATTGGCTCCTGGTTCTGCAGGCTGCACAGGAATCATAGCTGTGGCATGCGCCTCTGGGTAAGCCTCAGAAAACTTGTAATCAGGGCAGAAGGTGAAGCAGGAGCAGGCACCTCACTTAGTGAGGGCAGGAGCAAGAGAGAGCAAAAAGGGCCACACACTTTTAAATGATACCTTGCGAGGTATCACTCACTGTTGTGAATACAGCATCAAGGAGATGGTGCTAAGTCATTCATGAGAAAAATCGCCACAACAATTCAATCACCTCCCACCAGGCTTCACCTCCAACATTGGAGATGACATTTCAACATGAGATTTGGGCAGTGACACACGTCCCAACTATATAATAGGGTAATTTTTTTCAGCACTTTAAACATTTCATGCCACTCTCTTCTGACCTGTAAGGTTTCTACTGAAAAGACTGTGGCCAGATGCATTGAAGCTCCATTATATGTTATTTGTTTATTTTCTCGTGCTCTTTTCAGAATCCTTTCTTTATTCTTTTGACTTTGTGAGTTTAATTATTAAATTTCTTGAGGTACTATTACTTCGGTTAAATCTGCTTGGTTGTTCTATAACATTTTTATACTTAAATCTTGATATCTTTCTCTAGTTTAAGAAGTTCTCTGTTATTCATTTGAATAAACTTTCTACACACATCTCTTTCTATACCTCCTCTTTAAGGCCAATAGCTCTTGAATTTGCCCCTTTGATGTTGTTTTCTAGATTCTGTAGGTATGCTTTATTGTTTTTCATTCTATTTTCTTTTGCATCCTCTGACTGTGTATTTTCAAATAGCCAGTCCTTAAGTTCACTAACTCATTCTTCTGCTTGATCAATTTTGCTATTAAAAGACTGATGCATTTTTCAGTATGGTCAATTACATTTTTTGACTCTAGAATTTCAGCTTGATTGTTTTCAATTATTTCAATCCCTATGTTGAATTTATCTGATAGAATTCTGAATTTGTTCTCTGTATCATCTTAATTTTTTTTCAGTTTTCTCAAAACAGCTATTTTGAATTCTCTCTGAAATGTCGCATATCTCTGTTTCTCCAGGATTGTTCCCTTGTGGCTTACTTAGTTCTCCTGGTGAATTCATGTTTCCCTGGATGATCTTGATGCTTGTGGATGTTTAAAGATATTTGGGCACTGAAAAGTTGGGTATTTATTGTAGTTTTCATAGTCTGGGATTGTTCTTTCCAATTCTTCTTGGGAAAGCTTTCCGGGTATTTGAAAGGACTTGGATGTTGTGATCTAAGCTGTATCTGCATTGGGGGTACTCCAAGGTCAGTAATGCTGTGGTTTTTGCAGACTCACAGAGGTATCAGTCGTCTTGGGTAATATCTGAAAGAATTATCTGGATTACCAGGCAGATGTTTTTGTTTTCTTCCTTTACTTTCTCCTGAACAAATGACATAGTTTTTTCTCTGTCTCTTTCTCTCCCTATTTCCCTTCCTTGAGCCACCTGCAGCTGGGGGTAGAGTGGCATAAACAGCCCTGTGCCTACAACCACTAGGACCGCATTGGGTCAGACCTGAAGCCAGCACAGAACTGGGTAGTCTTACCTAAGACCCTCTGTAACCACTACCTGGCTACAACCTATGTTCCATCAAAACCCTAGGGCTCCAGTATCAGCAAGTGTTGAAGCCAGCCAGGCATCCAGTTTCCCCTGGCTCTGGGGAGGCCCAGAGATGCTGTCTGGGAGCCAAGGACTGGTCACAAACCTTAGAAATGCATCTTGTGCTCAATTTTACTGCAGCTGAGCTGTCACTCAAACTACAAGACAAAGCCTTTTCCACTCTTTTCTTCCCTTTCCACAGGCAAAGGAGCCTCTCCTCATGGCCAACACCACTAAAAACACATCGAGGGACCGCCAGGTTACCACCAATGTTCAATTAAGGCCCAAGGGCTCCTCTGTCAGCCTGTGGTGACTGCTTCCAGGCCTGAGACATACTCCTCAGGGCATTGTGGTTTCCTCTGGCCCAGGGCAGGTCGCGAAATGCCATCCAAGAGTCAAGGCCTGGAATCGGTGACCTCAAGATCCTTCTTGGTGTTCTAACCCAACTATGGCTGAGCTGGTGCCTAAGGTACAAAGCTTCTCTTGACATTTCCCCCTGCTTTTCTCAAACAGGAATCTCTCACTTTAGCCATCAAATCTTGGAGTGTACTGGGTTTTACCTGAAGCCAGCATGTCTCAGAATCTCATGCAGCACCCACGATGTACTACCTGAGTATTGCTGCTTGTTCTTCGGGGCTCATGAGCTCCTTATTCATCAGGTGACAATTCTTGCCATGACTAGGTCCTTCCCTTCAAAGTGATGTGTTCTCTTATGGCCCCGGGTGTGTCTAGAAATGTCATCTGGGATTTAGGGCCTGGAATGTGGGCCTCACGAATGTGCTGGGTGTCTTAGCTTATTATGGCTGAGCTGGTATCCAGGATGCAAGGCACAGCCCACTTTACTCTTTCTTCTCCTCTCTTCAAGTGGAAGGAAGAAATCACTTTTTTTTTTTAAATTATACTTTAAGTTCTAGGGTACATGTGCACAACGTGCAGGTTTGTTACATATGTATACATGTGCCATGTTGGTGTGCTGCACCCATTAACTCGTCATTCAGCATTAGGTGTATCACATAATGCTATCCCTCCCCCCTCCCCCACCCCAGAACAGTCCCCAGTGTGTGATGTTCCCCTTCCTGTGTCCATGTGTTCTCATTGTTCAATTCCCACCTATGAGTGAGAACATGCGGTGTTTGGTTTTTTGTCCTTGAGATAGTTTGCCGAGAATGATGGTTTCCAGCTTCATTCATGTCCCTACAAAGGACATGAACTCATCATTTTTTATGGCTGCATAGTATTCCATGGTGTATATGTGCCACGTTTTGTTTCTGAAGCTTGTGCTGCCTGGGATTAGGGAAGGGGTGGTGCAATCATTCCCTTAGCTGTCTGGGCTGGTTTCTCACTAGATTCCATGCCCTTCATGACCACTGACTCTGAGCCCAGCAGAATTACAACTATGTGTGTGAAAGAAATCACACATGTTTAACATGTTTATTGTGATTATTAGATTGGAAATTGAATGTAAACACCACAGAAAATTATTCAATGCATGATAGTTAGTATTATATTTAAGTAAATGTGGTTATTGTTTTCCATTATAAAAGTAATAAATGTTAACTTTAAAAAATTTGGAAATTACAGATATTTTTGAAAAAATCAGAAATAGTCTCATTACTCAACAATAATTAACATTAAAAATTCAATGTACATCCTAATAGAGTTCTCCTTCTGTGCATAGATTTTTCTTCAATGGAAGTTATGACAAAAACATTTTGCATGTTATACATTCTTTTCAAATGGCTACAAGATACCTAAATTATTATATATCATAATTTAAATAATCTTTGCATTGTTGGCCAGTCTAGTTACTGATGACTTTTTCTGTTATTGTAATAAGCACACATCTTTTATAGAATTTCCTTTAGTTTACTGTGGAGACCTAAAAAATAAAAATTCCAGACAAAAAAAAATTTTCATTTCTTCATAATACCAAATTTCTTGCCAATTAAGCATCCATTATGATATTACCTGTTGTATCATATCTTCATCATGTATTTTGTATGTATTTTTGTAAACTTATTATTAACATTTTGACAATTAATTAGAAGCATATAATTTTTAGTTGTTCTCAGTGAAAATCTCTACGACCTTCAGGTTAGTAGGTGAAGAGTTTGAGTTCCAGAAAAGTCTTAGTGAATTCATTTATTAGAACTAATTTGGAGTAAAAATTAAATATAAAAGAGTGAACCTGAAAAACATCTAGAGAAAAGTATCAGACTGGGGAACACCAGAAGAATAATAATTAAACCTATGTAAATGAAAACTAAAAAAATGTAACAGGCTGTGAAAGAACTTTTTTGCCATAAAAAAATTCTCAATAGAAAATTCTGATATAATTTTCTACATATATATATATGTATGAACATGTATATATGTGTGTATATATATATGTGTGTATATATATATATATATATACACACATATATATATGTATAGAACAGGTATATATATATACCTGTTACCACCTCCTTATTAGGGTGGCTACTATAAAAAACAAAACCAAACAAAAACTGAAAATAGTAAGTGTTGGTGAGGGTGTGAAAAAATTGGAACCCTTGTGCTTTACTGGTAGGAATGTAAAATGGTGCAGCCACTATGGAAAACAATATGGCATTTTTTCATATAACTAAACACAGATTTACCATATGAGCTAGCAGTTCTACTTCTGGGTATATACCTAAAAGATTTGAAAGCAAGATCTCAAAGAGATATTTGTATATCCATGTTCACAGCAGTATTATTCACAATAGCCAAAACGTGAAAGCAACCCAAGTATCCCTTGATGGATAAATGGATAAATAAAATTTGGTATATACATACAATGGAATATTCTTCAGCTTAAAAAGGAAGGATATTTTGACACATGCTACAACATGTATGAACGTTGAGGACATTATACTAAATTAATTACAGCAGTCAAAAAATGTCAATATGATACCATGTATATGAGATACCTAGAGTAGTTATAAATATAAAGACAGAAAGTAGAATGGTGGTAGAATGTGGGGAAGGGAAAACAGGGAGTTATTGTTTATTAGACATAAAGTTTCAGTTTTGCAAGATGAAAAGAGCTCTGGAGGTTGATTGCAAAACAACGTGATTGTACTTAACACTACTGAATTGTATAACTAAAAAGGTTAAGATGATAAATTTTATGTTATGCATATTGTGCCACAATTAATAATAAATGTATGCCTGTATATATAAAAATAAACAATTAAAATGCTAACAATCTAACTAGTAAAATATTATGAGTATCAAATAAGGCAAACAATGAGGAAAAATTTATTTATGTTTTTAAAGCACCTACAAATCACTAATAAAACCCCAAATTTCCAATGTAAAGCAAAAAAGGTTATTAATAGTTGCCATAGAAGAAGAAATATAAATGTTCAGTATATGAACAAAATAGTCACTTTTACTAATATCCACTGAAGACAAAATTAAAAGAACATTGATGTGCAAATTGAAAAAATTGATAATGTTAATGATCACTTTAGGCAAGTATAGGGAGTAATAAAGTCACTTTCATTATTATGAGTATTGTGAATTTGTAAAGAACATCTGAAGATGATTTGATAAAACTATAACAAAGTCTTAAAATATATCCATATCTGACAAACAGGGAAATTCTACCAGAACCACATTTTTAGGAAATAAGCATGTACTCAAGCAAATGTTTATTTATAAATATGCTGATTGTAGTATTGCTTATAACCAGAATGTGATAATAGTGTAAATGTCCACGAGAAATGGAAACATAAAGGCATATCCATATGATAGCACATTATTCAGGTAATAAATACTATAAATTGAAAATAGTATATATATTGAACTAGAAGGAGATGGATATAAAAGTTATATATATATCATTGGATATTATTAAAGTATTAACTATACATGCAAAAGCATGGATGAATCTCATAGATGTTCTGTTAAGTACAAAAAGGTAGACACAAAAGATTACATAATGAATGATTAAATTTTGTGATGTTCAATAACAGATGAAACTAATCTATGGTAAAAATGCATTACAATAGTGGTTTTCTCCTGAGGGTGACTGAGTAGAAAAGGGCTTGCAGGAACTTTCTGAGATGATGGAAATATTCTGTATCATGATGAGGTGTTCACTATATGAGTGTATGCACTTGTCAAAACTCATTGAAACTGTACCCTTAAGATTTGTACAATGCATTTTAAGTAAATTATATCTCATTATTTCAAAACCTATGAAAATATAATTTTCACAATATTCTTAATGACATGGAAAAATTCCATGCTTGCAATGCTAAGAAAGAACTTTAAAATGGGTATACAGAGAGAGAGGGAGGTGGAGCAAGACGGCAGACTAGAAAGCACCACTTATTGTTCCCCCTGCATGGACAACAATGTAACAACTGTCTACACAAACAAGACAACCTCATAAGGACCAAAAATCAGGTGAGCACTCATAGTATCTATTTTTAACTATGTATTGCTGAAAGACCCACTGACAAGATATAAAAAACAGCCTTGAATCACTGATGCCACCTTTCCCCCACTCCCGTAGCAGCAGTGGTATTGTGTGGAGATTGTCTCTGGACACTGGAGAAATGAGAACTCAGCAATTATGAGGCATTGAACTCATTTCTGTTCCATTAGAACAGAAAGGAAAACAGAACCAAAATCAACTGACACCCAATCATGGAAGGAGCATTTAAACCAGCCCTAGCCTAGCCAGCGGGGGATCACTGATCCCAGCAATCCAAACGCGAATTCGTACAAACCTTGCCACTAAGGGCCAAAGTATCTGGGTCTCTAAATAAATTTGAAATGAAGTCAAGGTCATAATGACTACAACTCTTAGGTGAGACCTAAGGCTGAACTGGGCCAAACACAGTGGACTTGGGGGTGGGGAGGCAAGTAACCTAGTGAGACACTAGCTAAGGTGGCTAAGGGAGTGCTGGCATCTACCCCCAGAGTGCGGAGCTCATGGCTATAAAAAAAAGTCCCCTTTCTTCCACTTGAGGAGAGGAGAGGGGAGAGTGGGGAAGATTTCATTATGGATCCAGGATACCAGCTAAACTGCAGCAGGATAGGTCACTGATCTGAGTTATGAGGACCCTGTTCCAGGACCTAGCTCTAAGACAACATTTCTAGACATACCCTGGGCCAGAAGGGTACCCATTGCCTTGAAGGGTAGGAACTAGTCCTGGCAGCTTTCATTACCTGATAATTGAAGACTCTTCGGTCCCTGAATAATAATCAGAAATACCCAGTTACTACATCGAGGGCCTTGGTGAGCATCTGAGATGTACTGGCTCGAGGTGAAACTCAGCACATTACCACCTGTGGTGGCTATGGGTCAAAACTTTGGCTTGAGAAAAGCAGAGGGAAAAGTAAAGGGAACTTTGTCTTGCACCTTAGGTACCAGCATGGCCACAAAGGGATAGAGCACCAAGCAGGCTTTTGAGGTTCCTGATTATAGGACTTGACACTTGAACGGCATTTCTAAACCTGCTAGATCCAGAGGGGAGCCCAATGCCCTGAAAGGTGAGATTCTAGCCAGGAAACATTCACCAAATGCTTACCTAAGAAAGCATCGACAGTAACCTAGCAGAACTCCCAGTGATCTGTGGTGGCAATTGCTACAGGGTAAGGAGGCTCCTCTGCATTTGGAAAAATAAAGGAAGAATGGGAAAGTCTGCATTTTGTGGTCTGAGTACAAGCTCAGCTGCAGTACACTACAATACCAGATAGACTTCCAAGGCTTCTGACTCTAATCTCTGACTCCCAGTTGGCATAACTGGATCAACCAGGACCAGAGGAAATGCACTACTTTGAAGGGAAGAGTACAAGCCTGGCTGCCTATGTCACCTGATGATTGTAGAGCCCCAGAAACCTGAGTGAACATAGGTAATATCAAAGGAGTGGTTACAGAAGGCCTTGAGCGAGGCATAGCACTGAGCTGGCCTCAGGTCTGACCCAGCACAGTCGCACTGGTTGTTTCCACAGGGGTGCTTGGGTCTGTCCACTCCCAGGTTTAAGTGCCTCAGACCAGAGATAAACAAGATAAACTTCAAACAAACAATCTAATGATGTATCTTAAAAATTAGAAAAGCAAAATTCAAGAAAACGAAATTATTAAAAGAAATAATAAACATCAGAGCAGAAATAAATAAAATGGAAGTGAAGAAAACAAAAGATGAATGAAACAAAAAGTTGGTTTTTTGGAAAGGTAACAAAATCGACAAAACTTTATCCAGAATAACTAAGAAAAATAAGAAAAGATATGAATTTATAAAGTCAGAGGTGAAAACAAATAAGTTACAACTGATACTGCAGAAATGCAAAGGAACATTAGTGGTTACTATGAGCAACTATATGCCAATAAATTGGAAGAAATGAACGAGTTCCTAAACACATAAACTTACCAAGATTGAACTAGAAAGAAACCTGAAATCTGAACAGACCAATAGCAATACGATTGAAGCCATAATAAAAAGATCCCCAGTAAAGAAAAGGCTGGGACCTGATGACTTCACTTGAATTTTATGAAAAATTTTTAAGAGAATTCCAATTATACTCAAACTATTCTGAAAAACAGAGGAGGAAGGAATACCTCCATACTTATTATATGAAGCCAGTATTAGCCTGATATCAAAGCCAGACAAAGACACATTGAAAAGAGAAAACTATAGGCCAATATCTGATAAATATTTATGCAAAAATCCTCAAAAAATATGCCAAACAGAATTCAACAATACATTAAAAGATCATTCATTATGACCAAGTGGGATACATCCCTGGGATGCAAAAATGGTCCAACTTACACAAGTCAATTAATGTTGTTGGTGCATCACATCAACAGAATGAAAGACAAAAGCCATATGATCATTTCAATTGATGTTGAAAAAGAATTAAACACCTCTTTACAATGACAACCCTCAAAAAAATGGGTCTAGAAAGTACATACCTCAATATAATAAAAGCCATATATTACAGACCCACAGTTAGTATTATATTGAATGGGCAAAGGTGGAAAATATTTCCTCTAAGTCCTGGAACAAAATAAGCACTTTCACCACTGTTATTCAACATAGTACTGGAAGTCCTATCTAGAGAAACAAGACAAGAAAAAAATAATAATGAAGGGCATCCAAATGGGAAAGGAAGAAATCAAATTATTCTTATTTGCAGGTGACATGATTTTATATTTGCACAATCCTAAAGACTCCACAAAGAAATTATTAGAACTGAAAAACGAATTCAGTAAAGTTGTGGGATATAAATTCAGCAAACAAAATCAGTAGCATTTGTATATGCCAACAGTGAACAATCTGAAAAAAAAATTTAAAAAGTAGTTCTGGCGGGCACAGTGGCTCACAATTGTAATTTCAACACTTTGGCAGCCTAAGCCGGCATATTGCCTGAGACTGTGTTCAAGACCAGCCTGAGCAACATGGCAAAACCTCGTCTGTACAAAAAATATACAAAAATTAAGCTCACATGGTGGCACGTGCCTGTAGTACCACCAACTCGGGAGGCTGAGGTAAGAGGATCACCTTAGACTGAAGAGATTGAGGCCCCAGTGAGCCATAATTGCATCACTGCCTGGACAAGAGAGTTGTACTCTAGCTAAAAAAAAAAAAAAAAAAAAAAAAAAAAAAAAAGGAATTTCATTAATAATAGCCACAAATCAAATTAAATACCTAGCAATTAACCAAATAAGTAAAAGAGCTCTACAATAAAAACTATGAAACACTGATGGAAGAAATTGAAGAGGACACCGAAAAATGGAAAGATACTCCATGTTCATGAATTGGAAGAATCAATACTGTTAAAATGCCATACTACCCAAAGTAATCTACAGATTCAATGCAATCCCTATCAAAATACAAATGATATTCTGCAGAGAAATAGGAAAAACAATTCTAAAATTTATATGGAACTATAGAAGACCCCACTTAGCCAAGGCTCTTATAAGCCAAAAAAACAAAACTGGAGGAATCACATTACCTGACTTCAAATTATACTACAGAGCTATAGTAACCAAAGCAGTCTGATATTGGCATAAAAGCAGACACATAGACCAATGGAACAGAATGGAGGACTCAAAAACAAATTCATACACCTACAATGAATGCATTTTTGACAAAGGGGCCACTAACATACTCTGGGAAAAAGACAGTCTTCCTAATAAATAGTGCTGGGAAAACTGGATATCCAGTTTTCTTCTGGATTTCCAGAATACTAAAACCAGACCACTATTTATTGCCATATACAAAATTCGAATTAAATGGATTAAAGACTTAAATCTAAGACCCCAAACCATGAAACTACTACCAGAAAACATTAGGGAAAATCTCCCAGGCATTGGTCTGGGCAAAAATTTCTTAAGCAATTCTCTATAAGCACAGGCAACAAGAGTAAAAATGGACAAATTGAAAATCTTCTGCTCAGCAAAAGATAAAAACAAGAAAGGGAACACAGAACGCATACAATGGGAGAAAATATTTGCAAATTACCCAGCTGACAATAAATTAATAACCAGAATATAAAAGGAGCTCAAACAACTCTATAGGAATGAAAGGAATCAGATAATTCAAATAATGGGCAAGAGATTTGAATAGACATTTCTCAAAAGAAGACATACAAATGAGAAACAGGCATATGAAAAGGTGTCCAACATCATGGATCATCAGAGAAATACAAATCAAAACTATAATGAAATATCATCTCACCCCAGTTAAAATGGCTTCTATCCAAAATATAGGCAATAACAAATGCTGGTGAGGATGTGGAGAAAAAGGAAATCTGGTACACTGTGGGTGGTAATCTAAATTAGTACAATAATTAGAGAAAAGTTTGAAGGTTCCTCAAAAAAGTAAAATTAAGCTACCATATATATGATTCAGCAATCCTAATCCTGTGTATATGCCCAAAAGAGAGGAAATCAGTACATCAAATAGATGTCTTCAATCCCTTGTTTGTTGCAGCACTGTTTACATTAGCTAAGATTTGGAAGCAACCTAAGTGTCCCTCAACAGATGAATGGATAAAGAAAATGTGGTATATATACACAATAAAGTACTATTCAGCCATAATGAGAAAGAAATCCTATCATTTGCAACAACATGGATGAAACTGGAGATCATTATGTTAAGTGAAATAAGCAGGCCCAGGAAGACACAGATCACATGTCCTCTCTTATTTGTGGGATCTGAAAATCAAAACAATTGAACTCATGGAGATAGTAGAAGGATGTTTAGCAGAGGCTAGGAAGCTTGGTTGGGAGCTGAGGAGGTGGTGGGGATAGTTAATATGTACAATAAATCGAAAGAATAAATTAGGCATACCGTTTGAGAACAACAGGATGAATATTGTCAATAACAACTTAATTGTATTTTTTAAAATAAGTAAAAATGTGTAATTGGATTGTTTTTAACACAAAGGATAAACACTTGAGACAATGGATACCCCATTCTCCATGATGTGATTATGTCCATTGTCCATTGCATGCTTGTATCATAACATCTCATGTACCCCACAAATATAATCACTTACTATGTATTTATACAAATTAAAAAAAGTGTTTACAGTATGATTCCGTGTGTGTGTCTTTAAATACTAGAAAAAATCCACTAACATTTTGTGAACCTTGTTTTTCGGTGAGATCTAGTGATTCTGTCCTTATTCTTTTCTGTATTCAACAATTTCTGAAAGGAGCAGGGAAAACATTACAATAAAAATAGCTAAATATTTATCTATTGAATGTGAACTTTGGTTTCTTTCATGGTAAGCTGTTAGATTAGGTACTATCAACCACACACTTCACTGATTTCTTAGTTCTCTGGGTTCCTAAGATAAAGGCAAATGAAAGAGCACTTAGTCTACAATATTACTGGGACCTTAATTAAATATCTGCATGCATAAAATTCTCTTTTACTCATTGGCTCCTGCCCCAAAACACTGGATTTAGGAATTTGGGTCTCTCAGACTGTCCCTTTATCCTTTGTTTCAAATTACATTTTAAAAACTCATTCTTCCATCTGGTGTGTGTGTGTTGCTGACTAATATATTAGCTCTTCCTGCCCTTTCTACTGGAACACTCTTGGGTTAAGTGTTTTCATTCATGAATAACTGTTTAATTATTGTAATTTTGTTATTTGCAGAGTCCTGGCAGTATACCCAGAGCTGTATAAGCAAGGACATGTTTGCTGACTAAAGACTTACTATTTCACAAAGTACAACTCACTGTGTACAAAGAACCAAGCTTTGAGCAATGAAGAATTTCACCACGATGCTTCAAGTATTTTATGCGCTGCCAAGTGGCAGTGACTTTATGATCTCTTGTAGAAAATAAATTGAAATTCAAATTTGAAAATGACTTTTAAATATGGAAAATTGATGCAGCAGTAGTTTGATAATATTATTTCTCAGCTTCATGGGAATTCTTTGTCTATAAGGACCTACTTTCTGAACTTCAAAAATTAAGAAACTACCTTCTTTATTTTTAGATAGCCAGTGCCTGCTAACCCAATGGTAGGAATTTGATAAATGCATATTGATTGGTATGAAGACTGACAGTTAAAGGATTCCAATTCTGTAGTATAGGTTAGCATTCTTATTAGTAGACATTTTATAGATTTTTTCATATCCCTGATTAAGCTAAACTATTACCTATTTTATGTGTATAAATACAATGTTTATTGTGTAAACATAATGAAAACATAACTTTTGAGATTGAGGCTTATTTTATTTACTTGTTACTAGGTGTCCTGGTATCTCGCCAAAGTCCTATTTCCTGCTACTTAGTGAAGGTTTCTGTGATCTGCCTCCTGTCAATCCTCCTAGGTAGCCCTGTTACCAACCTAACTCTGCCAGTCCTGCTTTGCTTCAGACATATCCTAACTACCTTCTTAACATCAACCTTAACTATCCAGTGCGATGAAGAGTGTTAGGACAAGAAATAAATTTGAGTTTTGGCATTAATGACTAACAGTAGGCTATTACATTACTCCACTCTTGTAATTCATAGTATGTTTGGCTGATCTGAGACTTTTAGCCTGCATGTCTGGGCCAGTAGGGAATATGTTTGTCTAGTGTCCCTGAAATGGCATCATGTGGGTAACCTACAATAATATTCTGCTGTTCTGACACCATTTGTCATCTGGTTTCATTTTACAGATATACCTACTATTTTCAGGCTTGTCACTGCTTGTGGCTCAGCCTCTGTTTGCCTCACATATTTTGTGAAGCCTTTGTTCAAAATGAGTCACTTCTGATTGCAGCACAACAGTAAGCTTTTTGGTTGGTTCCAGTGGCCCATGATTTTTTGGTCTTAGAATGCTTCTTCTTTTTTTTCTTTTAAAAAAAATACAATACCATATCCCCTTGGCTCTACATTATTTACATGCACTTTCTTCATTAAGCTAACAGAATATATAAACAAATCAGCAACTTAAAATAAAATATACCTGGTTACCCTCTGAAACTTCATTTTATAAAAGAGATATGTTTCTCTTTGACATTTCTTCAATAGGTAGCAAAGGCATGTAAAACCCGGTTTTTCAAGTAAGATGCAAAAAGAATGTGTCCCTTTATAAATTATGTTTTTGGTCTTGAAATTTATAGACACTCTTGGCAAAGTTATAAAAAGTTTTAGAAGAAGGTTAGTTTGAAAAATTTTTTTTATCTTTGTTACTACCTAATTACTTGAAAAGCAACTTGTTTCCTGAAATTTTGGCAGAAATTAATACAGAATGCTCTCTGTAAGGGTCATTATAGTGAAAGATATACCTAATCAGTAATTTTCTCATTTGAATGTTTTCTGGTGCTTCAAAGTCATAATTATGTGCAATCCAAGACAGAAAGTGTACTTTTATATATTGTATATTATTGTATTGTGTATTTAAATAATTATGGTAGTACCACGTCACAAAGTTGAGTATCAGTGTAGACTAGTCCATATGTAAGAGGTGGAAAAATCCTAAAGAATAAATTAAATTAATTTTTAAAAATCTACTTTGGAGCCAATGAACATTTTTATATACAGAGAAGATATTAATAACTTTTAGTTATACACTTTAAAGGATTTCTGTAAAATTTTATATTATTTGTAAAACAATGGTATAGGCTAGCCTTCAAAACTAATATACCCTGAGATCGTAATTTCCTCATCTTTGTTAGATGATAAATATGTCCTTCAAAATGAGGTGTTGAAGTACTTAATAATTTCTTATTTAAGGCTTCTCCTGAGGAACTGAATTTTTATCTCACCTGCAGACTTACTATTCATAAGCAAAATTAGTGAGATACATGTATGTGTGTGGAGGTCTCTGACACTGATAGGGTCTTATGTGGCTGAGACTGCCACTGCCCTCCAATAACATATTTCCCTTTATCCAGAATAAGAGAATCCCAATTTTAATAGAACACAATGACAGTCAGGATGAAACATTTTGTTTCTAGAATCTTTTGCAGCTATTTGTGGTCATGTGACTAACATCTGGTCAGTTAGACAAAAGTGTAAGTTTTGTGTATTTTGAAAAGTCTTAAACAGGAGAGAGAGGACTCTTATGCTTTCTTTTTTATTATTGAATGCAGATGTAATTTAAGGCTGGTGAAAACCCTCACATAGTTCCATAGAAGCAGAAATCTGTTGCACCCTGGATGGGCTTTGTTTATTGTGTCGTAGTTACAAAATGAGTTGTTATAGTTCCCTTTGTATGGAGCAAGGCACCAGCATTTTTTTCTTCCATGTAATCATTTTCTCTCATCACAAAATAATGGCCGGCCACTTGCTATATTTGAGACAGCAGATCCAGGATAAAATATTTGAAGCCTAAGTTGCCAAAAGTAGCACCTCTTTTATATTTCATAGCGCCCCAATTAGAGTATGTGCATAATATTATTGTATGGCACCCATGAAAATATTACTAAACATTCTCCCAGGCAATTATTGAAGTTGACTAGGTTAATGCCCAATATCTAATGTACTAACTTTTCACTTTTTGGTACACTGTGCCATCATTTTTCTGCCTTTTCCCTTTGTATCAAACTTTCCTTATTTTAGTTCTATTTCCTCAGGTCCCTGTTAGGTAATCTAATTAACTGAATCAAGCTGAGGTTTTAATGGCTAAAAATGACTTAATGTGGGACATTTCTCAGACAATATTTGCCTTTAAAAAGAGCACTCAGTTTTTTAACCCAAGGAAGTAAATAATATAGAAATTTTAGTAGACTCAGTGAGGAAGATACGGTCATAGAATATTATAGCTGGAAGGGACCTTAGAAATCTTATGAAAATGCTCCTTTTCAAAACTGAAGAAACAAAGGCCAGGGAGAAAAAGTCACTTGCCTGTGGTCTAAGGGCTTGTTAGTTGCAGATCAAAGACTAGATGTCAGATCTACTAATTCTAAGTTCAGAACTCTTTCCACCTCACCACACTGGAGAAGGGATGCCTTTGGCTTATAATCAAATCACCATGTGGAAGGGCATTAACTCTACAAGCCCACTCAGTGTTAACAATTTTCAAAGTATTTTGCAGTAATTTCTACTATCTTATCCTAGAAAACTTTCTACAGCAATGATTCAACATTTTTTAAATGCAATTTCCATTTAGTAAACATCAAATCTCATGCTCTTTTAATGTCATGTGAAATTTAAAATTAAATATCACCTCTAAAAGAGAAGCAAAGTGACTTTATTTTAGTATATATATATTTTTGAACACTTATCACCTTCTTCAAGATAATGGTATGCATTTTAATGGCTTTTAGGCTTCCTGTGAAAAGTCTTGTGTTCTAAAATGTGTGCTTAATGAAGACTTAATTTTATATATGAAGAAACTAGGCACATTATATGACATTTGTGCGTTCTCAAAACCTACATCCTTTTAATACAGCGAGTGATTTATAGTTTCATAATATCATTTCTGCAAAAATGAACCCTTTCTTATTTTCAGAAATAGTGTTATATGGTTGCTGTTATGTTTTCTTTTTTCCTTTGCAAACATTAACTCTTATCTCTGATATTTCCTGACAACTTCCTGGCTAGTTCATAAAATGGTGTAGTAAATTTTCCAACGAACACAAGTATACTTATTTAAGTAGAAGTCCGTTGCCATTTGGCATGAATGGAAATTACTACGTGATACTGGCAATGGTAATTTCAGCCACAAGTCATAACATTATTTCACCTAAACAACTATAAATAATTAAAGAGATGTCATTTTAACTTTAATTTCTACCTTAGGATTTTCCTGTGATGTTTTTAGACCACATATGTCTCATTTAGAAAGCATTTTGTCCCCAGTACAGTCATTGTTGTCCAACACTGGAACACTGAATATCCTGTTTCCACAGAAACTATGGATTACAAACATATTTTAATTTTTAAAAATTTCAAATCCCCAAATAGTAAATTTTGGAAAATATATTTCGTTAAATTGTCGCCTGAAGTTTTATGGAGAGAGCAAAGCAGTCAAATGCTGGGAATACGTGATAGTTACTGAATTATGGTTACGCACTGCTGTGTGTCAACTCTCTCAAAATTTGGTGGCTTAAAACAACAGACCTGTTAATATATCTTAGATTTTTGTGTGTCAAAAATTCAGGCATGGCATGTCTGACTAAACAATATTTCTTCTCATGATGTGACTTAGGTCATTCTGCAATATTCAGCTGCTGGCTCATTTGTCTGGGAGGTCCAAAATTTCTTCGACTACAGGCTGGGCACATTGGTAGGGAAAGCTGGACTTAGGTGGGCTCTTTTCTCTCTCAATTTAATATCAGAGTCTCTCTACATTTTCTCCAACATTGTAGTAAGACTTCTTATATGATGGCTCAGGCATCTGAGAGAGTGTTCCAAGAGATAAAAATAAAAGCTGTTAGTCTCTTAAAACCTGAGCATGGAAACTGACACTGGGTCGGTTCTGCCATTATTTTATTTGTCAAAGTAATCACACAACCCACAAAACTCAAGGGGAAAGGGCATAGACTCCTACTTCACAATGGGAATAGTGTCAAAAGATTTGTGAATATCATTAATCTGTTAGAAATACTGATTGATTTTTATGATAATAAAATCATCACAAACTAGACTACTTCTAAGCCATGCTTCTATTCTTTGAAATGTGCACTTTTGCACTTAACTATGAATAGAAATGGCTACAAATGTAAATATTGTGGCCATGTCATAAAGTGAGAACTGTAAACTTCTTTGGAAATACTAGATTGAAAGCAAACATATTTAGAGCAGTCATGATAGATGCTATGGTTATTTTCAAATACTTTAAATATTTAAATATTTATTTGCATTTTTCTGTCATTCATTTCAATATATGGTCAGTTGTGGAGCTAATATACTATGAGGCAGATAAGAAGAATTTAGATACTAGTAACTACTATTGATTTAGGGTCTGAGTGAATGTTTTACAGCAAAACTAGGTATGCAACTCACCCTAATATTGCCTTTAGCAAATGAAATTCAGTTGAATACCTTGGTTTAATTTTTACCTTTAAACACTGACTCTCATTCAGGAACTCTCTTTTTCTTTTTTTGGTACTGTAATTTTATGCTATTATTGCATTAGGTACACTGGTATTATTGAAATAAGTTTTGTATTTAACAGAGTGGTGGTATTTATGTGCATGAGTGTGGGTAGAATTGAGGTCAAAGTACTTAAAGGTGTTCGTAACAATGTGAAAACAGTTTTCTCTATTCTGCTGCATTTTATATTCAGTGTCCACTTGTATATGGATATTTAATCCTTTACAATCTGAGGGCATAAGGGAATTCAGGAGAAGATATTAATAAATTGTCTTATATCAAGATGTTATAGATATTTCATTTTATCCTTAACCAAGTCCACCAAATTCCATTTTTTTAATCTCTTCATAGGTAAATGAGGAATTCAGTTACATTAACAGTGAAATTTTGAAACTCTCAGTTCTTGAATCCCAAAATTGCTACCCAATTGACTAGAATTAGACAAATGTAACAATGAAATCTCAGATGAAAACTTTTGAGAGGGGCAGAAAGATAGTAGAAAGAACAAGATTTTTGGTTCAAAAAAACTGAAGGTCAAATTCTGGTCCTATGCTACACAGTGGTTGACCTTTGGGAAGCCATTTGTCTTGTGCTATGTCTTAGTTCCTATCATTTTCAGAATGGGTATAAACTAATACCTACCTCAACAACGTTTCTGTAAGATCAAATCCAATATGAAAGCGATTTGTAAATTGTTACTGACCACTTCCATGCTCTACTGCCAGATTCTGTGTGTTCAAAGATCAAAAACTGGGACCAGTACCTCCAGTCTTTTCACTAACACAGCCTGTTAATTTACTCTAAAAATCTCTTGCCTTAAAAAGAAAATCTATCAAAATATTTTGGTGAGTAACTCTGAAACCCAAAATGCTATGTATCACTTGGAACATGAGGAGGCTAAACAGAGTTCACTAATGAAGTAACTAGTCAACAGTAACTTTTTCAAAAATTCTTTTGAAATGGATTTTTATTGAAATACTTCCTTCTAACGCATACTGGATAAAAACCCTATAAAGATCAGAAGAAAAATGAAATAACAGGAAAAATTTATACTTGTATGTCCTACCTACCTCTTGAGCAGCACAAAAAAATTATTTTTGCTACATAGCTTAATGAGCCATCCATGCTGGCTGGACATTGTAAGGCTGAAGAGATGATGAAATAGCGGAGCTCCTTGCATCCCCAGCAAAGCATGATTTTCCACAAGTAAATTAGGAGCAAGGGGCATTACTAATGATGGGAAAACCTATTACACTAAAAGAACAGTATAAGGGATGTATAGGCAAGTATAACATGGTAGGTGAGTTAGAATTGCTTATTACAGTGACCAATTAGGTACCAAATCAAAAGAAGAATAAAATTCCTCAGACAACACATTTACCAATGTATCCTAAATGAACACAAAGGTAGTAACGTCTAATGACTTCAAATTAGCATCTCAAAACTTGACCCATAGTTTGTTCTCTCTCTTATTTTGAAAAGTGCAATGTGAAGAAGGGATGTTTTTATTCTTTTCTAATTTTTATTTCAATAGCTTTTCGAGTACAAGTGGGTTTTTTTGTTGTTGTTGTTACATGGATAAATTATATAGTGGTAAATTCTGAGATTTTAGTGCACCCTTCACTTCAGTAGTGTATATTGTACCTAATGTGTAGACTTTTTCCTTAGCCCCCCGCCCACTCTCCTCCTTCTGGGTCTCCATAATCAATAATATCACTGTGTATGCCTTTACATACTCGTAAGTTAGCTCCCACTTACACATGAGGACATACGGTTTTTGGTTTTTCACTCCTGTGTTACTTCACTTAGAATAATGGCCTCTAGCTCCATCCAAGTTGCTGTAAAAGACATGATTTTATCCCTTTTTATTGCTAAATAGTATTCCATGGTGTATATATACATTTTTTTATCAATTCATTAGTTGATGGGCACTTAGGTTGGCTCCACATCTTTGCAATTGTGAACTGTGCTGCTATAAACATAACTGCATAAGTGTCTTTTTCATATAATGACTTTTCCTTTGGGTAGATACCCAGTAGTGAGATTGCTGGATTGAATGGTAGATCTACTTTTAGCTCTTTAAGGAATCCCCATACTGTTTTCCATAGAGGTTGTACTAATTTACCCAGCAGCAGTTTATAAGCATTCCCTTTTCCCCACATCCATGCCAACATCTATTGTTTTTTTACTTTTTAATATTGGCCATCCTTGCAGGAGTAAGGTGGTAACTCATTGTGGTTTTAATTTGCATCTCCCTGATGATTACTGATGTTGAGCCTTTTTACATATGTTTGTTGGCCATTTGTACATCTTCTTTTGAAAAATGTTTATTCATGTCTTTTGCCCACTTTTTGATGGGATTATTTGTTTCTTTTGTTACTGATTCATTTGTGTTCCTTGTAGATTCTGGATACTAGTCTTTGGTGGAATGCATAATTTGCAAATATTTTCTCCTATTCTGTGCGTTGTTTGTTTACTCTGATGATTATTTCTTTTGCTGTGCAGAAGCGTTTTGGTTTAATTAAGACCCATTTATTTATTTTTGGTTTTGTTTCATTTGCTTTTGGGGTCTCAATTATGAATTCTTTGCCTGGGCCAATTAATAGAAGAGTTTTTTCGAACATTATAGGGTTTTTATAGTCTCGGGCCTTAGATTTAAGTCTTTGATCCATCTTGAGTTGATTTTAATATAAAGTGAGATATAGGGATCCAATTTTATTCTACATGTAAGTTGCCAGTTTTCCCAGCACCATTTATTAAATAGGGTGTCCATTTCCCAATTTATGCTTTGGTATGCTTTGTCAAAGATCAGTTGGTTGTATGTATTTGTCTTTATTTCTGGGTTCTCTATTCTGTTCCATTGGTCTATTGGTCTATTTCTATAACAGTATTATGCTGCTTTGGTAACTACAGCCTTGTAGTATAATTTTGAAGTCCAGTAATATTATGCCTCCAGATTTGTTCTTCTGGCTTAGGGTTGCTTTGACTATTTGGGCTCTTTTTTTGGTTCCATATGAATTTGAGGATTTTTTTTCTAATTCTATGAAAAATGATGTTGGTATTTTGATGGGAATTGCATTGAATCTGTAGATTTCTTTGGACAGTATGGTCATTTTTACAATATTGATTCTTCCTACTCATGAGCATGAGAAGCATTTCCATTTGTTTGTGTCATTTATGATGTCTTTCAGCAGTGTTTTGTAGTTTTCCTAGTAGAGATCTTTCACTTCCTTGACTAAGTATATTTCTAAATATTTTATTTTTATTTTATTTTATTTATTTTTCAGCTTTCAAATCAAGAAATTGACTTCTTGATTTGATTCTCAGCTTGGTCATTCTTGGCGTACAGCAATGCAACTAATTTGGGTACATTGATTTTGTAACTTGATACTTTTTGTATTCATTTGTCAAATCTAGGAGTCTCCTGGAGGAGTCTTTAGGATTTTCTAGTTATACAATCTTATCATCTGCAAACAGTGATAGTTTGACTTCTTCTTTTCCAATTTGGATGTCCTTTATTTCTTTCCCTTGCCTAATTGCTCTGAATAGGACTTCCAGAATTATGTTAAATAGGAGTAATGAAAGTGGGCATCCTTGCTTGGTTCCTATTGTCAGGAGGACTGCTTTCAACTTTTCCCCATGAAGTATGATGTTTACTGTGGGTTTGTTATATATGGCTTTTATTACTTCGAGGAAAGTCCCTTCTATTCCTATTTTGTTGAGGATTTTTAATCATAAAAGAATGCTGGATTTTATCAAATGCTTTTTCTGTGTCTATTGGGATGCTCATATGGTTTTTGTTTTTAACTATGCTTATGTGATGTATCACATTTATTGACTTGTATATGTTAAGCTATCCCTGTATCCCTAGGATGAAACTCACTTGATCATGATGTATTATCTATTTAACGTACTGTTGAATTCAGTTAAATAGTATATTGTTGAGGATTTTTGCATCTGTGTTCATCAGGGATATTGGTCTGTAGTTTTCTTATTTTGTTGTGCCCTTTCCCGGTTTTGGTGTCAGGGTGACTCTGGCTTCACAGAATGAATTAGGGAAGATTTCCTCTTTCTCAATTTTTTGGAACAGTTTCAGAAGAATTGGTACCAATTATTCTTTGAGTATCTGTTAGAATTCAGAGCTGTGAATCCACCTGATACTGGGCATTTTTGTGTTGTTGTTGGCAGTGTTTTAATTACTGATTCAAATTCATTGCTTGTTATTGGTCTGTGCAGGGTTTCTATTTCTTCCTGAATTGATATACGAGGTTGTATGTTTCCAGGAATTTATCAGTTTTCTCTAGTTTTTCTAGTTTGTGTGCATAAAGGTGTGCATAGGAGTCTCAAATGATCTTTTGCATTTCCGTGGTGTTGTTTGTAATGTCTCTCATTTCATTTCTAATTCAGCTTATTTGGATCTTCTATCTTCTTAGTAAATCTAGCTAATGGTTCACCTATTTTGTTTATTTTTTCAAATAACCAGCTTATTATTTTATTGATCTTTTATATTTTTTGTTTGAATTTTATTTAGTTTTGCTCCAAACTTGTTACTTATTTCCTTCTATCTTTGGGTTTAGTTTGTTCTTGTTTCTCTCATTCCTTGAGGTGTCACGTTAGGTTGTCAATTTGTACTGCTTCAGACATTTTCATGTAGGCATTTAGTGCTATAAACGTTTCTTTTAGGAGTGCTTTTGCTTTATCCTAGAGGTTTTGATAACTTTTGTCATTATTATTATTCACTTTGAATAATTTTTTAATTTCCATATTAATTTCATTGTTAACCCAGATATCATTCAAGAACAGATTATTTAATTTCCATGTAATTGCATAGTTTTGACGGTTCCTTTTGGAGTTGATTTCTAGTTTTATTCTGCTGAAGTCTGAGAAGATACTTGATATGATTTTTATTTTTTTAGAATTTATTGAGACTTGTTTTTTGGCCTATCATATGATCTATCTTGGAGAATGTTCCATGTGCTGATGAGAAGAAAGTATATTCTGCAGTCCTTGGATAGAATGTTTTGTAAATATCTATTAAGTCCATTTGTTTTAGTGTCTCATTTAAGTCTATTTTGTTGTTGTTGTTGTTGTTGTTGTTGACTTCTTATATGTTTTGACTGTCTCTCCAACCAAATCTCATCTTGTAGTTCTCATTATTCCCACATGTAATGGGAGGGACCCGGTGCGAGGTAATTGAATCATGGGGATGGTTACCCCATGCTGCCATTCTCATGATAGTGAGTGAGTTTTCAAAGATCTGATGGTTTTATAAGAGGCTTTTCCCCATTTTGCATGACACTTCTCCTTCCTGCCTCCAGGTGAAGAAGAAGATTTTTGCTTCCTCTTCTAACATGATTACACATTTCCTGAGGCCTCGCCAGCCATGCTGAACTGTGAGTAAATCAAACCTCTTTTCTTTATAAATTACCCAGTATCAGGTATGTGTTTATTTATAGTGTGATAACTTTCTAATATGTTTTCCATCTCAATGATCTATCTGGTGCTGTCAGTGGTGTATTGAAGTCTCCCACTATTATTGTGTTGCTGTCTATTTCATTTCTTACATCTAGTAATAAATGCTTTATGAATCTGGGAGTGCAGCATTAGGTGCATATAAATTTAGAATTGTAATATCTTCTTGTTGTATTGATCATTTTATTGTTATATAGTGACCATCTTTGTATTTTTTTAGTATCGTGGCTTTGAAGTCTTGTTTTCTCTTATATAAGAATAGCTAATTCTGTCTGCTTTTCTTTCCATTTGCATGAAATATCCTTTTCCACCCATTTACCTTGAGTTTATATGAATCCTTCCATGTTAGGTGAGTATCTTGAGGACAGCAGATAATTGGTTTGTAATTTTTTATCCATTCCACCATTATGTATCTTTTAAGTGGAGCATTTAGGTCATTCCTGTTCAATGCTAACACTGAGATGTGAGGTACTTTTCTCTTCATTATGTTAATTGTTACCTAGATAGTTTGCTTTTTAAAATTGTGTTATTGTTTTACAGGCCTGTGAGTTTTAAGTTTATGGAGGTTCTATTTTGGTGCATATTAAGTATTTCAAGGTTTAGGATTACTTTTTACATTTTTTGTAGTGCTAGTTTTGTAGAGACAAATTCCCTAAGTATTTCTTTGTCTGAAAATGACTTTATTTGTCTTCCATTTATGAAACTTAGTTTTGAAAGAATCAAAATTATTGGCTGACAGTTGTTCTGTTCGGTAAGGTTGATGATAGGATCCAATCTCTTCTGGCTTGAAAGATTTCTGCTGAGAAGTCTGCTGTTAGCCTGATAGGCTTTAATTTTGGGTTACTTGGTGCTTTTTTCTTAGTACTCTTGGAATTTTTTCTTTCATGTTGACTTTAGGTAGCTTGATGACTGTAAAGCTCAGTGAAGTTCTTTTTGCACTGCACTTCCCAGGAGTTCTTTGAGCTCATTAGATTTGGGTATCTAGATCTATAGCCAGGCCAGAAAAGTTTTCCTCAATTATTCCCTGAAATAAGTTTTCCAGACTTATTGTTTTATCTTCCACCTGAGGAACACCAATTATTCTTAGATTTGGCAGTTTTACATAATCCCATGATTTTTGCAGACTTTGTTCATTTCTTTTGATTCTTTTTTTTAATTTTTGTATGATTGGTTGATTAAAAGGCCTTATCTTCTAAGTCGGAAATTCTTTCTTCTACTTATTATAGTGTATTGTTAGAACTTTCCACTAAATTTGGTAATTTCCTGAGTCAGTCTTTTATTTCCAGAAGTTCTGATTGTTTTTTCTTTTTGATATCTATCTCTCTAGAAAATTTTTTATTCATATCCTGAATTCTGTTTTCAATTTCTTTAAGATGTTTTTCACCTTTCTCTGATATCTCCTTGAGTAGCTTAATAATTGACCCTTTGAATTCCTTATTTGATATTTCAAAAATTATATCTTGGTTTGGATTCATTGCTGGAGAGCTAGTGTGATCTTTTGGGGGAGTTATAGAACCCTGTTTTGATAGTATCTCATTGTGGTTTTGATTTGCATTTCTCTGATGGCCAGTGATGGTGAGCATTTTTTCATGTGTTTTTTGGCTGCATAAATGTCTTCTTTTGAGAAGTGTCTGTTCATGTCCTTCGCCCACTTTTCGATGGGGTTGTTTGTTTTTTTCTTGTAAATGTGTTTGAGTTCATTGTAGATTCTGGATATTAGCCCTTTGTCAGATGAGTAGGTTGAGAAAATTTTCTCCCATTTTGTAGGTTGCCTGTTCACTCTGATGGTAGCTTCTTTTGCTGTGCAGAAGCCCTTTAGTTTCATTAGATCCCATTTGTCAATTTTGTCTTTTGTGGCCATTGCTTTTGGTGTTTTAGACATGAAGTCCTTGCCCATGCCTATGTCCTGAATGGTAATGCCTAGGTTTTCTTCTAGAGGTTTTATGGTTTTAGGTCTAACGTTTAAGTCTTTAATCCATCTTGAATTAATTTTTGTATAAGGTGTAAGGAAGGGATCCAATTTCAGCTTTCTAGATATGGCTAGCCAGTTTTCCCAGTACCATTTATTAAATAGGGAATCCTTTCCCCATTGCTTGTTTTTCTCAGGTTTGTCAAAGATCAGATAGTTGTAGACATGCAGCGTTATTTCTGAGGGCTCTGTTCTGTTCCATTGATCTATATCTCTGTTTTTGTACCAGTACCATGCTGTTTTGGTTACTGTAGCCTTGTAGTATAGTTTGAAGTCAGGTAGTGTGATGCCTCCAGCTTTGTTCTTTTGGCTTAGGATTGACTTGGCGATGCGGGCTCTTTTTTGGTTCCATATGAACTTTAAAGTAGTTTTTTCCAATTCTGTGAAGAAAGTCATTGGTAGCTTGATGGGGATGGCATTGAATCTATAAATTACCTTGGGCAGTATGGCCATTTTCATGATATTGATTCTTCCTACCCATGAGCATGGAATGTTCTTCCATTTGTTTGTATCCTCTTTTATTTCATTGAGCAGTGTTTTGTAATTCTCCTTGTTAGAATGGCGATCATTCAAAAGTCAGGAAACAACAGGTGCTGGAGAGGATGTGGAGAAATAGGAACACTTTTACACTGTTGGTGGGACTGTAAACTAGTTCAACCATTGTGGAAGTCAGTGTGGCGATTCCTCAGGGATCTAGAACTAGAAATACCATTTGACCCAGCCATCCCATTACTGGGTATATACCCAAAGGACTACAAATCATGCTGCTATAAAGACACATGCACACATATGTTTATTGCGGCATTATTCACAATAGCAAAGATTTGGAACCAACCTAAATGTCCAACAATGATAGACTGGATTAAGAAAATGTGGCACATATACACCATGAAATTCTATACAGCCATAAAAAATGATGAGTTCATGTCCTTTGTAGGGACATGGATGAAATTGGAAATCATCATTCTCAGTAAACTATCGCAAGAACAAAAAACCAAACACTGCATATTCTCACTCATAGGTGGGAATTGAACAATGACAACACATGGACACAGGAAGGGGAACATCACACTCTGGGGAATGTTGTGGGGTGGGGGGGGTGAGGGGGGAGGGACAGCTTTAGGAGATATACCTAATGCTAAATGATGAGTTAATGGGTGCAGCACACCAGCATGGCACATTTATACATATGTAACTAACCTGCACATTGTGCACATGTACCCTAAAACTTAAAGTATAATAATAATAAAATTTAAAAAAAGTACCTACATATTAAAGCCAAAAAAAAAACCCTGTTTTGTCCTATTGCCAGGATTAGTTTTCTTGTTCCTTCTGTTTTTGTTAGACTATTTCTTCTAATTATTCTTGAATGTATGTTTGATTTTACTGTATTTTGTTTGTTTGTTTGTTTGGTTTGTAATTTATTTTTCCCCTAAGGATGTGACTCTAATGTTTATAGTTAATTATAGTCTAATATGGTTCTTGGTGTTTTCAGAGGTGGAGACTCTGCAAGAGTTCCTTGGTTATAGAGAGTTTTTGTATGATGGCTTTCTCATATGCTGATTGTAGTAGCAATGTATTCGGTGTATGAGAATGTTCACTATCTCCTACAGGGATGCAATAGTAGACGTATCTTGAGGCTTATCTTATTCACCTGTGGGATATACTTATTTATTTATTTATTTTTCCCTGGTATTTTATTCACTGGCTTGAAGGTTCAAATGTCAAGCCAGTACAAGAAGTGTCCCTGGGTGGGAGCTGATTGTGTCTAAAGCAGGTGGGTAAATACAATACCCAATGGTGGGCAGAAGTCCAAGCCTTGGCAGAGGTGGCTAGAGAAGTTCTCAGTGAGTCACGACGCTGATGTCTTATCAGGGGGAAAGTTTGGAGCCACCTCAGTTCTTCTGCCAGATCAGCAGGATAGTTATCTTCTTCTTAAACAAATTCTTGTCCCAGTGCTCCAAGTATTCAAATCAGACAGGTACCTCTTTTTATCTGTAGAGATGTTGATGTTCCTAGCAGAGAGGAATTGTGAGTTTGTCTTTCGTGAAAGCCTGAACCTGGAGGGTGCTCTTTCTGTGGAGATGCAGTCACCCTGATATGTTCCAGAAAGGCTGTCTATAGTTGCACCTATGCAGAGCTCCCATGGGAGAAGTCCTAATTGTGCCTGGGGTGGTGGACAAAGATGGAAAGATGTTCTTTTCTCAAGACCCTTCATTTGCACCAGGACTGTCTCATGGTTGAGATAGAGCTGCAGACGTTCCCCGTTGAGCCCATCACTGTAACAGTGTCTTGCTGAAAGAAACTTCTCACCAGCAAAAAATATCTGGTTCTCAAGGCCTCCCATCCAGATTCTTTTATCCTATGGGGTGTCCCCTTGATGTGATACACTCCCCCCATCTCTGGGAGTGGGAATCCTTGGGAGCCACACTACAATGAGTGTTGTTGCCCCTCTGAGTCTGGCCACCTAGTGAAGTTGTCACACTCCAGGCTAGTGCTTAGGCATTTCTGCAAGGAATGTGGTGATGTAACCTGTCCTCAAGTGTCCCAGAAGTGGGCAACAGCACTGGCTCTAATGGAGATGTTAAGGGAGTGACATAAACTCTGTGAGATTCCTTGGTTATTGATAGCCTTAGTGTGTTGGCTTTCTCCAATGCCGGTTATAGTAGTAATGAACTGGTTATGTGAACAGACTCGGGGCCTCCTTGTAAGCCAGAGTGGTGCAGTCAGTGGTGATAGCTGAGATCATGTAGCTGTTTTCTCCTACCTGGGCACAATAATATTCTACCAGAAAATGTTGTAATGAACTGTGTTGCTTGGTCTCCAGCCAGGAGGTAGCACTTGCAAAGGAGCACCAGCTGCAGTGGTAACAGTGGGATTTTAGCTTGCCTTATGTTGCCCAATGAGGGTACTCTGGTTTTTCAGGCAATGATTGGTGCCACTTAGCTCTCAAGAGTTTCTGTCCTTTGTGTTAAACTACCAGAGCAGGTGGCAGGGCAAAGCCAGGTGGGGGCTGGGACAGGCTGCTTCATGCTCTAAGTCTCCATGTGCAGGGCAAGCAGCAGCCCCTATGGGTGTTGGGGGATGGGAACAGTTCTCAGGCCACTATGTTGATGTTCTAGAGATGAGTATTGCTGCCTCTGTTGCACGGAAGAATTCATGCAGGGTATGGGGAGTAGCAGGCAGTGAGTGGTAAGCCCCACACATAAGCCCCACATATATTCCATGCACTTGGCGAGGCAGATCCAGCCCCACAGTGCTCCATGAGCAGTAGCAGGCTAAGTTCTAGGCAACCTGCACTCAGAACTTGAAACTAGCTGGTCAAGTTGGCTCATGCCTGTAATCCCAGCATTTGGGGAGGCTGAAGCATGCGGATTGCTTGAGCCCAGGAGTTCAAGACCAGCCTGGGCAACATGGCAAAACCCCCTCTCTGAAAAATACAAAAAATTAGCTGGATGTGATGGCATGCACCTATGGTTCCAGCTCCTCAGAAGGCTGAGGTGGGAGATTCACCTGAGCCCAGGAGTTAAAGGCTTCAGTGAGCTGTGAGCATGCTACCGTACTCCAGCCTGGGTGGCAGAATGAGATCCTGTCTAAAAAAAAAAAAAAAACTTTGAAACTGCCCTAAGTCATCAGCTGTCCTTGCAGAAATAGGAACCACAGCTTTCAGACCATGCCCCTCCCTCTTTGCTGCAAAGCTAGCTGCCCAGCTCCTGCACTCACAGATGCTGTAGTCACAGCTACAGCTCACTTTTCATTCTCCCTTGCCTTAGTCCTGGACAAGGGGGTTTGTTCTCATCTGAAGTTGTATCATGAAACCCAACTGGGGGCTTCTTTCCACCTGTGAGCACTGCCTGATCCATTTGGTTGCCTTCTGCAGCGTCCCCTGTGAGGAATTATAAGGAATGGCTTTCCTTGGTCCACACTGGAAACTGAGAGTGCATGCAAGGGTCTTCCTGCTACTGCTTCTACTTTTATATTCCACACCCCTCCTCAAGTTGATTCTTGTGCTAAGTAGGGTTAAGGTCTTCCCCCATGGCCTGGATGTTCAGCCCTGGTTGAGGTATATATCCCAGAGGCAGTTTCTATGCCTCTTACACTCTGGGGTCTCACAGCCCTTTGCCTGACACATGGTGTAGGCTGCAGCATCCTCCTTCCTTCAAAGGGTCTGTAGATTCTTTTGGATTTCCTGTTCAATTCCTGCATTGCTTCTTGAAGAAAAGTTCACAGTGTGAATCTCTATACACTATTTTGTTCTTCCACGTAGGAAAGGTATGCTAGCAATGCCTGTAATCCACCATCTTGAAAAAAAGACATGTTTTTCTTTATAAACAAATTGTTTATTGAAATCATGTCTGCTCATGATTTGTTGTGTTTTAGAAATATATATATAAATATATATATATATGAATATAATGTCTTTGATCAATCTTTCATACTGATCTTGAAAATGTGGGCTAAAAGTTTTAGGGCTATGACAATCATTTCCCAACCTAAAGGGCAACCCAGCAACTACATTAAGTCCTTTTCATGTTATCTCATTTAATTCTCAGAAAATTGTGAATATAGATTTTACTCAAAATTTCAGATAAGAAACTAAGAGTCAGATTATGTCTTGCTCGAGCCCACGTTCCAGAGCTCATGTACACATTTTTCTACCAACTTCCCACAAAAAATCAAGACTCCCAAACTAACGACAGTTCTTATTTAAAAATGAAGCAACTAGATTTTTCTTTGGTAAAAGTAGTTTACTTTAAAATGACTTTTTCAACTTATGTTTGGATTAGTATCTTTATTCTAGTGATGTTGGCCAAGCTCTAGTCTATGAAAAAAAATTGTGATGTTTTTCTCTCCTTTTAAAATGTTTTTAATGTTATGGAATTACCACTGTCCATAACATTATAGAAAATAATCTAATAGTAATCTATAAAACTCTATCCAGATTTAACAAATGTTCATATGTCATTGTGTTTGATTTAGTTCTATTAATTTTTTAAAAACTAAAGCACTACTGAAACAGATAGGCCTTCTACATCTCCCCTAACCCCATCACCCCAGACAGATAAGCACTTTCCTGATTTGCATTTGTCCTATCAATATATATTTTTATGCTTTAATTACAACTTTATGTTACTGTAGTTATCTACAGTTTCATCCCATGTTTTTCAAAAGTACGTAATTTATATAAATGATACCAAGTTGCTTTTTATGACATTTTGAAGATGTATTCATTATTGAAAATACAGATTTGGTTTATTAACTGTGAGATAGTATTCTATTGTTTCATTATTGAAAATATAGATTTGGTTTATTAACTGTGAGACAGTATTCTATTGTGTGACCCTTTCACAGTTTACTATCCATTTTTCTACATTTTAACACTTAGATTATTTCTAAATCTTAGATCTTTTGCAGATGCACTTGGTACTTTTTTCACAGTGCTCATTATGTTTATCTCATGTTCTGTTTCTTCGTTTAACTCCCTAATTGTTTAAACATTTACTTTATGGTTTATTTCTGGTGTTCAGTCATCTGAAGTCATTGAGGTGCCAATCTACCTGTTTTTTGAGTCTGGTGATTCTTCTTCACAGAAGATACTTTTTCCCTTATATGGTTTGTAATTTTGGTTTTTGACTTAAACTTTTGAAGAGATTTCCCCCCTGCAGGAATGCTCTGTGCTGTTTGTCCTATGTTTGTTCCTACAGAAAGGTTTTACATCAGTTTCATCAGTTTCTTTGATGTAGAGCAAGGCCTATGCCAATGTATTTTATACATTGCTTTTCTCAGTTGTGGGATTCCTGTACCTCATGGGTAGTATAAATTCAGATTCCACACCTACATATTGCAAAGGTATGATGTTTTGATTTTTTATAAGATACTTTTGTTTGAATGCTTTCCTGGTCAACTGGCAAGAGTTATTTAAATTACTCTTTAAATGAGGAGGCAATTTCTCAGATCAGTACATTCATTATCTCTCTCTCTCTCTCTGTCGCTCTCTCTCTCTCTCAAAAAGCCAATGTCATGTCTTCTATCTTGATTTCAGCATCAAACCCTCAACCCTAGGAATTAGAGCCTATATTAATGTCTAATAGGCCATTTCAAGCCAGTTCATAAACTTACTATTGTAGCTTTAAGTTCCTGTTTAGGTTACCATTTTTGGCATGTAGGATTTTATTTTATTTTATTTTGTAAAGCCTTTGTTATATGTAAGCATTTTAGTTTGTTATTTCATCCATCATATTATATGCTGTTAGGTAGGTGTTGGGGATGTATCAGTATAAGGTATCTCTGTTGTGTTGTTGGTACTGGAAGCCCAAAGCTTCAGAATTTTTTTTCCAGGATATATACTAGTTAGAGCCTATTTGTTTCTGGTTTTCAAGATTTATATACATACTATTTTTGAGTTGTTGGATTTCAATATGAAGAGAGAACCTTCTGGAAATCCACATAGTAATGACCCAGGTATGATTACTATGATCTATGAATTACTGAGACTTCTGACCTACAAAATGAGCTGATAAATGTGTATTAATTTAAATCCTTCTTTGTGGTAATTTTTAGGCAGTAATAGAAAAATGATGCCGATTTTGGTGTCTATAATGAGTAAAAACTACATATAAATTAGTAACTGTCTTTAGAACCAGACATTGGTGAAGACTAGACCTGGGAAGTGGGCTGGAGAGCATGACAGAAAAATTTTAGGTTTCTTTCAACAGATTGTGAGTAGCAATACGGATGTTGGCGAGTGTTGTTTTTGTCTAGTGCAGTGAATCCCCCTGGTATCCCTGGAAGGCCCACAAGGTTCTTGGAAAATTTATATAACAAAAAATATTACCATCTTAGACTTAAAGGAAATGAAAAGAGGCTTTTGGACCTACAAAATTTTACTGACAAGAAGGATGACAACACTTGATACTTTTCAAGAAAGAGATGATGGCTCAGAACACAGAGATGACAGTCCAGAGGGTGGAACTGAGAACCCAGCAGATGAGCCAAGAATTCAGAAAGTAGAGCCTAGAGCCCAAGGGCAGAGCTTAGGCCCAAGAAAGTTTATTCCCAGGCGTTAAAAACCTAATTAAAGAAAAACTAATGTTTTCCCTGATAGATTTCAATATGATCATGAGCCACTAAGTTATTTTTAGCTTCTATTCTGACTCTTTTGAATTATAATGTCTACTAGTGTTATGTTATGATTATTCCAATATTGTATGTTGGGGTAGTGAGGAAAGACTACTTGTATGTTTATTTTCACAAGCCTTCAGAAATTTTATATCCGGAAGCCTCATAAATACCTATTTTATGAGATTTTAGAGTTTGAGCTAATGTTATCATTAAATGAGACCCTGGGGTTCCTTTGGTGTGGTTGATGTATTTTGCATTTGGGAGGGATGGGAGTCATTGAGGATCAGAGAGTTGACTGTAGGAAGGTAGGATTCTAAGATGACCTCCAATAACCCACTCCCATTGTATAATCCCTTTGCATTGAATGTGCCTCTTCCATTGAATGTGTGAAGATTCTGTGAATATAAGATGCTGATTTTGTAATTACATTATATTTCATGTCAAAAGGGATATTTTAGAAGTAATTCAAGTTATTAACCAATTCAAATTGAGTTAATCAAAAGGGATATAATCTGGGTGGGTCTAACTTAATCACACGAGCCCTTTCCATCTGGATCTAGAAATCAGAGGGATTCCATACATAAGTAATTGTCTATTGCTGGATTTGAAGGTGGAGAGGGGCACATGACAAAGAATGAAGAGTGCTTCTATGAGTTGAGAGCTTTCTCTGAATCACAGTCAGTAAAAAAATGGGACCTTCAGTCATAAAACTGCATGAAATGAATTTTGCCAACAACCTGAATGAGCATGGAAGTAGATTTTTCCCCAGGTCATTCAGAAAAAAAACTCAACCAGGTGAGGCCTTGATTCCAGCACTGTGATTCTTTGAGCAGTGAACTTAGCAATGCCATGCTAAACTTCTGACCTGCAGAACTGCGGGCTGATAAATGAATGTCTTTTTATGCCATTAAGTTTGTGGTAATTTGTTGCATAGTAATAGAACACTAATACAATATTCTTCCTGGTTCATCATGATAGAGAGGATAAATGGTGTTTGGAGAACTTGTCGAGATAAAAGTAAGAAGTGTATTATCACCTGGAAAAGTGTGGAGTTTAAGTTTTATTCTATTTTGATTATGGTTATATGGTGGGCATATGATCGTTAACCCCTCCAGAAAACAAACGAAACAAAAAAGGTAAAGTGATTGCCCATAATCTAAAATAATCCACTTCATGATATAATAGGTATATTTTATTAGATTTATGAATTGCTTCTACATTGTAAAATAGTAAATAATCTGAGCTGTCCTGATCCTTATGAAAACAGCAATCATGAAGTGATTCATCTTCCAGTCATCTGTTCTCTTCATCTTTTCTTCTCTGCTTTATTTTTAGAAAGTAGTCAAAGTCCTTATGGTATTAACAACTGAGTGACAGCTTTTGCCTTTCTACTACAATGGAGAGAAATTCCAGACAGTAAAACTAAGGAAGAAAGCAAGTGTCTTGAAGATGCCATGGTTACTGGTGATAAATATAATCAAACCTCTATTTATTTTCAATGTTTGCCTCCTTCAAAGCTGCTACTTTAATGTGAGCAATTTACAGTATTGATTCAATATATTATTGCCTTGCCTTTGTTCATTCCATGTTGATTAAATAGTCAGTGAAGATGGGACACTTGCAGTAGTAATCAGTATGAGAACTACATCTACGTTGTTCACAAGACTGAAATACAATTTTTACAAATTCCCGTTTTTGAGACCAAGTATCTCACAGATTCAGACACTATGGGTAATATATAAGGTGTGTTTGCTTCTTGGCCTTTCAATTTCCATTAACATGTGTATCAGGCTGTTCTTGCATTGCTGTAAAGAAATAACTGAAGCCAGACGTGGTGGCTCATGACTGTAGGCCGAGGCAGGAGGATTGCTTGAGCCCAGGAGTTCAATATTGGCCTGGGTGACATAGTGAGACTCTCTCTCTCTCTCTCTATATATATATATATATATACACACACACACATATATATATGTGTGTGTGTGTGTGTGTGTATATATGCATATATATGCATATATATGAATAGATAGATATAAATACTTGAGACTAGGTAATTTATAAAAGAAAAGAGGTTTAATTAACTCTGAGTTCTGTCTTTACAGGAAGCATGATGCTGGCATCTGCTTGGCTTCTGGTGAAACCTCAAGGAGCTTTCAACCATGGTAGTAGGTGAAGGAGGGCCAGGCATGTCACATGTTGAAAGCAGGAGCAAGTGAGAGAGAGAGTGGGGGCGGGGAGGTGCCACACACTTTTAAACAACCAGATTTCAGGTGAACTCAAGTGAGAACTCACTTATTACCAAGGAGATGGCCCAAGCCATTCATGAGGGATACTCTCCCATGATCCAAACTTCTCCCACCAGGCTCCGCCTCCAACATGATTCAACATGAGATTTGGGCAGGGACAAACATCCATACTATAGCAACATGACAATCTAATTTCCAGAAAATGTAAAATGACCACTTACATGATTATTCAACTTTGGCTGTTGAAAGAGGGTGTTTTGGCTTAGAATGCTTCTTACTGAATGAATATATTTCCAAGAATAGTGGCCTGTTGTATCCTCATATGCTGTGTGGTACTTTTTATTGAAAAGGAAAAAAAGTATGACTTCTGGTTAGGTTACAGCTGAGATATAAACAATCAATTAAAATGGCCACTGGTGATCCCCAGATAAAAATTCCATAGCCAATAGGCCAGACCTTTTCAACTGTGCACATGCAAGAGTCAGTAATTTAAAAATAGTATTTGGTAAAAGCAAAGGTTATTATTTAGTTTGGAGAGAATAAGAGGAAGTTATGCTGTGTCTGTTGGAAGACATATGTTTTATTATACAGTGTAAACAGACAACTGACAGACAGTGCCGAGTCAATCCCGTGGAGGACTTGAATGGAATGCAATTTATAGTTTCTGCTTCCATGAAGCATACTTATTCATCCCAAGTATTTCTGGTAGATTTAACATTTTTTCAATGAAAAAACTGCCCGATACATTCAATTTTACTTGTAGGATAAAAATCAAAATGCCCTTATTAATTTTAATTTTTATTAGTATCTAGTCATACATTTCTGGTTATGTTGCAACTTACAATTGTAAAGTTAGAATTAAGAGATTTTGCATATTTTAATGTAGATGTAGAAACTTTTAAAGAAAGACTCTCCATTATTTCTCTTTATTCTTTTATTTTGGAATTGATTTTTTTTTCATTTTTATTGATTGTACTGACGATATTGTTTTTATATCTTTTAACATTTATATTTTTATTTTATTAATTTAAAAGTTGAATGAAAATATACCTACATAAATCCTGCTCCCTCTGAATCTAGAATATATCTCTTGTCTTAAATTTTAGAAATTGAGACCTAATATATATATATGAGACCTCTTCATGTTTCCTGGAATATATAACACAGTAGAAAGAAAGCTGAGGGTAATTGGCTGAAAGGTAGGTCTTAAGTCACTTGTGGAAGCTCCTCATTAAAAATACATCCCTGATTGAAGTGAAATGCCATTCTTGATAATTCTTTGTTTTGTATTAAGCATTTTATCACCTGAAATTCTTATTTTAACATTTAATATTCCTGTGATGATTCATAACCTAAGCCATCAATATGTTCAAGGTAGTTCGCCAGAGCTCAATTTCCTTAAGAGGAGTAATCAACCTTGTGAGATTCTTGGACACCTGTGAGAAAAGGGATATTGTAGTATGGAGAAAAATCATTGAAATGGAGAAGTAAGGAATGATGAAAACAAATTTTCCCTGGAATCAGCAGTCATGAATGGCTCTATATTTATTATTTCTTACATTATAATGATAGATATGACTGACAGAAGGCTTATCTCTAGACTTTTAAAAAATCTCATTTCTATGCCTGTATCTTCTCCAAGGCTACTGTGACTTAAGTCTGTTGGGTTTCTGTTGTTGTTTTCTCATATTTTTTCTTATGAACTTCTGTTCTTTATCAGTTCTCAGAAATCCTTTAGGTGAAAGGAGAGAGTACCTATTTCTGAGAAAACTGCAATCCAGAACAGCTATAGAATTATTCTTGTCAATCACCACATCTTAGCTGTGAGTAACACATTATCTAACAACAAAACTACATCAATAATAATGATAATGATAATAATAATGATTGAAATTATATACCTAACAATTATTGGTTTTTATTATGTGTCAGGAATTCCTCCAAACATTTTGCATGGATTATTTTTTATAATTCTGCAGTTACTCTGTAAGGTAGGTACCATCCCAGTTTCTGGATGTTGGATCAAACACACAGAGAATTTTTAAAACTGTCTTAGGGTAACACAATTTCCAAGTAGACGGCGCCGGAATTTCAACTCATAGCTTCTAAGGACAGAGCCTATGCACTTGGACACAATAGTTTATGAACACAGTAGCCTTATGCAAGTACATTTACTAAATATTACTCAGTATGACAGAAACTATTGTTATTACAAATTTCCAGCATGCAAAGTTGGTAATTTATCTACATACATTTCTTTTGTTAGAAATCTTTTTTTCTGTATTGGGAAGATTTAAAGCCATAATGCCATTCTAGATTTTCATCCTCAAGTGTAAACTATATAATAATTTGGCTTAAGTGGCTGAACTCTAACCAGCATGTAATTTACTGCACTATAGCACAAGTATTATTGCTTGAAACCAGAAAAAAGAGGTTGCCTAGACTTTCGTAGTTGTGAATCACAACAAATCTTTTGTTTTAATTTCTTTTCAGTACAGTTTTAATTAAGAACAAAACGTTGACTACCAACTTGACTGAATATGTCCCCAGTATCTTAATGGTGGAATAAAATACATAGTCTGTATGCTTCTGATTCAGACAGGTGAATTATTCTTAATGTAAGTACTGAGAAGCTTTTATCCATTGTTATTGGTATGTATACGACCTTGCTATCTTGGAAGATAAAAATGATTTCCAACTAGAAATAAGTTATTACCACCTATTTACATCCCAGTGAGAATTATTTCCCATTAGTTTTATAGACATGTTTCCCCCAAGTGATCAATAGAATACCCAGGCCGACTTGAATATCTCCATGTGTGAAAAATAGTACTGAAAAATATTTTGATATTCCAAGTTATCTCTGTAATTTGCCAGATAATGAATACATGGAGAAGTATGGAGCTCAATGTTTTGCATTATTATAAAAAAGAATATACAATGTTATCATTTAGATAAAAAAATATTTTTAAAATGCAATAGAAAATAGAACAAGTTATGTTCATTTATGTCTCTCATTCTAATGCAGCTTGGGGAACTATAAAATTAGAAACTGGTTATGTTAGTCAATGCAGCTCTTGGTGAGCTGGTGTGCACATTACAAATTGTACTAATTGGTACATTAGATTATTTAAAGGCAGAATGAGCTATGGAAATAGAACTCTTCCCTCATTTTCTAAAATTGTTTTTTTCAAGTGAGGGTTGAGATTTTCTATTTTCTGTAGTATGGAAAAATAGATAACTGAACTCACAGGAATAATAGTATCATTCTGAGTACCAATCTCAACCACCTCTCTCTGCTTACTTTCATAATTTCAATTTTTTTCTTTATGTGTCTTACTCTTACCTCAACTTTTTCTATAAATAGTTATCATTCTTAAGATCTCTCAAAAATAAACATTGTTGAATGAAATATATAAGAATTTAATAAATGAATGGTGAATTGATATTTCATTGTGCTGAGCTACAACATATTGTATTATAAATACTATATACTTCTTACCCTAAATTTAAGAGAGAATAATTTTTTAAACTCAGGATTCAAGATATTTTGCTTTCAAATCCATATTGCCAGGGTTATATAGGAAAAGGTAGGGTGACAAACGTGTGGCAAGATTAAAACAAAAAATGATATAAAAAGAAACAGGAAGAGGAAGAAAAGTAACAGGAGGATCAGTATGAAGTCAGGAAAATCTCATCATGGTCAGTTTTTTAAAAATTATTATTGTATTTTACTACTTTAAAATCAAGCTCGGTGGAACAGTGCAACATCATTAGTCCTTTAGAGGTAAATGTAAATGAGGTACAGTGATTTTAGTATAAACTAGAGGCAACCTCAAAGAACAGATGATTCATGAAATTGGTGAATCACAAATTTGCCAGGTGGATGAAGACCCTGACCTTACATTTTTGAGAGGGAGATTGAAAGGTGAATCTCTGATTATAACATGAATTTTTAAAACTCTATGTCAGCTTTTATAACCTTAAGCAAAAACAATAAAAATTAATGAAATATTTTTAATACCTGTGCATTTTATTACCCTCACAAAAAATAAGTGTAAACTTCTCATAGTTATCATAACATGTGGTTAGGTATAGGTATTGGTAAAAGTAATCAAAGGATTTGCTTTCTTCTTCATATATTTATGAAGATTAAAACACTTTTTTTGTCTAGATATCATCTTTTCTTTTGATACAGATTTTTTCAGAACACAGATTTTTGGCTATATTTTAATTATAATACCATGCTCTTGAACATACTTGTAATTTCTTTCAAAGGATTTGATTGTAGTAAGATATTTTGGTCAAGTATTGAAGGGAATCTATATAGTTTAAATTGCATAGTTTTCCTCTAGATGCCTGAATTGACTCTTATAGATAACGTGAATCAGAAATGCAGGAGTATTTTACTAAGTTCTTGCATTTTGGAGAATGCTGAATTAAAATTGTAGGTCAGTCTTCTAAAGGGATGCAAGGAGAGTTCATGGAGGAAGGAGATTGAGATCAGAAGGATAGATCAACACAGGAGATGAATCTGAGAACAGCCTGGATAATGTTGGGAATTAAATGGAGCAAAGGTAGGTACTACAAGAAGTACTCATCTGTGCATAATTGAGCTGAGTTCCTACATGAAACCTCTTGAGAATGTATAATACCTAGGCTCCTCAGGAGAAAGAAGAGGCTCGTCTAAGGAAGAGCAGAAGACTGGCTCAGTGCCCCATGGTGTTTCAAACCAGAATTTGGTGAAGGCAGGTATCAACGTCCAAGAAAATCCAATCTAGTGAGAGGGGTACAGCATTGGTATTACATGAGGCAGACAGTACCGTTGTCCCTTAATATTATAGAACACTTGTTCCAAGACCCCTACAGATACCAACATTAATGAATGCTCAAGTCCCTTATATACAATGGCATAGTATTTGCATATAACCTATGTACATCCTCCCGTATATTTTAAATCATTTCTAAATTACTTATAACACCTAATACAATATAAATCCTATGTGAATTGTTGTTATACTATATTGCTTAGGGAATAATAACAAGAAATAGTCTGTACACGTTCAGAACTGAAACTTTGTTTCCAAATACCAGCGGTTGGTTGAATCCATGAATGCAGAACCCATGGATATGGAGGGCTGACTGTCAATGGGTAATCAGTATATACAGCATGATTACATATATTGACAAGGGAGACAGGCAGTTTTATTGATATTCATCTTTCTCTAGTGTATTTAAGTGAACACTGCAAATGGTCCATTGATCTAGGACTTAGTCTCTGTAGAATAGTAGAGCACAAGTCAGGCTGAATTGAGGCAGAATTCCAGTTGTGCGGACTGAAAATAGAGGAAGGTGTGGTGTAGTTGTGCTAGGGACACAAGATCCTAGATCTGTGGTAGCAAGGCAAATTCCACTGTAAATTACACTGTTATTTCAGTCAAGCAAGAGAAATTTTTGAGCTGGGTGTTAACCGAAGACCAAGAATGCAATGGGCATCTCTTAACAGCCACCGTGCAGCTGTGATGCTGTGCTGTGAAACAAAGTTCATCAAAGCCAAAAGAATGTAATCTGAAACAAAAACCAAGTTTAAGTAATCATTGAGTCCAATGGTAAACTGATGCATCTTGAAATAAAATAGTTTGTAAACAAAGCAAAATTCAAATGAGTACCAGCCAAAAAGCCAATATATTAAAGGTGGCAGAACTGAACTGGAGAGAGAGTGTAAGTGTTTCCTCAGCTTATGAGTTTCCAAGTTTTATTTAGCCATTAGGATGGTCAGAGGAGGGGAGTATAGAGCAATTAAAGTAGTCAGGTTTTGATTATCTTGAATTTTTTGTTAGCCAAGCGTTTGATAGGCTTCAGTGATTCAGGCTGAAAAGAATTGAACTATGTTTTCTAGAAATTGAAAGGGAATAAGGCTTGCTTCCATTGACTTACTATAGAATTCTCAACTCTTGTGTTTACACCCAGGAAAAAATAAAGGATGATAAGACACTTTGGATTGAATCTCATTTAAGATCTTATGCATCAATTCTGTTTTGTGTCTCATATCTTGTATACTTTAGAAGAGTTAATCACTTAAACAGGAAAATAATTATGCACAGCACTAATATTCTTTGGGTTCTCAAAATGTTAAATAAGTGTAATTACATAGGAAAATATCAGTTTTGGACATATGCAACTACTAGAGTTCTTCCACTGTTCATTTGTGTAATGGTCATGTCTGATTTCTCTAGGTCATCGCTGAGTATGTTGTATAAATAAAGGAGATGTTCAAATAAAAGTAGGGTTTGACATTAGGAACATCTCCTTGTATTTATACATATATAACAAACCTGCACGTTGTACACACATACCCTAAAACTTAAAGTATAATAAAAAAAAAGTAGGGTTTGACTTGATGAATTATTTCACTTATTTGAAGTAACTAAAGACAATTTAAGAATTATACCGGCTGGGGCAGAGACACAACCAAAAAAGAGAATTTTAGACCAATATCCTTGATGAACATTGATGCAAAAATCCTCCATAAAATACTGGCAAACCAAATCCAGCAGCACATCAAAAAGCTTATCCACCATGGTCAGGTGGGCTTCATCCCTGAGATGCAAGGCTGCTTCAATATACGCAAATCAATAAATGTAATCCAGCATATAAACAGAACCAAAGACAAAAACCACATGATTATCTCAATAGATGCAGAAAAGGCCTTTGACAAAATTCAACAACCCTTCATGCTAAAAACTCTCAATAAATTAGGTATTGATGGGACGTATCTCAAAATAATAAGAGCTATCTATGACAAACTCACAGCCAATATCATACTGAATGGGCAAAAACTGGAAGCATTCCCTTTGAAAACTGGCACAAGACAGGGATGCTCTCTCTCACCACTCCTATTCAACATAGTGTTGGAAGTTCTGGCCAGGGCAATTAGGCAGGAGAAGGAAATAAAGGGTATTCAATTAGGAGAAGAGGAAGTCAAATTGTCCCTGTTTGCAGACGACATGATTCTATACCTAGAAAACCCCATTGTCTCAGCCCAAAATCTCCTTAAGCTGATAAGCAACTTCAGCAAAGTCTCAGGATACAAAATCAATGTACAAAAATCACAAGCATTCTCATACACCAATAACAGACAAACAGAGAGCCAAATCATGAGTGAACTCCCATTGACAATTGCTTCAAAGAGAATAAAATACCTAGGAATCCAGCTTACAAGGGATGTGAAGGACCTCTTCAAGGAGAACTACAAACCACTGCTCAATGAAATAAAAGAGGATACAAACAAATGGAAGAACATTCCATGCTCATGGGTAGGAAGAATCAATATCATGAAAATGGCCATACTGCCCAAGGTAATTTACAGATTCAATGCCATCCCCATCAAGCTACCAATGCCTTTCTTCACAGAATTGGAAAAAACTACTTTAAAGTTCATATGGAAGCAAAAAAGATCCCGCATCGCCAAGTCAATCCTCAGCCAAAAGAACGAAGCTGGAGGCATCACACTACCTGACTTCAAACTATACTACAAGGCTACAGTAACCAAAACAGCATGGTACTGGTACCAAAACAGAGATATAGATCAATGGAACAGAACAGAGCCCTCAGAAATAATGCCGCATATCTACAACTATCTGATCTTTGACAAACCTGACAAAAACAAGCAATGGGGAAAGGATTCCCTATTTAATAAATGATGCTGCGAAAACTGGCTAGCCATATGTAGAAAGCTGAAACCGGACCCCTTCCTTACACCTTATACAAAAATCAATTCAAGATGGATTAAAGACTTAAATGTTAGACCTAAAACCATAAAAACCCTAGAAGAAAACCTAGGCATTACCATTCAGGACATAGGCATGGGCAAGGACTTCATGTCTAAAACACCAAAAGCAATGGCAACAAAAGACAAAATTGACAAATGGGATCTAATTAAACTAAAGAGCTTCTGCACAGCAAAAGAAACTACCATCAGAGTGAACAGGCAACCTACAAAATGGGAGAAAATTTTCTCAACCTACTCATCTGACAAAGGGCTAATATCCAGAATCTACAATGAACTCAAACAAATTTACAAGAAAAAAACAAACAACACCATCGAGAAGTGGGCAAAGGACATGAACAGACACTTCTCAAAAGAAGACATTTATGCAGCCAAAAAACACATGAAAAAATGCTCTCCGTCACTGGCCATCAGAGAAATGCAAATCAAAACCACAGTGAGATACCATTTCACACCCAGTTAGAATGGCAATCATTAAAAAGTCAGGAAACAGGTGCTGGAGAGGATGTGGAGAAATAGGAACACTTTTACACTGTTGGTGGGACTGTAAACTAGTTCAACCATTGTGGAAGTCAGTGTGGCGATTCCTCGGGGATCTAGAACTAGAAATACCATTTGACCCAGCCATCCCATTACTGGGTATATACCCAAAGGACTACAAATCATGCTGCTATAAAGACACATGCACACGTATGTTTATTGCGGCATTATTCAGAATAGCAAAGACTTGGAACCAACCCAAATGTCCAACAATGATAGACTGGATTAAGAAAATGTGGCACATATACACCATGGAATACTATGCAGCCATAAAAAATGATGAGTTCATGTCCTTTGTAGGGACATGGATGAAATTGGAAATCATCATTCTCAGTAAACTATCGCAAGAACAAAAAACCAAACACCGCATATTCTCACTCATAGGTGGGAATTGAACAATGAGAACACATGGACACAGGAAGGGGAACAACACACTCTGGGGACTGTTGTGGGGTGGGGGGAGGGGGGAGGGATAGCATTGGGGGATTTACCTAATGCTAGATGACGAGTTAGTGGGTGCAGCGCACCAGCATGGCACATGCATACATATGTAACTAACCTGCACATTGTGCACATGTACCCTAAAACTTAAGGTACAATAATAAATAAATAAATAAATAAATAATAAAGAAAAGAATTATACTGGCTGAATAGTGGGTAAGTTTTGGAAGTAGAGTGCAGAGAATACTTGACCACAGAGTTATATTACAAAGCACTTTCAAAAATGGGATATGTTGCCTCATATTCTATGGGGCTATATGCGTTTCTAGATAAGATATTACTGAGGACATTTAGCATAATTTTATTTAGAATTAAACAGATTTTAAAGAAAAGTTGAAATCAATCATCTAGTTTATACAAGCTTCTATAAAAATATGGTTCACAGTAAAATATTCTATCCAAGTTAGGGCTTGGTTGGAGCTGTAAGTTTTAATTTTACAACTGGTAAAACTGAGTTAATTATTTTTAAAACCTCAGGAATTCCAAATTTTATCATTGCCGTGCAGATTGAAGTGCTTGAGGGAACCTGAAACCAGAATCTTCAGAGGAATCCAAGATGAAGAGAGTCATTTTATTAAGTTGAAGCTTGAATTTCCAAAGTAAAAACTAATACTACACAGTTAATTGCACAGTCTTCTGGTTTTGCACTGCCTGTAATTATGTATGTAAACACACTTTGGAGATATACATTAATTCTCTGAATCACAGCAAAATTGTTTATCTACTCTAGTTATGTTTGATTCAAAAAAATAGTTGGATATTTTAAGTTTGTTTTTATAAGTTCCTCACTCAATTGATAAGCTCTTCAAATAATATCAAATTATGTAATTTGAATTGCGGAATTCTACAGGTGCTTTTACTTTAGCTATAGCACCATTGTCAAAGAACCACCCTCTCAGAATAGTTTGGATAAAGAAAACCAACAATGACAAATTATTTTCTTTGAAGTCTGACTGTTTCGTTTCCATATTTGGTCTTTGGGAGCAGAAGTTCTTAATATAAATCAATGGAACTAAAGGAACACAGGAAACATTTACATTTGCATTCAACATTTTGTGAATACATGAAATTACATTATCTGAAGATTTATAATTTTCATTGGATTTTCATATGTCTGTGAACCAAAAGTTGATTTAAAAAACTTTTTCTTTACAGTATGCAAATGACCAATTTTTATCTCGAGGACTACTTTTAACTGAAATTTATGTAATGGTATTCAAAGCCTGAATGAGTTAGGGAAATACCTTTTTTTCCCCACTCTGAAGTGACATTTGGCATACTCTGGAGTCTAAGCATGATTCAAAGTACAAATCTGATCTTGCCTTTTGACTGAAAAATCCTATTGAATTTTCATAACTGTCCAAGTAAAATACATATGATGAAAAAGGGACTGCTTGGAGAGAGTTTTATTCATTTTATAGCTCCCAGTAAACCTGACTTAAACATAATCCAAAAACAGATGTGATATTGAGGGGTAAAGAGGAACATTAAGAACCCATGACACCCTAGATGTATGAGCCCTCAATTCGAGTGCCCAGTGTATGTACCCCTTGGCATGGAGGTTCACCATCTCAGAATATTCCTAGATTTCCAGCTGCTACTTTACTTCCACGTGGCAGTTATGGAGAGCTGTCAACCAGTTGTGTTGTGATGAAAGTGACAGCCTTTTCTCTTCTGTCTTTCATGACAATCTACATCATTCTGTCAGTCAGACAGTATAGCAGCAGCAGAATGTCCCCTATCTTTGAAGGCCACTTGATAGATCTACCTGGGCCAGCGTAAGAGGTTATCATCACTCTCACTCCTTCCAGCATACACTTATTTATCTATTTCTATAAACCATAGTTTGCGGATTTTAAGCTATCTCTGAGTAGCCCTTTACGGTCTCATGGTAATTAGAATCAGCTGAAATGCCCCTGCTGTTTTTCCTGTGATTTTAATTGGCAGTAAAGTGAGGTGGTATGAATTCCTGTGAGAGCTTTTCTTTCAGGAGACTCCTTGCTGTCTCCAACTGACAGGAAAGTGAGGCTGCGTTTTTCAGTCTGTTTAACTGCAGTGAGTAGAGGCTTTCTTGATTTCTTTTGTGAGCTCACTGTTATAATGTGCTCAGCTTTTGTATTGTGAAGTAGATCTTATAGATGACCCTTTAATTTCTCCATTTAAAAGGAAAAAATAGCAATCTTTATGGGATTTAATGAATTTTAGTTTTTGGAAGCTATTTTGGTTCAGCATTAAAAATGCAGGAGAGATGCTTACAGCTCACTTTTCAAAACGAGAGTGTTACCAGTAGAAATGTCAGTGAGTGAATTGGAAGTAAGATATTATTATTTTGCTTCATGAATGTCAGGAAGAAGAAACAAAAGGAGGGGATAATATAATAGTCACACTAGGGAGTAAGAGATTGGATCCTTGGGGGCATGAGCTCTCTCTCTGATATCCTCCATGCCTATGGCTCTGTCTGCATAAGATCATAACAACTCAGTAGCTATAAATTCTTAGTTAATATTCTAACCGGTTTGCCTACGTTATAACAAAATATAAGGTTAACTTCTCTATATACTTCCTGTAGAGTGTTCTTTTCTCCCTCACATGCTGCTTTATCCATAAGAATTATCAGCACAAATATGTATGCATGACACTGAATGCATATTTTATAAAACCAAGGTATCTCAGTTTTCCTTGGATTATATCTATATTATAGAAAAAATATATGTGTCTGTACTAGGGAGGAGGTTCAAACTGGTCAAAATAGATTTGTATCTAGTACTTTAGGATTACCGTAGTTTTTCTTGGCAGTCAAAAAATGATTCTGCCAGCTACTTGCACCGTGTGGCAATCTAAATAATTTACTCATTCTGAGATTTTTGATAGTCAGTTTTTTTGGGGGGTGGGGGAGGGTGAGGTGCAGAGGAGAATTACATACACAGACATACACAGACATAAATATATTGTGACCTGCTGCGATATCTGAATGTTTATACTATGAGTTTTTTTTTTTTTTGTATTCTCAACAAATAACAAACTATTAGTTTTTCTGAAGGTGATATAAAAGTTCAAAAATATTTTCCACATATGGGAATTTTAAAATAGCTAAAGTGGCTAGGCATGGTGGCTCACGCCTGTAATACTAGTACTTTGGGAGGCCAAGGCAGCCAGATTACTTGAGGTCAGAAGTTCGAGACCAGCCTGGCCAACATGGTGAAACCCTGTCTCCACCAAAAAAAAAAAAAAAAAAAAAAAAAAAAAAAAAATTAGCCAGGCATGGTAGTGAGGGCCTATAGTCCCAACTACTTGGGAGGCTGAGCTGGGAGAATCGCTTAAACCCAGAAGGCAGAGCTTGCAGTGACCAAGGTCGTACCACTGCACTCCAGCCTGGGTGATAGAACGAGACTCTGTCTCAAAAAAAATAAGGCTAAAGAAGAGATAGTGTGGAAAATCCAATCTATAAATATTTCCTCCTTGGTTTCTCTGACTTGCCTGGTGACTCACTGATAGTTATACTTTTCTCCATTTGTTAACGTTTCAATGGAGAGTAAAAAAAGAGAGACTAGATTTGAGAAATAACAATAATTAAACAAAATAAAGTAAAAAAATATGCCACTCACCCATAGCAAAAGTGTAAAACCAACTAGAAATAAGACACAAAGTAACTTAGAATACAGAAAACAGAAAGAAAGGGAAGCCATAAGGTACCCATAGAAACTCTTTCCACTTTGCACCTACCTTCTGTCCCTGAAGAAGTCAATCCATTTCCTTAGAATGTTTGCCAATCTGTTTTGTTTTTTCCTTTTCTGAGCAGTAAATGCACAATGAAACAAATTATCTTTAACAATTTCACAAATAATATATACAAGTAATGAATCCCATTGAAGGTATTTTTTGACCGGGTTAAGTTGAAGACAATTTTTCTGTTAATGCCTGAAGTCCAGAAGGAATAAATAAGTAATGAAGATATTTATTTTTCAATCATGAATCAGTGTTCGGGCCTGGGAAACTTTTCAATGTTTGTACAAATGGCAGGTTGGAGGGAGTAGGTGGTTGAACCACATGAAAAATGTGTGAAGAATGACAGAAGAGAAAGTCATGGGGACCATTAATCTTTAGTCCCACATTTAGCTTTCATATTAATCTAATGAAACTTGTAAAATTTGGGGTTTGTATGTTTTGCAATTTCTGTATTAGAAATTCATGTTTTGGGTCAACATTGGTGGGTGAACAGAGTTGTACCTTCCGTTGATATAAATGAACAGATTTTTAGTTTGTGGTTAATTGAATTATATATCAAATAAAATTATTATCTGTATTTCCTTAATAATAATAAAGTAATTATGATATAAAAGTTCTCTTAAATTGATAGTCAACTGATTTCTTTCCTATGTTTCACATCACATTTATAAAGCATTGTAGAATTTAACATTTTAATCAAACCCATGATATACAATACACATAACCCAGACTTCTATAATTCTACCTTCTTTTTCTCTCTCTTTCTTTCTCTCTTTCTCTCTCTCTCTATATATATATATATGTGTGTGTGTGTGTGTGTGTGTGTGTGTGTGTGTGTGTGTCATTCTAGGAGCATGCTTTCCTTCAGGAATGTTCTGGGATAATGCGATCCATGAGGTTCTAATAGGAACCCAAGAGCACCAATGACTTATTGCTGTATATAGCTCTTGGGCATACACATCAAAGCACAACATTCTACAATATTGCATGTTGTAAAATGTCACAAATTGTCAATCTTCCTGTGGGTTGTCATCATTAAGGACTTTTGTACCTAACTGCAATTGTGAGTTTCTATAGTTCCATTATAGATTATCTTACTAATGATGTTAGTATCTGCTAAATGGAAAACTGTAGACGTAGTGGCTGATTAGGTAGCACAATTCCCTCAAAACTGCAAAGTCAGAGGTTAAACTACTTTACAGTGAAAATATCATAAACTACTAAGCAGTAACTTTGGAAGTGGATATACCTGAGTAACAAATATGCCATGTTTTCTTTTCAATTTACCTTATTTACATTTGCATAATAGAAATTAATAAAATTCATTTAAACAGAATATTAAATTTTAATCAGTGAGACTGAGTCTTGGAGGGAAAGCATTATATTTGTCTGTAGGCAATCACGTTGAAAATCAGTACATGACTTTTAAATATATAAATGTTCTCTTTTTTAATGTAGCCTTTGGACTGTGATAGAAAATATCTACTTGAAAGCCTTTCAAACCAGTATAACAGAATCTTATACAACAATCAGGGGATTTTCAGATGCCTGGCCATAGTGTTCAATGATCTTTCAGAGATTTATTTGTTATAATACTTGCATAGAATAGTATCTTATAAAAGATTGTTTCCCCAAATTAAAAAAAAAAACTTATTTATGGCTCACTTAAAACTCTTCAGAAAACTAGCATCTGTTATTTTTGGTCCTACACTTAATTTAGAAGCTTACCTTTAACATATTTCCTTTCTTTTTAACTTATTATCAACTTTCTGCTTTTCTGGCAATCATATATCACAAATATGAAAGTTATAACAAGAATCATGGAAATTAGATTTAAATTTAAAAAATTAAATTTAAAAAATTATTTTCTTGTTTTCTCTCTATTCCCTTTATAAGATCGATCTTTTCCCTAACGAACAGTCCAGGATTGCTGGAGTTATCAAGGATTTGAAAGCTTTCTTGTTATTGCCATACCTTTTATTTTATACCTTACTTTACAGATTATCCTGTTTTGCTTTTCCAAATTTAGTATTTTAGAACTACTCCGGCAAATATCTTGTTAAGACTTTTACCTTAAGCGTGATAAAATGATGATTATAATAAAAATTAATGTTAACATCTTGTTAGCCATTTTTGTCACATAACAAAAAACCTTCTTATATTGTTTTTAAAATGACTTCTGCATTTATGACTAAAGTTTGCCATCTAGTGGGAATACTGAAGCAAACATCAAAATACTGTTTGCTTTTTTTAAAAAAACTGAGTTTTAAAGGACATGTCTAGTTTCACTGGTTTGACTGAATTCATCAGTGAATTTCAAAAACATTTTAATAAATAAATCAACTGTCAAACTTAGTTGTACCGACTAATGTGTTGTGTAGAAACAACCTGAGTGAATGAACTTAAAAGTGCATTTGAAAACTGAATTTAATTGAATTTGAAAGTAGTGCATATTTCAAATGTAAAAATGATTTCATATTATCTATAATATGAATTTGACCAGCTTTCGAGGTAATTGATGACAGGAAGGTCATTTCTCTCTTCTTTCTTCAACAGATAGTTTTAATGAGAGCCTAAGCAAGACACGGTTCCCTTGTATGTACATTTTCACAATGAAATTCAACCAATCTGAGGAAAAATACAATGAGATTATGGTTTTTCATTATATATGCTAAAGGTCAAATCATTTCTTTCTAAACAATTATGGTTTTTAAAAATAATTATGTTGGATAAACCAAACTATTTTGTCATCCCAAAGGATGACTTTCCTTAAGGTCAACTGATTAAATATAATGTGTTCATGAAGAAAGACAATGTTTTCTTGTTGCTCAGGCTTCAACTCCTGTTCTGCCTTAGTACCCTGAAGAACAAGCCTGCAATCTCAACTCTAGGGATTGTCTCAAGGGTTTCATTAGCAATGTCGAGTCATTCAGTATCTTCTGATGTCTATGAACTGAATAAACAGGCAAAATTCAGTTGGATGTTAGAAGTGGAAAAGAGCCTGTAATAATGATCTGAGCACAGTGGCATTAGGGAGAAAGAATAAATTGACAGGCAGTTCTATGGCGGTCTCAAGAAAAGGTGGCAAAGAGTAAGAATGTAGAGTGTGAAACTACCTATTTATTGAAGAACAAAAGCAAAGGCAAGATAGTATGTCTGCACTTTATTCATCCACATATTAGGAGATGAGGGTGGGTAAGCAAGACGTTCAGTCCTTTTCTATTACACAGTTAAAAATGGTATCATTTGGGTTAGAAACATCAGAGTATTTTAACAACTATTGTTTCTTCCATGAAAAAACATAGCAACTTGTTTTATTCTCCCAACTCTCATATATTTGCTTCTAAACAATAGGCATATTCTGTGAGTATACACATATGTTTGCATGTACATTTCTTATCTTTGAGCAAAAATATCTGATCTTCATTAATTTCCCATGTTTTTATGAAAATGGGTTTCCCTTGAGTTTCCTTCAGTCTTCTTACAAGGTAAACACCACTTCCCAAGGCAAAAAAGCTAAAACATAGAAGCAAAATAAATCCAAAATTTTAAAAAGCTATTAAGTCTCATAATGTTAATCAAATAGAATAATCTATTTCTGCTCCCAAACATAGTCAAAGTTATTTAAATAAAAAAAGCTGTAACTCTGGTATTACTCGTGATGTTACATTATTGAATGCAATTCTTTCTGATGAGAGTCTCTATATTTTAAGGCTAAAAGAAGAGTACCATGAAATATTTGAAATGTTTAAATTAGGTCATAAGTACACACCATTTTAAAATGTGCTTTTCTTAGCACATAGGGCTTACATAGATACTGGATATTATTATTCATAGTGGGAATACATGTTTAGAAAATTTTGTTAAGGATGTGCTTATATTGATTATTCTTGCTTGGGATGGGTAGCTAGATAAATAAATAGATAATACGCAAAATAAAATGACACATTGATACTATATACAAAAGTATCTTTTTCTCTCTCACACACCCCACACATGCATGCACACACACACAAACACTAAAACGCCCTTTAATTATAAGGCAGGTAGTTTAGTTCCCTAGAAGAGGAAAAATTAGTAATTTTTAATGTTTTTTTTCTTTCTGCAAATCACTAAGTTGCTAAAATTGCTTCTCTAATTTCTAAATTAAAATTTAGTTACAAATACATGGCCTTTCATGAAAAGCCAAGCTATTTAATGAATTCATAAGTAAGTATTGTTAAATTGGTGAAATACCCCAATTGTGGTATCAGTCATCTGGATAATCAAACAGGTTCCTCATTATAACACTTGCTGTCAATTAACTTACAGTTTCTCTCCTTTATGAAGTGCATAGGCATGTGCCCTTTAGGGTGTGGAATTGTGTAAATAACCACTAGAATAAAAAAGACCTGGCATTAAGTATCATGTTCTGATTCATTAGCTGTTTGATGTCAGAGAAGCCACATAGCCTCTCTGAGGTGTCTCATCAGCTGTGAAATATATTAACTTATAAGTCTGTTGTGAGGACAAAGTGAGATAAGTATATGGAATCAATCTGTAAATAATCAAGAACTATACAAATGTAAAGTATTGATATTGCTTTGTTACATCAAAAGATGGCATTAGGCTCTGCAGCATACGTTTCTAAAATCTTATGAAAAATTTGGCCACTTTAAATATTTTGTTTTATTGTTGTTAACTCATTTGTTAACAATATTCTTTGTTGTTATAAAGGGACCAGTATCCTTTATTTCTCCGCAGCCTCATTTATTCAGTACATGGATTTAGATTTCTGTATTCTGGAAGAAAGCTCTCATACATAATAAAAAGGTGGAGGTCTTATTTACATGCAAAAATTTTACCATCGCTACTGTCATTCCCTCTTGCTCTGCAGATCCAGAAGCATTCGCCAAGACTCAGCTAGGATGACACAGCTATGGTTTAATATGATTTTTTTCTTTACGCTTTGTTAAATAATGCTGAGGTCAGGTTTAAGGAACCCAAGGTAGGTTTCAAAAGAGTAAATTGTCAATGCATTTCCAAGTTGGTGGTAAGACTAAGGTGCTTATAGAAAATGGCACTAGAACAGAGTTTGTGTTATGCACAACATCAGCATTAGTATATTGATAGAGATGTGTTGTATATGCAAACACTATACATTTATTAAACCATTTAATCTTTATGCGAGGTAAGGAAATGCTGTCAAACCTATTTTTAGGTAATAAATTGCATTACAGGTATAGTCCAAATCATTGTCAATGACAGAAATACAAAAATTTGGTTTCTGCTGATTTTTTCTTAACTTAATTTTCTAATTGTTTAGAATTAAGTGAAAAGAATTCTCAATGTTTCAGAGCAAAGAGAAAAAACAAAACTAATGTCAGTGACTGAAGGACATAATACAGAAGTTCTTAAGTGTAATAAATGTTTTTGTCAGTAGAACATTAAACTCACTACTCGCAATTTTGGAATGTATGTAAAGTGGGTTATATGTCAACTACTTTTGGAGACATAGCATTTATTGAATTAATCACAGAGTAAAATGTTAACAAAAGCGAATTGAAGAAAGCATCAATTATTGATGTTTAATTTTAGAGATGTTCTCTCCACAAGCATTTTCTTCTTGAGCTAGGCAATGTTGGATGATATTAGAAGTTAAATGTATGACCCTTGCCTAACCACTGAGTATCTAATAACCTCCTCCAACCTTTCTAGCCACCTCTTTCTTGTGAAATAAATCATACATACAAAATATTGAATCAAACACATATGCAGAGTTTAAGACTAATAAAAAGGAAACATTTGTCTACTTACCACATAAGTTTGGAAACCTTAATAGTTCTTTAGAAATAACCTTCTTGTGTTCCCCATTCACATTGCACTCCCTTTGTTCAGAGTTAATCATTCCCTTAAATATCTATTAATCTTATCTTAGTTTTCTTTATAATTTAACCAACAATATGTATCATATCTCTAAATAAAATATTATTTATTGTTGTCAGTTCTTAAATTTAAAGTAAGTAGGATCATAATTTATGAGTGTAGGTATTCTTCAGTGATTTATTTTTCTGAATTTTTTTTATTTGTTTTAATATGTGACACGTCGGTAGCGGATGAATTTTTACAATTTTTTATATTGTGGTAAAATATAGATAACATAAACATCACAGTTTTAATCATTTATAAGTGTAAAATTGAGTGGCAATAAATACTTTTCCATTGTTGTGCAACAATCACCACTATACATCTCCAGAACATAGTCTTCATCCCAAACTGAATCTCCATAACTATTAAACAATAGCTCCCCATTTATTGGTAGTCACCAATAAAGCCATCTGATCTTGGAGTTTTCTTTGTAGAAGGTTTTAAACTATAAATTTACGTAATAGATACAGACCTATTCAAGTTATTTATTTCTTCTCAAGTGAGTTTGGTAGTTTGAGTCCTTCAAGAAATTTCAACTGTTTTGACTAAGTTGTCACAATTATAGGTATGACATTGTTCATAACATGCCTTTATTATTCTCTTAAAAGCTGCTGAATCTGCATGCCACTTCTCTTATTCCTTTATTTTATTTTAAGTTCTGGGGTACATGTGCAGGATGTGCTGGTTTGTTACATAGGCAAACATGTGCCATGGTGGTTTGCTGCACCTACCAACCCATCACCTAGGTAGTAAGCCCAGCATGCATTAGCTATTTTTCCTGATGCTCTCCCCACCCCGCCCTCCCCTGACAGTACCCAGTGTGTCTCATTCCCCTCACTGTGTCCATGTGTTCTCATTTTTCAGCTCCCACTCATAAGTTATGTATTAGTCTGTTTTCATTCTGTTGATAAAGACATACCCAAGACTGGGCAATTTACAAAAGAAAGAGGTTTATAATTGGACTTACAGTTCCACGTGCCTGGGGAAGCCTCACAATCACAGTGGAAGGCAAGAAAGAGCAAGTCCCCATCTTACATGGATGGCAGCAGGGAAAGAGAGAGCTCATGCAAGAAAACTCCCCCTTATAATAACCATCAGATCCCGTGAGACTTACTCACTACCAGGAAAACAGCAGGGAAAGACCTGACCCCATGATTCAATACATCCCACTGGGTACCTCCCAAGACACCTGGGAATTCATGATGAGATCTGGGTGGGGACACAGCCAAACCATCTCATGGCATCCCTGGCCCCTCCCAAATCTCATGTCCTCAGATTTCAAAATCAATCATGCCTTCCCAACAGTCTCCCAAAATCTTAACTCATTTCAGCATTAACTCAAAAGTCCACAGACCAAAGTCTCATCTGAGACAAGGCAAGTCCCTTCTGCTTATGAGCCTGAAAAATCAAAAGCAAGTGAGTTACTTCCTATGTACAATGGGGGTACAGGCATTGGATCAATACAGCCATTTCAAATGGGAGACACTGGCCAAAACGAAGTGGCTACAGGCCCCATGCAAGTCCGAAATCCAGCAGGGCAGTCAAATATTAAGGCTCCAGAATGATCTCCTTTGACTCTATGTCTCACATCCAGTTCACACTGATGCAAGAGGTGGGTCTTGGGCAGCTCCACCCCAGTGGCTTTGAAGGATACAGCTTCCCTCCTGGCTGCTTTCCTGGGCTGGCATTGAGTGTCTGCGGCTTTTCCAGGCACATGGTGCGACTGTCAGTGGATCTACCATTCTGGGGTCTGGAGGACTGTGGCCCTCTTCTCACAGCTCTACTAGGCAGGCAGTACCCCAGTAGGGACTCTGTGTAGAGGCTCTGACCCCTCATTTCCCTGGACTTACAGTTTCACGTGGCTAGGGAAGCCTCGTAATCACGGCAGAAATCAAGGAGGATCAATTTCCATCTTACATGGATGGCAGCAGGCAGAGAGAGCTTGTGCAGAAAAACTTCCCCTTATAATAACCATCAGATCTCATGAGACTTACTGTCATGAGAACGGGAACCACCTTCCCCAATGATTCAATTACCTCCCACCAGGTCCCTCCCACAACACATGAGAATTATAGATGAGATTTGGGTGGGGACACAGCCAAACCATATCAGTGAGAATGTGTGGTGTTTGGTTTTCTGTTCCTGCATTAGTTTGCTGAGGAAAATGGCTTCCACATTCATCCATGTTCCTGCAAAAGGCATAATCTCATTACTATTTATGGCTGCAGAGTATTTTATGGTTTAAAGTACCACATTTTTTTTTTGTCCAGTTGATCATTGATGGGCATTTGAATTGATTCCATGCCTTTGCTATTGCAAATAGTACTTCAATGACTGTACACATGCATAAATCTTCATAATAGAATGATTAATGTTCCTTTGGGTATATACTCAGTAATGGAATTGCTGGGTCAAATGGTATTTCAGTTCAACATCTTTGAGGAATCACCACACTCTCTTCCACAATGTTTGAACTAATTTACATTCCCACCAACAGTGTAAAAGCGTTACTATTTCTCTGCAACCTTGCCAGCATCTGTTGTTTCTTAACATTTTAATAATCATCATTCTGACTGGCATGAGATGGTATCTCATTGTAGTTTTGATTTGCATTTCTCTAATGATCAGTGACGTTGAGCTTTTTTCCATATGTTTGTTGGCTGCATCTATGTCTTCTTTTGAGAAGAGTCTGTTCATGACTTTGCCCACTTTTGTTTTTCTTTTGTTTGTTTTGTTTTGCTTTGTTTTGTTTTGTTTTTTGAAATGGAGTCTCGCTCTGTTGCCCGGGATGGAGTGCAGTGGTGCGACCTCAGCTCACTGCAACCTCCACCTCCTGGGTTCAAATGATTCTTCTGCCTCAGCCTTATGAGTAGCTGGGACTACAGGCATGTGCCACGACACCCAGCTAATTTTTGTATATTTAGTAGAGACAGGGTTTCACCATGTTGGTTAGGTTGCTCTCAAACTCCTGACCACAGGCGATCCACCTGCCTTGGCCTCCCAAAGTGCTGGGATTACAGGCATCAGCCACCATGCCCTGCCCTTTGCCCACGTTTAAATGGGGTTGTTTGGGGTTTTCTTTTGTAAATTTGCTTAAGTTCCTTGTAGATTCTGTTTATTAGATATTTGTCAGATGGATAGATTGCAAAAATATTCTACCACTTTGTAGGTTGTCTCTGTACTTTTAAAAAATCCACTTATTGATTGTTGACCATTTGGGCTGGTTCCATATTTTTGCAATTGCTAATTGTGCTGCTATAAACATGCTTGTGCAAGTGTCTTTTTTGTATAACGACTTTTTTTTCCTCTGAGTATATACCCAGTAGTAAGATTCCTGGATCAAATGGTAAATCTATTTTTAATTATTTATGGAATTACCATACTGTTTTCTATAGTGGTTGTACCATTTTACATTCCCACCAGCAGTTTAAAAGTGTTCCCTTTTTACCACATCCAGAGCAACATCTATTATTTATGATTTTTAAAATTATGGCCATTCTTGCAAGAGTAAGGTGATATTGCATTGTAGTTTTGATATGCATTTCCCTGATAGTAACGGTAAGCATTTTTTATATGTTTGTTTTATATGTTTGTTGTCCATTTGTATACATTCTTCTGATAATTGTCTATTCATATCCTTAGCCCACTTTTTTGATGAGATTTTTTGTTTTTTACTTGCTGATTTGTTTGGGTCCCTTGTGGATTCTGGATATTAGCCTGTTGTCAGACGCATAGTTTGTGAAGATTTTCTCCCACTCTGTGTGTTGTCTGTTTACTCTGCTGATTGTTTCTTTTACTGTGCAGAAGCTTTTAAGTTTACTTAGTTCCCATGTCTTTATCTTTGTTTTGGTTGCATGTGCTTTGCAGCTCTTGGTCATGAATTCTTCACCTAAGCCAATGTCTAGAAGGGTTTTTCCTATGTTATCTTCTAGAATTTTTATGGCTTCAGGTCTTTGATTTAAGTCCTTCATTCATCTTGAGTTGATTTTTCTATAAGCTGAGGGATGAAGACCCAGTTTTATTCTACAGGTGGCTTCCCAATTATCCCAGCACCATTTGTTGAGTAGGCTGTCCTTTCCCTACTTAATGTTTTTGCTTGCTTTTTTGAAGATCAGTAGGCTGTAAGTATTTGGCTTTATTTCTGGGCTCCCTATTTGGTTCCTTTGGTCTATATGCCTGTTTTTATACCAATACCATGCTGTTTTGGTAACTGTAGTCGTGTAGTATATTTTGAAGTCAGGTAAAGTGATGGCTCCAGATTTGTTCTTTTTGCTTATCTTGCTCTCGCTATGTGGGCTCTTTCTTGGTTTCATATGAACTTTAAGATTGTTTTTTCTACTTCTGTGAAGAATGATGATGGTGCTTTGATGAGAATTGCATTGAATGTTTATATTCCTTTTGGCAGTATGGTTATTTTCACAATATTGATTCTATGCATCCATGAGCATTAGATGGGTTTCCATTTGTTTGTGTTATCTATGATTTTTTTCAGCAGTGTTTTGTAGTTTTCCTGGAAGAGGTCTTTCACCTCTTTGGTTAGATATTGATATAGTTTGGCTGTGTCCCCACCAGAAATCTCATCTTGTACTATAATCCCCATAATTCCCATGTGTCAAGGGCAGGGCCATGTGGAGGTAATTGGATCATGGGAGCAATCTTTCCCATGCTGTTCTCAGGATAGTAAGTCTTATGGGATGTGATGGCTTTATAAGCCACTAGCATTTCCCCTGCTTGAACTCACTCCATCGTGCCACCCTGTAAGAAGGTGCCTTGCTTCCCCTTCACCTACCTTCCACCATGGTTGTATGTTTCTGAGGCCTCCTCAGCATTGTGAAACTGTGATTTAATTAAACTTCATTTCTTTATTAATTACACAGTCTCTGGTATTCCTACATCACAATGTAAAAATGGACTAATATAGTAAATTTGTACTGAGGTAGTGGGGGGTAGTGCTGTTAAGATACCCGAAAATGTGTAAGCAACTTTGGAACTGGGTAACTGTTAGTGGCTGGAACAGTTTGGAGGGCTCAGAAGAAGTCAGGAAGATGTGGAAAAGTTTGTAGAGACTTTTCGAATGGTTTTGACCAAAATGCTGATAGTGATGTGAACAATGAAATCCAGACTGAGGTGGTTTCAGATGGAGATGAGAAACTTCTTGGGAACCGGATTAAAGGTGACTCTTGCTATGCTGTAGCAAAGAGACTGGAAGCATTTTGCCTCTGCCCTAGAGATGTGTGGAACTTTGAACTTGGGAGAGATAATTTAGGGTGTCTGGTGGAAGATGTTTCTAAGTGGCAAAGTAATCTAGAGGAAGCAGAGGATAAAAATTTGGAAAACTTACAGCCTGAGGATGTGATAGAATAGAAAAACCCATTTTCTGGAGAGAAATACAAGTCTGCTGCAGAAATTTGCATAAGTAACAAGGGGCTGAATATTAATCACCAATACAATTGGTGAAAAGTCTCCAGGGCGTATCAGAGACCTTCATTGCAGCCTCTCCCATCACAGGTCTGGAAGCCAGGAGAGAATACTGATTTTGTGGGTTGGTCCAGGGTCCCCCTGCTCTGTGCAGCCTCAGGACATGGTGACCTGCATCCCAGCTGCTTCAGCTCTAGCTGTAGATAAAAGAGGCCAAGGAACAGCTTGGGCCGTGGCTTCAGAAGGTGGAAGCCCCAAGCCTTGGAAGCTTCCACATTGTATTTAGCCTGTTTGTGCACACAAATTAAGAATTGTTTGGGAACCTTTCCTAGATTTCAGAGGATGTATGGAAATGCCTGGATTTCCAGGCAGGAGTTTGCTGCAGGGGCAGAGCCCTCATGGAGGCCCTCTGCTAGGGCAATGCAGAGGGGATATATGGATTGGGAGCCCCCATACAGAGTCCCCACTGGGACATAGCTTAGTGGAACTGTAAGAAGAGGGCCACCATCTGCCAGACCCCAGAATGGTAGATCCACCAAAAAAGCCACAGGCACTCAACACCAGCTCATAAAAGCAACCTAGAAGGGGGATGCATCCTGCAAAGCCACAGAGGCAGAGCTGACCAAGACTGTGGGAGTCCACCTATTGCACCAACATGACCTGGATGTGAGACATGGAGTCAAAGGAGACAGCATTGCAACTTAAAGGTTTAATGACTTCCTTGCTGGATTTTGGACTTACATGGGACCTGTAACCCCTTTGTTTTGGCCAATGTCTCCCATTTGGAAAGGATGTATTTACCCAATTCCTATACCTCTATTGTATGTAGGAAGTAACTAACTTGCTTTTGATTTTACAGGCTCATAGGAGGAAGAGACTTGCCTTGTCACAGATGAGACTTTGGACTTGGACTTATGGATTAATGCTGGAATTAGTTAAGAATTTGGGGTACTGTAGGAAAGGCATGATTGTGTTTTGAAATGTGGAAACATGAGATTTGGGACGGGCCGGGGTGAAAAGATATGGCTTGGCTATGTCCTCCCTCAAAATCTCATCTTGAACTGTAATCCCCATAATCCTCATAATTCTCATGTGTCAAGGCCAGGACTAGGTGGAGGTAATTGGATTACAGGGGTGCTTTTCTGCATGATATTCCCATCATAGTAAATGAGTCTCATGAGATTTGGTGGTTTTATAAATGTCTGGCATTTCCCCTGCTTGCACTCACTCCATCCCTCTGCCCTGTGGAGAAGATGCCTTGCTTCCCATTTCCCTTATGCTATGATTCTAAGTTTCCTAGGGCCTCCCCAGGAATGCAGAACTATGAACCAATTAAATCTGTTTCCTTTATAAATTACCCAGTCTCAGGTATTTCTTCATACAACATAAGAACAGATTAATGCTGGTATATTATTAAGTATTTTATTTTATTTTTGCAGCAACTGTAAAAGAGGTTGGGTTCTTGATTTCATTCTCAACTTGGTTACTTTTGGTGTTTTACAGTGATACTAATTTGTTTAAATTTATTTTGTATCCTGAAACTTTACTGAATTCATTTATCAGTTCTAGGAGATTTTGGATTCATCTTTAGGGTTTTTAAGGTATACAATCATATCATCAGCAAACTGCAGAAGTTTTATTTCCTCTTCACCGATTTGGATGTCCTTCATTTCTTTCTCTTTTCTAATTGCTCAGGCTAGGACTTCCAGTAGTGTCTTGAATAGAATTGGTCAAAGTGGGCATTCTTATCTTGTTCCATTTCTCAGGGAGAATGCTTTCAACTCTTCTTCAGTATAATGTTAGCTGTGAGTTTGTCATAGATGGCTTTTATTACCTTAAAGTATAAAGCTACCTTCCATGTCAATTTTGCTGAGGGTTTTAATTATAAAAGCATGCTGAATTTTGTGAAATGTTTTTTTTGCATCTATTGAAATAATCATATGATTTTTGTTTTTGTTTTTGTGGGGTATCACATTTATTTACTTGTGTATGTTAAACCATCCCTGAATTCCTAGCATGAAACCCACTTATCATGGTGGATTATTGTTTTGAAATGCTGTTGGATTAGGTTAGCTAGTATTTTATCAAGAATTTTTCCATCTATGTTGAACAGGGATATTTATTTGTAGTTTTCTTTTTTTTGTTATTTCCATTTTTGGTTTGGTATTAGGATGATATTCTCTTCATAGAATGATTTAGGGAGGACTCCCTCTTTGTCTATCCTTGGAAATGTTGTCAACAGGATTGTTAACGATTTTTCTTTGAATTTCTGATAGAATTCAGTTATGAATCCATCTGATCCTGTACTTTTTTTGTTGTTGGCAATTTTTAAATTAATATTTAAATATCACTTCTTGTTATTCATTTGTTCATTGTTTCCATTTCACCCTGGTTTAATCTAGAAGGCTTGTGTATTTCCAGAAATTCATCCATCTCTAGTTTTTTTACTTCATGTGCATAAAAGTGTTCATAGTAGGCTTGAATAATCTTTAGTATTTCTTTTGTATCAGTTGTAAGTTGTAATATCTTGTATTTCATTTTTAATTGAGCTTACTTGAATATTCTCTCTTCTTTTTTGGTTAATCTCACTAATGGTCTATCAATTTTATTCATCTTTTCAAGAACTAGCTTTTTGTTTCATTTATTGTGGTATTTTTTGTTTCAATTTCATTTAACTCTTCTTTGGTCTTTGTTATGTCTTTTCTTCCATGGGGTTTTGGTTTGGTTTGTTCTATTTTATCTAGTTCCTTGAGGTGTGACCTTAGATTGTCTATTTGTTCTCTTTCAGCTTTTCAAACATATGGTCTGTCTTGGAGAATGTTCTATGTTGTGATGAATAGAATGTATATTCTGCAGTTGTTTGGTAAAATGTTCTGCAAATATTTGTTTTGTACATTCATTGGACTAGACCTTTTATCATTATATAATCTTCCTCTTTGTCTTTTTTAACTGTTGTTTCTTTAAGGTCTGTTTTGTCTGATATAATAATAGCTACTCATGCATACTTTTGTGGTCCATTGCATATAATATCTTTTTCCACCCATTTACTTTAAGTTTTTGTGAGTCCTTATGTGTTAGATGAATCTCTGAAAGACAGCAGATACTTGGTTTGTGAATTCTTACCCTTTCTGCCATTCTGTATCGTTTAAATGGAGCATTTAGGCCATTTACATTTAGTATTAGTATTGAGATGTGAGGTACAATTCTATTCATCATGCTAGTTGTTGCCTGAATATCTTTTTTTTAAATCGTGCTATTGCTGCATAGGTCCTGTGAGATTTATGCTCTAAGAAGATTCTATTTTTGTGTATTGACATATTGTTTCAAGATTTAGAGCTCCTTTTAGCAGTTCTTATAGTGCTGGACTGGTAGTGGCAAATAGTCTCAGCATTTTTTTGTCTGAAAAAGACTATATCTTTCCTTCATATATGAAGCTTAGTTTCTCTGGATACAGAATTTTTGGGTGATAATTGTTTTGTTTAAGGAGGCTAAAAAGAGGACCCTAATTCCCTTTTAGCTTGTAGGGTTTCTGCTGAGAAGTCTGCTGTTAATCTGATAGGTTTTTCCTTGTAGGTTACCTAATGCTTTTGTCTCACAGCTCTTAAGATTATTATTATTTTTTTATCTTGACTTTAGATAACCTGATGACTCTGTGCCTAGGTGATGGTCTTTTTGTGATGAATTTCTCTGGTTTTCTTTGAGCATCTTGTATTTAGGTGTCTGGATCTCTAGCAATGCCAGGGAAGTTTTCCTAGATTATTCCCTGTAATATGTTTTCCAAACTTTTAGAATTTTTTCCTTCCTAAGGAACACCAGTTATTCTTAGGTTTAGTCATTTAGCATAATCCCAAACTTCCTGGAGGCTTTGTTTATATCTTTGATTTTTTTTTGTCTTTGTCAGAGTGGATTAATTTGAAAGCCTTATCTTCAAGCTCTGAAGTTTTTCTTCTACTTATCCTATTCTATTGTTGAGATTTTCCAGTGTGTTTTGAATTTCTCTAAGTGTGTCCTTCATTTCCAGAAGTTGTGATAGCTTTTTATTTATGCTATCATCTATTTTCTGGATTTTTTAAATTCATATCCTGTATTATTTTTTAAAATTCCTTTAAGTTGGTTTCACCATTCTCTGGTGCCTCCTTGAGTAGCTTAATAATTAACCTTCTGAATTCTTTTTCTGGCAATTAATAGATTTCTTCCTGGTTTGGATCCATTGCTGGTGAGCTAGTGTGATCTTTTGGGGGTATCAAAGAGCCTTGTTTTGTCATATTAACAGAATTATTATTCTGGTTTCTTCTTATTTTCTAGTTTCTTATTATTTGGATACACTATGTCAGAGGAAAGATCTGAGGCTCAAAGGCTGCTGTTCAGATTCTTTTGTCAGATGATGTGCTACCTTGATGTGGTGCTCTACCCATTCCACTAGGGATGAAGCTTCCTCAGAGCCAGACTGCAGTTATTGGTTTTTCTCTTCTGGATCTAGCAACCAAGCAGAGCTACTGGGCTTCAGGCTGGTACTGGGAAATGTATGCAAAGAGTCCTGTGATGTGATCTGTCTTCAGGTCTCTCAGCCATGGATGCCAGCCCCTCTCCAGTGGAGGTAGCAGGGGAATGTGGTAGACTCTGTGTGAGACCTTATTGTAGTTTTGTTTAGCGTGCTGGTTTTCTCAAATGCTGGTTGTGCTGGCAGTAGTGTTGTCACATGGACAGACTCAGGACTTCTGGTTAGCCAGGATGTTGCAGGTGGCGGTATTAGCTGTTGTTTTCTCTTTTCTGGGGGCAGGATTGTTCTTTTATAATTTGCTGTAATAGTTTGTGTTGGTTGGCCTCCAGACAGGAGGTGGCACTTTCAAGACAACATCCGCTGTGGTAGTATAGGGAGGACACAAGCTTGCACTAGGGTCACTTGGATAAGAGAAAGACCATCAGGTGGGGAAAGGGTTATGTATGTCTGAGCTCAGATTCTTTTTGGGTGGGGCTTGCTGGAGCCACTGTTGGGGGCTGGGGATATGGTTCTCAGGCTGATGAATTTATGTTCCCAGGGGGATTATGACTGCCTCTGCTGTACCGTACAGATCACCAGGGAAGTCCGGGAAAGCTGGCCATGACAGGCTTCACCTAGCTTCCAGGCAGCCAGAAAGGCCAGTCTCACTCCCGCCGTGCTTTTCCAACAACACAGAGTTTATATCCAGGCAGCCGGTGAGCAGGGCTGGGAACTTTCTCCAGACTACAAGCCTCTCCACTGAGAAAGCAGGCAGTGTTTCAGGTTTCGCCCCTCCCAGCTGCAGCTTCTGTGCTGTTATCTGCTCTTCTGTTCACCCCCCACCCCCGGATTCTGCCCTTGAAAATTTGCGCTCCTTCTAAATTATTACAAAGTTCAGCTGAAAGTTTCCTTCTCTCTATGGTCTTTCCCCAACTCCACTGGCAGCCCCCTACAAGGACCCTTGTGAGATAAAGTCAGGAATTGGTTCCCTGGACTTCCTTGGGGGTTGGGAGTGCCTACAGGGCACTTCCCACTGCTTCTTCTACTTATATATTTCACTGGGCTCTCTAAATTTATTTCAGCTCTAGGTAAAGTTAAGTCTTTCTCCCGTGATCTGGATTTTCAGGCTCCCTGGTGAGAATGTGTGTTCAGAGGCAGACTTTATCCTTCTGACATTTTGAGCACTCAGTTTTTCGGCTGTCTCTCAATGTTTGTAGAGGCAAGCAACTTTTTCAAAGGGTCTATGAATTCTTTTGGCTTTACTAGTATGTTCTTGTGGTTATTCTTGAAGCAAAGGTTCACAGTGTGAGTCTTCACATGCTGTTTTGTTCATACAAGTAGGAGCTGCAAGTTAGTCCTGCCTCCTGTCTGCCATTTCCCCCCATTTTCTTTATTTGTCTTTCTTGTTTTAAATTTCCTCTTCTTTCTCTAGCTTCTTAAATGTAATTGTTTTCATTGTTTTGAGATCATCTTTCTTTTATAATATAGCCATTTAGTCCTATAATTTTTTATAAATATTGCTTTAACAGCATCTCACAAATTCTGATATTTTGTGTTTTAATTTTTAGATAATTCAAAATAATTAATAAATTATCTTTCATATCTTATTTGATTTATTGTTTACTTTTTTCACATTTTCTTATAATTTCAAATTTGGTTATAGATTTAGGAGGTATATGTGCAGGTTTGTTACACGGGTATATTGTGTGGTGCCAGCATTTGAAACATAAATGATCTTGTTATCTGGATAGTTTTCCACCCTTCTTCGGCTCCCTCCATCCCTCCTCTATTAGTCTTCAGTGTCTATTGTTGCCATCTTGAGGAGGCAGAGCAAGAGAGTGAAAGAGAAATCTCCATTGATTACCCCCCAACACACACAAGGACACTAACTTGACAACTATCTGTGCAGAAGTAAAACACCTTCATGAAAAACAAAAATCAGGTGACCACTCATACTACCTGGTTATAACTTCATTTCATTGAAGGAGGCACTGAAGGGATAAGAAAGACAGTCCTGAATAGCAGACACCACACTTCTCCCACCCCCATGACACTGGGAGCCTGGTGCAGAAATCATCTCTGGGTGCTGGGGGAGTGAGAGCAAAGCAATTGTGAGGCATTGAACTCAAAGCTGTTCTGTTAGAGCAGAAACAAAAAACAGACAAAACTTAGCTGACACTGGCCCACAGAGGGAGCATTTGAATGAGCCCTAGCCAGAGGGACATTGTCAGTCTCAGCAGATTGAACTTGAGTGCCCTCAAACCTCACCACTGAGGACCAAAGTGCTCTGCATTTCTAAGTAAACTTGAAAGGCAGTCGTGGCTGTAAGAACTGCAACTGTTAGGCGAGTCCTAGGAATAAAATAGACCCAGAGACAGTGGACTGAAAGGGCATGCAACATACTGAGACACCAGCTGGGGCAGCCAATGGAGTGCTGGAATCGCCCCTCTCCAAATGCCAGGCTTTACAGATCAGGGCTACAAAAGAGATGACTTCCTTCCACTTGAGAGAACAGGAAAGAATAAGGAGGTCTTTTTCTCGCATCTAAGATACCAGCTCAGCCACAGCAGGATTGACACTGGTCAGAGTCATGAGAACCCCATTCCAGGTCCTAGCTCCCAGACAATATTTGTAGACACACCTTGATCCAGAAGGGAAGCTGCTGCCTTGAATGAAAAGACCGAGTCCTGTCAGCATTCATCACCTCTTAACTGAAGAGACCTTGAGCACTGAATACCATGTAATACATTGAGGGCCTCGGTGAGCCTCTGAGACTTGCTGGCCTCAGGTGGCACTCAGCACATCACCAGCTGTCATGGCTACGAGGCAAAAATTCTTCTACTTGAGAAAAGCATAAGGAAAATAAAGGGGAATTTGAATTTTGCCTTAGGTCCAACAGCACCAGGGGGGTTAGAGCACCAAGCCAACATTTGGGGACCTCAATTTCAGGACTTGACTCTTGGACAGCATTTCTGGCTTTGCTCTGGGCCAGAGGGGAGCCCATTGCCCTGAAGGGTGAGTCCCAGGCCAGGCAGCATTCACTACAAGCTGACATAAAATACCTTGGGCCTTAAGGGAGCATTTGTAGTAGTCTGGCAGTACTCTTTGTGGCCTGGTGTGGAGGTGGCTATAAGGTAAGGCTCCTTGGCCTTTGGAAAGGAAAGGGAAGAGTAGGAAGGACTGCATCTTGTGATTTGAGTTTCAGCTCAGCCAAAAGACAATAGAATACCAATTAGACTTCTAAGATTGATGACTTTAGTTCCTGTCTGCTTGACAGCACTTCTTGGTGCACCTGGGTCTGGGATCCTTGCTGCCCTGAAGGGAAAGACACAGGCCTGGCTGGCTTTGCAACCTACTGATTGTACAGCCTCAGGGCCTTAAGCAAACATATGCAGTAGCAAGGCATTTGTTACAACTAGCCTTTGCCAAGACCCTGCACAGTTCTGGCTTCAGGTCTGACCCAGTGCAGTCCTAGTTGCACTGAAGAGAAGGACGCAGGCCTTGCTTGCTTTGCCACCTACTGATTGTACAGCCCCAGGGTCTTGAGCAAACATAGGCAGTAGCAAGGGAGTGGTTACACAAGCCTTGGTTGAGACCCAGCAATGTGCTGGCTTCAGGTCTGACCCAGTGCAGTCCTAGTGGAGGTGACCACAAGGATGCTACTGTCACTCTATCCATAGGTTTAGGTGGCTCAGAATAGAGACAGAGACTCTGTAAGTTTGGGAGAAAGTAAATATTTGGAAAACCTTTCCAAAAAGGATGGCTACCAATAAGCCCAGACAGTGAAGACTACAATAAATACCTAACTCTTTAATGCTCAGACACCAAATAACATCTGCTAGCATCATCACCATCCCTGGCATCAACACGATCCAGAAAAACATATCCTCACCAAATGAATTACATAAGGCACCTGGGGACAATCCTGGAGAAACAGCTATGTTATTTTTCAAACCGTTAATTCAAAATAGCTATTTTGAGGAAACTAAAAAATATTCAAGATAACATTAAAAAGGTATTCAGAATTCTATCAGATACATTTTAAAAAGAGATTGAAATAATTTTTAAAAATAAGCAGAAATAATGGAGCTGAAAATGCAATTGGCATACTAAAGAATGCAGTAGAGTTCTTTGATAGCAGAATAAGTAGAGCAGAAGAAAGAATTAGTGAACCTGAAGACAGGTTATTTGAAAATACATTAAGAGGAGATAAAAATAAAAACAATGAAGCACACCTATAGAATTTAGAAAATATCTTCATAAAAGAAAATCTAGGAGTTGTTGGCCTTAAAGAAGAGGCAGAGAAGGATATGGGGTACAAAATTTATTTAAAGTAATAATAATGGAGAACTTTCCAAACGTAGAGAAAGATATCAATATCCAAGTACAAGAAGGTTATAGAACAGCAAGCAGATAGAACTCAAAGAACACTACCTCAAGGAATTTAATAATCAAATTCCCAAAGGTTGAGGATGAAAAAGGGATCCTAAAAACAGCAAAAGAAAAGAAACAAACAACATGTAATGGAGCTCCACTATTTCTGGCAGCAGGCTTTTCAGTAGAAGTTTTATAGGACAGAAGAGAGTGACATATTTAAAGTGCTGAAGAAAAGAAAACTTTCATCCTATAATAGTATATCCATAAAAAATTATCTTTCGAACATAAAAAAGTAAAGACTTTCTCAGACAAACAAAAGCTGAAAGATTTCATCAATAGTAACATCATTCCATAAGAAATGCTAAAGAGAGTATTTCAACAAGAAATAATAATAATAAACATTAATTGGCATTAAATAATTATCTGTATGTACAAAACTTACTGGAAATACTAAGTACATGGAAAAGCCAGAATACTATAACACTGTCACTGTGGTGTGTGAACTACATTATCCTATGTAGAAAGACAAAATGATGAGCCAATCAAAAATAATTTCAACAGCTTTTCAAGACATAGTCAGTAGAATAAGACATAAATAAAAACAACAAAAAGTTAAAAAGCAGGAGGATAAAGTTAAGGTGAGTTTACATTAGTGTTTTTTTTTTTTTTTGGCTTGTTTGTGTACTTGTTAATACAAATACGGTTAAGTTGTTGTAAGGTTAAAATAATGGGTTATAAGATTATAAGATAGTATTTGCAAGCCTCATGGTAACTTCTAACCAAAAATCATACAATTGATACAAAAGAAATAAAAAACAAGAAAGTAAATTAAATCACCAGAGAAAATTTTCTTTATTAGAGTAAGACAGGAAAGAAAGAAAACCACAAAACAACCAGAAAACAAAACAAAACAAAGCAAATTGACAGGAGTAAGTTCTTACTTATCAATAATAACATTGAATGTAAAAGGACTAACTCTCAAATCAATAGACATAGGCAGAATAAATGAAAAAACAAGACCCGTTGATTTGTTTCCTATAAGAAACACACGTTATCATTAAAGACAAAATTAGACTAAAAATAAAGGGTTGAAAAAAGATATTCTATGCCAATGAAAACCAAAAAACAGCAGCAGTCATTATACTTATATTAGAAAAAAACAGATTTCAAGACATAAATTATAAGAAGGGACAAAGAAAGTCACTATATAATCATAAAGGGGTCAATTCAGCAAAAGGATATAAAATTTTTGAATATATATGCACCCAACACTAGTGCTAAGAGCAAAATTTATAGGTATAAGTGCCCATATCAAAAAAAGAAAAAACGAACTTCAACTAAACAATCTAATGATAAATTTTATTTTATTTTTTATTTATTTTTTTTAAGATATAGTCTCACTCTGTTGCCCAGGCAACAGAGTGCAGTGGTGAGATCTCGGCTCATTGAAACCTCTGCCACCTTTCAAGCAATTCTCCTGCCTCAGCCTCCAGAGTAGCTGGGATTAGAGACCTGCACCACCACACCCAGTTAATTTTTTTGCATTTTTAGTAGAGATGGGGTTCCACCATGTTGGCCAGGCTGGTCTCAAATTCCTGGCCTCAAGTGATCCACCCACCTCAGCCTCCCAAAGTGTTGGGATTACAGGCGTGAGGAACCACACTGGGCCTAATAATACACTTCAAATGATTAGAAAATTAAAAACAAACCAAAATTAGTAAAAGAAAGTAAATAATAAAGATTAGAGCAGAAATAAATGATATTGTAATAAAATACTAAAAATCAATAAAAGAATGTTAGTTTTCAGAAAAGTTAAACAAAATTGACAAAGTTGCAGCTAGAATAACTAAGAAAAAAGAGAGAAGATTGAAATAAATAAAATCACAAATAAAAAAGGAGACATTGCAATTGATTCTGCGTACAACCTAACAAGATAGATCCAGGAAGAAATCGAAAACCTGTGCAGACCAGTAACAAGTAGTAAGATAAAAACTATAATAAAAACTATTCCAGGAAAGAAAAGCCCAGGACCTGATGGCTTCACTGCGAAATTCTACCAAACATTTAAAGAAAAACTAATACCAGTCTTTCTCAAAATATTCTTTAAAAAAATTGAGGAGAAGGGAATACTTCCAAACTCCTTCTATGTGGGCAGTATTACCAGGATACCAGAACCACACAAAGACATATCAAGAAAAAATAACTAGAGGCCAATTTCTCTGAAGAATATTCATACAATATTCTCAACAAAATACTAGTAAACTGAATTCAACAATATTTTGGAAAGATGATGCATCATGACCACGTTGATTTTATTCCTGGGATGCAAGGATGGTTCACCATATGCAAATCAATCCATGTGATACATCATATCAACAGAATGAAGGATAAAAACTATACAATTGTTTCATTAATGCTGAAAAAGTATTTAATAAAATTTACCATCTCTTCATGATAAAAACTCTCAGAAAACTGGGTCTAGAAGAAACATATCTCAATGTTAATGAATAAATTATTAATGTTTTATATGGTGAAAGTTAGGTGTTTACTTTCATCCTTCTGCCTACAGGTAGAAAGCTATCCCAGCACTATTTATTGAATAGGTTGTTCTTTCCTTATTGCTTATTTCTGTCAACTTTGTCAAAAAATCAGATGGCTGTAAGTGCAGCTTTTTTCCCCTGGCTTCTCTATTCTGTTCCATTGTTCTATGTGTTTTGCACCAGTACCATAATATTTTGGTTACTGTGGCTTTATGGTATAGTTTAAAGTCAGGAAATGGTATGTCTCTGGCTTTGTTGCTTTTGCTTAGGATTACTTTGGCTATTTGGGTTCTTTTTGGTTCCATATGAATTTCAAAATAGTATTTTTTTAATTTTGTGAAACATGATGTTTGTAGTTTGAAAGGGATAGCACTAAATCTGTAGAATTCTTTAGACTGTAGGGTCAGTTTGAAAATGTTGATTCTTCCAATCCATGTGCATGGAAGATTTTTCCATTTATTTGTGCCATCTCCAATTTCTTTCAGCAGTGTTTTGTATTTCTCCTGGTAGAGATTTTTTTACCTCCTTGGTTAGATGTATTTCTAGGTACTTTTTGTGGTTATTGTAAATGGGATTGTATTGTTGATTTGACTCTGATCTTGAATGTTATTGGTAAATAAGAATGCTATTGATTTTTGTACATCAATCTTTTATCCTGAAACTTTGCTGAAAGAGTTTATCAGTTCCTGGAGCCTTTCAGCAGTCTTTAGGGTTTTCTAGGTATAGAATTACATTGAGAAAAAAAAGAGAGTTTGACTTTTTCTTTTCCTTTTTGGATGCCTTTTATTTGTTTTGCCTGATAAGTCTGGCAAGAACTTCCAGTACTATGTTGAATAGAAGTGGTGAGATTAAGCATCCTTGTCTTGTTCCAGTTCTCAAGAGGAATCGTTCCAGATTTTGCCTGTTCTGGATGATGTTGGCTGTGGACTTGTAATAGATGGTTATTACTTTGAGGTATGTTTCCTCGATGCCTAGTTTGTTGAGGGTTTTTATTATGAAGGGATGTTGAATCTATCAAAGGCTTTCACATCTATTGAGATGATCTTTTTTGTTTGTTTTTAATTCTGTTGATGTGGTGATTCACATTTATTGTTTTGCATATGTTGAACCATCATTGTGTTACAGGTAGTTAGACAGGCATGATCCTGGCAGGAGGGGGCGCTCCCCAACTTTCCTGATGGTCCACACTTGTTGCATTAAAGTGTTAATTGAATGCAGGCACCAGGGAGAAACAAAAAGAAGTTTCAAATAAAATCTCAGGTATTGGGATGGTGATCCTGGACATGCTAAAATCTCAGGTATTGGGATGGTGAGCCTGGACATGCACATTAAGAGGCAGAATGGCAAAGTATGACCTTCCAGGGGCACTCCACCAGGAAAGGGAAGAAAGCCTCAGATGGGCATGGGTACAACTTCCTATACTCACTGAGTATGCTCACCTCCCAAGCATAAGGAGAGCACTGGGCAAGCGGGCAACCTACTCTAAGGGAAAAATAATGAAAAAGGGGCCAGCCTATAAAGTCCTAGGATCAAGGTTAAACACTGGACTTGACCTTCACGTGACCACTTGGGTTTCTTTCAAGCATGCTTTTCTTTCTTTCCTGTTTTAAAGCCTTTCAAAAAAAAAAAAAAACAACTTCCACTTCTGCTCTAAAACTTGCCTTGGTCTCTCTGTCTCTCTCTATCTCTCTCTCTCTTTTTTTTTTTTTTTTTTTTTTTTTTGCGTTGGCCCCTCAGTCAAATTTTTTCTTCTAAGGAGGCAAGAATTGACGTTGCTGCAGACCCATACAGATTATTCGTTGCCGGTAACTCAGATACCTTCCATGGGTAACAATTGCATTCCAGGAATGAAGTCTACTTGATCATAGTAAATTAGCTTTTGGTATGCTGCTGAATTCAGTTTGCTTGTATTTCATTGATAATTTCTGTGTCTATGGTCATCAGGGAAATTGGCCTGTAGTTTTCTTGTTTCCTTCGTGTCTTTGCCAGGTTTTGGTATCAGAGTGATGCTAGCTTCATAGAATAAATTAGAAAGGAGTCCCTCCTCCTTGCTTTTTAAAAATACTTTCAGTAAAATTGGTACCAGCTCTTATTTTAACCTGTGGTAGAATTCTGCTGTGAATCCATCTCTTCAGGGGCTTTTTTTGTTGGTAGGGTTTCTTTTTATTACTGATTCAATTTTGGAACTCAGTACAGGCCTCTTTAGGGTTTCAGCTTTTTCCATATTCAGTCTTGAAAGATTGGGTGTTTGCAGGAATTCATCTATTTCTTGTGGATTTTCTAGTTTATGTGCATAGAGGTGTTGATAACAGTCTCTGAGGATATTTTGTATTTCTGTGAGACTGACTGGTTGTAAATATCACAACCATTTGTTATTTCTGATTGTGCTTATTTGGATGTTCTGTCTTTTTGTTGTTGTTAATCTAGCTAGCAGTCTGTCGATCTTGTTTATCCTTTTTAAAACCCAACTTTTGATTTTGTTGATTCTTTGTATGAATGTCTGGGTCTCGATTTCGTTCAGTTTTGCTCTGATTTTATTTATTTTTTTGCTGCTATATTTAGGGTTAGTTTGCTCTTATTTTTTTTAGTTCCTCTAGGTGTGATGTTAGATTGTTAATTTGAGATTTTTTCTAACTTTCTGAGGTGTGCATTTAGTGCTATCAACTTTACTCTTAACACTACTTTTGCTACATCCCACAGATTTTGGTATGTTGTGTCTCTGTTTTCACTTATTTCAAGGAATTTTTTGATCTCTTCCTTAATTTCATTGTTTATCTGAAAGTTATTCAAGAGCTAATTGTTTAATTTTCATGTAATTTTGTGGTTTGGAAAGATCTTCTATTTATTTCTATTTTTTTTCCCACTGTGCTCTGAGAGTACGGTTGGTATGATTCCAGTTTGTTTCAATTCATTGATACTTGCTTCATGACTGAGCATGTGGTTGATTTCAGAGTATGTTCTGTGTGCAGATGAGAATAATGTATTTTCTGTGAGAGAAAATTGGTAGTTGATCAGTGGAGTGTTCTGCATATTTTTATTAGGTACAATTGATGAAGTGTTAATTTTAAGTTCAGAATTTCTTTGTTAGTTTTCTGCCTCAATGATCTAATGCTGTCAGTTGGGGGTTGAAGTCTCCCACTATTCTTGTGTAGCTAAGTATTTTGCAGGTCTAGAAGTAGATGTTCTATGAATCTGGGTGTTCCAATGTTAGGTGCATACATGTTTAGGATAGTTAAGTCTTGTTGAATTGAATCCTTTATTATTATGTATTATCTTTGTCTTTTGTTAGTGTTGCTAGTTTCAAGTATATTTTATCTTATATAAAAATAGTGAACTCTGCTTTTCTGTTGTTGTTTTCCATTGTGTGATACATCTTTTTCCAGCCCTTTACTTAGAGCCTATGCATGTCATTAAGTGTGTGATGGGTCTTTTGAAAAGCCAGATGGAAGGGTATTAATTTTTATCCCACTTACAACTCTATGCCTTTTAAGTGGGGGCATTTAGTTGATTTACATTCAAGTTTAATATTGATTATTGATATGTGAGGTTTAGATGCTCTCATTAAGTTGTTAACTGATTGCTTTGTAGTCTTTACCATGTTATTGTTGTTGTTTTACATGATAAAAAACTACAAAGTAGTTTTTTAGGGACTGAGGGATATGCACTTATATGTGTTTTTGTGGTAGCCATGTATCATTCTTTTTTTTTATGTTTAGGACTCCCTTAAGGAACTTTTATACGGCTGGTCTAGTTGCAACAAATTTTCTTATCACTTGCTTTCTGGAAAACATTTTATTTCTCCTTTGCTTATGAAGCTTAGTTTGGGACTATATAAAATTCTTGGTTGAAATTCCTTGTAATTAAAAATGCTGAAAATAGGCTTCCTATCTCTCGTGGCTCATAAGGTTACTCCTATGAAGTCTTCCGTTAGCTTGATTGGGTTCCTTTTGTATGTGACGTAACATTTTTGTCTAGGTTCGTTTAATGTTTTTTCTTTATAATTGACCTTGGACAGTCTAGTGGTGATATGTTTTGGTGATGTTCATTTTGTATATTACTTTAAGGCATTCACTGAATTCATGTATCTGGATGTCTACCTCTCTACAAGATTAAAATTATTTTTTGAATTATTTTCTCAAATATGTTTTCTTGTTTATTTACTTTTTATCCATCTTTCTCAGGAATGCCAACAATTTATAGATTTACAAACTTTAGATAATCTCATGTTTTTTGAAGGCTTTGTTGATTTTTTAAAACACATTTCTAATCCTGAAGAGTGGGTACTCCAGGAGCCTGGAGACCTGTCTAGGCATGGAGTACAGCAGATCCTGATACTCCATGATATATGCACAAAAAGGATAAGGCAGCTTTGGCTGGTGATTCAGATGAATTGGTCCACCAACTGCCTGGGCATGGGTCAGAGAGGGCTCCACTTCACCACAATCTCTGCACAAGAAGGGTTGGCTAGCTCAGGTTGCTGATTTAGGCAAGTGGGTGCTCTAAATTCCTGGAGAAATGCATGGAGATCTACTTGGGAATAGAGTGGAGAAGGTTCCCCCTGTACCATCATTTCTGCAGAGGAAGGGTGGGGTGAGTCAGGCTGCTAAACCAGGCAAGCGGGAGCTCCAAATGCCTGGAAATCTACCTGAGCATAAAGCAAAGAGGGCCCTAGTGCTCCAGGATCTCTACACAGGAATGGTGGTGCAGCCCAGGATGACAATTCAGGTGAGCAGATGCTTTGAATGCCTGGAGATCTACCTGTGTATGAAGCAGAGAGTGCCCCACTGCAGCACAGTCTATGCCCAGGAAGGATGGGGTGGCTTAGCTTGCTGAACCAGGTGAACAGGTGCTCCAAATGCCTGGAGATCTGCCTAAATGTGAAGTGGGGAGGGGCCCCCTGTACCGGGATCTCTGCAAAAGTAGGGTGGAGCAGGTCAGGCTGCTTATCCAAGAATATGGGTGCTCTGAATGCCTGGAGATATGCCTGGGTGTGGAGCAGACAGGGCCTTCTTGCACTAGCACCTCTGCACAAGAAGGGTAGAGTGCCATTGCTAGTCCTTGCGAGCAGGTGCCCTAAAGGCCTGGATTTATGCCTAGAGAGGGAGCAGAGAGGGCCCCACTCCACCATGATCTCAGGGGAGGAGGCTAGGTCACCCAGTAATGACACATGCAGACCAGTTCCAGTTCACTAAGCTGCCCCTGGCTATAAGTCTCATCACCAAGAAGAAACAGAAACTGTAGCAATTCTCCTCCTGTCCCAGACCTCCAAGGGAGGAAAGCACAATTTCAGTCCTTACTGCATAGGTGCTTTCCACAATTATGGCTGTGGAGGACCCTAACTTACTCCAGAGCAAGTGCTCCAATCTCTAGTTCAAGACAAAAATGCTCGCATAGCCACACTGCTGTGTCACCAAAAAATACCTGTTTTTGCATGTGCCTGGATTAACAATGGTGTCCTGCTTTTGGTCCTGGATCTGGAAAGATGTCTGTAGCTTTTCCCAGTGTCTTTCCCTTTCAGCACCTCCAAGCCACTCCCCATGATAATTTTGGGGATTGGGAGAAACAAAGTGCTCTCCCTTGGCCTGGGTTGCTCAGATATCCAGTGGAAAGGAGAATCACAGAGGGAGGCTCTCTGCCTCTCTCACATACTTGGATTTGACTCACTTTTATCAGCTGGATACCATCAACACAGGGCCTGTTAGCTTGTATTCCTTTCCCTGGAGAGTGGGATGTCCTTCAAAATTCTGGTGGATTCTTTTTTTTTTTTCTCTTGAATTAAAGCTAATAGAGTTGATCTTTATGCACTATCTTGTTATTTCCAAGTGGCTCAGGCATGCTAAAAGCCTTTAATTCACCAACTTGGAAGGAAGATAACCTCATTAGTTATTTTGAAATGAATTATTAGTTTCCAAATTGGGGGATTTTTTTCAGAGATCTTTAAAATTAATTTCTAATGTAATTCCATTGTGGTGAGATAAAATATTTTATATGACTTTAATTCTTTCAATTTATTGAGACTTATTCCTTAACCCAGAACATAGTCTGTTTTGGTAAATGTTCCACATTTATTTAAGCAGATTTTGTATTATTTTTTTTTCAAATGGACAACTAGAAATGTCAAATGTTAGTTCTCCTCAGACAGAAGATCCACAGTTACAGGTGAATGATTATGGCTAAGTGGAATGCTGAGGGGAGAGAGGTGGAACCTGTTGGAGAAGCCATGAGAAGAAGCTGGGCACAGAAAAATAAGGCAGCAAGAGCCTGGGAGAGATTGACCCCTGAGAAACTTGGGGTCCCATGGAAAAGGTAGGTGGAAGTGTGGGGTGTTTTTGTTCCCTCATCCCTGCAACAGACTGCTGACTGTTGAATTGTCAGAAAGCCCCTGTGTCTTTAGAAGTTCAGGGATCATTCTCGAAGGTAATTTGGAAACTTCTGGAGGGTTGAGCAGACTGCACAGGTTCTCCTTCTCTCCTCTCAAGCCTGAGCTGAAGTGGCATGTTCCATACTGGTTGTGCACCTCTTGTGGGCCACTATCCTTCCCAGAGATTCTCAGCCCTTTTGTCTCCTCATCAATAGATCCTCCACAAACATTTCCCAGTACCTGCTCTGACTGTGGCAATCACATGGAACAAGCAGGACTCTAAGGAGGCACAAGATCTCCAGAGATCTAGCCCTCGGCACGAGCTGCATCTAGGGGAAGGGAGATTGCAGCCTGCCAAAGCACCCTTTGGGACAAATGAATCCAGATTGCATGCTCTTCCCTGCCTAAGAGCCCCCCAGTTGTGACCAAAATGTGACCATGCCCCTCACAGTGAAGATCTGGGTGCAGTGCTGATCTTTGAAGAGGAAAAGTGTTGGTCCACTCCAGCAGACAGGTGGCACCAGGGGCCAGAAATGAAAGTGGAGACGGGGTCTTCTCCCAATCTCCCATCTACTGCTGTGGATGCAGCTGCATCTTTTCCTGCTGGGGGTTGGCATGAATGCACTCAGTAACAGGCATTCCAGTGCTATTCAGGGTAGCTGCATACCCACTGAAAATTTATCCACTGGCCTGGGCTTGCCTGAAGGGCCAGGCTCATCTCCCCCTTCCTATGTGGAGCAGCAGTGTTCCTGCAGCAGAGTGTGGACTAGCCACAGTGCTGCCTGTTTTGGGCTACACAAAGGTTTTTACTCAAAGTCATTTCAACAATAACCACAGGATTGGCATTTTCCACAGATCTCAGTTGCATTGCAACCTGGAGATAACGGATACCGTGTATTTGAACTGAGGGTTGTCAGCTGTGATTCAAGGGTGTGATAGACAAGTGAATCACATTGCTGCCTGTCCAGGATAAGGAGCTGGTACAGCACTCTCCTGCAGAGACCTCAGTGCATCTGAGCTCCCACCACCACCCCTATCAGTTCGGGTGTTTTCATTGGTCATCAGGATATCCAAGGGTGAGCCAACTTTTACTCATAAGTGCCACCTGCTGGACCGAAGACTTAACTGCAAAATCCAATTAAAAACCTGCTGACAGAAGGGCCTAGTGCTAGAGGAAAATATAAGCTTCCTGATATCTTCATACTCCCAGCCCCCAGAAGATAGCGAGTTAGTTCACATGACCAATATATTACTAAAACAATTAGCATTTAAGAAAGCCACCACACAATGTTGTCTATGAACAACAAACTTATACAGAGCCAGCCCCTGAAATCACCCAGATTTGAAGACAAATGATCATTAACATCATACCTTACAATCACTCCCTCAAGGGAGAAAATGGAAAAAAATTTAAAAGTCACATTTAAATGAAAGCATATGTAAAGTAAGAAGTGACAGTTTCTTTACATGATGAGAAAGAATCAACATAAAACTCTAGTAGTACTGAAAGATAGAGTGTTTTGACATCCATAAAGATTACAGTTGCTCTCTAACTGTGGATCCTAATGAAAATGAAAGTTTTGAAATGACACAAAAAGAATTCAAAATGTGTATTATAAGGAAGCTCAATGAGATCCAAGAGAAAGTTGAAAACCAAGACAAAGAAATCAGAAAAACAATTCAGAATATGAATGAAAAATTGACTAAAGAGATAAATATTTTAAAAACAAACAGAACTTATGAAAATAAAGCAAATTCATTGAAGAAATTACAAAATATAGTTGAAAGTTTAACAATGAACTAGACCAACCAAACGAAAAAATTTCAGAGTTTGAAGACTGGTTCTTTGAACTAACCAAGTCAGACAAGAATTTAAAAAAAAAAATTAAAAAATAAAAATGCCTTCAGGAAATATGAACTTATGTAAAGAGGCCAAACATACAAATGATGGGCATTCCTGAGGGAGAAAAAAAAAGTAAAAATGATGAAAAAATACATTTGATGTAATAATTTAGGAAAACATCCCTGATCTAACTATAGAATTAGACATCCAGATATAAGAAGCACATCCAAAGTCAATATGAAGGAAAAGAAAAATCTTGAAAGTAGCTAGAGAAAAGTGCCAAATCATCTACAAAGAAAATCTAATCAGACTAAGAGCAGACCTCTCAGCAGAAACCTTACAAACTGGAAAGGTCCTATTTTTAGTCTTTTTTTTTTTGACGGAGTCTTGCTCTGTCGCCAGACTGGAGTGCAGTGGTGCAATCTTGGCTCACTGAAACCTCTACCTCCCGGGTTCAAGTGATTCTCCTACCTCAGCCTCCTGAGTAGCTGGGATTACAGGCATGTGCCACCACGCCCAGCTGATTTTTATATTTTTAGTAGACATGGGGTTTCACCATGTTGGCCAGGATGGTCTTGATCTCTTGATCTCGTGATCCACTCCCCTTGGCCTCCCAAAGTGGTGGGATTACAGGCGTGAGCCACAACACCCGGCCTATTTTTAGTCTTCTTAAATAACATAACTGCTAGTCAAGAGTTTTGTATCCTTCTGAACAAAGCTTCAAAAATGAAAGAGAAATAAAATATTTCTCAAAATAGTAAGCACTAAGAAAATTCATAGTCACTTGACTAGTTCTACAAGAAATGCTCAGAAGAGTTCTAAAGATGGACATAAAGGGAAAATTTTCGCCATTACAAAAGCACATGTAAGCACAAAGTTCACAGATCCTATAAAGCAATTACACAATTGAAACTACAAAGCAACTAGATGACAACATTATGGCAGGGACAAATCCTGGCATATCAATATTAATTTTGAATATAAATGGTCTCCTAAATGCTACACTTAAAAGGTATAGACTGACAGATTTAGTAAACAAGATCCATCCACTTGTTGCCTACAAGAGACCAACTGAGTAGGTAAAGATGCTTCCAGACTCAAAGTAAAGGGATAGAAAAATACATACCATGCAAACAGAAAACAAAAATGAGAAGTGGCTAAACTTATGTTAGATAAAGCAGACTTTAAATAAAACCAGTAAAAAAGACAAGAAATTTTATTATGTTGTGATAAAGCATTCAATTCAACAAAAAGATATAACTAACCTAAATATGTATGTACCCAACACCAGAGTACCCAAATTGACGAAAACTTATACTGCTAGACCTAAGAAAAGTGAAAGCAATAAAATTATAGTGGGAAAATTTGACTTCCCACTGACACATGCAGACAGATCACTGAGACAGAAAACTAAAAAAGATACTCTGTACTTAAAGTTAGCTCTAGACCAAGTGGACCTAATAAACATTTATAAAACATTCTGCCCCCAAACTGCAGAATATACATTTTTCTTATCTGTGCATGGAACAGTCTTCAAAATGGACCACATAATATACTCAGCCATAAAGCAAGTCTCAATAAATTTTAAAATATTGAAATCATATCAAGTTACTTCTAGGACCAGAGTGAAATAAAATTAAAAACCAATACCAAGAGGAACTCTGAAAACTATACAAATACATGAAAACTTCACAACTTTCACTTGAATGATCTTTGGTTAAATGACAAATTTGGGACAAAAATTAAAACATTTTTTCAAATGAATGAATATAGATACACAACATATCAAAATCTCTGTAATACAGCAAAAGCAGTGCTAAGAGGAAATTTACAGTATTAAATGCCATCAAAAGATAGAAAGATTTCAAGTTAACAACATAATATCACACCTTAAGGAACTAGAGAAATGAAGAAAAACAAAAAGAAATTTAAAGCTAGCCAAAAATAAAAAAAAAGAAATAATAAAGATCAGAGAAGAACTAAATGAGGTTGAAAAATTTTTAAATGATTCAAAAACAAAATAAAAAGTTGATTCTTTGAAAATAATAACAAAAACGACAGACCACTAGCTAGACTAAGCAAGAAAAAAAGAGAAAACTTTCAAATAAACACAATCAGAAATGATAAAGGTGGCATTACCACTGATACCACAGAAATACAAAAGATCCAGAGACTATCATTTAAGTATTAGTATGTACACAAACTAGAAAACCTGGGAAAAGTTTATAGATTTCTGAAAGTATACAACCAGAGAGAAATAGAAATTCTGAACAGACCAAAAATGAGTAACTAAATCAAAACAGTCATAAAAATTCTCACAAGGAAAAAAGCCCAGAGGACCCAGATTCACAGCCAAATTTACTAGATGTACAAAAAGCTGGCACCAATCTTGCTGAAACTTCCTAAAAATCAAGAAGAAAAAAAGATTCTCTCTAACTCATTCTACAAACCAGTATCACCCTAATATCAGAATCAAGTAAGAACACATAAAAAAAAACAATATTCCTGATGAACATAGATGCAAAAATCCTAAAAAAAGGGGGGATGGCAAATACAACCAAACAGCACATCAAAAGAATAATACATCATGATCAAGTGTTTTTTATTCCTAGGATACAAGGATAGTTCAACATACGTACATTAAGAAATGTAATTTACTACCACAATTAGAATTTAAAACAAAAACCATATGATTACCTCAATAGATGCACAAAAAGCAATATGAAAAACCAAACACTCCTTCATAATATAAAAACATTAACAAACTAGATATCAAGGAAACACACATCAAAATAATAAAACCCAAACATGACAAACTCATAGCCAATGTTATACTAAATGGTAAAAAGTTGAAAGGATCCCCTCTAAGAAATGAAACAAGACAAGGATGCCCATTCTCACCACTCCTATTCAACATAGTACTGGAAGTCCTAATCAGAGTAATCAGGCAAGACAAAGAAATAAAACACATCCAAACTTGAGAGGAGGAAGTCAAATGATCTTTGTTCACATATGATGTAATTTTATATCTAGAAAACTCCAAAGACTCATAAAAGACTCCTCGACTTGATTAATTACTTCAGTATAATTTCAGAGTACAAAATAAACATGCAAAATTCAGTAGCATTTCTATACACCAACAATGTTCAAGCTGAGAACCAGATTAAGAACTGAATCCCAAATACGGTAGTCTATCCCCAAAAGAAAATACCTAAGAATACATTTAACCAAAGAGGTAAAATATCTCCACAAGGAGAACTACAAAACACTGCTGAAAAAAATGTAGTTGACACAAACAAATGGAAAATCATCCCATACTCATGGATTGAAAGAATACTGCTAAAATGATCATACTGCTCAAAACAATCTACAGATTCAACAAATTCCCTATCAAATTATCAATATCAACTTTTATAGAATTAGAAAAAATTTCTAACCCTTATATGGAACCAAAGAAAGATACCAAATAGCCAAAGCAATCCCAAGCAAAAAGAACAAAGCCAGAGGTATCACATTAACTGACTCCAAAATGTACCATAAGACTGTGGTAACCAACATAGCATGGTACAAAAAATAGACACATAGGTCACTGGAACAGAATAGAGAACCCAGAGTTAAAGCAATATACCTACAGCCAATTGATCTTTGACAAAATTGGCAAAAATATACAATGGGGAAAGGACACTCTATTTAATAAATGATGCTGGGAAAATTGTATAGCCATATGCAGAAGAATGAAACTGGACTCCTATCTCTCACCATAAACAAAAAATTAACTCAAAATGGATTAAAGCCTTAAATGGATGACCTGAAATTATAAAAATCCTAGAAGAAAGCCTAAGAATATCTCTTCTGGACATTGGCCTAGGCAAATAAATTATGACTAAGACATCAAAAGCAAATGCAACAAAACAGACAAATGAGATGAAATTAAAAGGTTCTTCATAGCAAAATAAGAAACTAACAGAGTAAACAGGCAATCTACAGAATGACAGGATATTTACAAACTATGCGTTTGATCAGAAACTAATATCCAGAATCTAAAAGAAACCCAAAGAACTTAACAAGAAAAAAAAACTCCATTAAAAAGTGGGCAAAGAACATAAATATACATTGTTTAAAAGAAGACATACAAGTAGCCCATCAACATACGAAAAATAGTGGGACTACTGGGTATGTGCCCAAAGTGAAAGAAATTATTATGTCAAAAAGACAACTATACCTGTATGTTTACTGCAGCACCATCCACCATTGCAAAGTCATGAAATCAACCTAAGTGTCTATCAGTGGTTGATTAAATAAAGAAAGCCTGGTATACATACAGCATGGAATACCCTGCAGCCATAAAAATAATAAAGTCATATTCTTTACTGCAACATGGATGGAGTTGGGGGCCATTATCGTAAGTGAAATAACTCAGAAACAGAATATCAAATGTGGCCTGTTCTCACTTATAAGTGGGAGCTAAACAATGGATGCACATGGACATACAGAGGGAAATAGCAGACACTGGGCACTACAAAAGAGGGAACAGTGGGAGGACAGTGAGTGTTATAAAATTCTGTACAATATTCGTTATTTGGGTGATGGACACAATAGAAACTAAAACCTCATCATTACACAATATATCCACATAACAAACTTGATCATGTACCATCTGAATCAATAATAATAATAATAATAATAAATAATGCAGAACAATGTATTCTGCTGTTGCTGAGTGGTGTTCTATAATTGTTTATTAAGTTGATTTATGGTGTTATTCAAGATTTCTATATTCTTTCTGATTTTATAACTATGTATTTTATTAAACATATTGAGGGAGATATTGAAATATCCAATTAGAATATTTACTTAACATGCATATTAAATATTGTAATTCTGTCTCTCATGTATTTCTATCTCTTACAGTTTTATCAGTTTTAGCTTTTGTATTTGGAAGGTCTATAATGTTACTGAGTACACAGACATTAGAAATGTTGTGTCCTCAATGATAGACTGGATTAAGAAAATGTGGCACATATACACCATGGAATACTATGCAGCCATAAAAATTGATGAGTTCACGTCCTTTGTAGGGACATGGATGAAGCTGGAAACCATCATTCTCAGCAAACTATGGCAAGGACAAAAAACCAAACACCGCATGTTCTTACTCATAGGTGGGAACTGAACAATGAGAACACATGGACACAGGAAGGGGAACATCACACACTGGGGACTGTTGTGGGGTGGGGGGAGGGGGGAGGGATAGCATTAAGAGATATACCTAATGCTAAATGACGAGTTAATGGGTGCAGCACACCAACATGGCACATGTATACATATGTAACTAACCTGCACATTGTGCACATGTACCCTAAAACTTAAAGTATAATAATAATAATAATAATAAAGAAATGTTGCGTCCTCATGGTGAATTGATTCCTTTATAATTAAAAAAGACCTTATTTCTTATCACAGGTAACAGATCAATTTGAGAAAAAATTAACAATGTTAAAAGTTTGAATCTCTTCATGCAGTATGTCTCTCTATTTATTTAAGTCCTCCTTAATTTCATTAATATTTTATAGATGTTATCATACAAATATCATATATATTTATCAAAGTTACCCCTTAAAATTTTATGACTCTTAATGTTATTATAAATATTATTTTCATTTCCAATTGTTTATTGCTAATACATAGAAATGCAGTTTTCTTATATGTTGACATCTTATTCTATGATGCTTCTAAATTCATTTATTATTCTGTTAAGAAATTATTTTGGTGTCTGATTCTATTGATTACTTTGTCTCTTGACAATGATTTTAACTTTTCTTGCTTTTTGTATGGCTCATTTTTTTATGAAACAGGGAATGTTGTGTGTAGAAAATATAAACTGAGGCAAATAATATTCACTCCTGAAGATGGAAATTCTTTTTCTTTGCCTATTAGTTTAAAGTGTTCATATGTCCCATCTCTCCTCAGAGACACTTTTCAATTTTGTTAATTCATTTCACTTGTTTGTCTTTCAATCTCAGGAATCTGAAGGGTTTAACATTTATAATATTTAAAGATTATCCAGTTTTTCTAAAAAAATGGACCTTAGGCTTCTATGTGAATGTTACAACAATAACAATTTTATAAGAAAATATAGGTTAAAAGGTTTACAACTTTTGAGTAGGCAAGTATGTCATAGAGCAAACAAAAGAAAATAATTGATAAACTGGACTTCATAAATATTACAAATGTTTGCTCTTTGGAAGAAACCATTAAAAAAATGAAGAAGAGATTTGGAGGTGGAGCAAGATGGTGGAATAGAAGGCTCCACTGATTGTCTCCCCCACAAGCATGCAACCAATTCAACAACTATCTACATAGAAAAATTGCCTTCATAAGAAACAAACATCAGGTGAGCATGCATAGTACCTGGTTTAAACTACATATCACTGAAACAGGCACTGAAGAGATAGAAAAAACAGTCCGTAATCCCTGAGATCACCCCCTGGCAGCAGCAGCATTGTGTGGAGAGCATGTCTGGGCACTGGGGGAGAGGCAACAAAGCAACTGTAAGGCATTAAACTCAGTGCTGTCCTGTTAGAGCAGAAAAGAAAACTGAACCAAACTCAGAGGATGCCCACACAGAGATAAACCATTTAAACCAGCCCTAGCCAGAGGGGAATCTCCCATCATAGTGGTCCAAGCTTGAGTTCCCACAAATCTCGCCACCGAGGGCTACAGTTCCCTGTGTCTCCAAACAAACTTGAAAGGCAAACTGTGCCATAAGGACTACAACTCTTGGGTGCATCCTAGTGCTGAACTCGGCCCAGAGACAGTAAACTGGGGAGGGAGGGATTTTACATACTAAGAAAACACCTGGGGCAGCCAAGAGTGCTGACAACACCCTCCCCTAACCCCAGGCTGCAAGCTCACAGTTCCAAAAGAGATCCCATCTTCCTACTTGAGGAAAGAAAAGAAAAGAGTGGGGAGGACTTTGTCTTGCCTCTTAGATACTAGCTCAGCCACAATAGGATAGGGCACTGGTCAGAGTCATGAGACCCCTGTTCCAGGCTTTAGATGCCAGATATTTTTACACTCACCTTGGGCCAGTAGGAAACCTGTTTTCTTGAAGGAAAAAAAAAAACGTTCTGGAAGCCTTTATCACCGGCTAATTAATAATCTAATAATCAAATTAAAAATAATCAAAAATTTGAATAGACATTTTTCAAAAGAACACATACAAAAGGCAAAGAGGCATATGAAAAGGTGATCTACATCACTGATCATCCAAGAAATACAAATCAAAACTACAATGAGATATCATCTCACCCGAGTTAACACGGCTTATATCCAAAAGACAGGCAATAACAAATGCTGGTGAGAATGTGGAGAAAAGGGAACACCAGTATACTGTTGGTGATAATGCAAATTAGTACAATCATTATGGAGAACAGTTTGGAGGTTTTTTGAAAAACTAAAAAATGCAATATCATATAATTTACCAATCCTACTGCTGGTATATACCCAAAGGAAAAAATGATCGGTAAATCGAAAAGATATCTGCATTGCCTTGTTTGTTGCAGCACTGTTTACGATAACTAAGATTTGAAAGCCACTGAAGTGTCCATCAACAGATGAATGAAGAAAATATGATACATATACACAATGGAGCACTATTTAGCCATAAAAAGTTAGATCCAGTTATTTGCAACAACATGAATGAAACTGCAGACCATTATGTTAAGTGAAATAACCAGGTACAGAAAGACAAACATCACATGTTCTCAATTACTTGTGGGATTTAAAAATCAAAACAAACTCATGGACATAGAGAGTAGAAAGATGTTTATCAGAGGCTGGGAAAGGTTGTTGGGGTTGTGAGGGAGGTAGGGATGGTTACTAGATATAAAAAATAGAATGAATAAAACCTACTATTTTATAGCACAGTAGGGTGACTGTAGTCAATAACTTATTTGTAAAATTTATAATATCTTGAAAAGAGTAATTGAATTATTTGTAACTCAAAGGATAAATGCTTGAGGGGATGGATACCCTATTCTCCATGGTGTGCTTATTTTATATCACGTGCCTATATCAAAATATCTCATGTACCTCATAAATATATACATCTACTATATACCCACAAAAATTAAAAATTAAATAATTAAATAATTTTAAAAAATGGAATTGATGAGGCAAGTGACAGAATGAAAGAAATTTAGATGAATAGGTAGGTAGATGATAGGTCAAAGATAGATCTGTATCTGTATATCAATATTTCTATATTCTTAAGCACTTGTATCCAGAATGCATAAACATCTTTTAAGAAGAATAACAGTGAAATAAGAAAGGAGACCACTACCACTTAGAATGCAAAAAGCTGGAAGATAAAATTATTTCCATTTTATTAGAAGCCTCGGTTTTTTGTTTTTTGTTTTTGTTTTTTTTTTTGAGAATAATGTTAGAAAATAATACCTTGAGAGAGATTGCCAGGCAGAGCAAGATGGCAGAATAGAAAGCTCCACTGATTGTCTCCCCCAGTGGGACACCAAATTAGCAACTATTTACAGAAGAAAAAACACCTTCATAAGAACCAAAAAATCAGGTGGGCACTCATAGTACCTGGTTTTAACTTCATATCACTAAAAGAGGCAGTGAAGCAATAGAAAAAACGGTCCTGAATTGCTGATAAAACTCCTCCCGTACCCCTGGCAGTGGTGATATGGAGTGAAGAGCGTCTCTGGGCACTGAGGGAGGGAGAACACAGCAATTGTGAGGCATCGAACTCAGTGCTGTGCTGTTAGAGCAGAAAGAAAACCGTACCAAACTCAGAAGATGCCTGCCAGAGGGGAATCCCCCATCCCAGTAGTCCAAACGTTGAGTGACTGCAAACCTCCCCACCGAGAGCTACAGTGCTCACTGCTCGCTGTCTCCAAGTAATCTTCAAAGGTAGTCTAGGGCATAAAAACCGCAACTCTTAGGTGAATTCTAGTGCTGAACTTAGCCCAGAGACAATGGACTGGAGTGCACATGACAAACTGAGACATCAGCTGGGGCAGCCAATGGAGTGCTAATTTTTTTTTTTTTTTTGAGATGAAGTCTTGCTCTGTCTCCCAGGCTGGAGTGCAGTGGAGCGATCTCGGCTCACCTCAACCTCCGCCTCTAGGATTCAAGCGATTCTCCTGCCTCAGCCTCCCAAGTAGCTGGGATTACAGGCATGCACCACCAATGATTCATGAAATAAGCTTTATGCCCCTTTCTACCTCTTACTTATCCTCTCTTATTGTCACTGAACCTCATAATGCATATATTGGTTTGCTTGATGGTGTTTCCTGAGTCCCCTAGTCTTTCTTCACTCTTTTTATTCTATTTTTTAAATTCTCTGACTAGACCATTTCAAATAATATGTCTTTGAGTTTGCTGATTATTATTATTATTATTATTATTATTATTATTATTATTATTATTTGAAACAGAGTCTCACTCTGCTGCCCAGGCTGGAGTGCAGTGGTGCAATCTCAGCTCACTGCAACCTCTGCCTCCCAGGTTCAAGTGATTCTCCTGCCTCAGCCTCCTGAGTAGCTGGGACTACAGGCGCGTGCCACTACGCCGAGCTAATATATTGTATTTTTATTAGAGACGGGGTTTCACCATGTTAGCCAGTATGGTCTCGATCTCCTGACCTCATGATCCACCTGCCTCGGCCTCCCAAAGTGCTGGGACTACAGGCGTGAGTTACCGCGCCTGGCCTGCTGATTATTTCTTTTGCTAGATCAAGTTTGCTGTTAAAGCTCTCTGAACTTTTTTATTTTAGTTATAGTCATCAGTGGCAGAATTTTTTTTTAATAGTTTCTATCTTTGTTGATATTCTTATTTTATGTATTATTTTCCTGAATTTACTGAATTGTCTATTTATATTCATCTGTAACTCCGTAAAAATTTTAAAGATAATTATTTTGAATTCCTTATCTGGCAAATTTTAGATTTCTGTTTCTTTAAGGTCACCTATTTTAAATTTATTTTCTTTCATTGATTATGTTATGTTTTCCTGCTTCTTTGTGTTTCTTATAGCTTTGTTGTGTTGATGATAAATTTGAAGCAGCCATCTTTTCTAGTCTTTACAGAATAGCTTCAATGGACAAAGTACTTCAACAATCATCCACTCTAGAGATTCTGTAAGCCTCTCAAGCCTTTTTAATTGATGTGTCTTCTCTGGACTTGTATGTGTAGGTTAATAATTAGAAAGATTTACTGATTCTTTTTCTTTTAAGAGCTTATAATAATCTTTTACTTCCTATGGTGTCTGACTGCTGTGCTTCAGGCTGAGATGTTGAAGACATGCATCACTCTTCTACATTATTTGTGGAGAAGGCTTGGCTTCTGTGCCTTCTCTCAATCTTGCAGAGACATGGTGGGCACAGCATGCTGCCTTCCCTTTTTCCTGTGTTTTTATCTGGTTCCACCAAACTGTGCCAATTCTGTAAGCACTCAAGGTATCATGCAACTGAATCTGTCCTCTTGGGCAGTGCAATGAAAGGCCAGGTTGTTGGAAGCATGATCCACTTTTTTTTTTCCTCCCTTCAGAGGTAGAAACCTCAGATTTTGTGCCTTTTGTCAATCTCACAGAGCATAGCTGTACCTATCATAGTAAGCCACCTGTCCCTTTTTTTGTTCTTAATTGTCCTCTCCAAGCATCTGAATTATATCTGTTCTGTCAGCACTCCGTGTGAGGCAAGTCGGAAACTGGGCACTCAGGCAGCATATTGACAGGCCAGAATATTGGAGGCATGCTCTACTTCTCTTTCTTCTTCCTGGGGAAGAAGCCTCAGATTCTTCACTTTATCTTAATCTTGCCTAGCCTTATGGGCTACAACAAGTAGCCTACCCATTTTTCTCCATTCCTAGCTGTCCCAGGTGATTGAACTATGCCAGTTCTGTCAGCATTCTATGTCAAGCAAGACAGAAACCACCCCCCTCTGGCAGCATAATGAAAGACTGGTATGTTGGAGGACTCTTAACTCCTCTCCTTTTCTCCTGGAGAAGAAACCTCAAGTTCTGTGCCTTCTCCCAATCTTTAAGAGCTGTGCAGACTGCAGCAAGCCATCTACCCCTTTTTCTTTGTTCTTATTTACTCCCAGGCATGTGAACTCTGTTGTTTCTGTCAGTGCTCAACGTGAGATGATGCAGAAACCAGCCATTTGGGCAGTGCACTGAAATCTTGGGACATTGGAGACATGCTTCGTTCTTCTTTCTCTATTGTGGTTTTGATTTGCATCTTTTTAATGACTAATAATTTTGAACATCTTTTTATGTCCTTGTGGCCATTTTTGTGTGTTTTCTTGGAGAAAAGTCTATCCATTTATTCATCCATTTAAAAATTGAGTTTTCTCTATTTTTCTTATTGAGTTTTAAGAGTTTTTATATCTTCTGGATATTAGGCCCAAACCAGAAATATGATTTTACCAACAATCTATCCCATTCTATGTGTTCTCTTTTGGCATTCTTTATAGTATTTATTGATACACACAAAACATCAATTTTAATGATGTCCAATTTTCTATTTTTTGTTGTTGTTTTTCCTTTTTTCTTGTATCTGAGAATTCATTGCTAAATCCAAAGTCATAAAGCTTTCCCCTCAAGTTTTCTTTTAGAGTTTTGTATTTTTAGATGTTTTATTTAGCTCTTTGATCCATTTTGAGATAAATTTTTGTTGTTGTTGTTGTTTTTTTGAGGTGGAGTTTTGCTCTTGTTGCCCAGGCTGAAGTACAGTGGCGCGATCTTGGCTCACTGCAACCTCCGCCTCCTAGGTTCAAGTGATTCTCCTGCATCAGCCTCCCGAGCAGCTGGGATTACAGGTGCTTGCCACCATGTCCGGCTTTTTTTTTGTATTTTCAGTAGAGATGGGTTTTTGCCAAGTTGGGCAAGCTGGTCTCGAACTCCTGACCTCAGGTGATCCACCAGCCTCGGCCTCCCAAAGTGCTGGGATTACAGGCATGAGCCACCGTGCCTGGCTGAGATAATTTTTTTATGTGGCGTGAGGAAATGGCCTAACTTTATTCTTTTCATGTGGCTATCTAGTTGTCTTAGTATCATTTAAAGAAGAGAACTTCCTTTTATTATTGAATGTCTTGGCACCCTTGTCAAAATCAGTAGGCCAAAGATTTAAGGATGTATTTTAGAACTTTTATTTCAGTGATCTATATTTCTATCTTCTCCCAACATCACATTTTTAAAAATTATTGTAGCTTTATAGTAAGTTTTGAAGTCATGAAGGGTGTCCTTCAACTTTGTTTTATTTCTCAAAGTTGTTTTGGCTATTTGAAGTCTCTTGCAATTTTATATTAACTTTAGAAGTAGTGTTTTTATTTCTGTAAAATAAAACTACCACTGGGATTTTGATAGAGAATGAATTGAATCTATAGATTTAATTGGGTATTATTGCCATCTTAATATTGTTTTTCAATCCATGAATATAAAAACTTTTTCTGTTTATTTAGATCTTTAATTTCTTTTAGCAGTGTTTTGCAGTTCTCAATGTACAGTTCTTGCAATCCCTTGTTTAAATTTATTTGCAAGCATACTCTTTTTTGTGTTTTTGTAAGAGGAACTGTTTTCTTAATTGCTTTTTAATATGGTTTATTGCTAGTTTATACAAATATAATAATCTTTGTGTATTTATCTCGTATCCTGCAACTTTGCTGAATTACTTTCTTGACTCATCATTTTTCTTAGATCCATTGATATGTTCTATATAGAAGATCAGAGATCATATTATCTTAAAATATAAATAACCTTATAATTTTTTCTAATTTAGATATTTTTATTTTCAGTTGTTGCCCAATTTTCCTGTCTAGAACCTCCAGTGCAATTTTAAATATAAGTGGTAAGAGTCGATATTGTCTTGTTCTTAATATTAGGAAAAATGCTTTTAATCTTTAACTGTTTATTATGCTAGCTATTTTTTAATGTAAATGCCTTATATCACTTTGAGGATCTTTTTCTTCATTCCTAATATGGTGAGTACTTTTATAATAAAAGGTGTTAATTTTTTTCAGGTGCTTCATTGCATCAATTTTTAGATGATCATATGGGTTTTTCCTTCTTTCCATTAAGGTAGGATATTACAGTCATTGATTTTGTATGTTGGAAAACTTTTGCATCCTAGGAGAATTCCTACATGGTCATAGTGCATGGTCCTTTTAATACTCTCCTAGTTTAGGTTAGGCAGTATTTATAGTTCTGGGATATTCCTGGTGTTTATCTTGACACTGGGTAGTTGTTTCTGGTTTTCTGTGGGGTAGGGTAAAACCAGATTGCTTTTATTTTACCATTGTGCTGACATCACTTAGGTTTTATTGTAATTTATTGGGGATTTAAAAATTTATAGTCATAAGTGATATTGGCTTATAATTTCCTTCTTAAGTGTCTTTGTCTGGCTTTGGTATTGGGGTAATCCTGGCCTCATAAAATTAGTACAAAAATAGTCCCACCTTTTTTATTTTTGGAAGAGTTTAAGAAAAAATGTTCATTATTCTTTACATGTTTGGTAGAAATTACCATTGATTCTTTCTGGTCCTGTCTGTGTGTGTGTTTGGGGGGGGGGGTGTGTCTGTGTGGGTGTGTGTGTATGTGAATTTTTTTTTTTTTTGCTTATTCAATATCTTAATTTACTATAGGTTTCTACAAACTTTCTATATTTTTCAGTCCATTTGCTTTAGTTTGTGTCTTTCTAGAAATTAGCCTATCTCATCTAGGTTGTCTAATTTGTTGCCATACAATTGTTCATAATATTCCTTTATAAACCTTTAATTTCCATCGTGTCCACAATAAAGTCCTCATTTTCAGTTTTGATTTTAGCAATATGTGTCTTCTCTGTTTGGCAATTTTGTTGTTCTTTTCAAAAAACAAACATTTGGTTTCATTGATTTATGTGTTCTTATTGTCTATGTCATTTATCTTTATTCTAATATTTATTACATTCTTTCTTATGCTTTGGGTTTAGATTATTCTACATTTTCTAGTTTCTTGAGGTGTAAATTATGTTATTAGTTAAAGATTTTATTTTCACCGAAGGAATGTACAGCTATCACTTTCTCTTTGAGCACTGCTTTGGCCATCTTATTAGTTGTATTATGCTTTGTCTTTACTTTTAATCATCTCAAAGTATTTTCCAATTTTCTTTGTGATTTTTTTCATGGAAACATTGATTGCTTAAAAGTATGTGGTTTAATTTACACACATGTTAATTTTTCTTCTTTTCTTGATTTCTAGTTTTAGTCCCTTATGTTTAGAGAAAATACTTTGTAAGATTTCAATCATTTGAACTTCTTAAAACTCTTTTTTTGGCCTAATACATGCTTTATTCTGGAGAAAGTAGCATGTGTACTTGAGAAGAATATGTATTTTGCTTTTGTTGGAGGAAGAGTCCTGTATGTGTCTATTGGGTCTAATAGGTTAATAGAGTTGTACAAGTCCTCTATTTTCTTATTGATCTCACCAGTTCTACCCATTATTAATTGGAGTATTAAAGTCTCTATTTTTGTAGAGCTTTCTATGACTTCATTTCTTTTAATGTTTATTTTATATATTTTGGGGCTCTGTAATTAGGTGAGTATATAAATGTTATCTATTTTTAATGAATTGATGCTCTTATCAATATATAACCTCCTATTTTTACTTTTAGCATAATTTTGCACATAATATCTATTTTGTCAGTTATTGGTAGTGCTACCCCGGGTTTCTGTTGGCTAATAAATATGCATAGGATATCTATTTTCATATGCTTACTTGCACCCTATTTTTATCTTCATGTCTATCATGATTCTCTAGTAGAGAATATATAGGTAGATCATGTTTTTTTTTTGTTTTCATTTTGTCAATCTCTGCCATCTGATTGATGAGTTTAATTCATTTACATTAAAGTGATTACTGATTGATTCTTGGTCTTTCGGCTAAGATAAAGCATAAAGTGATGACTGGTAAGTAATAATTTATTTCTGCCATTTTGAAATTTGCTTTCTATATGCTGTGTATTATTTTTTACCATAATCCCTTCATTACAGCCTTTTTTGCATTTAATTTATTATTCAGAGTAATTCCTTTTGATTCCCTATTTCACTTTTAGTATATTTTTAAGTTATTTTCTTAGTGGTTACCTTGGGGATTATAATTATTTCTTTTCCCCTAGGGCTTTCTTTTGAGCTTATTGAGCATATTTAAGGGAGTTCATTTAAGTTATTTGTCTAGTAAGTCTAATGACTGTGACTTGTCAGAAAAAAATATTACTTTTTCGTGTGTGTGATTTTCCTTTTTTCTTTTTTCTCTCTCTTTTTATTTAACTAGCTCGTACTTTCTTGTTTCTTTGCATGTCTAGTTAGCTTTTGTTAAATAATAGTTATTTTGAATATTATAATTTAGCTGCTCTAGAGATCATATTCTTCTCCATATTTCCCTGGATTTTTTTTACTTGCTGTGCATTGTAGTTGTTCATTTGTTTTGTGACTTTCTAAACTACATTTTGTAAAGACTATTTCTCTGTCATATGATCTTTGAAAGCTGTGCTGCTACAGTTTAGTGAGCAGCTGGTCATTAAAAGAATTTTCTTAAACATATGGAGCATTCCAAATTAAGAGGAAATAAAAACACATACTTTTCTGGCATTTGCAGATTGGCTTTGTGTTGTGGCAATCCTTTGATGCTTAGTGAGACCATATACAGTTCTACTTTAATCTTCACTTTCCTTATCAAGTCTAAACATAAGCCAGATGTTAAAGCTTATAGTCTTTTCAGGTCTTTTCTGAGCATGTTTTTTTGCTGTGGGCATGTATGTAACTTGGTAGATTCCCTGATATTTGTGAGAGCTTTTAAAAGCTCTTATTCAATAAAGTATTTTACTCCCCAGTTTTTTACTCAGGCTATCAGCATGCTGTTGTTTGTGTTTTTGCCACAGTCTTTAATTTTGGCCACAAGTGTCATGGCTTTTGTATTTGCCATTCAGTGTTTTAGAAGAATGTTCTCCACACAGCTGCTTCTCCACCATATTAAAGTTTTGACATTCTTAATAATTTTTTTTTACTTTGACTTTTAAGTTCAGCAGTACATGTGCAGGTTTGCTACATAGTTAAACTGATGGGAATTTGTTCTACATATGATTTCATCACCCAGATATTAAGCTTAGTACCTATTAGTTATTTTACCACATTCTCTCCCTCCTCCTACCGTCCACCCTTGATAGGCCCCAGTATGTTTTGTTCCCCTCTCTGTGTCCTTGTGTTATCATTTAGCTCCCACTTATAAGTGACAAAGTGTGGTATTTGGTTTTCTGCTCCTGCATTAATTTGCTAAGGATAATAGCCTCCAGCTCCATCCTTGGTGCTGCAAATTACATCACCTTGTTTTTTATGGCTGCATAGTATTCCATGATGTATATGCATGAAATTTTCTTTATTTAGTCTACCATTGATGGGTATTTAGGTTGATTCTATGTCTTGGCTGTTGTGAATTGTGCTGCAATAAATATAAGTGTACGTGTGTCTTTATGATATAATGATTTATATTTCTTTGGGTATGTACCCAATAGTAAGATTACTGGGTCAAATGGTATTTCTATTTTTAGGTCTTTAAGAAAGTGCCACACTGTCTTCCACAATGGTAAACTAATTTACACTCCTGACAACAGTGTATAAGCATTCTTTTTTTGCCACAATCTCACCAGCATCTGTTGTTTTTTATCATTTTAATAATAGCCATTCTGACTAGCGTGAGATGGTATCTGGTGGTTTTTAATTTGTACTTCTCGAATGATCAGTGATGTTGAGCTTTTTTTCATGTTTGCTGGCTGCATGCCTGTTCATGTTCTTTGCCCACTTTTTAATGTTTTTTTTCTTGTAAATTTTTTTGGTTCTTTTTTTAAATGTAATTTAATTTTATTTTACTTTAAGTTCTGGGATACATGTGCTGAACGTGCAGGTTTGTTACATAGGTATACATGTGCCATGGTGGGCTTGTTGCACTTATCAATCCATCATGTAGGTTTTAAGCTCTGCATGCATTAGGTATTTGTCCTATTGTTCTCCCTCCCCTTGCCCCACCACCCCCCAATAGGTCCCGATGTTTGATGTTCTCTTTCCTGTGTCCATGTGTTCTCATTGTTCAACTCTCACTTCTAAGTGAGAACATGCTGTGTTTGGTTTTCTGTTCCTGTGTTAGTTTGCTGAGAATGATGGTTTCCAGCTTCACCCATGTCCCCACAAAGGACATGAACTCACTCTTTTTTATGGCTGCATACTATTCCATGGTGTGTATGTGCCACATTTTCTGCATCCAGTCTATCATTGATGGGCATTTGGGTTAATTCCAAGTATTTGCTATTGTAAATAGTGCTGCAATAAACAAACGTGCATGTGTGTCTTTATAGTAGAATGATTTATAATCCTTTAGGTATATACCCAGTAATGGGATTGTTGGTCAAATGGTATTTCTGGTTCTAGATCCATGAGTAATTGCCACACTGTTTTCTGCAATGGTTAAACTAATTTATACTCCCATCAACAGTGTAAGTGTTCATATTTCTCTGCATCTTCACCAGCATCTGTTGTTTCCTGACTTTTTAATGATTGCCATTCTAACTGGCATGAGATGGTATCTCATTGTGGTTTTGATTTGTATTTCTCTAATGACCAGTGATGATGAGTGTTTTTTCATACGTTTGTTGGCCACATAAATGTCTTCTTTTGAGAACTGTCTGTTCACATCCTTTGCCCACTTTTTGATGGGGTTGTATGTTTTTTTTCTTGTAAATTTGTTGAAGTTCCTTGTGGATTCTGGATATTAGCCCTTTGTCAGATGGATAGATTGAGAAAATTTTCTTCCATTCTGTAGGTTGCCTATTCACTCTGATGATGGTTTCTTTTGCTGAGCAGAAACTCTTCAGTTTAATTAGATCCTATTTGTCAATTTTGGCTTTTTTTTTTTTCCATTGCTTTTCGTGTTTTAGTCATGAAGTCTCTGTCCATGTCTATGTCCTGAATGGTATTGCCTAGGTTTTCTTCTAGGGTTTTTAGGGTTTTAGGTCTTATGTTTTAAGTCTTTAATCCATCTTGATCTAATTTTGTATAAGGTGTCAGGAAGGGGTCCAGTTTCTGTTTTCTGCATATGGCTAGCCAGTTTTTCCAGCACCATTTATTAAATAGGAAATCCTTTCCCCATTGCTTGTTTTGTCAGGTTTGTTGAAGATAAGATGGTTGTAGATGTGTGGCATTATTTCTGAGGCCTCTGTTCTGTTCCATTGGTGTGTGTGTGTGTGTCTATATATATATATATATATAATGTGTGTGTGTATGTGTATGTGTGCATGTATGTATGTGTATATATACATATACATATATATATACCTGTTTTGGTAGCAGTACCATGCTGTTTTGGTTACTGTAAACTTGTAGTATAGTTTGAAGTCAGGTAGTGTGATGCCTCCAGCTTTGATATTTTGCTTAGGATTGTCTTGGCTCTACAGGCTCTTTTTTTATTCATATGAAATTTAAAGTAGTTTTTTCTAGTTCTGTGAAGAAAGTCAATGGAAGCTTGATGGGAATAGCATTGAATCTATAAATTACTTTGGGCAATATGGCCATTTTCACAATATTGATTCTTCCTATCCACGAGCATGTGTTTGTTTCTTATAGATGCTAGATATTAGACCTTTTTCAGTGGATAGCTTGCAAAAAAAATTTCTCCCATTTTATAGGTTGTCTGCTTACTCTGTTGATAGTTTCTTTTGCTTTTCAGACACTCTTTAATTTAATTATATTCCATTTGTCAATTTTTGCTTCCGTTTTAATTGCTTTTTGCATCTTTGTCAAGAAATTTTTTTCTTGTTTCTATGATCAGAATGATATTCCCTAGGTTTTCCTCCAGGGTTTTTATAGTTTTGGGTTTTATATTTAAGTATTTAATCTATCTTGAGTTAATTTTCATATATGATATAAAGAAAGGGTTTAGTTTTAATCTTCTGTATATGGCTAGCCAGTTATCTCAGCATCACTTATTGAATAGGGAGTCCTTTCCCCATTGACGTTTGTGTCAGCTTGGACAAAAATCAGATAATTTTAGGTGTGCAGCCTTGTTTCTCAGATATTTATTGTGTTCCATTGGTGTATGTGTCTGTTTTTGTACCAGTACCGTGCTGTTTTAGTTACTGTACTTCTGTATTATAGTTTGATGTCAGGTAAAATGATGCCTCCAGATTTCACCTGTTTGCTTAGGATTGCCTGGGTATTTGGGCATTTTTTGTTTCCATATGAATTTTTAAATTTTTTAATAGTGCTGTGAAAATGTAATTGCTACAATTACATTGTAACAAGAAGAGCATTAAATCTATAAATTGTGTGCCACGTGCGGTGGCTCATGACTGTAATCCCAGCACTTTGGGAGTCCGAGGTGGGCAGATCACGAGGTCAGGAGATTGAGACCATCTTGGCTAACACGGTGAAACCCTGTCTCTACTAAAAATACAAAAACAAAATTAGCCGGGTGAGGTGGCAGGCACCTGTAGTCCCAGCTACTCCAGAGGCTGAGGTGAGAGAATGGCGTGAACCTGGGAGGCAGAGCTTGCAGTGAGCTGAGATTGTGCCACTGCACTCCAGTCTGGGTGACAGAGCAAGACTCTGTCTCAAAAAAAAAAAAAAAAAAAAAAATTCTATAAATTGTGTTGGGCAGTATGGCCTTTTTAATGATATTGATTCTTCCCATCCATAAGTATGAAATGCTTTTTCATGTGTTTGTTTCATCACTCATTTATTTGAGAAGTGTTTTGTAGTTTTCTTTGTAGAGATCTTTCCCTCCCTGATTAACTGTATTACTAGGTTTTTAAATTTTATTGTAACAATTGTGAATAAGATTGCATTCCTGTTTTGGCTCCTGGATTATCTGTGTTTGGTTTATAGGAATGCTAGTAATTTCTGTACATTGATTTTTTTATCCTGAGACTTAGCTGAACTTGTTTATCAGCTTAAGGAACTTTTGGCCTGAGACTATAGAGTTTTTAGATATAGGATAATGTTTTCTGCAAATAGAGATAGTTTAACTTTCTCTCATTATATTTATTTTTTTCTCTTGCCTGATTGCTCTGTACACATTGTCCAAAACTGTGTTAAGTAGGAGTGGTGGGAGAGGGCATTCTTTTCTTGTGCCAGATTTCAAAAAGAATGCTTTCAGCTTTTGCCAATTCAGTATGATGTTGGCTTTAGGTTTGTCATATATGGCTGTTATCATTTTGAAATATGTTTTTTCAATACCTAGTTTATTCAGAGTTTTTAAACCAAAGTGGTGTTCAATTATATCAAAAGCCCTTTCTGCAGCTATTGAGATAATCATGTGGTGTTTGTATTTAATTCTGCTAATGTGATGAATTACATTTATGGATTTGTGTATGTTGAACCAACCTTGCATTCCAGGGATAAAGCCAACTTGATCATGGTGGATCAGCTTTGATGTGTTGCTGGTTTTGGTTTGGCAGTACTTTGTTGAGTATTGTTTTCATCGATGTTCATCAAAAGATATTGGCCTGAAGATTTGTTGTTGTGTCTCTGCCAGTTTTTTTTTTTTATTTGAATGATGCTGGCCTCATAGATTGACTTATGGAGAGGTCCCTCCTCATCAATTTTATTAAAATATTTTCAACAGAAATGATACCAGCTTTTTTTGTATATTTGGTAAAATTATCTGTGATTCTGTCTGGTCCTAGCTTTTGGTTTTTGGTTGGTAGGCTATTTGTTTAATTTCAGAACTAATTATTGGTACATTCAGGGATTCAGTTTCTTCTTGGTTCAGTCTTGGGAAGGTGTATGTGTCCAGGAGCTTATCCATTTCTTCCAGATTTTCTAGGTTATATGCATAGAGGTGTTCATTACATTCCCTGATGTTTATTTGTATTTCTGTGGGGTAAGTGGTAATATATTCTTTGTCATTTCTAACTGTTTATTTAGATCATTTCTCTTTTATTCTTTATTAGTGTAGCTATTGATCTATGTATTACATTAATTTTTTAAAAACAGCTTCTTGAATTATTGATATGAATGAGTTGTCATGTCTCAATCTCCTCCATTTTAGCTATTATTTTTGTTTTGTCTTCTGCTAGCTTTGGGGTTACTTTACATTTTTGGTTCTCTAGTTCTTATAGTTGTGATGTTAGATTGTTAAACTGAGATTTTTCTAACTTTTTGATTTGGGTATTTCATGCTGTAAACTTTACTTTTGACACTTCCTTAGCTGTGTCTCAGAAATTCTGGTATGGTATATCTTTGTTCTCATTATTTTAAAGAAGCTGTTGATTTCTGCCTTAATTTTATTATTTACTGAAAAGTCATTCAGGAGCAAGTGATCCAATTTCTGTGGAATTGTATGGTTTTGAGTGAATTTCTTAGTCTTCATTTCTAATTTGACTGTGCTATGATCCAAGAGATTGGTTGTTATAATTTCAGTTCTTTTGCATTTGCTCAGGAGTGTTTTAGTTCTGAGTGTGTGACTGATTTTAGAGTATGTGCCATGAGAATAAGTTACATTCTGTTGTTTGGGGATGAAGAGTTCTGTTGGCATCTATCAGGTCCGTTTGATACAGTTCTGAGTTTAGGTTATAAATATATTTGTTAATTTTCTATCTTGATGATCTGTTTAATATTGTCATTGGGGTATAAAATTCTTCCCTTTTTGTTGTGTGGGAGTCTAAGTGTCTTTGAAGGTTTCTAGAAAATTACTTTATTAATCTGGATACTCCTGCATTGGGTGCTTATTTATTTATTTATTTATGCTCTTGTTGCCCAGGCAGGAGTGCAATGGCGAGATCCTGGCTCACTGCAACCTCCACCTCCTAGGTTCAAGTGATTCTCCTGCCTCAGCCTCCTGAATAGCTGGGATTACAGGCATGCATCACCACACCTGGCTAATTTTGTCTATTTTTAGTAGAGATGGGTTTTCTCCATGTTTGTCAGGCTGGTCTTGAACCCCTGACCTCAGGTGATATGCCCGCTTTGGCCTCCCAAAGTGCTAGGATTACAGGCATGAGCCACCACGCCTGGTGGATGCATATATTTTTAGAATAGTTAGGTCTTCTTGTTTAATTTAATGCTTTGCCATTATGTAATGCCCTTCTTTGTATTTTTTGATCTTCATTGGTTTATTTTCTGTTTTGTCTGATATTAGGATTGCAACTCCTGCTTTTTTCTGTCTTTTTTTTTTTTTGGTCTTTTTCTTGTTTGCTTGGTAGATTTTTCTCTATCCCTTTATTTTTAGGCTATGTGTGTCATTGCATGTGAGATGGGTCTCTTGAAGACAGTACACAAATGGGTTTTGGTTCTTTATCCTGCTGGCCACTTTGTGCATTTTAATTCGAGTATTTAGTCCATTTACATCATTTACATTCATGGTTAGTATTGATATGCATGGATTTGACCCTCTCATTATTTTAGCTGATTATTTTGCAGACTTGTTTATGTAGTTGCTTTATAGTGTCCTGATCTGTGTACTTCAGTGTGTTTTCATAGTAGCTGATAATGCACTTTCTTTTTCACATTTAGTGCTTCCTTCAGGAGCTCTCGTACAGCAAGTCTGGTGGTAACAAATTCTCTCAGCATTTGCTTGTCTGAAAAGGATCCTATTTCTCCTTTGCTTATTAAGTTTAGTTTGGCCACATATAAAATGCTATGTTGGAATTTATTTTGTTTAAGAATGCTTAATATTCGCCCCCAATTTTCTCTGGCTTGTAGGATTTCTGCTGAGAGGTCCACTATTAGCCTGATGGGCTTCCTTTTGCAGGTGGCCTGACCTTTCTCTCTAGCTAGCTTTAACATTTTTTCTTTCATTTCAACCTTGAAGAATCTGATGATTATCTGTCCTGGGGATAATCTTCTTGTGAGTATTTCACTCTTACTGTCTTCGTTTCCTGAGTTTGAATTTTTGCCTTGCTAGCTAGTTTGGGAACTTTCTCATGGATGGTATATTAAAATATATTTTTTCAAGTTGGTTCTATTATTCCCATCTCTTTCAGGGACACCAATGAGCCATGTATTTGTTTTCTTTACATAATTTTATGTTTCTCAGAGGTTTTGTTTTTTCCTATCCTGCCTATTTTGTCTCTTAGCTCCTGCCTTATTTTATTATAATTCTTAGCTTTCTTGGGTTAGGTTTCAACTTATTTTTGTAGCTCAACATTCCTTATTTGTATCCATATACTTAATTTTATTTCTGTCATTTCAGCTATTTTAGCCCACTTTAGAACCCTTGCTGGATAGACTATGTGGCCATTTGAAAGAAGGAAGGCACTCTAGATGCTTGAGGTATCAGAGTTCTTGTCCTCGTTTGTTCTCATCTTTGTGGTCTTATGTTCCTTCAGTCTTTGAAGTTAGTGACTTTTGGATTTTTGAAGTTGTATTTGATGACCTTGAGGGTTTGATTTTGCTGTAAGGTGGTGTATTAGTCTGTTCTCATGCTGCTAATAAAGACATACTCAAGATGGGGTAATCTATAAAGAAAAGAGGTTTGGCCAGGCACGGTGGCTCCCATGCCTGTAATCCCAGCACTTTGGGAGGCTGAGGTGGGTGGATCACCTGAGATCAGGAGTTCAAGATCAACCTGGCCAACATGGTGAAACCCCGTCTCTAGTAAAAATAAAAAAAATTAGCTGGGCGTGGTGGTGCACACCTGTAATCCCAGCTACTCGGGAGGCTGAGGCAGGAGAATCGCTTAAACCCGGGAGGCAGAGGTTGCAGTGAGCTGAGATCATGCCACTGCACTCCAGCCCGGGAAACAAGCCTGTATTTCTTCTTCATATTTTAAGCATATATATGCTTAAATATATATATTAATATAAAATATATGTATTATATAAATATATCTTTATACTATATTTTAACTGACATATTTTAAGTGTTCAAGAAAAAAATTCTACACTAAGATAGTATATCTGGTAAAATATATATATATTTTTATATACAAAAACATATTTACATATTTTTATATACAAAAACATATTTACATATTTTTATATACAAAAACATATTTACATATTTTTATATACAAAAACATATTTACATATTTTTATATACAAAAACATATTTACATATTTTTATATACAAAAACATATTTACATATTTTTATATACAAAAACATATTTACATATTTTTATATACAAAAACATATTTACATATTTTTATATACAAAACATATTTACATATTTTTATATACAAAAACATATTTACATATTTTTATATACAAAAACATATTTACATTTTTTTATATACAAAAACATATTTACATTTTTTTATATACAAAAACATATTTACATTTTTTTATATACAAAAACATATTTACATTTTTTTATATATAAAAACATATTTATATTTTTATATATAAAAACATATTTATATTTTTTTATATATAAAAACATATTTATATTTTTTTATATATAAAAACATATTTATATTTTTTTATATATAAAAACATATTTATATTTTTTTATATATAAAAACATATTTATATATTTTTATATATAAAAACATATTTATATATTTTTATATATAAAAACATATTTATATATTTTTATATATAAAAACATATTTATATATTTTTATATATAAAAACATATTTATATATTTTTATATATAAAAACATATTTATATATTTTTATATATAAAAACATATTTATATATTTATAATATATAATATATAAATATAAATATATAATATATAATATTATGCATATTATATTATATATAATATAAAATATAAATATGGTATATATAAATATGTATTTGCATATTATATACAAATATATATTTATATGGTATATATAAATATATATTTGTGTATAAAATATAAATATATAAATATATTTATATATAAAATATGCACATTATGTATATATTTATATATTTTTTTACCAGATATACTATCCTAGGGTAGAATTTTTTTCCTTGAACACTTAAAATATGTCATGCAACTGTCTACTGACATATAAGCATTTCAGTGAAAAGTCTGCTTCCAGTTGTATTGAAACTGCATTGTATATTATTATTATTATTATTATTATTATTATTATTATTATTATTTTTTGAGATGGAGGCTTGCTGTGTCACCCAGGCTGGAGTGCAGTGGTGTGATCTCAGCTCACTGCAACCTCTGCCTCCTGAGTTCAAGCTATTCTCCTGCCTCAGCCTCCCAAGTAGCTGGGACTGCAGGCACGTGCCACCATGCCCAACTAATTTTTTTGTATTTTTAGTAAAGGCGGGGTTTCACCATGTTACCCAGGATGGTCTCGATCTCCTGACCTTGTGATCTGCCCGCCTTAGCCTCCCAAAGTGCTGGGATTACAGTCATGAGCCACTGCACCTGGCCTGCACTGTATAATCTTTGTTTCTTTCCTCTTGCTGCTTTTGGGATTGTTTCTTTATCCTTAATCTCTGGGAAACTGACTATTAAATGTTTTGAGGTATTCTTCTTTTTGTTAAATCTGTTTGATACTCTATAACCTTCTTGTACTTGAATATTTATATTTATCTCTAGGTTTGGGAAGTTCTGTGTTATTATGCCTTTGAATAAGCTTTCTGCCCCTATCTCTTTCTCTACCTATTTTTTGGGCCAATAATTCTTAGATTTGCCCATTTGAGGCTATTTTCTGGATGATGTAGGCATGCTTTGTTCTTTTTTATTCTTTTATGTTTTGTCTTCTCTGACTGTATTTTCAAATACCCTGTCTTCAAGCTTGGTAACTTTTTATTCTACTTAATCAGTTCTGCTATTAAAACTTTCAAATGCATTCTTCAGTACATCAATTGCATTTATCAGCCACAGAGTTTCTACTTAATTCTATACAATTACTGCAATTTCTTTTTTAAATTTATCTCACAGAATTATTGATTCCTTCTCTCTATTATTCTATTTTTTAAAATTTTCTCAAAGCAGCTATTTTGAATTATCTGTCTGAAAGGTCACATGTCTGTGTTTCTCCAGGATTGATCCCTGTTGCTTTATTTTGTACATTTGAGGAAGTAATGTTATTCTGGATTGTCTTGGTATTTATACCTGTTTGTCTGTGTCTGGGTACTAAAAAGTTAGGTATTTATTGTGCTCTTCACTATCTGGATTTCTTTTTACCTGTTCTTCTTGGGAAGGCATTCCAGATATTTGAAAAGACTTAAGTGTGTGCTCTAAGGTGTATCCTATTTAAGGGACATTCCAAACCTAGTATTGCTGTGATTGTTCTATACTCATAGAGATATTGCCTTTGTAGTCTTGGTTGAGATCCTGAATAATTCTCTGGATTACTAGGAAGAGACTCTTGTTCTCTTCCCTTATTTTACACCAAACTAACTGAGTCTCTCGATCTGTTCCAAGCCAGCTAAAGCTAGGAAAGGTGTAACACAAGCACCCTGTTGCCATCACTACTAGGACTTTCCTGGGTCAGACCTGATTCAATCACAGCACTTGGTCTTTCTCAAAGCCTGATGCAATACTTCCCTCACTACAGCCTATGTTTGCTCAAGATCCTGAGGTTGGCAATCATCAGGTGGCAAACCCAGCAAAGCTTTTGTCTTTCCATTCAGGGTGGCAAGTTTCCACAGGTCCTGGGCATGTCAAGAGGTGCTGTCCAGGAGCCAGGGACTAGATTGGAAAACCTTAGAAGTCTGCCTGGTGTTCCAATACACTGTTGTTCAGCTGGCATTCAAGCCACAAAACACATTCATTCTCACTCTTTCCTCCCCTTTCTAAAGTTACAGGAGCCTTACCTCATGGCCTCTGTCACCAGGCCCACAGGGATTACTACCAGAGTACCACCAATGTTTCCTTCAGTCCTGATGTCTCTTAAGTCAGCTTTCGTCGTGAATGCTGCTTGGCATGGGTCTCATCTTTCAGAGCAATGGGAATCACTCTGGTACAGGAAAGGCCCAGAAATGCTTTTCAGAAGCCAAATACTGGAATCAGGAACCCCAAGATCCTGCTTAGTGCTCTACCCTCCCCCTATGACTAAGCTAATACCTAAGGTGCAAATCCAAGTCCCTTTTACTTTTCTTTCTGTTTTTGTCAAGCAGAAGGTGTCTTGCCCCATAGTCATCACAGCTGGGAGTATGCTTATTCTCATCTTAACCCAGCAAGTCTCAGAGTCTCAGCCCAAGCTCTCAATGTAGCATTTGGGTATCACTCCTGGTTTTGCAGAGGCTAAAGCCTCTTCACTTAGCAGATAATTCTTCCAGGACAGGGTTCTTTCCTTCAAGGCAGAGAGCTCACTTCTGGCCTAGGGTGTGTCTAGAAATGTTGTCTCACAGCTATGTCCTGGAACGGGGACCTCATGACTCTGATCAATACCTTAGTCAGCTGTGGCTGAGTTGGTATCCAAGATGCAAGACAAAGTCCTACACACTCTTCTTTTCTCTCTCTTTATGCAGAGTAAAGGGGTCTATCTGGGAGCCTTGTGCTGTGCAGCCTGAGGTTAGAGAAGCATTGATGCCAGCACTCCTTTAGCTGCCCTGTTGTCCCTGTAGATTACTTGTCCACTTAGTTCTCTGGCTCTGGGCCCAGTTCAGCACTAGTACTTAACTAGGATTTACAGTCTTTTAGGCCTAGACTGCCTTTGAAGTTTATTTTGAGTCACACAGCACTTTAGCCCATTGTGGCAAGGCTTGCAGGATCTCAAGTTCTGACTACTGGGATTGGTGATTCTTCTCTGTCTGGAGCTGGTTTCAATGCTCCTCAGTGGGTGGGCATTATCTCAGTTTGGTTCAGTTTTACTTTCTGCTGTAACAGGGTAGCGGTGAGTTCAATGACTCACAATTGCTGACTCTCCCTCTCCCCAGAGCACAGGAACGCTTTTAACAGCACGCCATCACAGCTGGAGGATGAGGGTAGAGTGGGCATTGGTGATTCAAGACTGTTTTTTCTACCCACTCACTGTCTTTTTCAGTGACATGAAAGTAGAATCATGTACTGTGAGTGCTCACCTGATTTTTGGTTATTATAAAGGTGCTCATTTTGTGTAGATAGTTGTTAAATTGCCATGGAGATGATTCATGGAGCATTCTATTCCTTCATCTTGCTTCACCTCTTTCCTTTATTTTCTTTCTTCTATAATAAACAAACAAAAAAAAATTTGAGACAAGATCTTGTTGTGTCACCCAATCTGGAGAGCAAAGGCTTAATCATAGCTCGCTGCAACCTTAAAGTCCTGGGCTCAAGAGATCCTCACACCTCAGCCTCTCAGGTAGCTAGGACTACAGGTAAGAAACAGTACACTAAGCTAATTTTTGAATTTTTTGTAGAGATGAGGGGTCTCACTATGTTTCCCAGGCTGGTCTTGAACTTCCAGCCTCAAGCAATCCTCCCACCTCAGCCTCCCAACGTGCTGAGATTACAGACGTGAGCAGCCACATTTGGCCTAATTTTTTTCTGACATTTATATTTACCTTTGCATACGAGGCTGAAACAATGTGAGCAGTCACTTACCTCGGTCATATGCATACACTTTTGGTGAATTTTTTCTCTTTATTGTCTTTAGGTTTAAATGTGTAAGCTGTTTCAAATTTGGTGATATGTTTACTAATGGGTACTATTCCAACAAAGCTTTCTAAATAAAAGAAAAAAAACATTTAAATATCCTCTGGTAGTTGTAATAATACAATTGATTTATATGTGGAATTAAATTAATTTATTAATCATTTTGGTGTAAGCAAGGATAAACCTGAAGGTGCATGGCAAAAAAAAAAAATACTTTTATTGTTACCTTTTTCTGGTTATTGCTTTTCATTCCTTGTATAATCATTTCTTATCAATTATGAATCATAACATTCTAACAAAGAGATTGAGTGATTCTGAAGCAGTGTTGTTTTCTTGGGTAAATACCCAAGAATTGTCTCACTCCAAGGAAATTGAGGATGCAGACACAGAAGAAGTGAGATTCAGAGTGGAGGTTTAATAGGAGAGAGAAAAGAGAAAATCTCTCTCTCCTGCAGAGAGAGAGTGGATCCTAAGTGTGTCTCCCAGTTTCATGGTTAAATGCATGGGGTTTTATAGATGAGCTTGAGGAGGCACTGTCTGATTTACATAAGGCCCAAGAGATTGGTCAGGCCAGGTATGCCATTTACATAATATTTGAAGAAGCTGGCCATGCTTGACCCCTAGCTAGCCTTTTCAAGGCTGCTTTTAATTAAAAGGAAACCTTACTGAGGACTCTCTTACCCTCACTATCTGTCTAAATAATTTATTTCTAGCTCCTGTATCATTTCAGTATGGTATTCTTTCCATGTTCTCCTTGCTCATATCTAAATTTCTTGCCCATACAATTGTATCTCAGTGAATCATTTGGCCTAACTAGTTATAGAAACCAAAGATCAAAATTGAGATTTGCTCTAATTCAGACTAGTATGACTATAAATCCCATTTGTTTTTAAATATAGCAGGGGCATATTATACAAATCATGTTAATAATAGTCTAAGATTCAACTTCTTTTTTAATAATTACCATTTCATTTCAATTATTCACGGTAGCTCAAACTCATATGCCATCATGAAATTACACAAGACTGTTTTGAAGAGACAGAAAATGTTTCACACTGTGCTTTATTTCATTGGCAAAAAAGATGATTACGCTATGACACCCACAATTGTCCTTAAGAATATGATTTTATTTGTTGCTGGGCTTAGGTTTCTAAGATTATTTTGAATAATCCTATTTCATTCTTGAGTGCAAATAATGGAATTCTATGCTAGCTCAAATGTACATAAATACACATGAGTATTAACATGTATGCATATATGTATGTGTTATTCATAGAAAGGTTGAATTTCACAATTGTAGTAAAATTTGCATTTTACATATAAATTTTACATGGAGATAACTGTTGAATTTAATTTTTATTTGTGAAAGTAAGAGCATTTGAAAAGTATTGAAGGTTATGCATCTTCTATTATGGTATCTCTATTTTGGCCCCCAAATTAAGTAGGGTTTTATACATTAACTTTTCCTTCAAATTTAACTGCAGGCTTTAGGGTAGTCCATTTATAATATACTGCTATATTATCTTAATCAGTTTTGAATGTTTTTGATGTTCATTTGGGGATTACTAGGGAAAAGTGGCATAGGTGTGAAACTATGGTATTTACTATGCTTAGTGTTTTATAGATTCACATTAGACAAATATTCTCATCAGTTCAAGGAGTAGAGCATAATTGAGGATAGAAGAAATAAATAAGCATACTCTAATATCCTTGAAGGAAGAATTGAGTTCCTGGTTTTAATTAAGACAATTAATACAGGATAGATTTTTTTATGCTACGTAATTTGACTGGTTGGCTTAATTATTTAGGAAATTATATGTTTTATTTACATAAAGACTAACTTTGTTTAAACAATGAAATATTCTGTGTTTTCTGAAAGGCTTATTTTCTGCTCTTTTTGTCCTCTAGATTGAAAAGACATAAAGCTGAATAGTCTTCGCATAAGTGTATTTTTTTCTCTCCTATTTTATGTCTCATCTCCTTAAGAGGGCAGTGCTATACTCCATAGTGGAAGAAACTCGGACTTTTGTGTCCAACAATTATGAGTTGGAATTGTAACTCTTTTTCATTCATGCATTTATTCAATCAGTATTTATTGAGAAAGACTGTGGAGATGATGGAGAACAAAAGCTCTCTTTGATTTATAGTTTATTGAGGTAAATAGCCAAGAAAGAAATCAGTTAAAATGTTGACTATTTTTGTTGTCTTCTTTAAGAAAAGTCTATGAGATGTAGATTTGCATGCCACATTTGTTATGTGGGCAGGTGAGATACTCTCAGAATCAACATCTATGAGGGGCAGAAGACAAAAAGATTGGACAGAGGGAGCTGAACCAGATAAAATGTTAACAAAGACCTCAGCAGGTCCCTCTGGATACTCTAGAATGGATATGATCTTCAAAAGTTATGTCACCTTGAGGCAGTGATTCTGGACCTTTACATACCTGCATTTGCCAGTCATTGAATGTTGTGTACTTCAGGAAAGGAGGTATGGTCTTAAGGTAAAGGCTCAGCTACCAATGTTTGTAAGCAGCTGGAGGACTAAGTACCTAAGTTCTGAAAGAGAGCTGGGTGGTTTAACAAAGTATCCGTGACTCAGCATTGTATGTGCTTTATTAGCACCCATACAAGTGTACGCTAAGACCAGATAGGAGACGTATTTAACCAAGATAGAAGAGCTAGGGAAGTTTGCTTAAACAAAGTAACCTCCAAAATTTAACCTGTAGAATGAAGAGTTTGGAGGACTAATATTAGGAGCTATGTAGGTAATTTCAAATACAAATAGACAAGGCAAAAGAGAACATTAATGAGTGCTGAGAAAACTGAAATAAACATGTGATTAGATTTAGAATTAGGAGGAGAGCTTTGAGAGATGAGGGCAAAGAAGTTAATGGACTAGATACATCTTCTCTACCATGCTGAATTATTTCTAAGGGCCATGTGACTTTGAGCAAATTACTTCTCCCCACTGTGCTTTACTTTCTTTATCTATATAATATGAAAAAAAAAATACCCACTTCAAATGATTATACTAAGGATTGAGTGAGATTACATAAAGTGTAAGTATAGTACCTGGCAGGTGGTAGGCACCCTTCCATGTAGAAGTGTACAAGGCAGCGTTTAGCCTTAAACAAATAAGTGATAGTTGAAATCGTTGGAAGTTTAGTGTACATCAGGGAGGCTTCATACTAAATATTTTGTTTTACTCTTTAATGATAGGAATTTTAGCATTCTTTAATATTGTACATCAAAATTTATCTTTCTAAAAAGAGTAAAAAATTGCAGTATGAGATATCTTGCTTCATGTGGGTGAAAATAGGAAGAAGGAATACTAAATGTAGACAGAAATGTGACAGAAAAAGAGATAGCAACATTATAGATTTTGCCTATTTTAAAATTGAACATTCTCTCAGCCCTGGAAATACATAACTTGTGTTACATATTTTTATAAGTAAAAAAGTCTTTTTGTTTTTGTTTATTTGTTAGTCAGGAATGAAAACCGTCATCTGTCTCTGGGTGGAATATAGTGAGGGGGGTCCAGGGCTTTTGAGCTGGTGGTAGTCTAAGTTGAGATGGCTTATTTAGAGAGCTATTTGGCAGTGTGTATAAGGATTCAAACATTGTTTATACCTTTTGACTTATAATTCACGTATAGTAATTGAAGCTTAGTAAATAATTAGTAATCGGCATCATGTTTATGCACAGGAATATTAATCACAATGTTATTTATAAGGAAATAGTTGAAAATAAAAGAAAATAAACGTAAAATAGTTATGTACATTTAGGTATGTTCACACAGAAGACTACTGGCCAACATTTAAATTTCAGCTTTATGAAAAACACATTCGAACGCTTTTATACTGTTGGTGGGAGTGTAAACTAGTTCAACCATTGTGGAAGACAGTGTGGCGATTCCCCAAGGATCTAGAACTAGAAATACCATGTGACCCAGCAATCTCATTACTGGGTATATACCCAAAGGATTATAAATCATGCTGCTATAAAGACATATGCACATGTATGTTTAGCAGCACTATTCACAATAGCAAAGACTTGGAACCAACCCAAATGTCCATCAATGATAGACTGGATTAAGAAAATGTGGCACATATGCACCATGGATTATTATGCAGCCATAAAAAAGGATGAGTTCATGTCCTTTGCAGGGACATAGATGCAGCCGGAAACCATCATTCTGAGCAAACTATCACAAGGACAGAAAACCAAACACCACATGTTCTCACTCATAGGTGGGAATAGAACAGTGAGAACATTTGGTCACAGGGTGGGGAACATCACACCCTGGGGCCTGTCATGGGGTGGGGGGCAGGGAGAGGGATAGCATTAGGAGAAATACCTAATGTAAATGACGAGTTAATGGGTGCAGCAAACCAACGTGGCACGTGTGTACCTATGTAACAATCCTGCACGTTGTGTACATGTACCCTAGAACTTACAGTATAATTAAAAAAAAAAAAAAGAAAAGACAAAAAAACACATTCGTCCTCCAGTATCTGTGAGGGTTTGGTTCCAGGATTCCTCATGGATACCAAAATCCATAGATGCTTAAGTCTCTTATATAAAATGGCATAGAATTTACATATAACTTATGCATATCCTCTCATATACTTTAAATTATCTCTAGATTGTTTGAAACACCTAATAAAATGTAAATTTTAGGTAAATAGTGGTTATATTTTGTTTTTTAAAGTGTTATTTTCTGTTCTTGTATTATTATTTATATAGTTTTTCCAAACATTTTCAATGTATGGTTGGTTGAATCTATGAAACTCATGGATACAGAAGGCCAATTGTATTTATTACACAGTCAAATTTGTGTTTTGTAAAATAAAAAACAGTATATAAGACTTTGTGGAGAATGCTCACATTTTTTTAACACACACCCACACATACACAGAAATAGGTTGGAAAACATAAACCAAAATTTTAATAAAGATATTTCTGGGTGTGGAAATATGCATGTTAGTACTTTTTCTCTATTTTACTGAGCAGTATTTTTCAGTTTTTGGGAATGCACATGTGATATGGTTTGGCTCTGTGTCCCCACCAAATCTCATCTGGAATTGTACTCCCATAATTCCCACGGGTTGTCAGAGGAACCCGGTTCGAGATAATTTGAATCATGGGAGTGGTTCCCCCATACTGTTCTCATGGTAGTAAGTGTCACGACATCTGATGATTTGATCAGGGGTTTCTGCTTTTGCATCTTTCTCATTTTCTCTTGCTGCTGCCATGTAAGAAGTGCCTCTCACCTCCCACCATGATTCTGAGGCCTTCCCAGCCATGTGGAATTGTAAGTCTAATTAAACCTATTTTTATTTCCAGTCTCAGGTATGCCTTTATCAGCCGCATGAAAACGGACTAATACAACCTGCAATACTTTATATTCACAAAATTTTTATCTTTTAAAAGTAACACTTTATTCAGTAAAGTATTGTCAGAGTCTGTTTTACTGAGACTTCCAAGTAGTTTTTAAATGGCTGTGGCCAAAGGAAAGAAGTCATCCTCTGAATGATGATATTTCCCACTTTCTTGTTTTTTAAGAGATTAAATATTGCTTAAGATGTACTTTGACCTCCCTGAGTGAAAGAGCTTTGAATCTTAAAATATTATTTTGGCAACATTCAATATTCTATCAATTTTAATGCATACAATATTCTCTAAATTGTGTTTTTGTGACTATGATACCTTTATATTTGGAAACAGAATCATTTTACATTTGTAATAATAAAAAAAGAAACTATAAGCAAACGGATGTACTGCCTTCCCTGTATAAATAGACTGCAAATTTTGCAATATTCAGCCTGGAATGATTGAAGTAAAGGCATGATATAATTAAAATATATAAAATCAGAATACCCCATTTTTGGATACTCATTGTAGCCTAAAACATACTATTATATGCAAAAAAATCAAAAGAAAAGTGATATATCAGAAGGTGATACATACTGAATATAACAAAAAACATAATGGTTTACAAAGGCATTTAGATAAATTCATGGATATTTGATTTGTATTACTATTATAGGAAGCTGGTTATATTTAAAGCATCTTTTCTTGTCAGAAATTGTACTTGTCCTTGTTTTATATTCATAAGTCATTGCCTCATTTACCACTATTGTGGTTTAAGCTTTGTAGGCATGGGGATTGTGCTCTTTTCACTAATTTGTCTATCCACTGAAGTGTCTACTACATTGTATATATATTGGAAGCTCAATTAATATATTGGATTGTATTGAACAATCATTTATTCCAAGAAAACAGCCATTAAGCATAATAATGAACTGGTTAAACTATTCGTAGCACATAAAGGGTTAATTTAATAAAGACAGAAATTCTGATATTTGAAATCAAGAATTCCCACTAGCAAGTAAAAGTTATGTGCCACTTGTACACAAGAAAAAATAAGATTGAAAAGAATCAAGATAATATAGCTCTTTCTGCAATGATTAATATATGATGCACACCTATATAAAATACGTAGTAATGCTTTTTGATGAACAGAATTAGGGGACTCTATCTCTTATATTTTAGATCCTTAAGGCCATTGGAATACATATATACAGAAAAGATATATGTATTTATAATATAATGTTGAGTTAAATTAAGTGTGTTAAAGACATATTTCTTTCACACTATGTGTTTGTAAAAATTGCACAGGAATGCCCACATCCTGAGTACACTAAGAGCAATTGAAGTCATTTGTTGAAATATAAGTGTTTTATAATGATTTTCTTTTTAGATGTCAATGAATTGAGGATAGTTTATTAATACTGTCTACATTTCTAACACACTTTATTAAAGAGTAGGATACTGGAAGCCCTCTAAAATTCAAAGTACAATAGGAATAGCAACATGCACACTAGCCTCAGGAGCTAGTATGTCCTCTGTGCACATGTGCTTATGATCTAGTCATAAAGCTAAGGAATAAAAAACTAGGAACTAACTGTTTATTAGAGAGGATGAAGAATAATACAGAGGATGGGTCACTTACCTCCAGAGATTGGAAAGAGAGAGAGAGATGGAGAGACAGAGACAGAGAAAGAGAGAACACTTCAATAAAGTTATAGACCACTGCTTATAAAATCAAATTTTAAAGACATTTATTTGGGAAATGCTTCAACTGAAAAGAACCCATTTTGCTTTAACGCCAATAAATCTTATTCTCCCCAACTGCAGTAGGAGAAAATAGGTTGTCAGAAACCCTCTGAGACTTCTCTGCTAAAGATTTTCAGTAGTCTGAAAAAATGCAAGGATTCACAAAAAGGGAAATCATTATCCTTCTTGTCATGTAGTCCCAGGAGTTTGCACATTATAAACCTGGGTCTGTGAAGTCCACATAAGAAGGACTTGTCTGGATCTGGGGAAGAACAATGTAACATCTCCCTGGTAATGATGTGCATTATAATCATGATCATCGTCATGATCATGATGATTACATTTCGGTAGTGCTTTATCATTTACAAAGCATTTTAATATATATTGTCTTTTTCCTCACAATACACCTACAAGTTAATTAGGGCAAGAAAACTGGCCCTGCTTCATAAATAATTAAACAGGGACCCAGAGTGAGTCCATCTTCCGCCTAAGGTCACAAAGGAATGGAAACCTTTGCCTTCCAAATTATAATTCAGTGTTCTTTCCATTGAGATGTGGGTGTAAGCAGGGAGGTGAATAGAACTCTTCAATATAAAGATTTCCCTGGATTATAAAGGTTAAAAAGTTATTTCACATTTAATTCACGATGACTTGATCCTAGTTCTGGACTTAGGTAAATGAGGCTGGATTACTGCACCACTGATATAGTAGAATTACCTTGACAAGTAAGTGAGTTTACTTCTCTGAACTTCAGTTTCTCTTTTTTTTAAATGAAAAAATTCATTTCTTGCAGTGTGATTGTGGGATAAAATGAGACAAAATATCTGAAGGTGTCATGAACATCTGAAGTAGCCAATAAAGATTTGTTCTACTTTCTTTCATTCTCAGAGAGAGGTGAGGTTAGAAAACTCAGGCACTTACTGGCCACAGATTGAACTCAGAGAATCATTACAGTCGGGAGGGGTTTAGCGAATCCAGACATGAAGTTCAGAGTTTAGGGCATCTGAGATACAATCACTAAGAAACAGAAAGCACTAATATAAACTCTGTCCTAGGGGATAGGGTTTTGAGCTCTGTTCTCTTTTATATGCCCTGCTATATGTAGGGGAATAAATATACTTAAAATGAGAGAGAAAGTTAAAACACTGCAGATTCATACTGGCCCTGATCCATGCAGGAAAAATTATGCAGGCTCTTCCTTCACTCTCTCACAGTTTTGCCACAAATAGTCAATAAGTAGGTATCCAGTAGCAGCCAACTATATAGGGTATTGCAACTTCATAAATAATTCTGTAGGAGCCAAAATTATTTTTTATTGCCCATCTATGTTTGGTGCTCTATTGCATTTGGTAGTGAGAGTTAAATGTAATAAACTGCATTGTTGCATACAGGTCAAACATTTCTTTTAGAGGAAGTGCCTGAAAGGTAATGAGAATATATAGCCTGATTGCTTTATATGTAATAGGACAAATACAGCTGTTGATTAAAAGATTATTGTGCTTTTATTTTTTGGCATGGCCATAGTCCTTAAGACCTTTATCTTAGTGCTAGATTTTGCTATGAAGTTCTTATACAAACATTTATATTAGTTATTACTTATGTGTTGGGTACATTGAGGCTATTTTGGGGGTAAGTACTATTAATTTTTTGTTATGCTGAATGTTTAATCTTGGAATTCACTGTGAAAGTACAAAGGCCAATGTTATTAGCACAAACTGAAAGGCAGAGAGTATGGATGACTTTTTTTTTTACAAATTTATTTTTAAAAAGCAAGCTTTGATATCATGCAACATAATAATTTGGTTCTAAACAAGGGATCCATGATCTTACTTATCTTTAGCAAAACAGTATCATAAGTCATATTCAGATTTAACAAAACCATGAAAAATCATTTAGTGCATATTGTGTTAGAATGTGTGAAAATAATAAAGAGAATATCACAGAGAGTATCACCAAGTGAATTTTGTTTTGGTGTTCAAATTTTGACATCTTGTTGATTTCTAACTGCTTTTACTTTTTATACTTCTTTTAAAAAGTAGCTTATTACATAGACTTCAAGTAGAATTATGAATGATATTTATTGTTTCTTAGGAATGAAAATGGGCTATATACCATGTATACTTGTGTTTAATAAAGTATTTTTTTGTTGGAAGTGGAACAGAAGGACAAAGCAAGTATGACTTAAATTTATTTAATGATTTAATGATGTAATTTATTCTCTAGTACAACTACTGCATTTTACTAAATTCAACAGTTCCATATCTGGAAGGACCAAGTCAATTGCCCAACTCACTCCTTGAAACTTTAAGGGCTATACAAATTGGGGAATACTCAACTGCTCTGAATGTTCATAAATTTGCAAGATGTTGGAGCTTCTTATCGTATTTCCCTCAGAAAAACATAACAGATATTACCATATTAGAGGCTCTGAAAAGCCATGAGGTGCAAACATCAATTAAAACTTTTTATCAATCAAATTTTTTTTAACTTTTATTTTAAGTTCAGGGGTACATGTGTAAGTTTGTTATACAGGTAAACTTGTGTCATGGGGGTTTGATGTACAGATTATTTTGTTACCCAGGTATTAAGTCTAGAACCAAATAGTTATTTGTCCTTATTATCTCTCTCCTTCTACCCTCCACCTTCCGATAGACCACAGTGTGTGTCAGTCCCCTCTATGTGCTCATGTGATCTCATGTGAGCTCCCACTTAAAAGTGAGAACATGCAGTATTTGGTTTGCTGTTCCTGGGTTAGTTTGCTAAGGATAGGTCTCCACTTCCAACCATGGTGCTGCAAAGGACACTACCTTATTCTTTTTATGGCTGCAAAGTATTCCATGGTGCATATGTACCACATTTCCTTTATCCAGCCTACCACTGATAAGCATTTAGGTTGATTCTATGTCTGTGCTATTGTAAATAGTGCTACAATGAACATATGTGTGCATGTGCCCTTATGATAGAATGATATATTTTCCTTTAAGTATATACCCAGTAATGGGATTGCTGGGTTGAATGGTATTTCTGTTTTTATGTCTTTGAGGAATTGCCACACTGTCTTCTGTAATGGTTGAACTAATTTAAACTCCCGCCAATAATGTATAAACATTCCTTTTCCTCTGCAACCTAACCAGCATCTGTTATTTTTTGACTTTTTAATAACAGCCATTGCCACTGTTGTGAGATGGTATCTCACTGTGGTTTTTATTTTATTTTATCTTATGATCAGTGTCATGAGTTATTTTTTATATAATTGTTGGCCATATGTATGTCTTCTATTGAAAAGCGTCTGCTTATGTCCTTTGCCCACTTTTTAATGGGGTGGTGTTTTTTTTGTAAATTTGTTTGAATTTGTTATAGATTGTAGATATTAGACCTTTGTCAGACGTACAGTTTGCAAATTTTTTTCCATTCTGTAGGTTGGCCTTTTCACTCTGTTGATAGTTTCCTTTGCTGTGCAGATTTTTAGTTTCATTAGATTCCATTTGTCAATTTTTGTTTTTGTTATTATTGCTTTTGGCATCTTTATCATGAAATCTTTGCCTATTCCTATGCCCAGGATAGTATTGCCTAGGTCATCTTCCAGGGTTTTTATAGTTTTGAGCTTTACATTTAAGTTTTCAATCAATCTTGAGTTAATTTCTGTATATGTTGTAAGAAAAGGGCTAAGTTTCCATTTTGGGGATATAACTAACCAGTTATCCCAGCACCATTTATTGAATAAGGAATCCTTTCTTCACTGCATATTTTTGTCAGATTTGTCAATGATCAGATAGTTGTAGGTATGAGGTCTTATTTCTCGGTTCTCTATTCTGTTCCATTGGTCTATGAGTCTGTTTTTGTGCCAGTAGCATGCTGTTTTGGTTACTGCAGCACTCTAGTGTAGTTTGAAGTAGGGCAGCGTGATGCCTCTAGCTTTGTTCTTTTTGCTTAGGATGTCGTTAACAATGTGGGGTCGTTTTTGATCCATATGAATTTTAAAATAATTTTTCTATCTGTGAAGAAGGTCAGTAACTTAATAGGAACAGCGTTTAATCTGTAAGTTGCTTTGTGCAGTTCAGACATTTTAATGATATTGATTCTTTCTATTAATGAACAAGGAATGTTTTTCTATCTGTTTGTGTCATCTCTGATTTCTTTGAGAAGTGTTTTGTAGTGCTCCTTGTAGAGATCTTTAACCTTCCTGATTAGCTGTATTTCTAAGTTTTTTATTCTTTATTTGTGGCAGTTTTGAATGGGATTGCATTCCTGATTTGTCTCTTTGCTTGACTGTTGTTGGTGTATAGGAATGTGTGATTTTTGCACATTGAGTTTGTTTCCAAAGACTGCTGAATTTGTCTGCCAGCTTAAGAAGCTCTTGGGCAGATACTATGGGGTTTTTTAGATGTAGAATAAACTCTGCTGCAAACAATGATAGTTTGTCCTCCGCTCTTCCTATTTGGATGCAATTTATTTCTTTCCCTTGTCTTGTTGCCTGGCCAGGACTTCCAGTATTATGTTTAATAAGAGTGATGAGACAGGGCCTTTTTGTTTAGCACTGGCTTTCAAGGGGAATGCTCTCAGCTTTTGCTCATTCAGTATGAAGCACAGTGGCTGTGGGTTTGTCTTAGATGTCTCTTATTATTTTGAAGTATGTCTCTTCAATACCCAGTATATTGAGAAATTTTAACCTGAAGTTGTGTTGAATTTTCTTGAAAGGCTTTCTGTATCTGTTGAGATAATCTTTCATTTTTTTATTTAATTATATTTATTTGATGAGTCACATGTATGGATTTGTGTATGTTGAACCAACCTTGCATCTAAGGGGTAAAGCCTGCTTGATAATGGTGGATAAGCTTTTTGGTGTGCTGCTGGATTTAGTTTTGTCAGTATTCTGTTGAGGATTTTTGCCTTAATGTTTGTCAAGGATATTGTCCTGAAGTTTTCTTTACCTGTTCTGTCTCTGCCAGGTGTTGGTATCAGAATTATGTTAGCTTCACAGAATGAGTTAGGTAAGAGTCTTTATTTATCAACTTTTTGAAATAATGTCAACATGAACGCTAACAGCTCTTTTTTGTACATCTGATAGAATTCAGCTGTGAATCTGTCAGGTCCTGGGCTTTTTTTGGTTTGTAGGCTATTTATTACAGACTCAATTGCAGAGCTCATTATTAGTCTGTTTAGGGATACAGTTTCTTCCTGATTCAGTCTTGAGAGGGTGTATGTGTCAAGGAATTTATTCATTTCTTCTAGAATTTCTAGTTTGTGTCCATAGAGATGTTTATATTATTCTCTGATGGTTCTTTTTATTTTCTGTAGGGTCAGTGGTAATATCCCCTTTGTCATTTCTGATTGTGTTTATTTGAATCATCTCTCTTTTCTTCATTTTTAGTTTAGCTTGCAGTCTAATTTATTAACTAAAAATACAGCTCTTGGATTTGTCAATATTTCGAATGTTTTCTTATGTCTCAGTCTCCTTCTTTCTTGTCTTCCCCTAGCTTTGGGATTTGTTTTCTCTTGGTTCTCTGGTCCTTATAGTTGTTATGTTAGGTTACTAACCTGAGGTCTTTCTAATTTTTTGATGTGGATATTTAGTGCTATGAATTTCCCTGTGAACACTGGCCAGAGGAACTTAACTATGTCCCAGAGATTCTGGTATGTTCTATATTTGTTTTGATTAGTTTCAAAAAACTTCCTGATTCTTGCCCTAATTTCACTATTTACCCAAAAGCCACTCAGGAGCTGGCTATTCAATTTCTGTGGAATTGTATGGTTTTGAGTGAATTTCTTAGTCTTGATTTCTACTTTGATTGCATTGTGGTCTAAGATATTGTTATAATTTCAGTTATTATTTAACATTTGCTCAGGAGTGTTTTACTTCCAATAATGTGATCAATTTTAGAGTGTTTGCCATGTTGTAACAAGAAGAATGTATGTTCTGTTGTTTTTGGGTAGAGAGTTTTGTAGATATCTATTAGTTACATTTAATACAGTCATGATTTCAGATCATAAATATCTTTGTTAATTGTCTTTCTCAATGATCTATTATTGTTAATGGAATCTTACACTATCTCATTATTGCATGGGAGTCTAAGTCTCTTTGAAGGTCTCTAAAAAGTTGCTTTATGAATCTGGGTGCTCATGTATTGGGTGCAAATATACTTAGTATAGTTACATCTTGTTAAATTGAACCTTTTACCTTTATGTAATGCCTTTCTTTGTCTTTTTTGATCTTTGTTGGTTTAAAGTCTGCTTTGTCTGAAGCTAGGATTGCAACCTCTGCTTTCTTTCTGTTTTTCATTTGCTTGGTAGATTTTTCTCCATCTTTTTTTATTTTAAATCTATGTGTTTCATTGCATGTGAGATAAATCCCTTGAAGACAGCATACCAATGGGTCTTGGTTTTTTATCCAGCTTGCCACTCTATGTCTTTTAATTAGGGTATTTAGCCCATTTGCATTCAAGGTTAGTATTGATATGTGTGAATTTGATTCTGCCAACATAATGTTAGCTGGTTTTTTTGCAGAAGGTTTTTATGTGATTACTTTATAGTATCCCTGATCTGTGTACTTAAGTATGTTTCTCTAGTAGCTGGTAATGCTCTTGCCTTCCCATATTTCATGCTTCCTTTACAAGTTCTTGTATGGTAGGTCTGGTGGTAACAAATTCCCTCAGCATTTGCTTGTCTGAAAAAAAATCTTATTTCTCCTTTGTTTATGCAGCTTAGTTTGGCTGGATATAAAATTCTGGGGTGGAATTTATTTTCTTTAGGAATGTAGTATATTGGATCTCTTCTGGCTTGCAGGATTTCTGCAGAGAGGTTTGTTTTTAGTCTAATTGGCTTCTCTTTGTAGATTATCTGACCTTTCTCTCCAGCAGCCTTTAACCTCATTTCTTTCATTTTGACCTTGGAGAAGCTGATGATTAAGTGTCTTGGGGATTATCTTCTTGTGAAGTGGAGTTCTCTACATTTCCTGAAATATAATGTTGACCTCTCTAGTTAGGTTGGGGGAGTTCTTATAGATGGTATCATAAGATATGTTTTGCAAGTAGGTTCCATTCTTTCCAACTCTTTCAGGAACACCAATAGGTCATAGATTCAGTCTCTTTACATAATCCTATATTTCTCTGAGATTCTGTTCATTCATTTTAATTCTTTTTTCTCTATTATTGTCAGACTATGTTATTTCAGAAAGCTAGTCTTCAAGCTTCGAAATTTTTGCCTTTGCTTTCTCTATTCTGCTATTAATACTTGTGATAGCATTATGAAATACTAATATTGTGTTTTTCAGCTCAATCAGGTTGGTCATGTTCTCTTCTATAATGGCTATTTTGTCTGTCAGCTCCTGCATTGTTTTATTATAATTTTTAGCTTCCTTGAAATGGATTTCAACATACACTTGTAGCTCAATTATCTTCATTCTTACTTATATTATGAATTATATTTCTGTCATTTTAACCATCTCAGCCTGGTTCAGAACCCTTGCTGCAGAGGTGATGTGATCATTTGGAGGAAAGAAAGCATTCCGGCTTTTTGAGTTTTGAATGTTCTTATGCTGATTCCTTCTCATTTTTGTGGGCTTACTTACCTTCAATCTTCAAGGTTACTAACCTTTGGATATTCTTTTTTACTCTTTTATTCCTATTTGATGACCTTGAGAGTTTGATTCTGGTATAAGGTGGATTCAGCCTACTGTCTTGGTTTCTAGAAGATTTTAGGGCACCAAAACTCATCTCTCAACTCCTGGACTCTTCCTTAACTTTAGGACAATTTTATTGGACTCTGACTTTGGTCTGTGGCTTCCTGAGGTTTGGAATCCACTGAACTGGGGGTGCTGAAGTGTGGATCCTGTGGCAGAGTGCTAGCAGATCCCAGGGTGCCTGCCTTCCTGTGAACATTCACCACAGTGGCAGAGGCAACACAGCTGGGGGGATGCAGAGGATTCCTGCTCGTAACTGTGCATGGTCATGCTAGAAATGGTGTTGGCTTGGGGGTGGGGTGTTGACAGGCACAGGTCTAAGTGCTTTCTCTCTGTCCCAAAAGCAGGAGTGATCACTTAGTGTGAGGGAGAATATGCTGTTCTTTTTCTAGTGTTATCCCAAGGGCAGGGTGCTGTCAGGGGTGGGGTTGACTGGCTCTGTGCCTGCCATGGCTCCATCTGCAATGGTTCTTGGTAGGGGGAAGGAGGGCCCACTATACTTCTGCATACTGGTAGGGCAAGAAAAGGAAAAACTGCCTCTGCAGACACATGCCAGCAAAACTATATGGGGAGTTTCCATGGACCCGGGAGAAGCTTTAGTATGAGGAGGGAGCATGCAAGTTGCTGTGTGACCATAGGGGCCACCCTACTGGAGGCCTCTGCCAGTCTGGCATGATCCACTAGCACAGAAGCTATGATGCAGGTCCCCAGGGCACCTGAGACTGCCCTGCAAGCAGGAATGGCCAGGCTGAGACCCCAGGAGAGGCCACAAGACCAATAGGTGCTCAGACTAGACTAGCCTCATCAGATGGGCAACATGGACCTGCAGAGATCAGGTCTGACAGTTCCCCTAGGGCTTAAGTATACTATGGCGGCAAGTTAAGTTTAGCAGGATGACTGTCTCTTGCCATACTCTGCTACAGATGCTCCAGCACCAAACCCTCTGGGCTCCACATCAGCGGGCTTGCTGCCCCTACAACTTCTCTAAGTAGCTATCCCTGCCAACTCTTGTGTACGTGGTGCTTTAGGGGTCTCCTCCTGTTGGAGTTCCTGAGGCCTATGGCAAGAGCAGGTTGCTCCTGGCCAGTTCAACTCACCCATTTCCCCAGAGACTTTGTGGCCCAGTGTGTAGTAACCACGTGCAGGGTTCCCAGATTTCTCCCCATTCGGCCAAGCTTCTGTGTCTTTCCTCTATGCACTCTTGGTGCCTTCCCTCTGAAGATCTGTTAGAAGCATACCAGTTATCTTGTTCCCTCCATGGAAGCTGTTCCACCCGGCTGTGTCTAGTTGGCCATCTTCTATATGTTTATTTTTAATCAATACAATATTTCCCACATTTTCTTAACTAGAGATGATATAGTTTGGCTCTGCGTTCCCACTCAAATCTTGTCTGGAGCTGTAGTCCCCACATGTCAAGGGAGGGACCTGGTGGAAAATGACTGGATCATGGAGGCAAATTTCCCCCTTGCTGTTCTCGGTATGGTGAGGGAGTTCTCATGAGAAATGGTTCTTTGATAAGTGTTTAGTGCTTTCTCCTGTGCTTTCTCTTTTTCTCCTGCCACCATGTAAGACATGCCTTGCTTCCACTTCATCTTGTGCCATAATTGTAAGTTTTCTGATGCCTCCCCAGCCATGCAGAACTGTCAGTTAGTTAAACCTCTTTTGTATATAAATTACCCCATCTCAGGTAGATTTTTTATAACAGTGTGAGAATGGACTAATACAGAAAATTGGTACCAGAATAGTGGGATACTTCCGTAAAGATAACCTGAAAATATGGAAGCAAGGTTGTAACTGAGTAACAGGCAGAGGTCGAAAGTTTGGATGGCTCAGAAGAAGACCAGAAGATGTGGGAAAGTTTGGAACTTCCTGGAGACTTGTTGAGTGATTTTGACCAAAATGCTGATAATGATATGGACAATGAAGTCCAGGCTGAGGTGGTCTCAGATAAAGATGAGGAGATTATTGGAAATTGAAGCAAAGGTCACTCTTGCCATGCTTTATCAAAAAGACTGGAAGCATTTTGCCTCTGCCCTAGAGATCTGTGGATATTTGAACCCGAGAGAGATGGCCTGACATTGGGACTTATGTTAAAAGGGGAAGCAGAGCATAAAAGTTTCAAAAAATTTGCAGCCTAACCATGTGGCAGAAAAGAAAAAGCATTGTCTGAGGAGAAATTCAAGCCAGCTTCAGAAATTTGCAGTAGCCAAATGTTAAAAGCCAAGACAATGGGGAGAATGTCTCCAGGGCATCTCAGAGATCTTTGTGGCAGCCCCTCCCATTATAAGTCAAGAGGCCTAAGAGAGGGAAATGGTTTCCAGGTCCAGGCCTTGGGTCCCACTGCTCTGTGCAGCTCTGGGACATGATACCCTGCATCCCAGCCACTCCAGCTTCAGCTGTGGCTAAAAGGGGCAAAGGTATAGCTTGGGCTGTTGCTTCAGAGAGTGGAAGCCCCAAGCCTTGGTGGCTTCCACATGGTGTTGGGTCTGCGGGTATGCAGAAGACTAAAGTTGAGGTTTGGGAACCTCTTTCTAGATTTCAGAGGACATACAAAAATGTCTGTATGTCCAGGCAGAAATCTGCTGCAGGGGCAGGGCCCTCATGGAGAATCTTGGCTAGGGCAATGCAGAAGGAAAATGTGGGGTTGGATCCCATGCACAGAGTTCCTACTGGGACACTGCCTAGTGGAGCTCTGAGAAGAAGACCAACGTCTTTCAGACCCCAGAATGGTAGATTCACAGACAGCTTGCCCCATGTACTTCAAAAAGTCACAGGCACTCAACACCAGCCTGTGAAAACAGTCACAGGACTGTACCCTGCAGAGCCACATGGGGGGAGCTGCTGAAGCGCATGGGAGCCCACCCTTTGCATCAGTGTGGCCTGGATATAAGGCATGGTGTCAAATGAAAGTATTTTGGAGCTTTAAGATTTAATGGCTGCCCTGTTGGATTTCAGACTTGCATGGGGCCTGGAGCCCCTTTGTTTTGGACAATTTCTCCTATTTGGAATTGGAGCATTTACCCAATGCCTGTATCCGCATTGTATCTTGGAAGTAACTAACTTGCTTTTGATTTTACAGGCTCATAGGTGGAAAGAAATTGCCTTGTCTTAAATGAGACTTTGGACTTGAACTTTTGAGTTAATGCTGGAATGAGTTAAAACTTTGGGGGAACTGTTGAGAAGGCATGATTTGTTTTAAAATGTGAAAAGGATATGAGATTTGGGAGGGGCCAGATGTTGAATATGATTTGGCTCTGTGTTGGCACCCAAATCTCATCTGGAATTGTAATCCCTGCCTGTTGAGGGAGGGAACCTGGTGGGAGGTGATTGGATTATGGGGACAGTTTCCCCTATGCCATTCTCATAATAGTGAGAGAGTTCTCATGAGATCTGATGGTTTTAAAAGTGGCAGTTTTCCCTGTGAGCTCTCTCTCTCCTGCTCTGCCACTGTGAAGTTGTACATGCTTCCCCTTTACATTCCACCATGATTGTAATGTTTCTGAGCCCTTCCCAGCTATGTGAAACTGTGAGTCAATTAAACCTCTTCGTTTTCATAAATTACCCAGTCTCAGGTAATATCTTTATATAAGTGTGAAAATGGACTAATACAAGATAATTTCTTTTTGTTTGTATATTTATAAATCTCAGAATATGACTAAAATTCCAACATTAAATGGCCATTAATTTAAGATTTACTTATATGATTTTGACATAATTTAAAAGGGAAAGATAAGACTTCATAATTTCGAATGGATTCATGTATTTATTTACTTTTTGAGGAATTTTGATAAGAAAAACATTTTGATAATGTCTTCACCAGTGGATCCAGATAATATCAGGTGTTAAAATATGGGATTCGGAAGAAAGAGAAGAAATGCTGACTAGGGATCCTTTGTGTTTTGAACTAAGTAGAGTTAGTGAGGGAGACTAGCATGTTTACAAGATGTTCAAAGTGTTAGTGAATAATTTTTCAACCTCCAATTCTACTCTAATAGCTCACGTAGATCAGGATGTCTTATTGTGAACAGTGTAGATATATGAACAGTAATCCTTCTTTGTTCTTAGCATCTTTGAAACACTATACAAATATATATGTGTGTATATATATGTATATATATACACACATATATACACACATATATACACACACATATACACATATATGTATATATATACACACACATATATACACATATATATGTATATATATATACACACACATATATATGTGTATATATATACACACATATATATACACATATATATACATATATATATTTCTTATTAGTCTTGATTGTGGTGGATAGCTAAGAGAGGAAATACAAACCAGTTTATGGTGGAAAAAAAAAAAGAAGAAGAAGAAGTAGAACTCCAGTGGCACACTAAACTTTCTTATATTTACCAATATCTGCAGAAAGACAACAATATATATTTTTTTCTTCAGAGTTTAGTATTTAAGTCAATTAGATACTGTAAGTGAAAACCCCTCCCCCCAAAAAAACTGCATATCAATGAGGATTTCACACTGCAGCAAACATTAATTCTGACAATATTCTTATTTTTCTAAAATTTACATATAATAAAAGAAGAGAATGTCAAATTCAAGTATGGAAAGACATTTTAATATTTCCCTGCTATAATGACCCACTTTGCTGAAAAATGGAGTTGTTCAATTAAAATGACAACTAAAGAATACTATTTGTTTTTTAAAACCATAATTATAAATCTACAATAAAATTAACAAATTGTTAAACATTTTTACTTTTTTTGTAAAATTCTTATAGATTTTGCAAAACTAAGGAGAAAGTCACTACAAATATGTAAATATATAATTTAAAATAATGGTCAGCAGAAAGATTAAGAATATTTTAATTTTGATGTTTATAGGGTGGTAATATGGGTTGGCTGTGTCCCCACCCAAATCTCATTTTTAATTTTACCTCCCATAATTCCCACCTGTCATGGGAGGGACCTGGTGGGAGGTAATTGAATCATGAGGGTGGGTCTTTCCTGTCCTGTTCTCATGATAGTGAATAAGTCTCATGAGATCTGATGGTTTTATAAAGGGGAGTTCCCACACACATGCTCTCTTTTGCCTGCTGCCATGTAAGACGTGTTTTGCTTCCCCTTCACTTTCTGCCATGATTGTGAGGCCTCCCCAGCCATGTGGAACCCTGAGTCAATTAAACTTCTTTCCTTTATAAATGACCCAGTCCAAGGTATGTCTTTATTAGCAGCATGAGAACAGACTAATACAGTAAATAGGTACCAGGTAGTCATGCACTTTTGTAAAGATACCTGAAAATGTGGAATTGACTTTGAAATTGGGTAAGAGGCAGAGGTTGCAACAGTTCAGAAGGCCCAGAAGAAGATATAAAAATGTGGGAGGGTTTGGAACTTTCTAAAGACTTGGAGGGCTCAGAAGACAGGAAGATGTGGGAAAGTTTGGAACTTCCTAGAAACTTTTTAAATGGCTTTGGCCAAAATGCTGATAGTGATATGGACAATAAAATCCAGGCTGAGGTGGTTTCAGATAAAGATGAGGAACTTGTTGGAAACTGGAGTAAGGGTCACTCTTTCTATGCAAAGAGACTTGGGAAATCTCCCTCAAGTTCAAAGTTCCACAGATCTCTAGAACAGAGGGTACAAACCCCAAGCCTTGGCAACTTACACGTGATGTTGGGCCTACAGGTGCACAGAAGTCAAAAATTGAGGTTTGGGAACCTCTGCCTAGATGTCAAAGGATGTATAGAAATGCCTGGATGTCCAGGCATAAGTTTGCTTCAGGGCAGGGCCCTCATAGAGAACCTCTACTAAGGTAGTAAAGAAGGGAAATGTGGTGTTGGAGCCCCCACACAAAGTCCCCACTGGGGCACCCCCTAGTGGAGCTGTGAGAAGAGGGCCACTGTCCTCCAGACCCCAGAATGGTAGATCCACACTTGCATCATGCACCTAAAAAAGCCACAAATACTCAATACAAGCCAGTGAAAGCAGCCAAGAGGAGGGCTGTACCCTGTAAAGACACAGGGGCAGAGGTGCCCACCTTTTGCATCAGTATAACCTGGATGTGAGACACGGAGTCAATGGAGATTATTATGGAACTTTAAGGTTTAATAACTGCCCTATTGGATTACAGACTTGAATGGGGCTGTAGCCCCTTTGTTTTGGCCAATTTCTCCCATTTGGAATGGGAATATTTACCCAGTGTCTCTTCCTCCAGTATGCCTGTGAAATAACTAACTTGCTTTTTATTTTACAGGCTCATAGGTGGAAGGGTCTTCCTTGTCTCAGATGAGACTTTGGACTGTGGACTTTTGAGTTAATGCTGAAATGAGTTAAGACTTTGGGGGACTGTTGGGAAGGCATGATTGGTTTTGGAATGTGAGGACATGAGATTAGGAGGGGCTGGGGATGGAATTATATGGTTTGGCTGTGTCCCCACCCAAATCTCATTTTGAATTGTAGCTTCCATAATTCCCACATGTCACAGGAGGGACCTGGTGGGAGTTAATTGAATAATGGGGGTGTGTCTTTTCTGTGATATTCTCATGACAGTGAATAAGTCTCATGAGATCTGATGGTTTCATAAAGGCAGTTCCCCTGCACATGCCCTCTCTTGCCTGCTGCCATGTAAGACATGTCTTGCTTCCTCTTCATTTTCTGCCATGATTTTAAGGCCTTCCCAGCCATTTGGAACTTTGAGTCAATTAAACCTCTTTCCTTTATAAATTACCTAGTTCTGGGTACAACTTTATTAGCAGCACGAGAACAGACTAGTACAGGTTGCTTTGAAGGTATATTGCATATATTTCTATATTCTGCTGAAGAATTTTCTTCATTTCTCTGGGAATGTTGTCTTTGTGGATATCAAACTTATAGCTTTAGGAGGGATTTACATGAATTTTCTTTTAAATGAACATTTTATAAATAATCAGGTCAGCCAAATCAACCAGAGTTTTTAAAAAATTTAACTAAGATAACTAAAAATAAAATGCTTGATTTGAATTACTTTGTTGATAGCTCATGTCTTCATACTCATAAATTACATCTTTTGATTATTGAGTGAATTAATTATCAAAGCAGTAGAATTATTAGAAATAACTTTTTATTCAATATATGAAATTTGGACCAAGTGATTAAAATGTAATAGCAAAGCAAGAATTTTTAGATCCTGGCTTAATGGGCTCAATTATCTCAATAAGGAATTGTTTTTATTACTTAAATCTATCTTTGTGTGAATATTAATATGCCACTGTATATTTTAAACAATAAAAAGCAGTCCTGTTTGGTTTTTGAATATATAGAAAAATCTCACCCCATTATGACCAATGACGACCTCATCCTACTTAAATCTTGGCCCTATGCTTAACCTCTTTGAGCCTATCTTTGTATATATAAACATATATACACACACACAGTTCATAGCAAGTAATAAACACTCAGTAAATGGTAACTATTAGCATCATCACTAATTGTTATAGTCATGCCTATCATACTAATTACCAATCATTTATTATATAATCAGTTCCATTTTTTGTTTTTAACTCTTTTCGGGACTATACAGAATAAAAGAAACTGTCATAATTTTGCACTTTAAGAGTGGTAATGTACCATTTACTATGTGGCACTATGTGTATACACACACACACACATATATATACACACACACACACACATATATAGGAGGAAGCTTCAAAAAGTTCATGGAAAATGGGATTAAATGATAAATATAAAACCATAAACTTTATCTTTCAACATAAGTGCCACCAAGTTCAAAACTTAAAGTGATGATACTAGACATTTAGTCAATTCCTAAATAATTTAGGACCCTGTGAATGTATCCATGTCAATGTAGTCTTTTCTTAAATTATTAACAGAAAAAAAACGGGTGTCCTCTTTAAGTTTAGATAACAAAAAGATTTCAGAAGAAGTCTAATCAAGACTAGAAGGTGGATACCTTCCCATCAAAATTCTTGCAAAATTGTCCATGTTTGATGAGAGGAATGAGCAGGAACATTGTCATGGTGGAGAAGAACTTTCTGGTGAAGCTTTTTCAGAGGTTGTTCTGCTAAAGCTTTTCCTAACTTTCTCAGATCACTGTCATAATAAGCAGATGTTATCGTTATTTTTCCCTCCAAACAGTCAACAAGAAAAATGCCTTAAAAATCCCCCCAAATCCCTTTCCATGAACTTTGCTCTTGACCAGTCTCTTTTCACTTGACTGAATCACTTCTGCCTATGAATAGCCATTGCTCTGATTGTGCTTTGTTTTGAAGGTCATATTGGTAAAGCCATCTTTCATTCCCTATTAAAATTATTGGAGAAATACTTCAGGATCTTGATCCTCATTTGTTTAAAATTTCCTTTGAAAGCTCTGCTCATTTCTGCAGCTGATTTGGGCTCAACAGTTGTGATATCCATCGATTTCACAATGTGATACCCATTAATATTTCTCAGCTATAATTTTTCAGTCATAATTGTGTAAGCTGAATCAACTGTCATGTCTATGGTATTGGCTATTTTTTAATGTTAATCATTGGCGCACTTCAATTAGAGTACAAACAAAATAATTTTTTTTCTCACAAACTGTTGGGATAATCTGCCATTGCATGTTTTATCTTCAACATTGACTCCTCCCTTTTAAAAACACATTATCTATTTTTAAACCTCTAATTTTTCTGGGGCATTCTCCCAATAATTTTTTTCTAAAGCGTCAATGATTTTATTCTTCTTCCACCCAAACTCCACCATAAATTTGATGTTTGCTCTTGCTTTAATTTTATCAGACTTTATGTTGCTCTGATAGAAGCTTTATTCAAACTGATGTCTTATCCTTCTTAATGATTCACCCAGGACCCTGTTCAGATATGTTATAAAAAGTAATAAGTTCATTTTGGTGCAAAAAAATTTAAAATTTATGCATCTTTTTATAATATGCATTTTCCAAGATCTTTTTGAAGACCTCTCGTGTGTGTGTTTGTGTGTGTGTACGTGTACACAAAACAGTTTCTGAATTACAATAGTATAACATATTATTTTGATTTTATTATGTTGCAAAAGTGATGCATTGAGACTGTACTTCAAGTACTCACAAAACCATTATTTTTCACTTTTAGTACATATTTAATAAATACATAAGATATTTAACATTTTATTATAAAATAAGCTTTGTGTTAAATGATTTTTACCAGTTGTAGGCTAATGTAAATGTTAGGACATTTTAGGTGAGCTAGACTAAGCTACGCTGTTCAGTAAGTTAGGTGCATTAAATTCATTTATGACTTATGACACTTTCAACTTACAATGGGTTTATTGAGATGTAACATTATTTTATGTCCAAAAGTATCTGCATATAGTGCCTATTTCGATAAAAAGGAAAGCTCCCCCAATCTTTAAGATTATGTAAATAAGTATTGACTTTATATATAAATGCAATAAAAATTATGCACATATTTTAAACCATTTACTTTCTTTTGTCATGTCTAGTTCTTTAAACATGCTCTTACAAATAAAATGAAATAAATATTTGTCCTTTATAATATTTTCAAAAATGGGGTGGGGGGAAGTACTAAACAAAATTAACTAGATCAGTTTATCTCAACCTACGCTGCACATTAAAATCATCTGGGATAATTTGAAGCAAAAATTACCAAAGCCCGTGCTCTACCCCCAGAGGTTCTCATTTAATTGGTTTGTAGTGAGTCCCTTGTTTGGGCATTAATTGTTTTTAAAAGCTCTTCAGGTGATTCTAATGTTCAGTCCAGGCCAAGAAGCTCTGCCACAGAGCATTCATTAATAGATAAATTTCAATGTGGAGTAATTTTTCTAGTGATTTTTCAAAGTACTTTGTCCTTGATTCCGTTTCACTCACCATTTTAAAATAGTGTACTTGAGTAAAAATTTAAAGGTCAATCTTTTTAAATATAGGGATGCCATCATATTTGGAAAAATAAAATAATCAAAATTCTATAGAACCTTAATTCTAGAATGAAGATCATAAGATGAAATCAAATAGGAGTATATGTAAAGTTCTGCATTTAGTTTAGAAAAGGAATTGTGCAAATTATATTAATTTGCACATGGCAAATTATATTAATAGTCATTCCAATGGAAAAGCCATTTTATTTAATAAGCCTGGCCAATTGGAGTCAACTTATTACATAATGGCTGGGGCAAGGAGAACAAGTGTTGTCATGGTCTGCATTAGCATGATATGTAACCCTTGGAACAAAACAGTGAGAATAGCCTTACACCTTTTGCTCATCAGCTCAGGTACATATCAAAGGAAGATTAATTAAATAAACTGTAGGAATGATTTGCTTGGCAAAGAAAATCTGAAAAGACATGAAAATTACAGTCAAGTATTTCAAAGATTCTTCTGTAAAAGAGGCATTAGATTTATTCATATAGTTAAGAAAGCAGAAGTAGAAGAAGTGGATGATAATTGCAACAGGATAGATTTGGGCTTGGTATTAGAACTTTCCAACAATTACAGCTCTATAATAATTTGAATGGGTGTAGATATATTTAGAACTTGAAAAAAACAAACAATTTTCTCAAACATATGGGTATACTACATAAGTATAGTCTATATAAGTAACACCCTTAGAATTTAGTTGAGACATAAAAATAATACAGTATGTCATTTTAAGCATAAGATAATTCTGAGAGGGTTACTTTAGCTATACATAATAATTTTTCTGTAGCATATTTATTTAAAACAATGATACACTATTTATCTGGAAAATATGCCTTCAAATATAGAATCACTTAATGATGTAAATATACAAAACTTGTCTGTTATTAAATAGTAATTCAGTGAAAAAGAATTAAAAAGTTGTTAAGAGTGGATCTTAGACCCAAATAATAATACTTAAAATTGTTAATATTAATATCTGCTTTAGTTCATTATCTATTGCATTAATAGAATGCCACACACTATAAAGAAAATAGCTTTCTTTAGCTCAGAGTTCTGGAGGTTGGAAAGTCCAAGGGCATGACACTGACTGGCATCTGGTGATGGCCTTGTTGGCAGATAGGCTGAAGGGCAAGAAAGCATGAGAGAGAGTTGAGAGAGAGAGAGAGAGGGAGAGAGCACAAGAGAGTTCACTTAAAGTCTCGGCCGGGCGAGGTGGCTCACGCCTGTAATCCCAGCACTTTGGGAGGCCGAGGCGGGGGGATCACGAGGTCAGGAGTTCAAGACCAGCCTGACCAACATGGTGAAACACCGTCTCTACTGAAAAAAAAAAAAATTAGCTGGGCGTGATAGCATGCACATGTAACACCAGCTACTAGGGAGTCTGAGGCAGGAGAATTGCTTGAACCCGGGAGGCAGAGGCTGCAGTGAGCTGAGATTGCGCCATTGCACTCCAGGCTGGGTGACAGAGCGAGACTCCGTCTCAAAAAAAAAAAAAAAAAAAAAAAAGAAAAGAAAAATGAAAAAAGAAAAAGAAAAAAAGAAAAAAAAAAGCAAATGAAAAACAAAGTCTCTCCTTCAATAACCAACCCACTCATGTGATAACAACATTAATCCATTCAAGAGAATGGAGCTACAATGGCCTAATAACATGTTAAAGTCTTTACCACTTAATACTGTAAAAATGGCTATTAAATTTTAACACAAGTTTTGAAGAAGGCACTCAAACCACAGTGTTATCCAAATAGAGATTTATAAACATTAGAAAAGTTTTCTTTCAAAATTGACTTTTGACTATTTTAAAATCATCTTATGTGTTTTAAGCTTGATTCTATGGTCTCTGATTTTGATATTCAGATTTAGTAATAAGAGCTTTGTTATGATGTCCTCTCTCCCTTCTATATTTCGTATACGAACTTAAATATAAGACTATTATATATTTAAAACTTATTATTGGATCTTATTAAATTAGTTGGGAGTAAGCTGGATTTAGTGTATAGCAACAATAAAAGTTTTTTTAACTTTTTAAATTTTTTTTATATTATGTTAAGTTCTGGGATACATTTGCAGAACGTGCAGGTTTGTTACATAGGTATACACGTGCCATTGTGGTTTGCTGCACTCATCAACCCTTATCTACATTAGGTATTTCTCCTAATGCTATTCCTCCCCTAGCCCCCCAACCCCTGACAGGCCTCGGTGTGTGATGTTCCCCTCCCCATGTCAATGTGTTCTCATTGCTCAACTCCCACTTGTGAGTGAGAACATGTGGTGTTTGGTTTTCTGTTCCTGTGTTAGTTTGCTGAGAATGATGGTTTCCAGCTTCATCCGTGTCTCTGCAAAGGACATGAACTCATCTTTTTTATGGCTGCATAGTATTCCATGGTGTACATGTGCCATGTTTTCTTTATCCAGTCTATCATTGATGGGCATTTGGGTTGGTTCCAAGCCTTTGCTATTGTGAATAGTACTGCAATAAACATACGTATGCATGAGTCTTTATAGTAGAATATTTATAATCCTTTGGGTATATGCCCAGTAATGGGATTGCCGGGTCAAATGGCATTTCTGGTTCTAGATCCTTGAGGAATCGCCACATTGTCTTCCACAATGGTTGAACTAATTTACACCCCCACCAACAGTGTAAAAGTGTTCCTATTTCTCCACATCCTCTCCAGCATCTGCTGTTTCCTGACTTTTTAATGATCACCATTCTAACTGGCATGAGATGGTATCTCATTGTGGTTTTGATTTGCAATTCTCCAATGACCAGTTATGATCAGTATTTTTTCCATGTTTGTTGGCTGCATAAATGTCTTCTTTTGAGAAGTGTCTGTTCTTATCCTTTGCCTACTTTTTGATGGGGTTGTTTGTTTTTCCTTATAAATTTGTTGAAGTTCCTTGTAGATTCTGCATATTAGACCTTTGTCAGATGGATAGCCTGCAAAAATTTCCTCCAATTCTGTAGGTTGCCTGTTCAATCGGATGATAGTTTCTTTTGCTGTGCAGAAGATCTTTGGTTTAATTAGATCCCATTTGTCAATTTTGGCTTTTATTGCCATTGCTTTTGGTGTTTTAGTCATGAAGTCTTTGCCCATGCCTATGTCCTGAAAGGTATTGCCTAGGTTTCCTTCCAGGGTTTTTATGGTTTTAGGTCTTACGTTTAAGTCTTTAATCCATCCTGAGTTAATTTTTCTATAAGATGTAAGGAAGGGGTCCAGTTTCAGTTTTCTGCATATGGCTAGCCAGTTTTCCCAATATCACTTATTAAATTGGGAATCCTTTCCCCATTGCTTGTTTTTGTCAGGTTTGTCCAAGATCAGATGGTTGTAGATGTGTGGCATTATTTCTGAGGCCTCTGTTCTGTTCCATTGTTCTATATATCTGTTTTGGTACCAGTACCATGCTGTTTTGGTTACTGTAGCCTTGTAGTATAGTTTGAAGTCAGGTAGCATGATGCCTCCAGCTTTGTTCTTTTTGCTTAGAATCGTCTTGGATATACGGGCTCTTTTTTGGTTCCATATGAAATTTAAAGTATTTTTTTCTAATTCTGTGAAGAAAGTCAAAGGTGGCTTGATGGGGATAGCATTGAATCTATAAATTACTTTGGGTAGTATAGCCATTTTCACAATATTGATTCTTCCTATCTGTGAGCATGGAATGTTTTTCCATTTGTTTGTGTCCTCTCTTATTTCTTTGAGCAGTGATTTGTAGTTCTCCTTGAAGAGGTCCTTCATATTCCTTGTAAGTTGTATTCCTAGGTATTTTATTCTCTTTGTAACAATTGTGAATGGGAGTTCACTCATGATTTGGCTCTCTGATGGTCTATTGTTGGTGTTTAGGGATGCTTGCGATTTTTGCACATTGATTTTGTATCCCGAGACATTGCCGAAATTGCTTATTAGCTTAAGGAGATTTTTGGCTGAGATGTATACAGTCATGTCATCTGAAAGCAGAGACAATTTGACTTCCTCTTTTTTTCTATTTGAATACCCTTTATTTCTTTCTCTTGTCTGATTGCCCTGGCCAGAACTTACAATATTATGTTGAATAGGAGTGGTGAGAGAGGCCATCCTTGTCTTGTACCGGCTTTCAAAGGGTATGCTTCCAGCTTTTGTCCATTCAGTATGCTATTGGCTGTTGGTTTGTCATAAATAGCTCTTATTATTGTGAGATACGTTCAATCAATTCGTAGTTTATTGAGAGCATGAAGCGGTGGTGAATTTTATCAAAGGCCTTTTCTGCATCTATTGAGTTAATCATGTGGTTTTTGTCATTGGTTCTGTTTATATGATGGATCACATTTATTGATTTGTATGTGTTGAACCAGCCTTGCATCCCAGGGATGAAGATGACTTGATCATGGTGGGAAGAAAAGCTTATCCAACAATAAAATTTTTTAAAGAATACCAGTTATCTGGATTACCAGTAATGCTAAAAAGATTGGGAGGGATGTTGAGCTATATGCTCAAGAGATTGGGAAGGATGTTTTCAGGAACTAAAAACAGCATCTTAGATGAGAAACAAACTTAGCTGGGCTGAGCTGAAAAACAAAACCAGGAATCAGAACCCTGGACTAGGTGTTGAACCTGAAGCAGAAGTAACAGGAGAGTACCAAGAGATGCACAAGGACAGTAATTGAACTAAACAACCTAGGATCTTATAACCCGTGGGCCTAATATACATATATGTTATAATGAGCTGAGATTCTCACTTAGCCCTCAGGATCTTAAAGGAGTTCTAATTTGGTGTGAAATGGGATGGAGATCCCAACACTAGGTTAAAAATCTTCCAGAGTAAGTATTTTGATGTCAGTTTGAGCAAATATCTTTCTCCATGGAATCGTGGTGGTTAAGTTAGTATCTCCAAATATTAAGTAAAGAAATTAGTAGAGTGCCATAATTATCTCTATCTTTATTTTATATACTAAAACTCTGATTTTTCTTTCAACAATATACATTCTGTGTACTTTTGTTTGTACCTATTTCTTTATTCATTCATTCGAGGTTCCTTTCATAATCTCACTCCAAGTGCCCTCATATTGGCACATAAGCACTTTTATGTGTTTAATATATGTCCATGGATATCATGTATATATAATATATATTATATAGTTAATATACTATGCATGCATCCTATATAATAATATGTATAATATATAATATAATTTCTATTATATACTATATAACTCATATAGTAATATAGATATAACTATGTTATTATATATAATACAACAAAAAAGTTTTTGAAGAAAACAAGAAATAATTGGGAGGGATGTTGAGCTAATATATAGCTATATTATTATATATAATATGTATAATATATTAATTATATATTATATCTATATTATATGTTTGTGTATTTATGTATATATATTAAAAATATAGTTTGGATGTGTGTCCCATCTCCAAAATCTGATGCTGAAATGTGATCTCCAATTTTGGAGGTGAGGCTTTGGTGGGATGTGTGTCGACCACGGGGGTGGATTTCTTATGAATACGTTGGTGCCCTCCCCGTGATAATGAGTTCGTTTGAGATCTGGTTGGTTGAAATGCCTGGAACCTTCTCTCTTTTCTTTCTTGCTTCCTCTTTGACTTCTGCCATGAGTGGAAGCAGCCTGAGGTCCTCACCTCACCAGATGAAGATGCTGACACCATGACTCTTTTACAGCCTGCAGAACTGTAAGGCAAATAAACCTTTTTTTAAATAAATTACCCAGTTTCAGATATTTCTTTATAGCAATGCAAAATGGAATAACAGTATATATAGAGAGAGAGAAAGAGAAAGAGGGGTAGTGAGAGGGAGTCTTGTTTATATGTGTGTGTGCTTTATGTGTGTGTGTGCGTGTGTGTGTGTGTGTGTCATAGCCACATGATTGTTTACTTTTTTGTAAATAATCTAGTCCTCCAGAAGCTTTTAGATTTTTTTCTTTGTCTTATATTTTCAATTTATCTACCTATTTAAGTATTAAGTGTAATTTTTAGATCTGCTCTTTCGGTACACTAAATATTTTTAATCTGAGATTTTACATTTTTTTCGCTTATTTCCTTTACTCTTTGAAATTATCTCCCTTCGTGATCATTATTATACTAATAAAAATACGTGTACTTCTATTTCCCATGCCTTTTAACATTTCCTTTATATTTTCCATCTCTTCCTGATGCCTTCTGAAGAGTTCCTTATCCTAATCCGGCAAATCAGTATTTCTTTCTTTCTTTTCCAGCTGTATTAATTCTGCTATTTAACCCTTCTATTGAATTTACTTGCAATATCATATTTTTAGACCCAGTTTGTTCTTTATTGGCATTGTCTCTTCTTCATTTTCCAATATTCTGTCTTACAGATTTCTCAAAGAACTAAAAGTAGATCTACCGTTCAATCTAGCAATGGCACCACTGGGTATCTACCCAAAGGAAAAGAAATCATTATATATAAAGGACACCTGCATGTGTATGTTTATCACAGTACAATTTACAATTGCAACGTTATGGAGTCAATTTCAGTGCCCATCAGTCGATGAGTGGATAAAGAAAATGTGATATACATATACTACAAAATACAACTCAGCCATAGGACAAAATAAAATAATGTATTTTGCAGCAACTTGGATGGAACTTAGGAACAGAAAACCAAACACTGCATGTTCTCACTTATAAGTGGGGGCTAAGCCATGAGTACACAATGGTATACAAAGACTTAATAATAAATATTAAAGACTCAGAATGGGGAGGATGGGGGATGAGGGATGAACAATTACCTATTGGCTACATATACACTATTCATGTGATGAGTACACTTCGTGCCAGATTTCTCTACTGCACAATGTATTCCTGTAACCAAAAACTACTTTTATTAATACCACTAAAGCTATTGAAATTATTTTTAAGCAAGTAAAAAATATAATTCTGTTTTACTTTTCTGGAAATATTTATTGTAACTTCTTAAGTTACTGTGATCTATGGTCTACTAATTTTAGTTTTTCTGTTATATATTCACTATCAATTCTGCTTTTTCTTATATATATTCATTTTGTTATACTTCTTTAGTTGTAGTTAGGTACACTCCACCGTGGATGGAGAAAAGGGGGAGATTAATAATGTGCCTCAAGTTAGAGATTTCAGAGAAAGCTTATTGCTATAATATGGGCTATAACATACTTAGTTTCCTTCCCTCTAGTTTCTATTATGCCACTCTGAAAACCTTCTGCCTCTTTCCTCTGACATTTTTCTTGTCCAAGAGCTTCTTATCTTAAGTGCAATTGCTTAGCCTCTAGCATGAGAATGGAAGATCAAGGGGATAAGAAGGGCTGTGTATTTCCTAACCTCTGCTATGGTTTAAACATGTGCCCCAAATTTCATGTGATGAAGGCTTGGTCCCCAAGTCCACATATTGATTGAAGGTGGGGTCTTTGGGAGGTAATTAGAATTAGATAGAGTTATCATGGTGGGACCCCATATGGCATTATAAAAAAAGGAAAAGAACCCTGAGCTGACACCATACTCTTACCCTCTCATTGTGTGATGCCCTCCACCATGTAATGGTGCAGCAAAAAGGCCCTCACCAGATGCTGAACAGATGTGGGCACCATGCTCTTGGACTTTCCAGGATTCAGAACTTTGAACTAAATACATATCTATTCTTCATAAATTACCTAATTTGTGGTATTTGGTTATAGCAATATAAAATGAAATAAGACAACCCTTGTGCCAGAATACCCTAGTTACCTGCTTGCATATCCACTTTGCTTTCTCTTCTGCACTTATGTAGTTCCTTTCCTACACACCCTGGTAGCTGAAGATGAAGGGCATATGCTCTTAGGAGTTCTGGGGCTCCACTCACTTCCCGATCCTCCTTATACTACCACAGCTGATGCTCTCTTCAAAGCACCACCTCCTGGCAGGAGGCCAACCAGCACTAAAATAGTGCATCAAACAACCCAAACTAAGGACCCTCACAGAGTCCATTTTAATCCCCTGCCACTTCCACTGGAGCAGGTACTAGTACCCATGGCTGAGAGACCTGCAGATGGTTCACATCAAAGGACTCTGTGAAGACAACCCCCAGTGCCAGCCCAGAACCTGGTAGACTTGCTGGGTGGCTAGATCCAGAAGAGAGATAACAATCACTACAGCTCAGCTCTCAGGAAGCCACATCCCCAGCAATACGGGGAGGGTACTATATCAAGAGAACATCCTGTGTGACAAAAAAGTCTGAACAGTAGACTTGAACCCTGAACTCTCCCTCTCATATAGCCTACCCAAATGAGAAGGAACCAGGAAAACAATTCTGGTAATATAATAAAACAAGGTTCTTTAACCCCCCCCCCCCAAAATTACCCTAGTTACCTAGCATGAATCCAAACCAAGAATAAATTCCTAATTTGTCTGAAAAAGAAATCATAAAGTCATTTATTAAGCTAATCAAGAAGGCACCAGAGAATGGCAAAGACCAATTTCAGGAAATCAAAAAAAATGATGTAAGAAATGAGGGCAGAAATCTTCAGTAAAATAGATAGCATAAATAAAAAGCAATTGAAACCACAGGAAATAATGGATGCACCTACAGAAATGCAAAATGATGTGAAAAGTCTCAGCAATAGAATCAAAAAAGCAGAAGAAAAGAGTATGGAGCTCAAAGACAAGGTTTCTGAATTAACCCAATTCAACAAAGACAAAGAAAAAAGAATAAGAAAAAATAAACAAAGCCTCCAAGAAGTTTGGGATTATGCTAAATGGCCAAACCTAAAAATAATTTTGTTCCTTAAGAAGAAGAGAAATCAAATCAGGAAGACAAAACAAATTGTCAGCCAAGAATTTTGTATCGAGCACAACTAACCTTCATATATGAACAAAAGATACAGTCTTTTTTGGAAAAACAAATGCTGAGAGAATTTGTCACTATGAAGCCAGCACTATAAGAACTGCTAAAAGGAGCTCTAAATCTTGAAACACATCCTAGAAACGCATCCAAACAAACCTCTTTAAAGCATAAACCTCACAGGACCTATAAAACAAAAATACAATTCAATAAAAGGTATACAGGAAAGAAACAAATAGCACAATGAATAAAATAGTACCTCATATCTCAAAACTAATGTTGAATGTAAATGGCCTAAATGCTCCACTTAAAAGATAAAGAATGGCAGAATGGATAAGAATTCAGCAACCAACTATCTGCTGCTTTCAAGAGACTCACTTAACACATAAGGACTCCCATAAACTTAAGATAAAGGGGTGGAAAAAGACATTCTATGCAAATGGACACCAAAAGAAAGCAGGAGTAGCTATTCTTATATCAGACAAAACAAACTTTAAAGCAACATCAGTTAAGAAAGACAGAGCGACATTATATAATGATAAAAGGGCTTGTCTGATTGAAAAATACTACAGTTCTAAATACATATGCACCTAACACTGGAGCTCCCAAATTTATAAAACAATTACTAATAAATCTAAGAAATAGGATAGATAACAACAGAATAATAGTGCAGAACTTCAATATGCCACTGGAAGCACTACACAGGTCATCAAGACAGAAAGCCAACAAAGAAACAATGAATTTAAACTACACCCTAGAACAAATGGACTTAACAGATATTCACAGAACATTTTACCCAACAACTGCAGAATATACGTTCTAGTACTCAGTGCATGGAACATTCTCCAAGATAGACCATATGATAGGCCACAAAACAAGTCTCAGTAAATTTAAGAAAATTAAAATTATATAAAGTACTCTCTCAGATCACAATGGGATATAATTAGAAATCAACTCTAAAAGGAATCTTCAAAATACAAATATATGGAAATCAAATAACCTGCTCCCAAATGATCACTGGGTCAACAATGAAATAAGTATGGAAATTAAAAAAAAATTCAAACTGAATGACAAGAGTGATACAACCTATCGAAACCTCTGGGATACAGCAAAGGCAGTGCTAAGAGGGAAGTTCATAGCCCTAAATGCCTGCCTCTATAAGTCTGAAAAAGCACAAATAGACAATCTAAGGTCATACCTCAAGGAACTAGAGAAACAAGAACAAACCAAACCCAAACACAGCAGAAGAAAGGAAATAACCCAAATCAGAGAAGACCTAAATAAAACTGAGACAACAACAACAACAAAAAATACAATAGATAAATGAAACAAAAAGCTGGTTCTTTGAAAAGATAAATACAATTGATGGCTTAATCAAGAAAAAAAGAGAGAGAATTCAAATAAGCTCAATTCAAAATGAAAAAGGAGATATTACAACTGACACCACTGAAATAAAAAAAGAGCATTCAAGGCAACTGTGAACACCTTTACACACATAAACTAGAAAATCTAAAAGAGATGAATAAATTTCTGGAAAAATTCAACCATCCTAGTTTAAATCAGAAAGAATTAGATACTCTGAACAGACCAGTATAAAGCAGCGAGATTGAAATGGAAATAAAAAAAAAATACCAACAAAAAAGTCCAGGACCAGAAGGATTCACAGCTGAATTCTACCAGACATTCAAAGAAAAATTGGTACCAATTCTATTGACACTATTCCACAAGATAGAGAAAGAGGGACTGCTGCCTAAATCATTCTATTAAGCCAGTATTACCATAATACCAAAACCAAGAAAAGGCATAGCCAAAAAAAGGAAACTACAGACCACTATCCCTGATGAACATAGATGCAAAAATCCTTAACAAAATACTAGCTAACCAAATCCAACAACATATCAAAAAGATAATTCACCATGATCAAATGAGTTTCATAACAGGGATGCAAGGATAGTTTAACAGATGCAAGCCAAGAAATGTGATACACCACGTAGACGAAATTAAAAACAAAATCACATGATCATCTCAATAGATGCAAATAAAGCACTTGACAAAATCCAGCATTTTTTTATGATTATAACTCTCAGAAACATTGGCATACAAGGCACATACTTCAATGCAATAAAAGCCATCTATGACAAACCCACAGCCAACATAATACTGAATGGGAAAAAAAGTTGAAAGCATTCCCTCTAAGAACTGGAACAAGACAAGGATTCCCACTTTCACGATTTCTGTTCAACATAGTACTGGGAGTCCTAGCCAGAGCAATCAGGCAAGATAAAGAAATCAAGGGCATGCAAATCAGTAAGGAGGAGATCAAACTATTGCCATTTGTTGTTGATGTGACTGTATACCTAGAAAACCCTAGACTCCTCCAAAAATCTCCTAGAACTGATAAAATAACTCTGCAAAGTTTCTGGATATAAGATTAATGTATACAAATCAGTAGCTCTCTTTTACACCACAGGAACCAAACTGAAAATCAAATCAATAACTCACCTCCTTTTACAAAAGCTGCAAATAAGAAAATACTTAGGAATATACCTTACCAAGGAGATGAAAGGCCTCTACAAGGAAAACTACAATACACTGCTGAAAGAAATCATAGATGATGCAAACGAATAGAAACACATCCCATGCTCATGGGTGGGTAGAATCAATATTGTGAAAATGACCAGACTGCCGAAAGCAATCTACAAATTCAATGCCATACCCATCAAATTCCACTATCATTCTTCATGGAACTATAAAAAAAATCATAAAATTCATATAAACCAAAAAAAAAAAAAAAAAAAAAGAAAGTAAAAAGAGCCCACATAGCCAAAGCAAGACTAAGCAAAAAGAACAAATCTGGAGACATCACATTACCTGATTTCAAACAATATTAGAAGGACATCATAACCAAAACAGCATGTTACATGTATAAAAATAGGCACATAGACCAATGAAACAGAATAGAGAAACCAGAAATAAATCTTAATACTTACAGCCAACTGGTTTCTGACAAAGCAAACAAAAACATAAAGTGGGGAAAGGGCACCCTATTTGACAAATGGTGCTGGGATAATTGACTAGCCACATGTAGGAGAATAAAACTGGATACTCATATCTCACCTTATGCAAAAATGAACTCAAGATGGATCAAAGACTTAAATCTAAGACCTGAAACTAACAATTCTAGAAGATAACATCGGAAAAACCCTCCTAAACATTGGCTTAGGCAAGAATTTCATGACCAAGAACCCAAATGCAAATGCAATAAAAACAAAGATAAATACCTGGAACTTAATTAAACTAACAAGCTTTTGCACAGCAAAGGAACAGTCAGCAGAGTAAACAGACAACCCACAGAGTGGGAGAAAATCTTCACAATCTATACATCTGACTAAGAACTAATATCCAGAATCTACAAAGAACTCAAATCAGCAAGAAAAAAACAAGCAATCCCATATCAAAAAGTGAGCTAAGGACATGAATAGACAACTCTCAAAAGAAGATACACAAATGGCCAACAAACATACGAAAAAATGCTCAACATCACTAATCATCAGGGAAATGCAAATCAAAACCACAATGTGATACTACCTTGCTCCTGCAAGAATCGCCATAATCAAAAAATCAAAAAATCATAGATGTTGGCGTGGATGTGGTGAACAGGAAACACTTCTACACTTGGAGATCCCTTAGAGAACTAAAAGTAGTACTACCCTTTGATCCAGCAATCCTACTACTGAGTATCTACCCAGAAAAATGAAGTTTTACCAAAAAGTGACTTGCACATGCATGTTTATAGCAGCACAATTCGCAATTGCAAAAATGTGGAACCAACCCAAATGCCTATCAATTAACGAGTGGATAAAGAGATCCTGAGATATATATATATATATATACCCACACACGTATATACACACATATACACATATATGTATGTATATGTATATATACAATGAAATACTACTCAACCATAAAAAAATAAATTAATGGCATTTGCAGCAACCTGGATAGGATTGGAGACTATTATTCTAAGGGAAGTAACTCAGAAATGGAAAAACAAATATCGTATGCTTTCACTCATAAGTGGGAGCTAAGCTATGAAAGACATAGGAATGACACAATGGAGTTTGGAGACTCGAGGGGAAAGGGTGGGAAGGAGGTGAGGGATAAAAGACAACAAATTGGGTTCAGTGTATACTGCTCAGGTGATGGATGCACCGAAATCTCACAAATCACCACTAAAGAACTTACTCATGTAACCAAATACCACCTGTTCCCCTAAAAACTATGGAAATAAAAAATTTAAAAACAACAAAATTAAAAATTAAAAAGACAAAACAAAAAGCGCTAAAAGTAGATCTACCATTTGATCCAGCAATCGCTCTACTAGGTATCTACCCAGAGGGAAAAAATTCATTATACAAAAAAGATACTTGCACAGGGATGTTTATAGCAGCACAATTTGCAATTGTAGAAACATGGAACCAGCCAAAATGCCCACCAATCAATGAGTGGATAAAGACACACACACACACACACACACACACACACACACACATACACACATATATATACACACACACACACACCATGGAATACTACTCAGTCACAAAAAGGAATGAAATAATGGAATTCACAGCAACCTGGATGTAATTGGAGACTATTATTCTAAGTGAAGTAACTCAGGAATGGAAAACCCAACATTGCATGTCCTCACTCATGTGTGGGAGCTGAGCTATGAGGATGCAAAGGTATAAGAATGATACGTTGGACTTTGGGGACTACTGAGAAAGAGTGGGGGTGGGAAGGGATAAAAGACTACACATCAGGTGCAGTGTATACTGCTTGGGTGATGGGTGCACCAAAATCTCACAAAACACCAGTAAAGAACTTATTCATGTGACCAAACACCACCTGTTTTCCAAAAAACTACTGAAATAAAAAAATAAAAATAATATAAAAAATAAAAAATAAATTGGCTCAGTTATGGCTTCTCCCCTCACCTTTTATAGTTCTATTTGCTGATTTTCATCAGTAAGCATTGATAGCTACCGCCTGGGTCATATTCCAAAATCTTTCAATGACCATTAAAAATATGGAAATCCTTGGTAAGATTATTTTAAAATATCTTAGTCTTCATACATCCGTGTTGCTAGAAGACTTCGGGAAATACTGGCTTTAGAGTAAAAAAACAACAGTATAATCTTTCTTTAATAGATGAGCTAAGAGGTATAAGTTCGTTTTCTCTATTACTGCAGTATAGGTAAAACTCACCATAGTATTGTAGACAAATAACTAGATTAAAAATAAAAAGCCTTACTTCTGTCATTCAAAACAATAAATACTCCCTACCTTATGGGAGTATTTTGAATGCATTTCTACTATTTTTCTTAAAACCAGCACATATTTAAAGAGAAAAAGAAAAACTTTACACTGTTTTAGTCTCTCAAAGCATTTTTATATCCATTATCTTACTTGATCCATCAATCCCACAAAGTGGGAAATATCTTATTGCCTTTGAATGTTTAATTTTTTACAAACCCTGAGATACAGGCAAGTTTAAATGACTTACCCAAGATCACATAGTAAACTGCTCTTACCAAGGATTTCCATGTTTTTAATGCTCAGTAAGTTCATCAGTTGTTTTTCATAATAATACTAGATGCAAACACTTGCACCACATCAAAAAACATGACACATTATTTTTAAACATAAACCATAGATTAAGTACAGAATGACAATCTGTTTTCTTAGAATATTAACTGACTCATGAAAAGTGGTTTTTAAACAAAGATAATCAAGAGTATGTCAGCTGTGTTATAACTGTATTATTTTTCCATATTTCCATAAATACAAAGATATTTTAAAACATTGTATTATTTAAATCCAAATTAGAGCCACTAGAAATACAGCTTACATTGACTTTATTATGATTTTAATAGATTACATCAACCTAGCAATAGACAAATTTAGAATATTTGAAGATGTAAGGATCAGGAAAAGAAGTTATTAAGAACACTTTTAGGAGATTAGGGACTCCCTGACCTTCCTCTTCTGGAAATGAAATTAGGTACTACAAGTGACAGCATTAGAGTTACCATGGAACTTCATATGAATTGCTTGATTTTTCAAGCATTTTATACCATTATTAAACAGAGTGAGGTGAGATTAAAACAGCTCTGTGTCTAATGAGATCAGTCAACTCATGCTATCTAATTTTTAAAATCCTGTGGGGAGAAAAAATGAGAGGACCCCGATCACTCCCACCAGTCAAATTCACAGTCCAAATCTTTTGGTAGATGACATTCTGGTCCACAGAAGTGATGAGATAAATGTGTATAATTAAAATAGCTTTGCTGCTCTGCAATACTTTTAATGGAGGTCTCCTTTGAATATGTGTGTGTGTGTGTGTGTGTGTGTGTGTGTTGTCTCTCTTTTACTCATTCACTGTCAGGTTTCAATCATAGAAACATTACCATTTTTCATTTATACCCTGTTGTTTCCAGGAGTATTTATTTTTAATTTTTTGTTTATTAATTTTTAGCTTACTAATGCAGGTCTAGTTACTGAAAACAACACTATTGGTGATTCTGTCCCTTCAATTTTTTCTTCTATTTGTATTATGACAAAATAATGTCTCTGAAGAATTCCACAAGTACCTTCCTCACATTTCTTCTTAAACAACTCTCAAAGAATTGGCTTGTTTGTTAACAATTCTAGCATTAAAATATATTAATTATATATCTTAAATTCTATCTTCTAAGTGAATATATTGCATTACTATTACTTATAAAATTCACTTCCACCTCAAATATTTTTAGTTTTATATTGGTGAGTTGAAATTTGGAAATAACCTTAGTAAGTACTGTAACATTTATACACATTGGCCTTCAATGTTCTTCTATGATGTTTTTGATGTGAGACTTCAGCAACTGAAATATTGTACATTAATATGAATGGTTGAAAAATGTTTTGCTATCAAGAGCCATAACAAATATAATTCCCTAATAAAAATGATAGACTTCGATGGGCTAGATTAATGGCATTAGCAGCAGCTGTTCAATAGCCATACTCCTTATCAACGCGGGTTCAAACCACAGCAAGACTAACCTTTTGTACTGAATATTTTAGTGGCTTGATTATATTTACCCATTAATTGTCTTATAATATCATATCTTCTCTCTTCAAGAAGATCAAAAGCTCTTTGAAGGCCTTACAAAAATGTGTTCTCTAATTTTTATATCTATTCACAATATAAAAGTCTGTGTCCATTGATATTTATTAATTGATACATAACTTTCCTAAAGATAAAAAGAAAAACTTTACAGGTTGTCAGTCTTTATAATATGTAATCCTAAATTTTAATTGAACACTTTGCTGCCTGTCAGTATTGTTCTGAGTGTTTTATGCACATTCATTCACTGCTGACAACAGTCAATGTGGTTATAGTCACTTCCTGTTCCACAATGAGATGAAGTTGACACAATTCTCTCTATCATTCCTGCTAACTACACTTAAAATCACACACATTACATTTAAAGCAAATATATGATGTTTCTAATAAGTATACAGGAGAAGGGGATTGGCTAGAGACCTTGGGACCTGAAGAATTGGTACAGCAATAAATTTCAGGTTTTTCCATTTGTTTGTCTTGTTTTTCTTTGTTGCGTAATAGATCCTAGACTGGGTTCCAGAGATGATGGCAACTTGACCATGCCAACAATTACACACAAAAAGAGCAGCCCCAAGGAAAGCGTGTTCTCTCTAACTAAAGGATGAGAAAATGAGCAGCTGAGGAAAACAGAAAAGTTTTAGACAAAACCACCTTACTGCATAAAAACACTCTAGGAATAACAGTGGCTCCAGCCCCAACCAGCCAACAAAGGTCAAGTGGAGAGCTTAGAATTTCATTCCCAACAGAATTTAATTATTTATTCATTTCCTTTATTTTTCCCTGCTGGCATTGTGTTAGAGAAGTCAAAATGAGATGCTATAACTTTAGCCTCACCTAGCAGAAATAAAAGCCCACACAATCACCCTTTATATCAGTGGAAGCCACATTGTAAGCCGTAATGTGGTATCCCTCCTCTTCTCAGCCATGGTATTTTCAGTGGAGGCCTAGGGGGAGCTAAAACTCTCCTCCTAATATTGCTAGGTAATATTGTTGCTATTACCTAGCAATAATAATGAGTCTTTTACCCATTTGTGTTAAGGAAAGCTGAAAAGAAAATCTGGAATTTCATCCCCATCTGGCAGCAAGGAAATACCCACTTCTTATGCATGAGCAGTGTCAGTGGAAGACAACAAAACTGATGGTTTAAATAAAATGCAATCTCATAATACCTTAAATGGCCAGATATCAATCAAAAATCACTTAGGCCAAGTACTAATAAAATCACAATTTCAATATAAAAAGATAATCAATATACACAAATTCTGAGATGACAGAAATGTTTCCTGATAAGTTTAAAGCAACCATCATAAAAATGCTTCAATCAACAATTCTTATTACACTAACATTAGAGTCATTGATATCCTAAAGGAGAATAGAAAGAAGGTAGGGCTGAAAGAGTATGCAATTTAATAATGGCTGAAAATTTCTCAAATTTTACAAAAAACATAAACCTACAGATTAAAGAATTTGATTGAATCCCAAACCGGGTAAGTCCAAAGAGATCCATGCCAAGACACATCATAATCAAACTTGTAAAAGCTAAAGCTAAAGAAAAAACTTTGAAAGAAGCAAGAGAGACATGATGCTTTACTTAGTAGGAAAACAATTGAAATGACAATGTATTTCTTATCCAACACCATGGAAGCCAGAAGGAATGGGCATAATATTTCTTCAAGTGCTAACATAAAATAACTATTAATTAAGAATTTTATGTCCAGCAAAGAATCCTTGAATAATGAAGAAAAATCAAAACAAATATCAGATGAAAGATAATTAAGATAATTTTTTGCCAGCAGATATACTTCTAAAAGAATAGATAAAGGGAATTATTGATTTTGCCAGCACATATACTTCTAAAAGAATGAAGGGAATTATTGAAACACAGAATAAATGATAAAGAGAATCTTGGAATGTGAGAAATGAAGTAAAAACAAGAAAAATTATCAACATATGGATCAGTGAAATAGGATTTCCTTCTTCCCTTGTGTTTACTAAACTATGTTTTACAGTTGAAGCAAACATTATAACATTATCTGATGTGATTTCAAACATACATAGAGAAAATATTTAAATCACTTATAAATGGGGGAGGATAAAGTGATAAAGGGATTAAGGATTCTATGCTTCACTCAAACCAGTAAAATGTCAATGCCAGCAACTATGATATTTACATTTACCTTAAATGTTACTACTGGTGAACAAAGACTTACTCCTGCTATTTTAAAATTTGTTTTCTGTTTGTTTTGTGGTCTTTGCTCTTTCATTTATGTCTTTAGTGAAGATATACATATTGTAATACCTAGAGCAATCACTAGGAAAACTATACAAACAGACACACTAAGAAACACTAAAGATACATGAAAATGTAATTCTAAAGAAAGATATGCGTAATGCACAGAAATTCTAAATAGATAAATGTAGAAATGAATTAATAAATAAATAAGAAATAATTAACAACGAGAAGAAGACAAAAATGAGATTCAGGTTTATAAGGTTAATAAGGGAGATTGTGTCTCCCTTATTGAAAATGCTTGGGACCGGAAGTATTTTGGATTTTAGATTTTTTTCAGATTTTGGAATACTCGCCTATACATGATAAGATGTCTTGTGTATAAGACTCAAGTCTAAACACAAAACTCACTAATGTTATAAATATTTTTAAAAAATTCTTTGGGTATATGGTAGATGTATATATTTATGGACTATGTGAGATGTTTTAATATAGGCTGAAATGTGACATAAGCATATCATGAAGAATGGGGTAGCCATCCCCACAGACATTTTTCTTTTGAGTTGCAAACAATCCAATTACACTCTATGTTATTTCAAAACATACATTTAACTTATTAATGACTATAGTTACCATTATGTGCAGCTATCAATAGTAGGTCTTATTCATTTTTTTTCTAACTATTTTGTTTGGTACCCATTAACCATCCCCACCTCCCCTCAGCTCCTCACTACCCTTCCTCCCTCACCTCCAGTAACCATCCTTCTACTCTCTATGTCCCTGAGTTCTATTGTTTTGATTTTCAGATCGCACAAATAAGTGAGAACATGTGATATGTGTCTTTCTGTGCCTGACTTATTTCACATAAGATCTCCTGTTCCATCCATGTGGTTGCAAATTGTAGTATCTCATCTTTTATATGACAGTGTAGTACTCCATTGTGTATATGTACCACATCTTTTCATACATTCATCTGTCGACAGACAGGTTGCTTTCAAATCTTAGCTATTGTAAACAGTGCTGTGACAAACATAGGGGTGCAGATATCTCTTTGATAAACTGATTTTCTTTCTTTAGGGTATACACCAGCAGCAGGACTGCTGGATCATATGGTAGCTCAATTTTCAGTTTTTTGAGGAACTTCAAATCTGTTCTCCATAGTGGTTATAATAATTTACATATCCACCAGGAGTGTACAAAGATTATTTTTGACCCACACACTCACCAGTATTTGTTATTTCCTGTTTTTTGGATATAAATCATTTTAACTGGGATGAGATAATATCTCATTTTTGTTTTGATTTGAATTTTTCCTGGTATTCCATGATGTTGAGCATCTTTTCATATGCTTCTTTGCCGTTTGTACGTTGTTATTTTCAGAAATGTCTATTTGGATATTTTGCCCATCTTTTGATTGGATTATTAGAATTCTTTCCTATAGAGTTAATTGAGCTTCTTCTTCTTCTGATTATTAATCCCTTATAAGATGGGTAGTATGGAAATACTTTCTTCCACTCTGTGAGTTGTCTTGTCACTTTGTTGATTGTTTCCATTACTGTGCAAAGGCTTTTTAACTTGATGTTATTCCATTTGTTTGTTTTTGTTTTGGTTGCCTGTGCTTGTGGGGTATTGCTCAAGAAATTTCTTCCCAGACTAATGTCCTGGAGATTTTCACCAGGTTCCTTGTAGTAGTTTCATATTTTGAGGTCTCAGATTTAAGTCTTTAATCCACTTTAATTTTTTTTCTAAATGGTGACAGATAGGAGTCTTGTTTCATTCTTCTGCATGTGGATATCCAGTTCTCCCAGCACCATTTATTGAAGAGATTGTCTTTTCTCCAGCATAAATGGCATATTGGTGAAAAATGCGTAAAAAGTAGGTATATGGATTTGTTTCTGGGTTCTCTATTATGTTTCATTGGTGTATGTGTCTGTTTTTATGCCAGTACCATGCTGTTTTGATTATGATAGATCTGTAGTATAATTTGAAATCAGGTAATGTGATTCTTTCGGTTTTCTTATTTTTTCTTAGGATAACTTTGGATATTCTGGGTCTTTTGTGATTTCATATAAATATTAGGATTATTTTTCCATTTCTGTGGGAAATGTCATTGGTATTTTCATAGTGACTGCATTGAATCTGTGGATTGCTTTTGGTAGTATGGATATTTTAACATATTGATTCTGCCAATAAGTGAACATAGAATACTCTTCCATTTTTTGGTGTCTTCTTTAATTTCTTTTATAAGTTTTCATTATAGAGACCTTCTTTGGATAAGTTAATTCCTAGGTATTTAATTTTATGTGTGGCTTTTGTACATGGAATTACTTTTTTTATTTCTTTTTCATATTGTTCACTGTTGGAGTATAGAAATGCTACTGATTTTTGTAGGTTCATTTTGTATCCTGCAGTTTTACTGAATTTGTTTACCAATTCTAATACTTTTCTTATGGCGTCCTTAGGTATTTCCAAGTATAAGATTATATCATCTGCAAACAAGGATAATTTCATTTCTTCCTCACAAATTTGGATGCACTTTGTATCCTAATCTTGTCTAATTGCTCTAGATAGGACTTCCTGTATTATGTTGAATAACAGTGGTGACAATGGTCATCTTTGTCTTGTTCCAGATCATAGAGGAAAGGCTATCACTTTTCACCATTCAGCATAATACTAGCTGTCAGTCTGTCATATACAGCTTTTATTATGTTGAGGCATGTTCCTTCAATCCAGTTTTTTTAGGGTTTTTTTTTATCATTAAAAGATGTCGACTTTTATCAAATGCTTTTTTAGCATCAATTGAAATGATCCCATGGTTCTTATACTTTATTCTGTTGACACGATGTGTCCCATAGACTGATTTGTATATGTTGAAACATACTGCATCCCAGAAATAAATCCCACATTGTCATGATGAATGATCTTTCTAATGTATTGTTGAATTTGGTTTGGTAGTATTTTATTGAGGACTTTTGCATTAATATTCATTAGAGATATTTGTAGTTTTCTCTTTTTTTTTTGATATGTCTTTTCTGGTTTTTGTGGCAGGGTAATACAGGCCTTATACAATGAGTTTATAGGTATTGCCTTCTCCTCTATTTTTCAGAATATGGAGTAGATTTGGTGTCAATTGTTTTTTAATTGTTTGGTAGAATTCAGCAGTGAAGTCATCAGGTCCCTCGCTTTTTTTTAATGAGAGACGTTTTATTTTGGGTTTGGTCTTGATACTTGTCATTATTCTGTTAAGATTTTGGATTTCTTCTTGGTTCAAATTTGGTAGGTTGCATATATCTAGAAATTTGCCAATTTCTTCTAGATTTTTCAATTTATTGGCATATGTTGCTCATAGTAGCCAAAAATGATCCTTTAATGTTTGCAGTTTCAGTTGCAATGTTTTTATTTTCATTTCTCATTATATTTATTTGGATCTGCTCTCTTTTTTTCTCAGTTAATCTGGGTAAAGGTTTGTCGAGGTTGTTTAATTTTTCAAAACAAAACTTGTTGAATAATTAATCTTTTCTGTTTTTTATTTCAATTTTATTTATTTATAGTCTGATCTTTATTTTTTTTCCTTCTACTAATTTTGAGTTTGGTATGCTCTTGCTTCTCTAGTTTCTTTTTAAAAGATACGTCATTAGATTGTTTATTAGAAATTTTTCTCTCTTTTAACTTATAGCTATAAGGCTATAGACTTCCCTCTTAGTACTGCTTTTGCTGCATCCCATAGGATTTTGTATAATGTGTTTCCATTATCATTTGTTGCAAGACTTTTTCAATTTTCATTTAAATTTCTTCATTGACCCACTGGCCATTCAGGAGCATATTGTTTAATTTTTAGTATTTGTATTGTTTCCAAAATTTCTCTCGTCAATTTGTAGTTTTATTCCATTGTGGTCAGAGAAGATGGTTGATATTATTTCAATTTTTCTGGCTATTTAAGACTTATTTTGTGACCTAACCTATGGTCTATCCTTAAGAATGATCCATGTGCTGAGGGAAAGAATGTGTATTGTACAGCTCTTGGATGAAATGTTTTCTAAATATGTATTAGATCCATTTGGTCTACAGTGCAGGTTGTCTGATTTTTGTTGTTCATTTTCTGTGTGGAAGAACTGTTCAGTGCCGCAAGTGGGGTGTTGAAGCCTCCAGCTATTATTGTATTAGGGTCTATGTCTCTCTTTAGCTCAAATAATATTTTCTTTATATATCTGTGTGCTACAGCTTGGGTGCATATATATTTAAAAGTATTATATCCTCTTAGTCAATTTACCCCTTTATAATTATATAGTGCCCTTCTTTGTCTCTTATGGTTTTTGTTTTAAAACCTGTTTTTTCTGATATAAGTATAGCGACTCCTGCTTATTTTTAGTTGCCATTTGTACTGAATATCTTCATTTATCTTTTTATGTTCAGTCTATGTGAGACTTAATAGGTGAAGTGTGATTCTTGTGTGCAACATATTAATGGCTCTTATTTTTCATCCATTTAGCCTGTCTATGTCTCTAATTAAAGAGATCAGTCAATTTACATTCAATGCTACTATTGATGAATAAGGACTTACTCCTGGCATTTTTTATTTGTTTTCTGGTTGTTCTGTGGCCTTCTCTTCCTTCTTTCTTTCATTTGTCTTCCTTTAGTGAAGATGATTTTCTCTGGTGATATGGTTTAATTTATTACTTTTTTATTTTATGTGTATCGTATGTTTTTTGGTTTTAGGTTACCATGAAGCTTGCAAATACTACCTTATAACTCATTATTTTAACCTGATAACAACTTATCACTATTTGCAACAAACAAACACACATAAAGAAAACTAATAAAAACTCACCTTAACTTCATCCCTTCACTTTTTAACTTTTTGTGATTTCTTTTCATATCTTATTGTACTGTCCATGCCTTGAAAAGTGGTTGTAGTTATTATTTTGATTGGTTTATTTTTTAGCCTTTCTACTTAGGATAAGAGTAGTTTACACACAACAGTTACAGTGTTATAATATATTGTGTTTTTTTCTTTGTACTTGCTATTACCAGTGAGTTTCTTACCTTCAGGTGATGACTTACTGCTCACTAATGTTCTTTTCTTTCTCATTCAATTACTCCCTTTAGCATTTCTTGTAGGACAGGTCTGGTGTTGGTGAAATCTCTCAGCTTCTGTTTGTTTGGGGAAGTTTTTATTTCTCCTTCTTGTTTAAATGATATTTTCACTGTATATACTATTCTAGGGTAAAAGTTTTTTTTTCTTTAGCATTTTAAATATGTCATGCCACTCTCTTGTGGCCTGTAAGGTTTCCACTATAAAGTCTGCTCCTAGATGTATTGGAGCTCTATTGTATGTTATTTGTTTCTTTTTTATTTTCTTATTGCTTTTAAGATCTTTTTTATCCTTGATGTCTGGAAGTTTGATTACTAAATGCCTTGAGGTTGTATACTTTGGGTTAAATGTGCTTGGTGTTCTATAACCTTCTTGTACTTGGATATTGATATATTTCTCTAGGTCTGAAAAGTTCTCTGTTTTTATCTATTTGAAGAAACTTCCTACTCCTGTTTCTTTCTCTGTGTCTTCTTTAAGGGCAATAATTATTAGATTTGCCCATTTGAGACTATTTTGTAGATTCCGTAAGTATGTTTCATTGTTTTTATCCTATTTTCTTTTGTCTCCTATCACTGTGTGTTTTCAAATAACCTGTCTTCATGCTCACTAATTCCTTCTTCTGCTTGAGTCATTCTGCTATTAAAATACTCTGATGAATTTTTTACTACGTCAGCTGCATTTTTCAGCTCCAGAATTTCTGCTGGATTCTTTTTAATTATATCAATATCCTTGTTAAATCTATCTAATAGAATTCTCAATTATTTCCCTGTATTATCTTGAATTTCTTTGAGTGTCCTTAGCACAACATTTTTGAATTCTCTATCTGAAAGGTAACATATCTCTGTTTGCCAGAATTGGTCCCTGGTGCCTTATTTTGTTCATTTGGTGAAGACTTATTTCCTTGGATGGTGTTGATGCTAGTAGATATTCTTCAGTGTCTGGACATTGAAGGTTTATGTATTTTTTGTAGTCTTCATTATCTGAGCTTATTTGTAGTCATCCTTCTTGGGAGGGCTTTCCAGATATTTTAAAGAACTTGGGTGTTGTGATCAAAGCTGTTTCTACTTTATGGTACACCCCAAGCCAAGTAATGCTGTAGTTCTTGCAGACTCATAGAAGTACCACCTTGATGTTCTTGGACAGGATCCGGGAGAATTCTCTGGATTGACAGGCAGAGACTCTTGTTCTTTTCCCTTACTTTCAGAGCCTCTGTCTCTGTTCTGAGTCACCTAAAGCTGGTGGTGGAGTGACGCAGGCCATCCCTGTGGCCACTACATGTATGACTGTGCTAGGTCAGATGTAAAGTCAGCACAGCACTGGCTCTTGCCCAAAGTCAACTGTAGCCACTCCCTGGCTACTGCCTACCTTCATTCAAGGGCCTGGAGTTCTGTAATCAGCAGGTGGCAATGCCAACCATGCCTGTGTCCATCACTTCAGGGAAGTTAGGTCCCCTGTATTCCAGGGAGGTTCAGAAGTACCGTCTGGGAATCAGGGACTAGAGTGAAAAACCTTAGAAGCCTACCTAGTATTGTACTGTATTGTTGCCAAGCTCACGCTCAAACCACTAGACACAATTCTTCCCACTCTTTCCTCCCCTTTTCCAAAGGCAAATAAGTTTCACCCCAGAGCTACCACCCCTGGAAACAAGGCGTACTGCCAGACTACCACCAATGTGTTCTTAAGGCTCAAAGTCTCTTATGTCAGCTTGCAGTGAATTCTGTCTGGCCTAGGACTCACCCTTCAGGGAAGGGAACTCCCTTCTAGCCCAGGGCCAGACCAGAAATGTTGTCCAAGAGTTGAGTCCTGAAATCAGGAACCCCAATCCCCAGCTTGGTACTCTACACACCTATAGTGGTATTGGTATTTAAGGTGTAGAACAAAGTTCCCTTTACTTTGTCCTTTGCTTTTCTCAAGCAGAAAAAGGTTTGCCACACAACTACCACAGCTGGTAATGTGCTGAGTCTCACCTAAATTCAGCAAGTCTCAGGGGTTCACTAAGGCTCTTGATGTAGTACTTGAGTATCACTGCTGGTTACTCAGGGCCCAAGGACTCATCAGTTAGCAGATGCTAAATGCTGACAGGACTGGTTCTTTTTCCTCATGGCAGCACATTCCCATTTCTAGTCATACCCAAGGTGTGTCCAGAAATGTCATCTGAGAGCTAGGGCCTGGAATGGGTACCTCACTACTCTGACCAGTGCCCTATCTTGCTATGGCTGAGCTAGTATCCAATATGCAATACAAAGTCCTCCTCACTCCTCAAGCAGAAGGAAGAAGTCTCTTTCGGAGCTGTGAAACTTGCAGCCTTGGGTTAGGGGAGGATTGATGCCAGTATTCCCTTGGCTTCCCCAGCTGGTGTCTCAGAATGTCATGTGCCCCTCCAGTCCACTGTCTCTGGGCCTAGTTCTTCCCCAGGACTTGCCTAATAGTTGCACTCGTTATTACCTAGACTGTCTTTCAAGGTTACATAGAGACCTAGAGCACTTCGGCCCTTGGTGGTGAAGTTTACAGAAATTCATGTTCACACCGCTGAGCTAGGAGATTCCCCTCTGGCTAGGGCTGGTTGAAACCCTCCCTCCATGGGTGGCCATTTGCTGAGTTCAGTCTGGTTTTCTTTTCCGCTGTAAATAACAACACTGTTTATTGCCTCAGAATTGTTATATTCTTTCTCTCCTAGTGCTCAGAGAGGCTACGGGGACAATGCAGCTGTTACCAAGGGTCAGGGAGAGATGGCATCAGCGATTCAGTACTGGTTTTTCTATCTCTTTAGTTCATTTTTCAGCTATACGAATTTAAAATCAAGTACTCACATAATTTTTGGTTCTTACGAATGTGCTTTTTCTATGTAGATAGTTGTTAACTTTCCTTATAAAGGTGACAATGAGTGGACCTTTCTATTCTGCTGTCTTGCTCTACCTCCAATTTACTTATGTTTTATATACAAGATACACACGTAATCTTAAGGTAATTTTCTACATTTTAATAATTTTGTGCATAAAACAAATTTTGCGTACATTGAATTATCAGAAAGCAAAGGTGTCACTTTCTCAGACACCTAGGTGAACAATCTGTGGTTGTTTGGCATCACCATTATTCCTGACTCTGAATGTATATGCTGCTGATAAGCAAATTATTTTCTTGTACTTAGTCACACATAAGTGCTTAACAGTAAAAATATGACATACCACTAAAACAGTGAAAAAGTAATTTATTTAACTAAACATCACAGTAGCATCACCAGTATATCTGTACCAGATCTTAAACAACAGCAACAAAAAAAGAAAAGGAGACATTCAGTTTGTGTCTACAATGCTGTGTTTGATTAAAAGGTAACTGTACATTGTATTTTATATTTTTAGGTGAGAATAATTATTATAAGCAGCTGAGAGACCAAAAAATTGGTCCTCCAAAAATGAAAAGTCTTTCTGCTGGATAACTTTCTTAAATGTTTCCTACAGAGATTTTTGTCTCATTCACAATGTTTTTCATCTTTGAAGTCTTCTCTTTATTTTATAAACTGACATTATTTCCTGTTCTGTTATCAATGCATGCTCCCTTAGTCATTCAATAAACCTATCATACATTTTTACCATGTCATCTATAGGCACTTTATCTGCAGTGTTAACAACATCATATCCATTGTCATTACTATTACGATTATCTTAATTTAGAACCATTTTAGCTATTTTTCCATTGGTTAATGAATGAACAATTGAAGCTTTGTTATCAATGTTAAAAATTTCTTTGATTTTTCCATTGGTTAATGAATGAACAATTGGAGCCTTGTTATCAATGTTAAAAATTTCTTTGACATCCACTTTATATTAGCTTACTGACGGATTGTGCAGGTATTTTTGGCATATGTGATTGAGTGTGATATCATTTTTTCTCAATTTTCATACAGAATCCTTCAAAGTCATTACATGGTTTACCATCATTATGGCATGTAGTTTCAGGCAAGAGGTAGTGTGAAGCATGCACAACAGTGTCTTTAGTCACTGTGCTTCAAACATTGGCAACAACATATGTAAAGTTCTCCATGCTAAATTTCTTTTGTAAATCTTCCACACCTGTGCTGCTGTTCGCTGCTGCTAGCATACTGTTCAAGAAAGTGTTTTTAGATTTACTCTTCACTGATCTAAGGATACCTGGTTACATGGCTGAATTAGTAAAGTTATATTTTGGGAAAATTACATGGAATAAACATAATTTGTTTATGAAATTTCAGCTGGAAGATGAGCAGAACAGCTATCAAGGAATAACAACAAAATATTGCAGTCGTCATTCAGACCAGCTTACCTGCAGTGAGCATGAGCCACTGGTAGAAAATATTTGTGAAACCAATCAGAAAATATGTTGTTGATGATCCATGCTTTTCTGTTAGCATAATAATGTGCTGGTAATAATTCACTTTTTGAAAATAGCAAGGAAATAAGCACTTGCCTATCACAGCAAGTTTACACTTACATGTGCTTACAGCATTAGCACAGTTATTCTGCACTTGACATCTTTAATTCCTGTAAAGGCTGTCTTATCAGCTGTAGTCAGTATATTTCTGAAGCAATAATGCAAAAAAAGTGATGTCTTACTGGCATTATAGACTTTTTCTGGCATCCAATTTTTCATCAACAATGACCTTGGCAAACTTATCAACAGACTTTTTTCTTCTTCGTGATCTGCAGATACAAATATTTAAAAATTTAATGCTATGTCTTTTCTTAAGTTTTTGTAAGCAGCCTGTTGAATATCCACAATTTTATTTAATTTTCAGTTCATTTATTGTGATAGATCTTTGCTTGTTTCATGATCATCATATCATTAAGCGGTATGTGTTTATGGCAACACTGATGAATCCCCTCTTTCAACAAACTATCAAGATATTTACTTTCAACTTTCAGCAGTGTTTTTCTCCCTATTTTTATTAACTTATGTATATCACTTTAAACAGTTTATTATTCTTTTGATTTAGGTTATATATGGTGGCAATACCAACACCATACTTTTTTTTTTTTTTTTTTTTGAGACAGGTTCTTGCTGTGTCACCCAGGCTGGAATGCAGTGGCATGATCTTGGCTCAATGCAACCTCCGCCTCCTGGTATCAAGCAATTCTCCTTCCTCAGCCTTCCAAGTAGCTGGGATTATAGGCACGTGCCACAGAGCATGGCTAATTTTTGTATTTTTAGTAGAGATGGGGTTTTGCCATGTTGGTCAGGCTGGTCTCGAACTCTTGACCTCAGGTGGTCCACCTGCCTCAGCCTCCTAAAGTGCTGGGATTACAGGTGTGAGACACTGCACCCGGCTCTGACACCATACTCTTATGTAAGACATTTCACATCGACATCACTGTACAGTATCTCCAACAGCTTGAGTTTCTGTGCTATAGATAATTTTTACTTTTTCTTATCACTGTTATCCATATAGATATATTCAGGCCTTTTTGACATTTTCAACAAGATTTTTATACCACAAAGCAGATAATAAGCCAAAAAAGTAAAAAAAAAAAAAAACACAGTAAATAATGCACATAGGTCTTTGCTCCATCTAGGACATCATGGGGATTCTGCCATTGGCATATCCAGCCTCTACATGTCCCATTTTATTCCCCTTTGTAGGTGTGTTTGCATGGATAAATCTGGGTGTATATAGAAAAGATTTTGCGGATGAAAGTGGATGGGAGGTTCTTTTGTTCCATTGGGGCCGCTGAATATACTGTCTTGTGCACTGGCTTTATTGGAACATTTTGGATTTATGATTTTTAGATTGTGGGTGCTCAACCTGCATATTAATAATTACATTAAATTTAAATGGTCTAAATACAACAATTAAAATACACAGATTGACAGATTCTTTAAGAAAATATGGCCAAGCTGTATGTTATTTACCAAAACTCACTTCAGTATGACAATGTATTGGTTAAAATTAAACAATAGAAAATATACACTATTCAAACACTGTTCAAAGAAAGCTGTGGTAGTTTTATGTATGCCAAATGAAAAAGATTTTAGAAAAAGAAAGGACCAGAGACAGAGAAGGACATTATATAATGATAAAAGGGTCAATCAATTAAGAAGATATAACAATTCCAAATGTGTATGCACCAGACAAGAGAGATGCAATAGATTCGAGGCAAAAACTGTTAGAGCTAAAAGGAGAAACCAAAACATTAACAAATATAATTAGAGTTTTTATACTCATCTCTCAGAAATTGATAGAAATGGTAGACAGAAAATCAGAAAGGATATGGAAAAACTGAACAACATCATTTAAAAAAATGATCTAATTAAAATATGTAGTACACTCCATCTAACAATAGCAGAATACACATTTTTAAGCACCCCAGAGCATTCTCTGAGAAACGTAACATCTTGGACCACAAATCAAATGGTAATAATTTTAAAAGTATTAAAATCATACCATTTATGCAGAAATGATTAACCGAAATATAAGAGAAACATACCAAAATACTTGACAATTAAAAATATACTTCTAGGCTGGGCGTGCTGGCTCACATCTGTAATCCCAGCACTTTGGGAGGCTGAGGCGGGTGAATCACCTGAGGTCAGTAGTTTCAGACCAGCCTGGCCAACATGGTGAAACCCCATCTCTACTAAAAATACAAAAACATTAGCCTGGTGTGTTGGCGGGCACCCATAATCTCAGCTACTTGGGAGGTTGAGGTTGGAGAATCACTTGAACCTGGGAGGTGGAGGTTGCAGTGAGCTGAGATTGCGCTGTTGCACTCCAGCCTGGTCAACAAGAGGGAAACTCTGTCTCAGAAAAAAAAAAAAAAAAAAAAATATATATATATATATATTTTTTTTTTTTCTAAATAATCCATGGGTCAAATAGGAAGTCTCAAGGGAAATCAAAACTACATTAAACCACATGAAAAGGAAAATACATTATATCAAAATGTATGAAACAGAAAAAAACAGTGCCATGGGGAAATTTCTATAACTAAATATTCACATTATAAAAAAGAATAGTCACAAATTATTTAGATTTCCTCTTTAAAGAACAAGAAAAAAAGAGTGAAATAAATAAATTAATCTGAAGAAAGCAGAATAAAAGAAATAAACATAAAAACAGGTATCATGAAAATTTTTAAAATGCCCTCATTCACTCTCTTCTGTTGTCAATACACTGTATACAACTTTTATTAAGGACATCTCAGCATCTACCGTGTATTCACCTTTCTACAGATTACTCCTAAGCCTAGAGTAACTCAGAGTTTTATCTTAAGTCTTAAGTATATCAAACTGCATACTGGATATCCCCACTTAGCTTTCCTGGTAGTACTCAATACATCAAAACTGAATGCATTATCTTTTTGTCAAATCAGTGCTCCTCCTTCTGCATTTCCTTTCTTGGTGAGTAGCACTCAGTTGCCCTGATTGGAAATCTGGGACTGCAACCAGACTTCTCCATCTAGACTCTAAAGCAGTAATGTGCTCTCAATAAATTTTTTTCAGCTCCAAACAGCCATTGAAGTTCTTGATAATTTTTACTTTATTTATACCTCTTGAATCAGTCCATTCTATATCCCCACTATTATCACTTTAGTTAAGACCCTATGCTCTCTTTTGTAGTAATGCCTGCTTTGATAAAACCCTCTTTAGTCCATTTTCCATATTGATGATTGAGTAGTCTTTATGAAACTCAAGACTAATTGTGTCATCCCCACTTAAAATACTTTAGTGACCCTCTATTGATCAAATGACAAAACACAAACTTCTTATCTTTTATTAAAGCCCCTAACAATCTGTTATATTTGCCTCATTATGTTAATTTTATCATCATTCACATCTTTCTTATTTATCTATGTATGAGTCTTTCATGCCGATGAGGTTTTTTCCCCTATGAGTATTTTTTACAAGCTGCTGCTTTTGTGAAAAAATATTTTTTCTGTTCAATACTACCCAGTTTTTACCATCTTCCAAAATTGATCTCATTAGCTGACCCCCATCATTTTCAGGCTAGTCTAGGTTAGGCGCTCTTCCACTTTCTTACTATGACACTTTCTGTTCATCATTGTCAAAGAAATGCGAACTACTTGAGGGCTGAAAATGCTTTACACAGACATACTTGATTTGCATCCTTTCCAGCTTGTGGCAGTGGGCAGGATATTTTATACTAACAGAAAGTTTTTATCTTTAACTTGTGAGTATTAATATCATATTGCAGCAGATTATTATAAGGAGTATCTGAGATTACGCATGCAAAATAGTCTCAACACATAGTACATATTCAGTAAATTTTTCTTATTGTTAACAGCGATCAGTAGAAGTATTAATTATATTTCCTCCATTCTTAGTCTCTGCTTCATAATGATTGTTTGCTTGATGTTATGTGAATAAATATATTATCTCTTTTCCATAAAGAAAATTTTATAAAAAACATTTCTGTTGTTTTGTTCAGGGCTAAACTTTTTTTGAATTTTTTAAAAACTTTTATTTTAGGTTTCAAGGTACATATGAAGTTCTGTTACACAGGTGAACTTGTGTCACACAGGTTTGTTGTCCAGATTATTTCATCATTCAGGTATTAAGCCCAGCACCCAATAGTTACCTTTTCTGCTTCTCTCCCTCTTCCCATCCTCCACCCTCAAGTAGACCCTGGTGTCTGTTGTTTCCTTCTTCGTGTCCAGTGTTCCCAACATTTAGTTCCCACTTATAAGCAAGAACCTCTGGTATTTGGTGTTCTGTTCCTGTGTTAGTTTGCTGAGGAGAATAGCCTCCAGCTCCATCCATGTTCCCGCAAAAGACATGATCTCATTCTTTTTTATGGCTGCATAGTATTCCATGGCGTATTTGTACAACATTTTCTTTATCCAATCTGTCATTGATGGGCATTTAGGTTGATTCCATGTCTTTGCTATTGTGAATAGTGCTGCAATGAACATTCGTGTGCATGTGTCTTTATGGTAGAATGATTTATATTCTTCTGAGTATATACCAAGCGATGGGATTGCTGAATTAAATGGTATTTTTGCTTTTAGCTTTTTGAGGAATCAAGATACTATTTTCCACAATGGTCGAGCTAATTTACATTCCCATCAATCTTGGAGTAAGTAAAATTAACATGTACTGGGACAACTCTCAAAAGCTTCCTAGAGGAAGAAAAACCTGGGATTTTATGGAAAGTGTAACTAATTCAGTAATCATTTTCTGGTTACCTACTATGTACTAGGAACTGTTCTAGACATAAGTGATACATAAGTCGGAATTCCTGATATCATGGACCTTACATTCTGGTAGTGGAAAAGGAAAAGGTGTACACAATAATGTAATTGGCTAATCTCAAGTCCTGATAAGAAAGAAAATAGAATGATGTTTTTATGAGAATAAAAGATAGGATCCTCTCAGAACACACGAATGGCTTCCCTGGGCTGATAAATGTGGGAGAATAATACAGTCACTTCCTTCTGGTTCTGTAACTAGAGACACAGGGCGTGATGTCTGCTCTTTGTAACTCGGGACCCTTGAGAAGGTAGGCTGCTCACAGGCACCGCCTGCTCCTCCTCATTCCCTCTGCTGAAGCAAAAACAAAAAACAAAAACAGAGTCTTCTCTTCCTGTGAGCCTCAGCCAGAAGCATCACACCAAAAAAAAAAAAAAATCAAGTTCATCAAAATGAAAGACAAAAGACAAGCTGCCTCCTACACCTCTGTTGGTTAGTTTGCTGTAAAGTGAAACAGCTGCTAAGAAATGACAGAGCTTATTGAAATAAATTCCAATATTTGTAATAAAGTACCTGGCCCTGTCTGGAAACCGCTGCTTTAAGAGCACTTTCAACAGAAGCTGAAGAGGCAGGTGCTCATCTCCCTTTAATTCCTTCCTACCAGAACTTTCTCGCCTCTTTCTCTGTCTCTTGGTAAAAAATAAAAATCATCTCTCATGAAGGGTATATGTTCTTCTTATTATTCCTCTTTTTTAAAAATGCTTCCCCAAATCCAGCAGATCATGTCACTGCTGTTTGACCTTCAGGAATGCAGTCCAGTCGTTGAAGCTCCTCCAAAGGCCTTTCCTGACAGAAGGTCTTAAAATAAAGCCCTTAGGTTTTTCTTTGCACAATCGTCTGTCATCTCTGCCCAGAGACTTAGTGGATGGTGTGAGGACACTTGTCTGAATGAGGAGCAGCCCCTAGCCTAACTGTGACTCTCCCCTTTCTTTCCCTCCACTGCACATTTGAAATGTCTATTCCCTTTGTTTTTTTTTTCAATTTTATTTTATTGTGGTCAGAACACTTAATGTGAAATCTACCCTTTTAGCAAAATTTTGAGTGCACAATAGAACATCACTGACTATAGGTACAACATGGTACACGAAATTTCTAGAACTTAATTATCTTGCTTCACTGAAACTTTACACCCATGAATTAGCAACTCCCCATTGGTGCTGGTTAATTATATGTGTCAACTTGATTGGGCTAAGGGATGCCCAGAGAGCTGGTAAAACATTGTTTCTGGGTGTGTCTGTGACTCATGGTGTTTTTGAAAGAGATTAGCGTCAGTAGACTGGGTATAGAAGATCCCCCTCTTACCCATGTATTGGGCCTCATCCAGTTTGTGGAGGGCCTGAATGGAACAAAAAGAAGGAAGTGTGAATTCTCTCTCTCTCTGCTTGAGCTGGGACATTCATCTCTTCCTGGCCTTGGACAGGTTCTCCGGCATTCGAGTTTGGACTGGAGGAACTACATGAATGGCTTTCCTGGGTCTTCAGCATATGGATGGCAGATCATGGGACTTCTTGGTTCCCATAACCGCATGAGCCAATTCTTCATGATAAATAATAATTATATATATATATATATATGTATATATAGTGTGTGTTTATATATATATGTACTGTCTCTCAGTAAAAACAAAAATGATCTCTTATAAAGGGTATATGTTCTTCTTCTTCCTCTTTTTATTTGATTGTGTGTGTGTGTGTGTGTGTTTATTTTACTTTAAGTTCGGTGATACATGTGCTGAACATGCAGGATTGTTACATAGGTATACATGTGCCATGGTGGTTTGCTGTACCTATCAACCCGTCATCTAAGTTTTAGGCTCCTCATGCATTAGGTGTTTGTCATAATGCTCTCCCTCCCCTTTCCCCCCACCTGGCAACAGGCCCTGGTGTGGGATGTTCCCCTCCCTGTGCCCCATGTGTTCACGTTGTTCAGCTCCCATTTATGAGTGAGAACATGTGGTGTTTGGTTTTCTGTTCCTGTGTTAGTTTGATGAGAATGATGGTTTCCAGCTTCATCTATGTCCCTGCAAAGGACATGAACTCATTATTTTTTATAGCTGCATAGTATTCCATAATGTATATGTGCCACATTTTCTTTATTGAGTCTATCATTGATTGGCATTTGGGTTGGTTCCATGTCTTGCTATTGTAAATAGTGCTGCAATAAACAAACGTGTGCATGTGTCTTCATAGCAGAATGATTTCTAATCCTTTGGGTATATACCCAGTAATGGGATTGCCGGGTCAAATAGTATTTCTGGTTCTAGATCCTTGTGGAATTGCCACACTGTCTTCCACAATGGTTGAACTAATTTACACACCCACCAACAATGTAAAAGCATTCCTATTTCTCTGCATCCTCATCAGCATCTGTTGTTTCCAGACTTTTTAATGATCATCATTCTACCTGGCGTGAGGTGGTATCTCATTGTGGTTTTGAATTGTATTTCTCTGATGACCAGTGATAATGAGCTTTTTTTTTTTTTACATGTTTATTGGCCACGTAAATGTCTTCTTTTGAGAAGCATCTGTTCATATTCTTCACCCACTTTTTGATGACATTGTTTTTTCTTATAAATTTTTTTAAGTTCCTTGTGGATTCTGGATATTAGACCTTGTCAGATGAATAGATTGAAAAATTTTCTCCCATTCTGTAGGTTGCCTGACGATAGTTTCTTTTGCTGAGCAGAAGCTCTTTAGTTTAATTAGATCCCATTTGTCAATTTTGGCTTTTGTTGCAATTGCTTTGCTGTTTTGTCATGAAGTCTTTGCCCATGCCTATTCCCTTAATGGTGTTGCCTAGGCTTTCTTCCAGGGTTTTTATAGTTTTGGGTTTTACATTTAAGCCTTTAATCCATCTTGAGTTAATTTTTGTATAAGGTGTAAGGAAGGGTTCCAGTTTCTTTTTTCTGCATATGGCTAGCCAGATTTCCCAGCACCATTTTTTAAATAGGGTATCCTTTCCCCATTGCTTGCTTTTGTCAGGTTTGTCGAAGATCAGAGGGTTGTAGACATGTGGTGTTCTTTCTGAGGCCTCTGTTGCTTTCCATTGGTCTATATACATGTTTTGGTATGAGTACCATGCTTTTTGGTTACTGTAGCCTTATAGTTTGAAGTCAGGTAGCATGATGCCTCCAACTTTGTTCTTTTTGCTTAAAATTATCTGGGCTATATGGGCTCTTTTTTGGTTCCATATGAAATTTAAAGTAGTCTTATCTAATTCTGCAAAGAAAGTCAATGGTAGCTTGATGGGAATAGCATTGAAGGTATAAGTTACTTTGGGCAGTATGTCCATTTTCACGATATTGATTCCTCCTGTCCATGAGCATGGAATGTTTTTGCATTTGTTTGTGTTCTCTCTTATTTCCTTGAGCAGTGGTTTGTAGTTCTCCTTGAAGAGGTAATTCACATCCGTTTTAAGTTGTATTCCTAGATATTTTATTCTCTTTGTAGCAATAGTAAATGGGAGTTCTTTCATGATTTGGCTCTCTGGTGGTCTATTGTTGGTGTATAGGAATGCTTGTGATTTTTGCACATTGATTTTGTATCCTGAGAGCTTGCTGAAGTTGCTTATCAGCTTAAGGAATTTTTGGCTGGGATGATGGGACTTTCTAAATATGCAATCATGTCATCTGCAAACAGAGACAATTTGACTTCCTCTCTTCCTATTTAAATACCCTTTATTTCTTTTTCTTGCCTGATTGCCCTCACCAGAACTTCCAATACTATGTTGAATAGGAGTGGTGAGAGAGGGCACCCTTGTCTTGTGCCGGTTTTCAAAGGGAATGCTTCCAGGTTTTGCCTATTCAGTATGATATTGGCTGTGGGTTTGTCATAAATAGCTCTTATTATTTTGAGGTACGTTCCATCAATGCCTAGTTTATTTAGAATTTTTAGCATGAAGGGGTGTTGAGTTCTATCAAAGGCTTTTTCTGCATCTATTGAGATAGTCATGTGGTTTTTGTCATTGGTTCTGTGTATGTGATGCATTACGTTTATTGTTTTGCACATGTTGAACCAGCCTTTCATCCCAGGGGTGAAGCTGACTTGATTGTGGTGGATAAGCTTTTTGATGTGCTGCTGGATTCGGTTTGACAGCATTTTATTGAAGATTTTCACATCGATATTCATCAGCAATATTGGCCTGAAATTTTCTTTTTTTGTTGTGTCTCTGCCAGGTTTTGGAATCAGAATGATGCTGGCCTCATAAAATGAGTTTGGAGGAGTCCCTCTTTTTCTATTGTTTCGAATAGTTTCAGAATAAAGGGTACCAGCTTCTCTTTGTACCTCTGGTATAATTCGGCTGTGAATCCGTCTGGTCCTGGACATTTTTTGGTTGGTAGGCTATTAATTTCTGCCTCAATTTCAGAGCTTGTTATTAGTCTATTCAGGGATTTGACTTCTTCCTGGTTTAGTCTTGGAAGGGTGTGTGTGTCCAGGAATTTATCCACTTCTTCTAGATTTTCTAGTTTATTTGTCTAGAGGTGTTTATAGTATTCTCTCATGGTAGTTTGTATTCACTGGTGAAATCCCCTTTACTATGTTTATTTTGTCTATTTGATTCTTCTCTCTTTTATTCTCTATTTGTCTGGCTAGCGGTCTATCTATTTTGTTTCTCTTTTCAAAAATCCAGCTCCTGGATTCATTGATTTTTTTGAAAGTTTTTGTGTGTGTGTCTTTATCTCTTCCATTTCTGACCTGATCTTAGTTATTTCTTGTCTTCTGCTAGCTTTGGAATTTGTTTGCTCTTGCTTCTCTAGTTCTTTTAATTGTGCTGTTAGGGTATTGATTTTAGATCTTTCCCACTTTCTCCTGTGGGCATTTAGTGCTATAAATTTGTCTCTTAACACTGCTGTAGCTGTGTCCCAGAGATTCTGATACATTGTCTCTTTGTTCTCATTGGTTTCAAAGAACTTTGTTATTTCTGTCTTAATTTTGTTATTTTTCCAGTAGTCATTCAGGAGCAAGTTGTTCAGTTTCCAGGTATTTGTGCAGTTTTGAGTGAGTTTCTTAATACTCAGCTCTAATTTGATTGCACTGTGGTCTGAGAGGCTGTTTGTTATGATTTCCATTCTTTTGCATTTGCTGAGGAGTGTTTTACTTCTAAATATGTGGTCAGTTTTAGAATAGGTGCTATGTGCTGCTGAGAAGCATGTATATTCTGCTGATTTGGGGTGGAGAGTTCTGTAGATATCTGTTAGTTCTGCTTTGTCCAGAGCTGAGTTCAAGTCCTAAATATACTTGTTAATGTTCTGTCTCGTTGATCTGTCTAATATTGACAATGGGATGTTAAGGTCTCTAACTATTATGGTGTGGGAATCTAAGTCTCTTTCTAGGTCTCTAAGAACTTGCTTTATGAATCTGGGTGCTCCTGTATTGGGTGAATATATATTTAGGATAGTTAGCTCTTCTTGTTGCATTGATCCCCTAACCATTATGTAATGACCTTCTTTGTCTTTTTTTATCTTTGTTGGTTTAAAGTATGTTTTATCAGTCTAGGATTGCAACCTCTGCTTTTTGTTTTTTCCTTCCATTTGCTCTGTAAATATTCCTCTGTCTCTTTATTTTGAGCCTATGTGTGTCTTTGCACATGAGATGGGTCTCCAGCATATGGCACACCTATGGCTCTTGACTCCATTCATTTTGCCAGTCAGTGTCTTTTAATTGGGGCATTTAGCCCATTTATATTTAAGGTTCATATTGCTATGTGTGAATTTGATCCTTCCATCATGATGCTAGCTGGTTATTTTGCACGTTAGTTGATGCAGTTTCTTCATAGTGTCATTGGTCTTTATATTTTGGTGTGTTTTTGCAGTGGTTGGTACTTGTTTTTCCTTTCCATATTTAGTGCTTCCTTCAGGAGCTCTTGTATTCCATATTTAGTGCTTCCTTCAGGAGCCTGGTGGTGACAAAATCTCTCAGTGTTTTCTTGTCTGTAAAGGATTTTATTTTCCCTTCACTTATCAAACTTAGTTTGGCTGGATATAAAATTCTGGGTTGAAATTCTTTTCTTTAAGAATGTTGAATATTGGCCCCCACTCTCTTCTGGCTTGTAGGGTTTCTCCAGAGTGATTCGCCATTAGTCTGATGGGCTTCCCTTTGTAGGTAACCTGACCTTTCTCTCTGGCTGCACTTAACATTGTTTTCCTTCATTTCAACCTTGAAGAATCTGATGATTATGTGTCTTTGGGTTGCTCTTTTTGAGGAGTATCTCAGTGGTGGTCCCTGTATTTCCTGAATTTGAATGTTGGTCTGTCTTGCTAGGTTCGGGAAGTTCTCCTGGATAATATCCTGAAGTGTGTTTTCCAACTTGGTTCCATTCTCCCCTTCACTTTCCTCGTGCTGTGTCTTTCAGCTCCATCAAGTCATTTATGTTCTTCACTAAACTGGTTATTCTAGTTAGCAGTTCTTGTAACCTTTTGTCAAGGATCTTAGCTTCCTTGCATTGAATTAGAACATGCACCTTTAGCTCAGAGGAGTTTGCTATTAAGAGGCCTTCTGGTTTTTGGAATTTTCAGCATTTTTGCCCAGGTTTTTCCTCATCTTTATGGATTTATCTACCTTTGATTTTTGAGGTTGATGATCTTTGGATGGGGTTTCTATGTGGGGGTTCTTTTTGTTGATGTTGATGTTATTGCTTTCTGTTTGTTAGTTTTCCTTCTAACAGTCAGGCCCCTCTGCTGCAGGTCTGCTGCAGTTTGCTGGAGGTCAACTCCAGACACTTTTTGGCTGGGTATCACCAGTGGAGGCTGGAGAACAGCAAAGATTGATGCCTACTCCTTCCTTTGGAATTTTCATCCCAGAGGGGCACTGGCCTGATGCCAGCTGGAGATCTCCTGTGTGAGATGTCTGTCAACCCCTGTTGGGAGGTCTCTCCCAGTCAGGAGGCATGGGAGTTAGGGACCCACTTGAGGAGGCAGTCTGTCCCTTAGCAGAGCTCCAGTGCTGTGCTGGTAGAACCCTCCTTGTCAGGATCCACTGCTTTCTTCACAGCTGGCAGGCAGGAATGGAACATTTAAGTCTGCTGAAGCTAAGCCCACAGCCACCCCTTCCCCTAGGTGCTCTGTCCCAGTGAAATGGGAGTTTTATCTATAAGCCCCTGAGTGGGGCTGCTGCCTTTCTTTCAGAGAGGTCCTGCCCAGTGAAGAGGAATCTAGAGAGGCAGTCTGGCTACAGCCCTTTTGCTGCGCTGTGTTGAGTTCCCCCCAGTCCTTAGCACTGTGAGGGGGTAAACCACCTACTCAATCCTCAGTAATGGTGGATGCCCCTCCCCGCACCAAGCTCTATCATCCCAGATGAATTTCAGACTGCTGTGCTGGCAGGGAGAATTTCAAGCCAGTGGTTCTTAGCTTGCTTGGCTCTGTGGGAGTGGGTCCCGCTGAGCAAGACCACTTGGTTCCCAGGCTTCAGCCCCCTTTCAGGGGAGTGAATGGTTCTGTCTCACTGGGGTTCCAGGTGCCACTCAGTTGGAAATGCCAAAATCACCCATCTTCTGCATTGGTCTCGCTGAGAGCTGCAGACCAGAGCTGTTCCTATTCGGCCATCTTGCCAACAGCAAGGCTAAACTTTTTAACCTACTTTATTGATTTCAGGCAAGCAAATGCTTATGCGGAACTTAGGTCTTTGACTCTACCTGTGATTTTGCTTTTTGGGAAAAATTAATTTTTGAGCATAAACTAATTTAAGTTATACTGTACTGTTTGTTAATATTAATAAAAACAAACACTACAAAATAAACCTCAACTCTAATGATGGCCAGATTTTCACATTTGTCTTATGTTACAAATTAACCAAGTTCTAAACAATGTGGTCACACAAAACCTAGAGAAACAAATGTTAAGTATAGAGCATTTACATAAAGAAATGTTGAAATAACTTATTCAAAATAAATATGTTTCTACTGCCACCAAAATTGTTTGTACTGTCAGAATAAACTTATAACTTATGAATAAAACCAATAGGTCTCATCGGGAAAGTGACCCCATGATATTGCCATCAAAATTTATTATTTGTTTCAATATAAGGTAGCTTTAAAACATTTTTACCCTACAAAATTCACTATGCATAATATTCAAATTAAGAAGTTTCAGATGACAAGTATAAATTAGGTAAACTTAAAATGTCATTTTCTTAAGTTAAAAGTCTTTCCCTTCCATAGCTAATTCTCAAACTCATTATTCCAATTAATCAGGTAGTCAACCTACATTCTTTAATACTTTTTAGGAAGCATGGAAGACAATAAGCAGAATATAAAGAACTATAACATTGTGTATAGTATGCCACCTTTTGTGTTTAAACTGGATATGTATGTGTGTGTGTGTGTGTGTGTAGACAAGTGGATATGTGTATATTTAAAAGACATATATTAATATGCAGCATATTATACATTATTTTTGTGCTTGTCTATGCAACAAGTATTGCAAATATCTCCAACAGGAAACATAAGAAAATTAAGTACTGTTTGCTGAACATTGGGTTGGAAAGATCATTGGGGCTAAGACAAATAAAAAGAGAGAAAAGGAAACTCACCTGTCACCTTGAAACCGTTTGTAATATTTTAATTTTTTTACACATATGTATATATTAACTACTGAAACAACAATTTAAATTTTGAAAAAATGTTTCTCTTTAAAATACTTACAATTGGCTTGTCAAGAAAAGAATACATGAAAAGTTTAGAGGAAAGATCTCCATCTCCAAAATATTATAACATAAAAAATATACAAATTACATTGAAGGAAAGCATGCAAAAATGTGGAAAGTGAGTGGCACTGACAGTAAATGCTCTAAGGATCTAGAGAAGGAATAGCTGGAGTGGTCCAGATAAGTTTCATAGATAAAATGGGACCCTAATTGTAGTTTACAATATTGAAAATAATTTTGTATGCAAAGAGAATGAATTTCCCAGCATTTCACTTCTGTTTGTTCAAAGCAATTGAGTTCATTTTCTTTCACTGTTGTCAGAACCTAGTGTGATTTTCTTTCATTAACAATGTATAGAATATTTATGTGTTCTCTGCAGGTCTGCAGTAGTTGAAATGCTATATAATTAAACTTATTTTTGTGCTGTCATGATTGAATTTACTTAAGTAGACTTGTAGATGTTTTTACTGTAACTAAAAACTAGATTCAAATTCATTTTTATGTGATTTTAATATCTATAACTTAAAAAAAAGAAAGGTTAATGTTTATTTTTAGAATTTAGAAATTTGGTTTTTTTTGTCAGTTTGGTATAGATAAGAGTTTTAATATTTTTTAAAAAGGAGAGCTAAAGAAGCATATCTTGTATCTACTTTTCTTCCCTCCCTCCTTTTTAAATAGCCTTACTTTTCTTTCTAATATTCATTTTTGATACTATTTTAGTATTAATGACTAAACTTGCTTTATGAGTATTTATTACCTAATGAACATGAATTTTAGTGACAACTTTGGCCTTATATTTACTGAAGCTTAGATTTGCATCTAAAGCAGTGTGGATTTTCAGATGGAATTGTTCAAATCTAATTTTTGCATTGTCTCATTTTTGTTTCACCTCATGGTTGATTTGTTAATATGAATATAAACGACAATTTCTTGAAATAAGTCAATTCACAGAACTAAAGTCAGCTTTCTTTGTACACATTGAAAAAGTTTTGGGCAAGAAGTATGGGTTAAAAATTACTAAGAAATTGTTAAGAATAATTTAATGTTTAATATTATAATTAGTATAAAGCATGAGTATGTAATAAAAAATTTTCCTCCAGAGTAAGTAAAAAATATTTATTTGTCATAAATAAACAAATTAATGTGAAAATCTCTGCCACTGCATTGGAGTTTACCACTCATGTTATTTTATCATATGATAAATTATGATTTGCCCTAAGAAAAAAAAATCCCTGATAATTGGGTCATGTACATTCAAGCTCTTATTTTGTCGTTGCTGAAATTAGATATGCAAAATATTTTACTTTAAAGGATGTTTTAAAAATGTTAATTTGGTAACTTTTAGATGGCACATAAATATGTATGATACACATGAATATGACTCACAATTTGTAAGTCTGAAATATGCTTCTTTAAAATCGAGATTTAAATATTTTTGTTGATAATGTATTCATGGGGTACATGTGAGTATATATTACATGCATAGAATATGTGATAATCAAGCCAAGGTATTTGGGATATTCGTAAACTTAAGTATTTATTTTTTCTATTTATTGGGAATATTTCAAGTCCTCTCTTCCAGCTACTTTGAAGTATAAAATATGTTGTTGCCAACTATAATCAACCTATTATGCTATTGAACATTAGAACTTATTTCTTCTATATAAATGCATGTCTGTACCTAGTAACTGACTTACTTTTATCCCCCCCTCTCACCCAAACACTCTTCCCAGTCTTTGGTATCTATCATTCTATACTCTATCTCCAAGAAGTCAACTTTTTTTGCTCCTGCATGTATGGAAAAACACGCAATGTTTGTCTTTCTGTGGCTGGCGTATTTCATTTAACTTAATGACCTCCAATTCCATCAATGTTGCTGCAAATGACATTATTTTATTCATCTTTATGCTCAAATAATATTTAATTGTGTGCGTGTATATATATATATATATATATATCACATTTTCTTTATTCATTCATCCCTTGGTGAACACTTAGTTTGATTCTACAACTTTGCTATTAGTAATGCTGTGACAAACGTGTGTGCAGCTATACCTTTGGTATAGTGATATCTTTCCTTTGAATAAGTACTCAGTACTGAGATTGCTGAATGGTATGGTAGTTCTATTTTTAGTTTCTTTTTTAAATTTTTTTTTTACTTCAATAGGTTTTTGGTGGACAGTTGGTGTTTGATTACATGAATAAGTTATTTAGTGGTGATTTCTGAGATTTCGGTGCACCCATCACCTGAGCAGTGTACACTGTACCCAATGTGTAGTCTTTTATCCCTCACAACACCCCAGCCTTTTCCCCGAGTCTCCAAAGTCCAAGGTATTATTCTTATGCTTTTGCATCCTCATAGCTTAGCTCCCACTTATGACTAAGAACATATGATATTTGGTTTTCCATTCCTGAGTTGCTTCACTTAGAATAATATTCTCCAGTTTCATCCAGGTTGCTGCAAATGCCATTAACTTGTTCCTTTCATGGCTGAGTGGCACTTCATTGTACATATATACAACAATTTCTTAATCTACTCATTGAATGATGGACATTTGGGCTTGTTTCATATTTTTGCAATTGCGAATTGTGATGCTATAAACATGTGTGTGCAAGTATCTTTTTCATATAATGACTTACTTTCCTCTGGGTAGATACCTAGTAGTGGGATTGCTGGATCAAACAGTAGATCCACTTTTTGTTATTTAAGGAATCTCTACACTGTTTTCCATAGTGGTTGTGCTAGTTTACATACCTACTAACAATGTAAAGGTGTTCACTTTTCACCACATCCCCACCAACATCTATTATTTTTTTAATTTTTTGATTATGGCCATTCTTGCAGGAGTAAGGTGGTATCTCATGGTGGTTTTGATTTGCATTTCCCTGATAATTTTTGATACTCAGCGTTTAACCATATGCTTGTTGGACATTTGTATGTCTTCTTTCTAGAATTGTTTATTCATGTCCTTATCCCACTTTTTGATGGGATTGCTTGTTTTTTTTTCTTGCTGATTTGTTTATTTGTAGATTCTGGATAATAATACGTTTTTGGATGTATAGATTGTGAAGATTTTCTCTCACTCTGTGGGTTGTCTGTTAACTCTGCTGATTATTAGGGGGTTTTTTTGTTTTGTTTTTTTTTTTTTTGCTTTGTAGAAGCTTTTTAGTTTAATTAAGTCCCATCTTTTTGTCTCTCTTTGTTGCATTTGCTGGACCATTGTCCAAGTTAGACCATATGTTAGGCCACAAAACAATTCTCAGTAAATTTAAGATAATCAAAATTATATCAAGTACTCTCTCAGACCACAATGGGATAAAATTGAAAGTGAACTCCAAAACAAATGCTTATAACCACGAAAATATATGGAAATCAAATAACCTGCTTCTAAATGTTTGTTGGGTCAACAATGAAATCAAGATGGTAAGAGGAAAGTTCATAGCATAAGCACCTACATCAAAAAGTCTGAAAGAGCACAAACAGACAGTCTAAGGTCACACCTCATGAAACTAGAGAAACAAAAAAAATCCAAAACTAAAGCCAGCAGAAGAAAAGGAATAACGAAGATCAGATCAGAACTAAATGAAATTAAAACAAAAAAATACAAGAAATAAATGAAACTAAAAACTGGTTCTTTGAAAAGATAAATAAAATTGATAGATCATTAATGAGATTAGTCAGGAAAAGAAGAGAGAAGATCCAAATAAGCTCAATTAGAAATGAAATGGAAGACATTAAAGCTGATACCACACAAAGACAAAAGATTATCAAGGTTACTATGAACACCTTTATGTGCATAAACTAGAAAACTTAGAGGAAATGGATAAATTCCTGGAAATATACAGCTCTCCTAGATTAAACAAGAAAGATATAGAATATCTGAACAGACTAATAACAAGCAGAAGCAGTGAGATTGAATGGTAATAAAAAAATTGCCAACAACAAAAAAAGAGTCCAGGACCAGATGGATTCACAACTGAATTATATCAGAAATTCAAAGGATAATTGGTACCAGTCATATGAACACTATTTCAAAAGAAAGAGGAAAAGAGAATCCTCCCTGAATCATTCTATGAAACTGGTGTCACCCTAATACCAAAACCAGGAAAGAACATAATTAAAAAAGAAAACCGCAGGCCAATATCCCTGATAAACATAGATGCAAAAATCCTCAAGAAAATTCTAGCAAAGCGAATCCAACAGCATATGAAAAAGATAATCCACTATGATCAAGTGGGTTTCATACCAGGGATGCAGGGATGGTTTAACATACATAAGCCAATAAATGTGGTACTCTACATACACAGAATTAAAAACAAAAATCACATGATTATCTCAATAGACACAAATAAAGTATTTGACAAAATGGCTGAGCAGATTTGTCCTCAGGCTCAATACTGTTGCATACAGGTGCCTACCATGGTAGACAGGGGTGGGGTAATACCCAGACACCCAGAACAATGTTTGGGTGAGACTGGTAGTTGCTACACTGTAGCCCTTTTACTGGGGAAGGTGGGGCTACCTTCAGTAGAAAGATAGCCTAGTCTGGCAAGTGGGGAAAACACACCCTCCTCACACTTCAGTACAGCGGTGGCAGTTCACACTTCATTTCTGTGTCAGCCCCAACGCAGCAGTAGCTCATGCTGGGACCCAGGACAGTGTTCGGTCTGTTGTGGGCTGGGCCTGTAAAATAGCATCTGCAGCTGCTTATAACAAAGGAAGGGGTGGGACCCTCCACAAGCTGCTTCCCTGGAGCAATGCCATTGCACAATCTCCAGTTAGCTCTGTATGTTAGTTACAGGGCCCATGAGCGTCTGGGGGCTCTCCAGTGGCTAGGAATGCAAGCATGTTTCATGAGAATATGGACTACTGGGGGTCTATCACTCACCCTTTCCCTGCATGGGGAAGTCTCCTTAGGCTCCCAGCTGATCCTGACTGAGCAGGAAGTCTCACTTTCTTTTTCTTCCCATTTTACATTTTCCTGTCAATTTTCTGTTGAATTCCAGTGTTTTCTCTTGGATGGCCTCTTCAAAGTATGATTAACTACATACTACTTTGGTTTTCCTTGGTGGAGGAGGTGAATACAAGATGACTTTAATCAGCCTTCTGGAAGCCCTCCCCTGAGATCTACTCCCTTAACCAATATTTAGATATTTTAAAAGAAACTTATGAATATTTTCAGCTTAATTTTACCCATTTGTTGAGTGGTTACTATGTACAATGTATTTTGCTAAGCACTTTACTTAGACCATAATATTTAATCCTCACAAAAATGCTAAGATAGCAGAGAGTATCTATTATTTTTTAGAATAAAGTACAAAGTGTTTCACTTTTCATTATCAAAAGTGTCAGAAACAGAACTCTAATCCAGGCTGTCTTGCTAAAATTCAATGTCCCATAATGATATTTAAGTTCAATACAATCTCAATCAAAATTCTATTAATTTCTGCATGAAAATTGAGAAAATTATTCTACAATGTGTACAAAACCAGAAAGAACCATGCTGGTCCAGGAGAATTTTGAAGTACTACAAGTTAACTGATATACATCACCCAACATTGAAATTTATTATAAGGATATAGAAATAAAAGCAGTGTGTTGTTGGCATATGGATACATAGTTAAGAAAAGAGAATCCAGAAAAGTCATAAACAGACCTCTGGGCCCTTGGTTTTTGACAAAGGTAACATAGCTAGAAGATGGGAGGGATAATAATCATTTTATTTAAAAAACATTGTGGGTACACAGTAGGGGTGCATATTTATGGGTTACATGAGATACTTTGGTACAGGGCTGCAGTGAATAATAACAAAATCACAAACAATTCAATTATACTCTTAGTCATTTTAAAATGTAAAATTAAATTATTAATGACTATGGTCCCCCAGTTGTGCTATCAAATAGTAGGTCTTATTCATTCCTTCTATTTTTTGTACCCATTAACCATTCCCCCCTCCCTCCTGCCCACTGCCCACTACCCTTTCCATCCTCTAGTAGCCATCATTCTACCCTCTATCTCCATTAATTCAACTCTTTTGATTTTTAGATTCCACAAATAAGAGAGAATATGTGAGGTTTGTCTTTCTGTTCCTGGCTTATTTCACTTAACATAATCACCTACAATTCTATTCTTGTTGTTGTAAATGACAGGATCTCATTCTTTTTCATGGAGGAATAGTACTACATTGTGTATATGTACCACATTTTCTTTATGCATTCATCTGTTGATGAAGTCTTGGGTTACTTCCAAATCTTGACCATTGTGAACAGTGCTGCAACAAACATGGGAGTGCATATATTTCTTTGGTATACTGATTTCCTTTCTTTTGGGTATATACCCAGCAGTGGAATTGCTGGATCATATGGTAGCTCAATTTTTAATTTTTTGAGTAATCTCTAAACTGTTCTTCATAGTGGTTTTATTAATTTACATTTCCACCAACAGTGTACAGGGGTTTCCTTTTCTCCACATCCTTGCCAGCTTTTGTTATTGCCTGACATCTGGATATAATAATAATAATAATATAAGGCATTTTGACTGGGGTGAGATGATATCTCACTGTAGTTTAGATGTACATTTCTCCGATGATCAATGATGTTGAGCACATTTTCATATGTCTGTTTGCCGTTTGTATGTCTTCTTTTGAGAAATGTCTATTCAAATCTTTTGCCCATTATTTTATGAAATTATTAGGTTCTTCTTTTTCTTTCTTTCTTTCTTTCTTTTTTTTTTTTTTTAAATGGAGTCTCACTTGGTCGCCCAAGCTGGAGTGCCATGGCACGATCTCGGCTCACTGCAACCTCCGCCTCCTGGGTTCAAGCAATTCTCCTGCCTCAGCCTCCCGAGTAGCTGGGATTACAGACACATGCCACCACACCCAGCTAATTTTTGTATTTTGTATTTTGTATTTGTGAATCAATTAATATTCAGAATATATAGAGAACACCTACAATTCAATAACAACAACAACAACCTGATATTACAAATGTGCAAAGTACTTGAACAGACATTTCTCCAAAGAAGGTATACAAATAGTCGTTAAGTACATTTAAAGATACCTATAATCAGTAATCTTAGGGAAACACAAATCATATTCACAAATAAATATCACTTTACACCCATTAAAATGTGTTGTATCAAAAAATACAAACAATAACAAGTATTGAAAAAGAGTGTGAATAAATTAGAAGCCTTGTGTATTGCTGTAAGGAATGTACATTGGTGCAACCACTGTGAAACTGACATGGTGGTTTCTAAAGAGTAAACATCTAATTATCATATGATGTAACAACTTCACTTCTAGGTATATATGCTAAAGTATCTAAAGCAGGGACTCAAACACATTTGTATACCCATGTTCACGGCAACATTATTCACAATAGCCACAATAAGAAAGCAATTTGAGTGTCTGTTGACAGATGAATGGATTAACAAGATGTTTATACATAAGATAGAATGATATTCATCTTTATTATGAATTGAACGATGAATTCTGACATACACTATACCTTGAATAACTTTGAAGACATTTTGCTAAGTGAAATATAAAACAAACCCGTCACAAGATGACACATATTGTATAAATCCAATGATATAAAGTACTTAAAGTAGTCAAATTCATAAAGACAGAAAGTAGAAGTGTGGTTGTCAGGGGCTGGTGATTGTGGAGAAATGGACTGTTATTGTTTAATGGGTATGGATTTCTTTTTGTTTGTAAAGATGTAAAAGTTCTGAAAATGTTTTGCACTAGTTCTGAGGCTAGTGCATATGGTTGAACAAAGTGTGAATGTATTCAATGCCCCAGAACTGCCCACTTAAAATGTCTAAAATGGCAGCTGTTATGTATATTGTACCGCAATCAAAAAGCATGCCAAATAATGGACTAAACTTTTGATGTTTGTACTCCTTAGTAAATCATTTCACTCTCTACCCATTTACCACTTCTTACGTGGATTACTACCACCTATTTGGAAAGCACAGGTTTAGTCGAGCAGCTTGAGTCTCTTAAAACATAAAAGGACTATATGAAATGTGTTTGATAGCAGGTTAGGGTGACTACAGTTCACAGAAATGTATTGTATTCAGATGATGGATACACTAAGCAGACTTACTTGACCACCACTTATTGTATATATGTAACAAAATTTCACATGTACCCCATAAATTTTTAACAATAAAAAAATAGAAATAAGAGGTGAAAAAAATTCAGCTTCCTAAATTCAGAGAGAGAAGCAGTCTTACTACTAATTCTTATATCCTGATTCCCAACTCACTGCTCATCTATGAGGAAAGTTTCTCATGTGAAATCTCCAAAATAAGAAAAGTGTAATATGTTTCCATGGTGTAAATTGATTGCATTTAAATGACTACTCTTGGGTGATAGAAGAAACTATGGTACATACACACAAAATGGGTGTATAATATTACCATAAAGAGAAGGCAGTCTGTTTCTATGTATTGCTATGAGAGAATCTCCAGGATACATTGTTAAGCAAACAAAGTAAGGTGGAGATAATTCTATATAGTATGTGATCATTTATCTAAGAAAGAAAGGTATGATATATGCATTCCCTTATGTTTAAAATGTTAAAAAAATAAGGTAACTGATAGGAGAAAATTGGGAGCAGAAAAGCAGCTGGATAGTAGACTTCTTTGAATATGTTTTGTAGAATGGTTTTCTTTTCTTTTTTGTATTTTTTTTTAATTATACTTTAAGTTCTAGGGTACATGTGCACAATGTGCAGGTTTGTTACATATGTATACATGTGCCATGTTGGTGTGCTGCACCCGTTAACTTGTCATTTACATTAGGTATATCTCCTAATGCTATCCCTCTTCCCTCCCCACACCACACGACAGGCCCCGGTGTGTGATGTTCCCCACTCTGTGTCCAAGTGTTCTCATTGTTCAGTTCCCACCTATGAGTGAGAACATGCGGTGTTTGGTTTTCTGTCCGTGTGATAGTTTGCTCAGAATGATGGTTTCCAGCTTCATCCATGTCCCTGCAAAGGACATGAACTCATCCTTTTTATGGTTGCATAGTATTCCATGGTGTATATGTGCCACATTTTCTTAATCCAGTCTACCACTGATGGACATTTGGGTTGGTTCCAAGTCTTTGCTGTTGTGAATAGTTCCATAATAAACATACGAGTGCATGTGTCTTTATAGCAGCATGATTTATAATCCTTTGGGTATATGCCCAGTAATGGAATGGCTGGGTCAAATGGTATTTGTAGTTCTAGATCCTTGAGGAATCACCACACTGTCTTCCACAATGGTTGAACTAGTTTACAGTCCCACCAACGGTGTAAAAGCGTTCCTATTTCTCCACATCCTCCCCAGCGTCTGTTGTTTCCTGACTTTTTAGTGATTACCATTTTAACTGGTGTGAGATGGTATCTCATTGTGGTTTTGATTTTCATTTCTCTGATGGCCAGTGATGATGAGCATTTTTTCATGTGTCTGTTGGCTGCATAAATGTCTTTTGAGAAGTGTCTGTTCATATCCTTCACCCACTTTTTGATGAGGTTGTTTGATTTTTTTCTTGTAAATTTGTTTAAGTTCTTTGTAGATTCTTCATATTAGCCCTTTGTCAGATGGGTAGATTGTAAGCCAAAAGAACAAAGCTGGAGGCATCATGCTACCTGACTTCAAACTATACTACAAGGTTACAGTAACCAAAACAGCATGGTACTGGTACTAAAACAGAGATATAGACCAACGGAACAGAATAGAGCCCCTGGAAATAATACCACACATCTACAACCATCAGATCTTTGACAAACTTGACAAAAACAAGAAATGAGGAAAGGTTTCCCTACTTAGTAAATGGTGCTGGGAAAACTGGCTAGCCATATGTAGAAAGATGAAACTGGATCCCTTCCTTACACCTTATACAAAAATTAATTCAAGATGGATAAGACTTAAATGTTAGTCCTAAAACCATAAAAAACCTAGAAGAAAACCTAGGCAATACCATTCAGGCCATAGGCATGGGCAAGGACTTCATGACTAAAACGCCAAAAGCAATGGCAACAAAAGCCAAAATTGACAACTGGGATCTAATTAAACTAAAGAGCTTCTGCACAGCAAAAGAAACTACCATCAGAGTGAACAGGCAACCTACAGAATGTAGAATGGTTTTCTAAGCCATCTAAATATTTTAACTAATTATACAAAAACAAAATAAAAAATGTAAAATTTGAGAGCAAATTAAATTAATAAATGCATTCAGTACTTCAACTATGCAGAGAGAACATCTTTCAAGTAACTTTAAAATATAGTGATTTGGCAGTACATTCTCAGTGAGGTCTATCCTAAAGACACAAGAAAACTTATTTCAAGAAACTTAAAAACAAAGTAATTTATCAGTAAATCCCCAGTGACATATATCTCAAGGTCAAAAATAACAAAACAATAATCTGTTTTAGTAATTATATGATTAGCAATAATATTGCAATTGTTATTCTGAAAGTCACATTGTCTTAATTTATTTTGTGTTGCTATTACACACTGCCACAGCCTGAGTAATTTATTTTTTCTGAAAAGAAATTTATTTCTTATAATTCTGGAGGCTGGAAAGTCCAAGGTCAGGGGGTCTGCATTTGGTGAGGGGAGTCTTGCTGTGTCATTTCATGGCAGAATGTGGAAGGACAAGAGAGCACGAGAAAGAAAAAGGAGGCTAGATTTGCTTTTATAAAAAGCCCATTCTTGGAATAACTAACCTACTCCTGTGATGATGACATTAATCCAATCAATAGAGTAGAACTGTCATCACAGTCCCTCCTATTGGACTTCACCTCCCGATACTGTTCTATTAGGGACTAAGTTTACAGCACATGATCATTGAGAGACACATTCAAACCACAGCAAACATAAACCAAAATATTTATATTATTGTCATGAACATTTAAGATTTTCAGTATGAAAGACTTAGAAATATAAAAATCAATGAAAATAAACAAAACCGTATAATCCTAAATAAAGGAAAAATAACTCAGTAGATTCTGACACATTAATTATGTTAAAATCTGTGATTTTATAGTATTTTTTTAAAACTCATTGGTTAACTTTGAAAGATGCCAGGGAACCAACCCATGATTCTCACAAAGCATTTATCATATTTTGACTGAATAAAGTATATCTCAGGTTAATGTATTGAAGAGTTGATGAGAGAAAGTTGTTTTTTTGGTTTGTTTGTTTGTTTGTTTTTGTTTTTGTTTTTTTTGAGACGGAGTCTCGCTCTGTCACCCAGGCTGGAGTGCAGTGGCGCGATCTCGGCTCACTGCAAGCTCCGCCTTCCAGGTTCACGCCATTCTCCTGCCTCAGCCTCCAGAGTAGCTGGGACTATAGGCGCCTGCCACCAGGCCGGCTATGTTTTTGTATTTTTAGTAGAGACGGGGTTTCACTGTGTTAGCCAGGGGATAAAGTTTTCTTAAAAAGTGAATGTATATATATAATCAAAGGAAAAATGATAAAGTAGAAAAATATGACTGGACACAGTAGCCCACGCCTGTAATCCCAGCACTTTGGGAGGGTGAGACAGGTGGATCACCTGAGGCCAGGAGCTCGAGACCAACCTGGCCAACGTGGCGAAACCCCATGTCTACTAAAGTCGAAACCCCATGTCTACTAAAAAAAAAAAAAAAAAAAAAAAAATTAGCCAAACACGGTGGCATGCACCTGTAATCCCAAAAAAAAAAAAAAAAAAAAAAAAAAAAAATTAGCCAAACACGGTGGCATGCACCTGTAATCCCAGCTACTTGGGAGTCTGAGGCACAATAATTGCTTGAGCCCGGGAAATAGAGGTTGCAGTGATCTGAGGTCACTCCAATGCGCTCCAACTTGGCCAACAGAGAGAAACTATGTCTCAAAGGAAAAAAAAAAAAGGAAAGAAAAAGAAAAAGAAAATTAACACTTTGCAAACCTTGATGAAAAAGAATGGATCTAGGCAACAATTATACATTCCTGAGAAAACCATTATGTGAAAAGCTGCTGTGTAGCTTTATGAGGAATAAATCAAACTAATGACACCTAAAAACCACTGATTAATTTTAACACCACAAAAGGTAGAGGCATTTAGACATTATGAATATTTAATACAAATATATAGATCCATATATAGACCCATCTATAAAGTATCCTTACCAAAAATTTGACCCTGTATCTGATCAGTTCTCTAGATTCAATTAATAGCATGTAGGAAATATGATGGAATGAAGAACATGTTAAATGACAGCAAAGATACTCAGAATGAGGGAAAATCTCTATGGCAAATGAAAAGATATTTTAACATATAAATTTCAAAGGAAAATATAAGAGATTGAGAAGAAAATATATAAATTAAATAAGACTTAAGAGACACATTAATCAACTAAAATGTGTAGACCTTATTTAGCTCATAATTTGGACAATTGCAAATTAAAAGAAAAAACTAATAAGATAATTGAAGAAATTTGAAAACTAATTGGATAGTTTACAATGAGGAATTATTGTTTTAAGTGAGAATGGTATTATAGTATGCTTTTAATATGAGTTATTATCTTTTAGATATATATGCAAAATATTTATGAATGATAGGATGTAATATCTAGTACCTTCTTCAAAATATCCATTAGAATTAAAAATAGGATACTTAATGATGGATATAGATGAAACAAGATTGTCTATTAGATGATAAACATGAGTCCTTATCTTTTAGATATATGAGCAAAATATTTATGAATGATATGATGTAATATCTAGTACCTTCTTCAAAATATCCATTAGAATTAAGAATAGGATACTTATGATGGATATAGATGAAACAATATTGTCTATTAGATGAGAAACATTGAAGCTTGGGATGGATACACGGAGGTTCATTAAACTATTATTTTTCTACTTTTAAATATGTTTGAAATTGTCTACAATGAGTACTTAGAATATTAAGAACTGTCTTTTATTGTGATATTTTATTCTTCATAATTTGTTTTGAAATATTTTTTCTTGGCTGAAAGAGTTCTTGATATTTTTAAATAGCTTAACTTGACAAAATTAAAAATTAAAATTAAAAATTAGCTGCACTATTTTAGTCCCCCAGTTTGTGAGTATAAACCTTTGGCTCTCAAAATCCATAAGTCTTAGAAGCACAGATCTGAATTTATTCTATTTTATCCTGTTGAAACATTAACAAGGCCAAAGATTGGTATGTATGTATAAGAAACATATAAATTACATATATATTTATTAGTAATTTTTTAAATATTTAATTTAGGTTTATTTTAGACACAGAGAGAATTTCAAAAGAATAAAGAGCCCATAAATCCCTGACCCACTTACTTTAATGCTAAAATCTTACATAACCACGAAAAATTACAGAAATCAGAAAATTAAGATTATTAACATACTACTAAATAAACCCAACTTCTTAGTTAAGTTTCCTCACTCTTTTCACTGATGTCTTTATTTTGTTTTAATATTTTTTCACTTACTTTCTTGCATTACCATATTGATATTGAATGATCTACTATTTTTAGTGTTTGTTTTATTTTTCCTTTAATAGACTAAGATCTTAAAGACAACTTATAACACTAAGAATGTAAAACTTTTGCACTCTTTTTCTTTTTTTTTTCTTTTGAGACAGAGTCTTGCTCTGTCACCCAGGCTGGAGTGCAGTGGCACGATCTTGGCTCACTGCAACCTCCACCTCACGGGTTCAAGTGATTCTCGTGCCTCAGCCTCCCAAGTGGCTGGGATTACAGGCACGCATCACTCTTTTACTCTTTATTCAATTTTTTACAGTTGTCTTACTCATATGAAATTTAAGAGCAATGATTTATCTGTTTTTTTTTTGCTGTTTCAATGTTCTAAAATATACATAATATAAATTTACTATTTTAACATTTGGCAAGTGTAAAGTTCAGTGGCGTTAAATCCATTCACAATGTTGTACAATTATCACCATCATCCAACTCCAGAACATTTTTATCATCCAAAACTGAATCTCTGTACTCACTAATCAATTCCTTCTCATTATACCCTCCCTCCAGACCTGGTAACCACCGCTTTACTTTCTGTCTCTAACAGATTTGATGTTGTAGCATGGGTTAGAATTTCATGCTTTTAAAGTCTGAATAATATTCCATTGTATGCATATAACTCATTTTGTTTATCCATCACTCATGGACACTTATGTTGCTTCCATCTTTTGGATACCATGGATAAAGCTGCTTATGAATATGGATGTAGAAATATCTTTTCAACCTTCTGCCTTCAGTTCTTTTATATACATACCTAGAAGTGGAATTGCTAGATCATGTTATTTCTATGTTTAACTTTCTGTAGAATAACCATATGTTTTCACAGTGGCTACACCATTTACATTTCCATCAATGTGCAAAAAATTCCAGTTTCTCCACAGTTTTGCCAACACTTGTTATTTTCTGTTTTTGTGTATTTTATAATAGCCATCCAAATGGGTGACAAGTGGTATTATAGTGTGGTTTTGATTTTCACTTTTGTAAGGATGAAGTTTGTTTTGTATTTTTTCTTATGCTTATTGACCTTTTGTACACAACCATTGAAGAAATGACGATTGAAGCACACTTTAATTTTTGTGTGCTTTTTGTTGTAAAATATTATATGTTCTGACAATTACCTCTATTAAATATACAACTGCAAATTTTTTACACTCTGTGGGATGCCTTTTAACTCTGTGGATAGTATCTTTTGAGGAACAAAAGTTTTTAATTTTGTTGAAATTTAATTTATCTATTTTTTATTTTGTTGCCTGTGGTTTTTTGTTATATCCAAAAATTATTGCCAAACCAAATGTCATGATTTATGCTTTCCTATTTCTGTGTATCCCATGACATTAAATAAACAAAATTTGGTAATTCAGAAAAATAGCCCCTTCCTCCAGTCTTTGTAGAATGGTTCTGTGTTGTGGCTATCCTTTCTGATTAGCTGAAAAAATTCTGAGCTTAGAGGTCAGCTCAAGGTGACATCTTAAGACCTTTTTAAGTATTTTCTGAATATACCTCTTGCCTGGGCCAGTGTGTCAGTTGTTTTTCATTTTCCCTTTTACACATTTGTTTTAAAATGCCTTAATTTCTCAAAGGTTTTGCCTCAGCTTCTCCTGAGTTTAAATGGTATATTATATATATATCCATCTAATCTCATGCCCCAGAGACCTGTGGATCTATAGTTTCCCTGGAACTTTCATGACGATTGACTGCTGCTTTTCCCTGCCTGATATCTAAGCTAGGTGAGATAGAGACTAGTCTTCAGGCAGTTCTTAGACAGGAACTTCACATAAGGTCTGCTCTGTTCCCTCCAGTTTAAGGCTAGGAATTAGTAATTGGACTTCCACCTTCTCCAGACCAAGATTGTATCATGCCCAAAGTGGATGGGGCAATTGAGAATAGAAATGGCACGAAGTTATTTACCATCTAGAATATGGGTTTTTTTTCTTGATTGGGTATTCACTTGATTACTATAAAACTTTGACTGTTTTTCATAGCTCCTGTAAGGTTTTCCCAGCCAATTTCTGTTTTAATTAATTAATCTTTTAATGTTTTTATGAGGGAACAAGGCCTAGGAGGCTTCCTAAACAGCTATTTTGCTAACATCACTTTATTCATTTGTTTTTCTCAATTCTTTTCAAAGACTTCAAAAATGCCCCTTTACACTAATCTTTTATTAATTCATGTAATATTTAATTACATTATATAAGTGTAATTAGTATAAAGATGTGAGCAATTATTACTTTCTCTACCTAAGTTGATATAGTTTGGATGTGTGTCCCTACCCAAATCTCATATTGAAATGCAGTCTCCAATGTTGGAGGTGGTACCTGGTGGAAAGTGATTAGATTATGAGGGCAGTTTTCTCATATATGATTTAGCATCGTCCCTCTTGGTACTGTCCTCATGATAGTGAGTGAGTTCTCATAAGATCTAGTGATTTAAAAGTGTGTAGCTCTCCCTCCTCATCCCTCCTCACTCCATCTTGCTCCTGCTTTTGCCATGTGACATGCCTGCTTCCCCTTTGCCTTTTGCCATAATTGGAAGCTTCCTGAGGCTCCCCCAGAAGCACATGCAGCTATGCTTTTTGTACAGCCTGCAGAATTGTGAGCCAATTAAACCTCTTTTTAAAATAAATTACTCAGTATCAGATTTTTTTTTACAACAATGTGAGAATGGACTAATACATAAATATATTTCTCAAAACAGAAGGAATCAGACACACAAGATTTTCATCAACTATGTTCTAAAATTCAGTAAGTTGTGGAAATCAGTTAGCGTGTTTCATAAAGGTAACATAGAAGGGGAGCCAAGATGGCCAACCAGATACAGTTAGGTGGAGAATCTCCCACTGAGAGATGAGGACTTAGAAAAATCGGTCACATTCCAAGCAGTTCTTTGAAGGGAAGTCATTGAGAGTGAACAGAGGGAGGATTCGGATGCTGGGCTGAAGGGGGAGGAAGCTTAGTCTTCAAGTATAATTTCAGTAACTAGATTTTCAATTTTTTTTCTGTTTGCCTTTCATGAACTAAAAATGTAAATATTTTGTCACATTATGTTTTTCCATATGACAAAAAAACTTTGCTTATTCCTTTAAATTTTGTCTTCTTTATTTTGGCCTGAGTCATTTCAAAGGACCTGTTTTCAAGTTCTAAAACTGTTTTTCTGCTTGATCTGGTCTATATTTGAAGTTCTTGAATGCGTTTTTTAAGTTTTATTCAATAAATTCTTCAGTTTCAGGATTTTCACTTGGTTCTTTTCATGATCTCTTTCTCTTTGGTAAATTTTTTTTTCTTACACTTAGTGTTCTGATTTTTTAAATTGTTTACCTCTGTTCTCAATTATCTCACTGAGCTTCTTTAATATCATCATTTTGAATTTTTTTTCCAGGATTTCAGAATATTTTTCATCAAAATCTGTGGTTGAAGAATTACTTTGATGCTTTGGAGATGTCATTTTTTTTTTTTTTTTGCTTTTTTATGTTTCTTGTGTCCTTACATTAATATTTGTATATCTGGTGTAACAGTTTATTCCTTTCCTTGGATTTTCTTTTGAAGGAGAGGACTTTTTCCTGAAGATTTATTCATCATTCAAGTTGGGGAGGGAACTTTGGCTTTAGTTCTGGGTGCATGCAGTAGTGTTGTCTTTATATAATTTCTTTAGCTGTGAACAGCATTAGTTGTGTCTGTGGTTTCTTTGACGGTTTAGAGTGTAGTTGTTAGTGAAGACTGTGGTAAAGTTTTGCTGAGAACAGGTACACCAGGTAGGCCACTCTTTGTCTCCAGTGGTGAAGCAATGGAACACACCTGCCTATTCTTGGGTCCCAGGTTGGCATATGCTGGCTTCTGTGTTAGTGGGTCTATGAAGGCCAATTCTTGGACCTCCAGGTGCCTTACTCAAATGCTAGCATTGACAGTTGTGTACATGGCGATGGGCAATATTCTAAGGTCCTTTGGCAGTATGCATAGCATTGTCAATGGTGTAGCAGTGGTGGGAAACCTCTCTGCGTCCTAAACTATTCATGATAATGTTGGTGGTGCTTGTGATGGGCTGGGCAAGCCAGTCCTCAGTCTCGCAGTATGTGCATGCAGGTAGTTTTCAGTATAATGGCAGTGGCAGGTTGAGTGGACCCATCCTCAGGCCCCTGAGATAAGTGCTCATGTGTCAACAGTGGTGCATGAGGCAGGGAAATCCCCAGGCCTTCAGATGATGTGCTTGGGCACTAGGGTAGGAGACAGAACCAGGCCAGGTAGGCCTCCCCAGGCCTCAGTGGTGTGTGTAGTCACTAGTTACAGCAAGCAGGGACAAGGTGATCCCAGGCCCCTGAGGAGTGCTCATGTGATAGTGACAGTGGCTATGCTGCAGCCCTTTTGCTGCAGAAGGCAAGGTTGCTTTCAATGGCAATAGTCATAGGTAGACATGTGAGCATGTGCTTTAGCCCCAGGTAACAGCTGTGGGTGGACTAGCCTGTCATGTCTTCAGGGAGTTTGAAAATCTGCAGTGGTCTCATTGCTATGGTCTTCTGGGTTGTTGCCAGTGTCTTGTGCTCTAGTCCTGGAAAAAAACAACAAGTATTATCAGCTGTTGTGAACAGGATAGTGTGTCTTCAGGATATATGGGCAAGTATTGCAGCCACCCTGCTGTAAAAAATGGGTCACTGCCAACGGATTATGCTTTGGTACCAAGCTGCAGCTGCCTGCACATGCAATGGGTGGGAAAGCCTGTCATCAGGATGCATCAAAATGTATAAGAGCCCTGCTTCTAGGTGTTATGGGGTGACTGTCAATGGCTTGTGCTTTGGTCCTGGAAGTAGCAGCTAGCAGTTTCAGTGGTAGTGAGTGGAGGATGTCAATTGGGCTCCAGTGATTTTCAGATGCATGGGCTGTTGCAACCCAGGGAACAATGCAGTCTGGCGGGAACTGGGCTCTTAAATGGCACCATACTGTAGTTTTTTTAGGACTCAAGGGGTGTGTGGGACGATGTGTGTTTCCTCTCTGGATCATTGCCATTGCACTGTCCCCATGCAGCTCCCTATGTTAGTCTCAGGGCTCACAGGGATCAAGAGACTCTCCCATAGCCAGAATTGCAGCAGTCTGTACCGGAAATATAAACTACTTGGGGTCTCTAATTTACCCTTTCCTTACACTGGGGATTGTCACTGGGCTTCCAGCTAATTCTAGCCAAGCAGTCTGCCTTGCTTCCCTCTCCTTCCTTGGCTTAGATTTTTTTTGTCACTCTTCTGTTGAATTATAGTGTTCTCTCTTAGATGACCTATCCAAAATGTGATTATTTGCTCACTATTTTAGTTATTCTTTATGGAAAAGGTGAGCATGAGATGCCACTAATCAGCCATCTTGGAGTCCTCCATCAAGAATACCTTGGAGTATAAAGAACAGCTCAGTCGGGGAGACCCTAACCCAGTGGCGCTAGAGGAATTAAAGACACACACACAGAAATATAGCATGGGGAGTGGGAAATCAGGGGACTCACAGCCTTCAGAGCTGAGAGCCCCAAACAGAGATTTACCCACATATTTATTGACAGCAAGCCAGTGATAAACATTGTTTCTATAGATTATAGATTTACTAAAAGTATTCTTTACAGGAAACAAAGGGATGGGCCAAAACAAAGGGATGGGCTCTGGCTAGTTATCTGCAGCAGGAACATGGCCTTAAAGCACAGATCACTCATGCTATTGTTTGTGGTTCAGGAATGCCTTTAAGCTGTTTTCCGCCCTGGATGGGCCAGGTGTTCCTTGCCCTCATCCCGGTAAACCCACAACCTTCAGCATGGGCATCATGGCCCTCACGAACATGTCACAGTGCTGCAGAGATTTTGTTTATAGCCAGTTTTGGGGCCAGTTTATGGCCAGATTTGGAGCCTATCCCCAGCAGACTCAAAGAGATTAAAAGTAAAATGATGGTGGAGGATATACCATGCTAAGAATAATGAAAAGAAAGCAGGAAAATATCAATATCAGACAAAAAAGACTTCAGAGCCAAGGAAATGATCGATAATAAATTGGTTCACTATATATTGATAACAAAGTCAATTATTCAAGAAGACAAAATAAAATCTCTGAATGTGTATGTGTCTATCTACAGAGCTTCAAAATCTATGAGGCAAAAGCTGGTGTAACTACAAGGAGTGGCAGACATCTTAACTATTACAGTTGTAGCCTTGAATAATCTTCTATAAATAATTAAAAGATCTAGCAAGCAAACAAATTGGTAAGGATATAGTTGAACTGAACAGCACCATCAATCAACTGAATCGAACTGACATTAACAGAATACTTCTTGCAACAAAAGAATACTTACTATCTAGCTCACATGGAGCATTCACCAAGATCAACCACATACTGGATGATTAGACTTAAGAAATGTAAATGAGTAGAAATCGGAAAAGAATGCTTTTACTTTATTGTAATATAAAATTAGAAATTAATAACCAAAATATGTTTGGAAAATCTCAAGGTATTTAAGTTTTAAGGTACAGACTTCTAGATAACCCATGAATCAAAGAAGTCTCATGAAAAACAAAAACACCTTTGAACTAAATACCAATTAACATAAAACTTACCAAAATCTGAAGGATACAACAAAAGGAGTGTTTAGAGTTAATTTCTAACCTAAAATGAACATATGAGAAAATGAGAAATTATAAATATAAAATTTATAATCTTAAGCCTAAAACACTAAGGGAAGAACAAATTAAATCCAAAATAAGTAGAAAAAGAAATAGTATAAGTCAGAACAGAAACCAAGATTTCTGAGGTTTGTGACTGCTGGCTTTCCTCCACTTCCATGACAACCTGCATTACTCAGCAGAGGCACCCATAATCCTCCCAAGTACACAGCTCCAGTGACCTGGGAATCTCACCCTCATCCCCACAGCAGCTGCAGCAAGACCCGCCCATCAAGAGTCTAAGCTCAGACATGCCTTGCCCTGCCCCCACCTAAGGGTCCTTTCCTACCCATCCTGGTAGTGGAAGACAAAGGGCATATACTCTTGGGAGTTCTAGGGCCCTGCCTACCACCAGTCTCTCTCCATACTACTATAGCTGATGCTCTCTGGAAAGTGCCACCTCCCAACAGAAGGCCAACCAGCACAAAAGTAGAGCATTAAGCTGCCAAAGCTAAGAGCCGTCACAGAGTCCATTGCACACCACCAACCCCACCCACCACCTCCACCGGAACAGGTGTTGATATCCACAGCTGAGAGACACATAGACGGTTCACATTATAGGACTCTGTGCAGACAAGCCCCAGTACCAGCCCAAAGCTGTGTAGACTCTCTGGGCGGCTAGACCCAGAAAAGTGACAACAATCACTGCAGTTTGGCTCACACAAAGCCATATCCATAGGAAAAGGGGGAGAGTACTACATCAAGGGAACACCCCATGGGACAAAAGAATCTGAACAACAGCTTTCAGCCTTAGACCTTCCCTCTGACAGAGCCTACCCAAATGAGAAGGAACCAGAAAACCAACCCTGGTATTATGACAAAACAAGGCTCTTCAGCACCCCACAAAAATCACACTAGCTCACCAGCAAGGGATCCAAACCAAGAAGAAATCCCCGATATAATTGAAAAATTAGTCAGGAGGTAAGTTATTAAGCTAATCAGAGAGTCACCCAAGCAAGGTGACACCCAATGGAAGAAAATCCAAAAAATGATGCAAGAAGTGAAGGGAGAAATATTCAAGAAAATACATAGCTTAAAGAAAAAACAAGCAAAAATTCAGAAAACTTTGGGCACACTTTTAGAAATGCAAAATGCTCTGGAAAGTCTCAGCAATAGAATTGAACAAGTAGAAAACAAATTCAGAGCTTGAAGGCAGGGTCTTCAAATCAACCCAATCCAACAAAGACAGAGGAAAAATAATAAGAAAATATGAACAAAGCCTCCAAGAAGTCCGGGATTATGGTAAATGGCCAAACCTAAGAATAATTGGTGTTCCTGAGGAAGAAGAGAATTCTAAAAGCTTGGAAAACATATTTGGGGAAATAATTGAGGAAAAATTCCCTGGCCTTGCTAGAGACCTAGACATACAAATGCAAGAAGCACAAAGAACACCTGAGAAGTTTAATGCAAAAAAGATAATCACCTAGGTACACTGTCATCAGGTTATCCAAAGTTAAGAAGAAGGAAAGAATTTTAAGAGCTGTGAGACAGAAGCACCAAGTAACCTATAAAAAATAACCTATCAGATTAGCAGCAGATTTCTCAGCAGAAACCCTATGAACTAGAAGGGATTAAGGCCCTATCTTCAGCCTCCTCAAACAAAACAATTATCAGTCAAGAATTTTGTATCCAGTGAAACTAAGCATCATACATGAAGTAAAGATACAGTTTTTTTCACACAAACAAATGCTTCCAAACAAACAAATTTACCAAGCCACCACCACAAGAACTATTAAAAGAAGTGCTAAATCTTGAAACAAATTCTGGAAACTCGTCAAAACAGAACCACTTTAAAGCATAAATCACACAGCACCTATAAAACAAATATACAAGTTAAAAATCAAAAATAGAAAGACCAAAGTACCCAAGTGAAAAAGAGCATGATGAATGCAACAGTACTCCACATTTCAATACTAACATTGAATGTAAACAGCCTAAATGCTCCACTTAAAAGATATGGAACCACAGAATGGATATGAACTCACCAACCAACTATCTGCTGCCTTCAGAAGACTCACCTAATACATAAGGACTCACATAAACTTAAAATAAAAGGGTGGAAAAAGGCATTTCATTCAAATGGACACCAAAAGCAAGCAGGCGTATTTATTCTTATATTAGACAAAACAAACTTTAAAGCAACAGCAGTTATAAGAGAAAAAGAAGAACCCATTATGTAATGGCAAAATGCCTTGTTAAACAGGAAAATATCACAATCCTAAACATATATGCATCTAACAGTGGAGCTCTCAAATTTATGAAACAATTATTAATAGACCTAAGAAATGAGATAGACAGCAACACAAAAATAGTGGGGGACTTCAATACACTACTGACAGCACTAGACAGGTCATCAAGGGAGAAAGTCAACAAAGAAACAATGGATTTAAACTATACCTTGGAACAAATGGACTTAACAGATTTATACAGAACATTTCATCCCAAAACTGAAGAATACACATTATATTTAACAGTGTGTGGAACTTTCTCCAAGATAGACCATATAATAGGCCATAAAACAAGCTTCAATAAATTTTTAAAAATTAAAATTATATCAATCACCTCTCAGACCACAGTGGAATAAAACTAGAAATTAACTCCAAAGAGAACCTTCAAAACCATGCAAATGCATAGAAATTAAATAACCCGCTCCTCAATGAGCATTGAGTTAAAAAAGAAATCAAAATGGAAATCAAAAAAATTCAAACTGAATGACAATAATGACACAACCTATCAAAACCCCTGGGATACAGCAAAAGCAGTCCTAAGAGGAAAGTTCACAGCCCTAAATGCCTACATCGAAAAGACTAAAACAGCACATAATGACATTGTAAGGTCACACCTCAAGAAACTAGAGAAGCAAGAACAAATGAAACCCAAACCCAGCGGAAGAAAGGAAATAAGCAAGATCAGAGCAGAACTAAATAAAACTGAAACAACAACAACAACAAATACAATAGATAAATAAAACAAAAAGCTAGTTCCTTGAAAAGATAAATAAAATTGATAGACCATTAGCAAGATTAACCAAGAACATAAGAGAGAAAATTCAAATATTCTCACTAAGAAACACAACAGGAGATATTACAAGTGACACCACTGAAATACAAAAGATTATTCAAGGCTATTATGAACACCTTTACACACATAAACTAGAAAACCTGGAAAAGCTGGATAAATTCATGGAAAAATAAATCCCTCCTGGCTTAAATCAGGAAGAATTAGATACCCTGAACAGACCAATAACAAGCAGCAAGATTAAAATGGTAATTAAAAAATTACTAACACGAAGAAGTCCAGGACCAGATGGATCCACACTAGAATTCTACCACACGTTTAAAGAATAATTGGTACCTGTCCTTTTGACACGATTTCACAAGATAAAGAAAGAACCCTCCTTAATCCATTCTATTAAGCTAGCATCACCCTATTACCAAAACCAGGAAAGGACATAACCAGAAAAGAAAACTACAGACCGATATCCTTGATAAGCATAGATCCTAAAATCCTTAACAAAATACTGGCTAACCTAATTCAACAGCATTTCAAAAAGATAATGCACCATGATCAAGTGGGTTTCAGACCAAGGATGCAGGGATGGTTTGACATACACAAGTCAATAAATATGATACACCACATAAACAGAATTAAAAACAAAAATCACACAATCATCTTAATAGATGCAGAAAAAGCATTTGACAAAATCCAGCATCCTTCACGATTAAAACTCTCAGCAAAATTGGCATGCAAGACACATAGCTTAATGTAATAAAAGCCATCTATTACAAACCCGCAGCCAACGTAATACTTAATGGGGAAAAGCTGAAAGCATTTCCTCTGATAACTGGAACAAGACAAGGATGCCCACTCTCACCACTCTTCTTCAACATAGTACTGGAAGTCCTAGCCAGAGCAGCAGACAAGAGAAAGAAATAAAGGACATCCTAATTGGTAAAGAGGAAGTCGAACTGTCACTGTTTGCTGACGATATGATCCTTTACTTTGAAAACCCTAACAACCCCTCCAGTAAGCTCCTGGAACTGATAAAAGAATTCAGCAAAGTTTCCAGATACAAGACTAATGTACACAAATCTGTAGCTCTTCTATACACTAACTGTGACCAACAGGTAAATCAAATCAAGAACTCAACACCTTTTACTATAGCTGCAGAAAAATTAAAATACTTAGGAATATACCTAATCAAGGAATCAAAAGACTGCTACACGGAAAACTACAAAACACTGTTGAAATAAATCTCAGATGACACAAAGGGAAACACAACCCATGCTCATGGATGGGTAGAATCAATATTGTGAAAATGATCATATTGCCATAAGCAGTCTACAAATTCAATACAATCCCCATCAAAATACCACCATAATTCTTCACAGAATTAGAAAAAACAATTCTAAAATTCATATGGAACCAAAAAAGAGCCCGCATAGCCAAAGCAAGACTAAGCAAAAAGAACAAATCTAGAGGCATCACACTGCCTGATTTCAAACTATACTATATGGTTATAGTCACCACAATAGTGTGGTAGTGGTATAAAAAATAGGCACATAGACTAATGGAACCCAACAGAGAAAGCAGAAATAAATCCTAACTTTTACAGCCAACTGATCTTTGACAACAAAAACAAAAAGATAAAGTGGAAAAAAGACACCCTTTTCAACAAATGGTGCTGGGATAATTGGCTAGCCACATGTAGGAGAATGAAACTGGATCTCCATCTCTCACCTTATGCAAAAATCAATTCAAGATAAAATAAGGACTTAAACCTAAGACCTATAACTATAAAAATTCTGGAAGAGAATATTGGAAATACCCTTCCAGATATTGGCTTAGACAAGGAGTTCATGATTAAGAACCCCCAAGCAAATGCAATAAAAACAAAGATAAATAGCTGGGACCTAATTAAACTAATGAGACTTGCACAGCAAAAGGAACAGTCAGCAGAGTAAACAGACAACCCACAAAGTGGGAGAAAATCTTCACAATCTATACATCTGAAAAAGATTAACATCTAGAATTTACAGTGAACTCAAAAAATTAGTAAGAAAAAAACAAACAATCCCACAAAAAAGTGGATTAAGGATATGAACAGGCAATTCTCAAAAGAAGATATGAAAATGGCCAAAAATATGGAAAACAAAATATGCAACATCACTAATTATCAGGAAAATGCAAATCAAAACCACAATGCAATACCACCTCACTCCTGCAAGAATGACCATAATTAAAAAAAAATAAAAAAACAGTATATGTTGGCATGAATGTGGTGATCAGGGAACATTTCTACACTGCTGGTGGGAATTTAAACTAGTACAGCCACTATGGAAAATAGTAGGGAGATTCCTTAAAGAACTAAAAGTAGAAATACCATTTGATCCAGCAATCCCACTACTCGGCATCTACCCATAGGAATAGAAGTCATTATTCGAAAAAGATACTTGCACACGCATGTTTGTAATTGCAAAATTCACAATTGCAAAATCATGAAACCAACCCAAATTCCCATCAATCAGTGAGTAGATTAAAACAAACAAACAAACAAAAAAAACTGTGGTATATATAGCTGATGAAATACTACTCGGCCATAAAATGGTATGAATTAACAGGATTTGCAGTGACCTGGATGAGACTGGAGACTTTTATTCCAAGTGAAGTAACTCAGGAATGGAGAACCAAACATTGTATGCTCTCACTGATATGTGGAAGCTAAGCTATAAGGATGCAAAAGGTGTAAGAATAATGCAGTGAACTTTGGGGACTTGCAGGGAAGAGTGGAAGGGGGTGAGGGATAAAAGACTACAAATATGGTGCAGCGTATACTGTTCAGGTGATGGGTACACCAAAATCTCACAAATCACCATTAAAGAACTTACACATATAACCAAATACCACCTGTACCCCAATAACTTATGAAAAAATTTAAAAAATAGATAAACTGATTAAGTCTATGTCTACAAAAGTAATGAAATTTCAAGTTAACAGTCTTCCATAACAGAAAGCATCAGATCCATATGGTTTCAATGATTAATACTATCAAATATTTAAGGAATAAATAATAGTAATGGTTTTTAATCTATTCCAAAATACAGAAGCAAAGAGAATACTTCCTAACTTCTTCTATGAGATAACTATTACCCTAATACAAAACCCAGATGAAGAGACACACAAGAAGATAAAATTACAAGGAAAATATTTCTCATAAACATAGTTGAAAATTTTCTCAACAAAATATTAGAAAAGTAATTCTAACAATGCATACAAATAATTATACACCACAAACAAATAGGGTTTATTTCTGGTATTGAATACTAATTCAATATTTGAAAGTCAGTGTAATCAATCACATCCACAGGCTAAAGAAGAAAAATCACACGATCATATCAATACATGCAGAAAAAAATGTCAAAACCCAAAAACCCACTCATGGTAAAAACTATTAGGAAACTAGCAATAGAGATTTTCTCAATTTGATAAAAACATCTACAAAATATCTACCAGCATCTTCATACTTAATGTTGAGAAACTAGATGGTACCCTCTAAAATTGTGAACATATCCCCTCCCATGATTCATATTGAATGTTGTACTGTAAGTTCTAATTAATGTATTAAGAAAAGAAAAGAAAAAAAAAGAATAGAGACTGGGAAGAAAAATGCAAAACTTTCTTTGTTCACAAAGGATATGATGATGTTCTAAAAAAAATTCTCATAATCATAAACAAAATCCTGGAACTAATAAGCAATTATAGCAAGGTTACAAACTGCAAAGGTAATACACAGAAGTTAATTGTGCTCCTATATACAAGCAATGAGCAATTGGAATTTGAAATGTAAAACAATACCATTTTTATTAGCACCCAAACCAAGCAAATCCTAGGTGTAAATCTAGGAAAATATATTCAAGGTTTATGTGAGATCCTGGCCTGCAGTGCAAAGGAAAGCACACAGACATGGGCCTGTCAGCACCCTGTCCCTGTGCAAATATCATCATCATCACAACCATCGACAGCAGGGATCCCCTGGTCCCACAGCCGTGTTACTTCTGCCACTGTGGTGAATGCCTGCTTGGAGCCAGGCATCTCAGCACCGGCTAGCACCCTGCCAAAGTGAAGGAGCATGGGCCCACCATGCTGCCGCTGCTTCTGCGGCTTGCATATGCAAACAAAGATTGAAGTTATTGTCAATGCAGTACAATGTGTTTTGGCTGACACCACCTATCAGACTATAGTAACCAGCAGACTAGGAGCAGCTCAGACCCCTCCAGTGCAGTGGATACCTAGCCTCAAAGAGTCAGAGAATAGTCATGCCCAATACAAGTTTTGCAGAGTTAGAGAATGCAGTCCAGGGGTTGGGAGCTGAGTGCTGGCTCCATAAAATATTTCAGAAATGAACTCAGTTGACTGAATCTACCTCAAACTACAATCAAATCTTGAAGTTTTTAATATATGACAAAAGAAAAAGAGCCATCCAAAGGTAAGTGACTTCAAAGATCCAAGGGACATAAGTCCACAAAAATGAGAAAAAAACTAGCACCAAAAACCCTAAGAACTCAGAAAGCCAGAGTACTTTGTTTCCTCCAAATATCTACACCACTTTTCCAGCAATGGTTCTGAACCAGGCTAAGAGGGCTGAAATGACAGAAATATAATTCAGAATATGGATAATTGAGATGCAAAAGTACATTAAAACCCAATCCAAAGTAGCTAAGAATCACAATAAAACAATGCAGGAACTGACAAACAAAATATCCAGTATAGAAAAAAACATAACCAACCTGACAGAGCAGAAAAACACATCCCAAGAATTTCATAATGTAGTCACAAGTATTAGTAGCAGAATAAACCAAAAGGAGGAAAGAATCTCAGAGCTTATGATTAGATTTCTGAATAAAAGTCACATATGAATAGAAAAAAATTGAAACTGAATGAGCAGAACCTCCAAGAAATATGAAATTATGTAAAGAGATCAAATTCATAACTCATTGATGTCCCTGAAAGAGTTGGGGAGAATGAAGTTAGAAAAAATATGTCAGAATATTATCAAAGACTGCTTTCCCAATCTAGCTAGAGAGGTTAACATTCAAGTTCAGGAAATGCAGAGAATCCCAGTTAGAAACTTCACAAGAATATCATCCCCAAGACACATAATTTTCAGATTCTCCAAGTTTGAAACAAAAGAAAAAATCGTAAAGGCAGCTAGGGAGTAAGATCAGGTCACCTCCAAATGAAAGCCCATTAGACTAACAGAATACTTTTAGCAGAAACCCTACAAGCCAGAAAATATTGGGGGCCAATATTCAACATTCTTAAATAAAAGAAATTCCAACCAAAAGTCTTTCTAGGCAGAGGAGAAATAAGATCCTTATTAGACAAGAAAATGCTAAAGGAATTCATTACCACCAAGCATGTCTTACAAGAACTCCTGAAGGAAGCACTAAATATGAAAAGACAGTTACCGCCCATTACAAAAACACAATTAAGTACACACACTAGTGACACTATAAAGCAACTATATAAGCAAGTCTGCATAATAACCAGCTAACATCATGATGATAGAATCAAATCCACACAAATCAATACTAACCTTGAATGTAAATAGGGTAAATTCTCCAATTAATGGGCACAAAGTGGCAAGTGGGATAAAAAAACAACACTCATTTGCATGCTGTTGGCAAGAGACTTATATCATATGCAATGACACACAGAGGCTCACAGTAAAAGGATGGAGGAAAATCTTCCAAGCAAATGAAAAACAGAAAAAAAGTAGAGATTGTAATTCTAATTTCAGAAAAATAAAACAGACTGTAAATGAACAAAGATTAAAAAAAAAGACAAAGAAGGGCATTAGTTAATGGTAAAAGGTTCAATTCAACAAAAAGACCTACCTATCTAAAATACATATTGACCCAACGAATCAGTAATCAGATTTATAAAGCAAGTTTTTAGAGGCCTTCAAAGAGAGTTAGACTCCCACACAATAACAGGGGAGACTTAAACATACCACTGACAATATTATATAAATAATTGAGGCAGAAAATTAACAAATATATTTAGGACCAAAACTCAGCACTGTAACAGATAGACCTGATATACATGTAGAGAACTCTCCACCCCAAAACAACAGAATGTGCATTCTTCTCATCAACACATGATACATTTTTTAAATCCATCACATAATGGGAAATAGAGCATTCCTCAGCAAATGCAAAAGAACTGAAAGTATAACAACCAATCTCTTGGAGCACAGTGTGATCAAATTAGAAATCAAAACTAAGAAATTCACTCAAAACCATAAAATTACATGGAAATTGAGTACGTTGCTTCTCAATGACTGGGTAAATAATGAAATTAAGACAGAAATCAAGAAGTTCTTAGAAATCAATGAAAACAAAGCCAAAACATAACAGAATCTCTGAAATACAGCTAAGGCAGCATTAAAAGGGAAATTTATAGCACTAAATGCCCACATCAAAAAGTTGGAAAGATCTCAATGAACAACCAAAAATTACAAACAGAGGAACTAGAGAAGTAAGAGCAAAACAACCCCAAAGCTACCAGAAGATAAGAAAAAAGCAAAATTAGAGCTGAACTGAAGAAGGTTGAGACACACAAAGGAACATTTAAAATACCAACAAAACCAGGAGATTTTTAATGAAAGAAAAAAATAGTAAAATTGACCAATAGCTAGACTAGTGAAGAAGAAAGGAGAGAAGACTCAAATAAGCACAATCAGAAGTGACAAAGGGGATATTACCAGTAACCAACCAAAATATAAATAAGAATCACAGAATATTATGAACACCTCTATGCATATAAACTGGAAAATCTAAAAGAAATGTATAAATTTCTGGACACATACACAGTCCCAAGACTGAGCCAGGAAGGAATTGAATCCCTGAACAGACCAATAATGAACTGCGAAATTGAAGCAGCAATAAATAGCCTACCAACCAAAAAAAAAAAAAAAAAAGCCCAGGACTAGAAGGATTCAAAGTTGAATTTTACCAGATGTACAAAGAAGCACTGATACTATTTCTGGTGAAACTATTCCAAAGAATTGAAGAGGAGGAACTCCTCCCTAAGTCATTCTATGAGGTCAGCATCGACCTGATACTAAAACCTGGCAGAGCCACAACAACAACAACAAAAAACACTTCAGGTCAATATCTTTTATGAACATCAATGCAAAATCCTCAACAAAATACAAACTGAATCCAGCAGAACATCAAAAAGCTTTTCCACACTGCACAAAGTAGGCTTTATCCCTGGGATGCAAGGTTGGTTAAATAACACAAATTATTCAATGTGATTCATTACATAAAGAGAACTAAAAACAAAAACCATGTGATTATCTCTATAGATTCTGAAAAGGGTTTGATAGAATTCAACACCCCTTTATGTTGAATATCCTCAATAAACGAGGTATTGAAGAAACATACCTCAAAATAACAAGAGCCATCTATGCCAAACCCACAGCTAACATCAATCTAAATGGGCAAAAGCTGAAAGTGCTCCTCTTGAAAACCAGTACAAAAAATGATGCCCTCTCCCACCATTCCTATTCATTATAGTATTGGAAGTTCTGGCCAGAGCAATCAGGCAAGAAAAATAAATAAAGGATACCCAAATAGGAAGAGAAAAGGTCAAATTATCCCTGTTTGCAGATGACATGGTCCTTTATCTTTAAAATCTCATAGTCTCAGCTCAAAAGCCCTTTAAGTTGATAAGCAATTTCAGCAGTCTCAAGATACAAACCAATGTACAAAAGTCACTATCATAACTAAACACCAACAACAGTTAAGCCGAGAGCCAAATCAGAAATAAAATTATATTCACAACTGCAACAAAAAGAATAAAATACCTGAGAATACAGTTAACCATGTAGTTGAAAGATCTCTAGAAGAAGAACTGTAAAACACTGCTCAAAGAAATCGGAAATGACACAAACAGATGAAAAAACATTCCATGCTCATGGATAAGAAGAATCAATATCATTAAAATGGCCACACTGCCCAATGCAATTTATAGATTCAATGCTATTTCTATTGAACTACCAATAATATTCTTTACATACCTAAAAAGAAAAGATTTCAAAATTTACCTCTAACCAAAACAGAGCCCAAATAGCCAATAAGATTCTAAGCAAAAAGCAAAAAGCTGGAAATACTAGGCTACCGAACTTCAAACAATACTGCAATACAACAGTAACCCAAACAGCAAGGTATTGGTACAAAAACAGTCACATAGACCAGTGGAACAGAATAAAGAACCCAGAAATAATGCCACATACCTACAGCTATCTAATCTTCAATAAAGCTGACAGAAAATAAGCAATGTGGAAAGACTCCCTATTCAATAAATAGTGCTAAGATAACTGGCTAGGCATATGCAGAAGATTGAAACTGGATTCTTTTCTTACACCGTTTACATAAATTAACTTAAGATGGATTAAAAACTTTAATGGAAAACCCAAAACTATAAAAACCCTGGAAGACGACCTAGGCAATAACATTCTAGACATAGGCACAAGCAACAATTTTATATTGAGGACACCAAAAGCAATTGCAACAAAAGCAAAAATTGACAAACCAGATCTAATCAAACTAAAAAGCTACTGCGCAGTAAAATAAAAAAAAAAAAAACTATCAACAGGGTGAAAAGACAACCTACAGAATGAGAGAAAAATTTTGCAAACTATGCATCTGACAAAGGTCTAATATCCAATATCTATAAGAAACTTAACCAAATTTACAAAAAATAATAAACAACCCTATTAAAAAGTGGCAAAGGACACGAACCATCACTTTTCAATACAAAACATGCTTGCAGCCAACAAGCATATGAAAAAAAAAACCCTCAATATAACTGATCATTACAGAAAGGCAAATCAAATCCCCAAGGAGTTGCCGTCTCACACTAGTCATAATAGCTATTATTACAAAGTCAAAAAATAACAGATGCTGGGGAGGCTGTGGAGAAAAGGGAATGCCTATACACTGTTGGTGGGAATGTAAACTAGTTCAACCATTTTGGAAAACAATGTATTGATTCCTTAAAGAGCTAACAAAAGAACTACCATTTGACCCAGCAATCCCATTACTGGGTTGATACCCAAAGAAATATAAAGCATTCTGATACGATGTGGCTGTGTCCCCATCTAAATTTCATCTCGAATTGTAGCTCCCATAATTCCCATGTGTCGTGGGTGTCACCTGGTGGGAGGTTTTTGAGTCATGGGGGCGGGTCTTTCCCATACTCTTCTTATGATAGTGAATAAGTCTCATGAGATCTCATGGTTTTATAAAGCGGAGTTCCCCTACACAAGCACTCTTGTCTATTGTCATGTTAAGGCGTGACTTTGCTCCTTATTTGCCTTCAGATATGATTGAGGCCTTGGAAGCCATGTGGAAGTGTAAGTCAATTAAACATCTTTTCTTTATAAATTAACCAGTCTTACATATGTCTTCATTAGCAGTGTGAGAGCAGACGAATACAGTAAATTGGTACTAAGTAGTGGAGCTCTGCTGTCAAGATGCTTGAAAATATGAAGGTGACTTTGGAACTGGGTAAGAGGCAGAGGCTGGAAGAGTTTGGAGGGCTCAGAAGAAGATAGGAAAATGTGGGAAAGTTTGGAACTTCCTAGAGACTTGTTGAATGGCTTTGACCAAAATGCGGAGAGTGATATGGACAATAAAGTCCAGGCTGAGGTGGTCTCAGATGGAGATAATGAACTTGCTGGAAACTGGGGCAAAGGTGACTCTTGCTGTGCTTTATCAAAGAGACTGGTGGCTTTTTGCCCCTGTCCTAGAGATATGTGGAACTTTGAACTTGAGAGAAATAATGTGGGGTATCTGGCAAAAGAAATTTCTAAGTAGAAAAGCATTCAAGAGGAAACAGAACATAAAAGTTTGGAAAATTTGCAGCATGGCACTGCAATAGAAAAGAAAAACCCATTTTCTGGAGAGAAATTAAAGCCAGCTGCAGAAATTTGCATTAGTAACAGGAGCCCAATGTTAATCACCAAGACAATGGGGAAAATGTCTCCAAGGTATGTTAGAGACCTTCACAGACCCTGAGGCCTAAGAGGGAAAAATGATTTACTGGGGCAGGCCTGGGCCCCCCTGCTGTGTGCAGCCCAGGAACTTGGTGCTCTGTGTCCCAGCTGCTCCAGCTGTGGCCAAAATGGGCCAAGGTACAGCTTGAACCATGACTTCAGAGGGTGCAATCCCCAAGCCTTAGCAGTTTCCACATGTTGTTGAACCTGCGGGTGCACAGAAGTAAAGAACTGAGGTTTGGAAACATCTTTCTAGATTTTAGAGGATGTATGGAAATATCTGGATGACCAGGCAGAAGTATGTTGAAGGGGTGGGGCCCTCATGGACAGCATCTGCTAGGGGATTGCAAAATGGAAATGTGGGGTGGAAGCTCCCACACATAGTCCCTACTGGGGCACTGCCTAGTGAAGCTGTGAGAAGAATGCCACAATCCTCCAGACTCCAGAATGCTAAATCCACCAACAGCTTGCAACATGTGCCTAGAAAAGCTGCAGACACTCAACACCAGCTCATGAAAGCAGTAAAGAAGAGGACTGTGCCCTGAAAAGGCACATGGGTGGAGCTGCCCAAGGCCATGGGAGCCCACCTCTTGCATCACCATGACCTGGATGTGAAACATGGAGTCAAAGTAGATCTTTTCGGAACTTTAAGGTTTAATGATTGCCCCATTGTATTTCGTACTTGCATAGGGCCTGTAGCTCCTTTGTTTTGGCCAATTTTTCCCATTTGGAGTAGGTGTATTTACCCAATGTCTGTACCCCAATTGTATTTTGGAAGTAACTAACTTGCTTTTGATTTTACAGGCTCATAGGCAGAAGGGACATGCCCTGTCTCAGAGGAGACTTTGGACTGTGGACTTTTGAGTTAATGCTGAAATGAGTGAAGACCTTGGGGAACTGTTGGGAAAGGATGAGTGGTTTTGAAATGTGAGGACATGAAATTTGAGAGAGGCCAGGGCCAGAATGATATGGTTTGGCTGTGTTCCCACCCAAATATGACCTTGAATTTCAGCTCCCATAATTCCCCCCAGTCATGGGAGGGACCCGGTGGGAGACAATTGATTCATAGGGGTGAGTCTTTCCCATTCTGTTCTCGTGATAGTGAATAAGTCTCATGAGATCTGAAAGTTTCATAAGGGGGAGTTTCCTTACACACACTTGCTTGCCTGCTGCCATGTTAAACTTCTCCTTTATAAATTACTCAGTCTCAGGAATGTCTTAATTAGCAGTGTGAGAGCAGACTAATACACATTCTATCATAAAGACATCTGCATGCATATGTTCATTGCAACACTATTCACAATAGCAAAGACATGGAATAAACATAAATGCCCATCAATTGTATATTGAGTAAAGAAAATGTGGTACATTTACACTATGGAATACTAGGCAGCCATAAATAAGATCATGTCCTTTCCAGGAACATGAATTGAGTTGAAGTCCATTATCTTTAGCAAAGTAACACAGGAACACAAAACCAAATGTCACATATTCACACTTAGAAGTGGGGAGGTAAATGATGAAAACACATGGACACATAGAGGTGAAAAACATACACTTGGGCCTATCAGAGGGTGGACAGCATCAATGGGGAGAGGATGAGGAAAAATAACCAATGGGTACTACGCTAAATACCTTGCTGATGAGATAATCTGTACAACCCTCATGCAAAAACTTACTTATATAACAAACCTGCACATGTATCCCTGAACTTAAAATAAATTCAAATTTTAAAAAATTGAAAAAACAGAACTCCTGACTAATGTTAGTTATTTCCCTTTCTCTCTTCTTCTAAATGGTAGTTTCAATAAATGTATCATTTCCTTTTTTCTTCATTGTGTATGCATTGGATGGAATTAAAAAGATTCATATGAAACAAAATACAAATTTCTGATAAAAGAAATCAAATATTTAAGTACCTGGGGAGATATTCCATGTTCAAGAATAGGAAGTTGTAATATGGTTAAGATATCAGTGCTTCCCAATTTGATCTCTAAATTTAATAAAATCTCAATGAAATGTCTAACAGTTAGCTATTCCTGTTACTAAGTTTATGCTGAAGTTTATATGGAAAAGAATATACCCCAGAGAGCTAACAATATATTTAAGAATATCTGATTTGGAATACTCCCACTACTCATTGTTAGAAATTATTATAAACCTAAAACAGTCAAGACAGTATTGTGTTGGTGAAATAACAGATAGTGGAACAAAATGGAGAACCCAGAAATAAATTTAAACATATAGAGTCAGCTGATTTTGGATAAATGAGAAAAGGCCATTCAATGAAGAAAGGATAGTCTTTTAAATAATGGTAATTAAACAACAAGAGATCCATATGCAAGAAAATGAATCTTGACACTGATTTAAAAACTTATGTGATAATTAACTTGAAATGAAACATATACCTAAATATAAAATGCAACACTATAAATCTCATGAAAATATGAGAGAAAGATCTAGGTGACTGGGGATTTGTCAATAAACTTTTACTTACAATACTGAAAGCACCCTTCATGAAAAAAATGATAAATTAAACTTCATTATAATAAAAAATTCTGCTCTATGAAAGCCATTGTAACAGAATTAAAAGATGAGTCACCGATTGGAGTTAAACACATATCTGAAAAAAAAAAACAGAACCTTGTATTCAACATATACAAAGAACCCTTATAACTCAACAAAAAGAAAACAAATAACCCAAATAAAAACTGTGTATAATAGCTGAAAAGACACCACATCAAATAATATATACAGATGGGAAATAAGCATATGAAAAGACACCAAACATCACATGTCATAATAGAATTAAAAAGTAAAACAAAGACACACCTCTGAGAAATGCTAAATCCCAAACACTAACAACATCAAATGCTGGTGAGTTTGTGAAACAATGCAGATTGTTATTCGTTGCTGGCAGGATGCAAAAATGTATAGACACTTTAGAAGGTATTTGGCAGCTTTTTACAAGCTAACCATAATCTTACCATAAAATTCCATAATCACGATCCCATGTCTTTACTCAAATGTATTAAAAACTTACGTCCAGAGAAAACCTTGCACATAAAAGTCAGTAACTACTTTATTAATAATTTTCAAACCATGGAAGCTACCAAAATGTGCTTCAAGAGGTGAATAAATATTCCATAGTACATCCATAAATTGGAATATTATTCAGAGGTTTAAAAAAGCCAGTATGAAAAGGTTACATTGAATATTGAAGCAAATATCCTGGATAAAATATTAGTAAACTGATTTCAATAATACATTAAAAAGATCATTCATCATGACCAAGTGGGATTTGTCCCAGAGATAGAAGGATGGGCCAACATATGCAAATCAATCAGTGTGATACATCATATTAAAATAATGAATGATAAAAAAGATAATTTAATTGATGCTGAAAAAGCATTTGATGAATTTCAACATCTCTTCATTAGAAAAACTGTCAGAAAGTTGGGACAGAAGAAACAACCTCCAAATAATAAAAGCCATATGTGACAGACCCACAGCTAGTATCATACTGAATGGGGAAAAACTGAAAATGTTTCCTCTAAGATAGGAAATGTGACAAATATGGTCACTGTCACCACTATTATTCAACATAGTACTAGAGGTCCTAGCTAGGGGAATCAGACAAAAGAAAGATATAAAGGGCATCCAAATTACAAAAGGGAGAAGTCAAATTATTTTTGCTGCAGATAATATAATATTATATTGAGAAAAAACCTAAAGACATTACCAAAATACTATTAGAATTGATAAACAAATTCAGTCAAACTGAAGGGCACAAAATTCACCTGCAAAAATCTGTAGCATTTCTATATGCCAACATTGAACAATGTAAAAAAGAAATCAAAACAGTAACTTCATTTGCAATAGCCAAAAATGCAAGTATTAATAAGTACTTAGGAATTAACTTAACCAAAGGCATGACAAATCTCTACAATAAAAACAATAAAACACTGATAAAAGAAATTGAAGAGGACACACAACAAAATGAAAGGACATTTCATGTTTATGGATTAGAATAATCAATATTGTTAAAATGTTCATACTACACAAATCAATGTCTAAATTCAATGCAATCTCTATCGAAATACTAATCACATTCTTCACAGAAAGGGAAAAAATATTCTTACAATTTATACAAAGTAACAAAAGATCCAGAAGGCCCAAAACCATCCTGAGAAAAAGAACAAAACTGGAGGAATCCCATTACTTGACTTCAAATTATACTGTAGAACTACAGTGACCAAAAAAATATGGTACTGTCATGAAAGCAGAAATACAGACCAATGAAACAGAATAAATAACACAGGAACAAATCTACACACTTACAGTAAACTCCTTTTCAAGAAAGATGCCACTAACATACATTGGAGACAAGCCAGTCTATCCAGTAAATGATGCTGGGAAAATGAATATCCATATGCAGAAGATTAAACTCGATCCCTGTCTCTCACTTTATACAAAAATCAAGTCAAAATGGATTAATACTTAAGTCTAAGATCTCAAAATATGAAACTGCTACAAGAAAATATTGGGGGAAACTCTCCAAGACATTGGTCTGGGAATAAATTTATTGAGCAATACCCCAAAAGCACAGGCAACCAAACCAAAAATAGACAAATGGGATCATATCAAGTTTAAAAGCTTCCTTACAGCAAAGGAAACAGTCAACAAAATGAAGAGACAACCCACAGAATAGGAGAAAGTATTTGCAAGTTACCCATCTGACAAGGGATGAATAACCAGAATATATAAGGACCTCAAACAACTCTATAGGAAAAAAAATCTAATAATCCAATAAAAAATAGGCAAAATATTCAAATACACATTTCTCAAAAGAAGACACACAAATGAATTGTGGTAGCACAGGGGAATTTTAAGGCAGTGAATTTTTTCTGTATAATGTTGTAATAGTGGACACATGACATTATGCATTTGCCAGAATACATAGAATTGTACCACAGAGTAAACCCTAATGTAAACTGTTAACTTTAGTTAATGATAGTGTATCAATATTGGTTCATCAATTGTAACAACTGCACCACAGCCAACAGACTTTCACAAAAATGAGAACACACAGTTGAGGAAGAGACAGTCTCTTCAATAAATGGTGTTGGGAAAGCTGGATATCCTCATGCAGAAAAATAAAAAAGGGCCCTTATCTCTCCCCACATAGAAAAAACAACTCAAAATGGAAAAAGAACTTAAATCTAAGACTTGAAACTGTCAAACGATTAGAGAAAGTCATTGAGAAAATCTTCTTGACATTAGTCTGGAAAAAGATTTTTTAGATATGGTCCTGAAAGCACAGACAATAAAAGGGAATATAAACAAATGGAACTGTATAAAACTAAAAGGCTTATGTGCAGCAAAGAAAACAATCAACAGAATGAAGAGACAATCTATGGAATGGAAGAAAATATTTGCAAAGCAGTCATCTAATAAGAGGTTAATATTCAAAATATATAGGAAACTGAACTAAATATCAGAAAAACAAATAACTTGATTAAAAATTTTCAAAGGACCTGAATAGGCACTTTTCAAAAGAAGGCATTTAAATAACTAACAGGTATATGAAAAACATAAAATGCTCAGCATTACTAATCATCAGGGAAATTAAAATTAAAATTATAATGATATATCACCTCACATCTGTTTGAATGGCTATTATCAAAAAAGTCAGGAGATAAACAAGTATTGGCAAGGATGTGGAGGAAAGAGAACCCTTGTACACTCTTGGTGGGAATGTAGAATGTTATAGCCATTGTGAAAAACAGTGTGGAGATACACCGCAAAATTAAAAATAGTACTACCATATGACCCAGCAATTACTCTTCTAAGTCTGTAATTTAAATAAAATGAAATCACTATGTCAAAGAGATAACTGCACTCACATATTTATTACAGTGTTATTCACAATAGCTAAGATCAACATGTGTCCATCAACAAATGAAAGAATAAAGAAAATTTGGTATGTGTACACAATAGAATACTATTTAGCCTTAAGAAAAAACGAAATTCTGTCATTTGTAACCCTGGATGAACCCTAAGAACATTATGCTAAGTGAAATATACCAGGCACAGAAAGACAAATATTGCATGATCTCATTTATGTGTCGAATCTCAGGAAGTCAAACTCATAGAAGCAGAGGATAGAATGGTGGTTACCAGGAACTTCGGGGAGAGGGGAGAATTTGAGAGATATTGGTCAAAGAACACAAATTTCAGTCCAATAGCAGGAATAAGTTCAGACCATGTTGGTCTATTGTACAACAGGGTAACTATAGTTAATAACATATTTTATAACTGAAAATTGCTATCAGAGTAGATTTTAAATGTTTTCACTTCAAAAAATGACAAGTGTGTGAGGAGGTCAGGAATATGTTAATTAACTTGATTTAGGCATTACACAATTTAAATAAACACCAAATCATCATGTTGGATACCACAAATATATACAATTTTTGTTTGTCAATTAAAAAAATAAAAACTAAAACTGTAATCAAATCTCTTAATTAAAAAGAGAAGATTTTCTGAGTAAGTACATATGGATAACATAGAAAATACTAATTATTTTCGATACCAATAGTAGGAAACAATGTTTTTATTTTCAATCCCTCTTTTGCCTACCACAAATTTGTGAAAACTTACCACTTTAATTATAAAATAGATTAGTAACATTTCTGACATGTGTAAAACCAATATTACAAGGTAATTTTAAAGCAGCATAACCTTGCCTAATAAGTCCTAGGTGTGCCTCTCATCCCTATAAACAATGATTGATCCCTGTTAATTTTCATTTTATTTCCAGATATGACAATAAAGTTCCTCACTTGCAATACTTATAGCTGAGATTATATCAACCCAATGAGTTTATTAAATTCATTTAACTTTAACAGAAAAAGTGTAGAAAATATATCCAAAAAGTTTTCAGTATACTGCACATTTTCAACTTAAAAGCATTTTATTCAAGTTCCATCAATGGGACATTTCATTGATAATTATCATAATTATCAATGTTTTCCATCAGAATATTCAATTCTTTGTTTCCATAAAAGTACAAGTTGAGAGAGTTATATCTGAATGATGCATATTCAATCCATATTATCATCTAAACATAATTTAGTATTGTGCTTAAAAGCATGGATTCTTTAATTTTATATACTGTGTTCAAATTCTGCCTCTGTCATTTATTAGCTGAGCAGCCTTAAACAAGCTGTTTAACCTAAGCAACCTCTAAATTTCAATCACTTATAGGTGAAATGAAAAATGCATTCATAGATTTCAAGATATAATTCATGGAAGGCATTTACCATATTGCTTAACACATATTAAATGCTCATCAATTACTAATATTATCTAATTATCGCACTATACACAGAAATAATAAGCTTTGAAACTAGTAGATGCATTTAACTTCTAATAAAAAATGATTGCATTCAGCACTATATGACTATTAATCCACTTTCTTTATTAACTAAATTGTATGCATAGCTGTATAGAATATTGTTTTTGTAGATCAGCTTATTTTTCAGCTCAGTATGGAAAGCACACATAAATACTGCAATTGAAAATATTTTCTATACTTTATGAGTTCAAGAATAAAAGAACTTGTGAGTGAACAACAAGCATTATGTTAAGAAAGTGTTGTTGTCCTGGAGAATAAAAGAAAGATTAGAAAAACCGGGAGAAACACTGAGTAAAGTTATTGGTAAGTTAAAATGTACTTTTTAAAAATTAGTAGCCTTGGCCAGGAGCGGTGGCTCACGCCTGTAATCCTAGCACTTTGGGAGGCCAAGGCGGGTGGATTGCCTGAGCTCAGGAGTTCGAGACCAGCCTGGGCAACAACAGTGAAACCCTGTCTCTCCTAAAATACAAAAATTTAGCTGGGTGTGGTGGCAGGGGCCTGTAGTCCCAGCTACTCGGGAGGCTGAGGCAGGAGAATTGCTTGAACCCGGGAGGCGGAGGTTGCAGTGAGCTGAGATTGCGCCACTGCACTCCAGGCTGGGCATCAAAGCGAGACTCCATCTCCAAAAAAATAAAAATAAATAAAAATAAAAATCAGTAGCCTTTTTTTTCTAATTTAATTAACTATCAGCACCATAAAGCTATCCAAGTTTTCTAATTTCCTAACATTTTTATTATCCATTTATTTCCCATTCTACTTCTGAATGTCCTCTGTCAGCAACAATAAAAAGCTTAAAATGACAACATACGGAATTAGGGTACTTTAACCGATAAACCAAATCAGACAAAATGTTTTTTTATTATGAAAACAATTAAATCTACATAATATCTACTAAGATATCAGAATTACTCTTTGAGCCTTTCAAGTACATTATTTGAGGGAAGACAAACTAAACCCTAAGTACTTGATTGCTTAGCTTAGGTGGTTGAAATCCTTCCGGGCCTGGGTGCCTAAGCCAAAGTTCCTAAGCCAGCCTCTTTATTCATAAAAAATACCCTCTGCATCCAGCAAAAAAATGTTTTAAGTGAATAAATAAATAAAGCCATTAAACATTTCTACAAACAGAGGGTTCCTTAAACAATACTAATGTCATTGAATAACACTAGCATCTGAAAACTGCAAGTCAGACCAAAATGTTTAAAGGCATTCAATGATCAACTCCATTGACCTCAATTGTGAAACAAATAGAGTTCTCAGCTAATTGGTAATCGGTCACAATTAAGCTGTTAAAATATATTTAAACTATAACTTTTAATGCAGAATATGAAGGACCCAAAAAGTTATCTTTATAAACTTCCAAATATATACTACTTACAAAAAAATGTACAGATTTTAAACTTTGGCAATGAGAGAGAGTGTGACAGAGGATACTATCCTTTATTTTAACACATTTACTAATTGGTTATACAGCGGTAGCAACACCTCCAACACTTCATGAATGATACTGAATTTCATTTTTAAACCAAAGTGAACTTAATAGGGTTGAATTTTTGTCCAGTTCATAGAAAAATAACCTTACAGTTCTTATTGTTAATATGTTCTTTGCACATGATTATTAAATGATGACAATGGATTAGACATGAAAAGTTGTGCTGCATTTATAACTATTTCTGATTTTTACTCTGTTAGTGATTTTATCTTTAATACTACTAGAAACTTCACAGAGGGTTATTATTTTCTGCAGAGCTAATACTTAATTAATCATGATAACCCTTTACAGGTGAATGGTCTTTATTACTGGCCACAAATCAGTGATTTTTAAAATTTTCACTTTGAAAAAAGTCTTGCTTTGCCACTAGACATTAGCAAAAAGAAACCTATAAAGTGGGATTGCTTTTAAAGGAAAATTATTATGAGAGAAAATAAGATTGGAAAAATTACTTAGTTTAAGATTTGATTCATTTTCAGAGGTTTGAAAAAATGTATTTTTTATGCCGCTTGAAGTCGCTAAGAGATAAGCAGCATAGCATATTCATCAAGGAACTTAGGAACAATTATTTTTAAAAATAAATAGTGGAAATATAATATTTTAATTGTTATTGAAATATACCTTCTAATCTTAGAAACCTTTTTCTTTATCTAGGCACTTCATTTGTCCTTTTAAGAAACTATAACATTATTAGTTGTATCAATTTATAATTTGCCGTGCATCTGCCTTACTTACCATCTTTTCATAATTATCTATTAAAAGTTCAAAACATAACCGTATTGAAATATTATTATAATAGTTAATTTAAGAACCATAATAACCAGGTTAAATTTAAAAATTTGATGCTCCTAGCATTTCTGCTTACAAGGCATGTATGCTAAAGAGATTGTTGAGCCCTGATTATGTTTAATTTGTTAAATCTAGTACTTCTTTTAACTTACATGTTTAGTTTTCTACAGCATTGTTACTGTGAACCAGAGTTCTTAGTTTTGAGCAATGTAAATCATCATACACCTCTTCCAAGTAAAGGAGTAGTTTTTACCTACCATACAGGTTACAGGAAATTGGCTTATTTTGTCTTTAGATAGCATACTGAATCAAAGTTTAAGGACGCATATAGGAAACGTCTTTAAACTTCTGTCCATATATCAAATATAATTGAAGATAAAATTATTACAGCAAAAAATTTTGCAAAGTAGTTTTGAAAGACTTACAGATAAAGATGGTAGACAAGATATATGCATTTATTTCTGCTAGTTCATAAAACCTCCCTATAATAATATTTAAAATTGTTAAAATTCATACATTGACAAAAAAGATAGAAAGGGACAAAATAGTGACAAATTTGGAAGCTGAAAATGAGGTGGGTGATTGACAACTGACTTAGCAGGCCCAGGAAACCTGAATCTTAAGGTAGAAGTTGGAAAAGTGGAGATATCTTCCCAAAGTTTAGGAATTGCAAACATCAGGTACCTCTGGCAGTAGTGAGGCAAGCTGAGCTGAAAATGGCAGGGTAGATCTAAAAACTATACAGTAAAATAAAATAGTAATAAAATAAAATAAAATCTTATTTCTCCTCTCAACGTACAAAACCTTTGTCTTCCCAACTTCAGCAGAAGGCTGAAGTTTTATTCTTTAGAAAAGATGAAATAGAGGTATCATGACTGAGGTACATCTAGCAGAGGTGAACTTGTATGATCTTGAATACAGGGAGCTATGTACTAAATGAATGTTGAGACCCCCAGGGTTCTTACCCCATAATGATGGCCGCCAGGATAAGACCCACAAAAAAAAAAAATACTGGACACACTTCTCTGGAAGATTATACTGCCCTAGAAAAGAGATCTATTGATATGGACATTGGGTTTCCCTATAAGCATGCAAAACATCGTGAATGGATTATTATACAATGTATATATGTATTTAAATATCACACTGCACCTCATAAATGTGTACAATTTTATGTACCAATTAAAAACTAAGATAAATTTAAAAATTGGCTTAAACAGACCACTCTACGTTGAAGAACATAGTCTAAAAACCATATCCTTGTGTAGAGAGCTTCTAATCAGTTTCAGCACTTCACTCATAAATATAATTATGTAGTGAGCATTAACAAGCATTTGAGTAAAGCAAAGAGGTTGAAAGAGAGCATAACAAGCAAACCAAAAGTATACAAATAATCAAATTAGCAGAAACAGATCATGAACATAGAAGAAAATTTACAAACACATGTATATATATATATATATATATATATGAGTGAAATAAGAACATATGGAATAAAAGTAAAACATTCAGAAAAAAAATTTAAATGTCCTAGAAATTAAAACTTTATTAAGAGAAATGAAAAGAAATGAAGAAAAAAATGAAAAAAGTGGTTGAGAGATAGAGTTGAGAATGTATCTTAGAAAATAAAACAAACAGATGGATTAAACAGTAAGAGAAGTAAATAAGACAATTAGAGGTTAGTCCAAATTCCAGAGAGGGAGACCTCAGAAAATAGAGAGTAGAAAATTACCAAAAAGTTTTTTTCAGGTAATTTTATCCACTCTAAAATATATGAGCTTCCATATTATTTGGGTTCATCAAGTTCCAGCACAATGATAGAAAATGGACCCATATGAACACTTACAATGTTTACCAAGTACTTACCCCATGCCAGCCATTGTTCTAAACACTTTTCATGTAATTAACCCACTTTAATGCTCTCAACATCTCCAAGATGTGCATGTTATTATGATGCTCATTTTTAAAGATGAGGTTAATTTACATGTAAGACCTTCACAATGGTTAAATAATTAGGTCAAGATTACACAGAACAGTGATTTGATCTCAAGGACTGTATTAATCTGTTCTCACACTACTATAAAGAACTATCTTAGACTGGGTAATTAAAAAAAGATGTTTAATTGAGGCACAGTTCCACAGGCTGTATAGGAGGCATGACTGGGCAGGCCTCAGGAAACTTACAATCGTGGCAGAAGGGTAAAGGAGAAGCAAGCACATCTTCACATGGTGGCAGGAGAGACAGAGAACAGAGGAGGAGATGCTACACACCTACAAACAGCCAGATCTTATGAGAACTCACTATCATGATAACAGTAAGGGAGAAATCTGCCCCCATGATCCAATCACCTCCCGCCAGGTCTCTCCCCCAACACTGAGGATTACAAATAAAGATGAGATTTGAATGGGGACACAAATCCAAAGCATGTATTCTGCCCCTGGCCCCTCCCAAATCTCATGTCCTTCTCACATTTCAAAACACAATTATAACTTGCCAACAGTCCCACAAAGTCTTAACTCATTTCAGCATTAAATCAAAAGTCTAACAAATTCCAAATCTCATCTGAGACAAGGCAAGTACCTTCCACTTATAAGCCTGTAAAAAGCAAACAAACAAAACAACAACAACAGCAACAAAAAAAAAACCCACAAAAAAACAGTTAGTTACTTCCAAGATACAATAGAGGTACAGGCAGTGGGTAAATGCTCCCATTCCAAAAGGGAGAAAGCAGCCAAATCAAAAGAGCTACAGGCCTCATGCAAGTCTGAAACACAGAAGGGCAGCCTTATGTCTTAAAGCTCCAAAATAATCTTTTTTAACTCCATGTTTCACATCCAGGCCACACTGACACAAGGGGTGGGCTCCCAAGGCCTTGAGCAGCTCTGAGTCTGTGGCTTTTCAGGGTAAAGCCCCCCATGGCTGCTTTTACAGGTTGGCATTAAGTGCATGCAGCTTTTTCAGCCACACAGTGCAAGCTGTTGCTGGATCTGCTATTCTGGGGTATGGAGGATGGTGGACCGCTTCTCACAGATTCACTATGCAGTGCCCCAGTGGGGTCTCTGTGTGGGGGTTCCAACACCACATTTCCCTTCCACAATGCCCTAGTAGAGGTTCTTCATGAGGGCTCTGCCCCAGCAGCAGACATCTGCCTGGACATCCAGGCATTTTCATACATGATCTGAAATCTATGCAGACGCCCCCAAGCCTCAACTCTTGCCCTCTGCACACCCCCAGGCTAAACATCACATGGAAGCTGCCAAGGCTTGTGGCTTGCACCCTCTAAAAGAGTGGCCTGGATATATCTGGGGCCCTTTTATGCACACCTGGAGCTGAAGTGGCTGGGATGCAGGGCACAATGACCTGAGGCTGTCCAGAGCAGCAGGGACCAGGGCCACTAAACCATTTTTCCCTCCTAGGCGCTCAAGCCTTTGATGGGAGGGGCTACTGTGAAGGTCTCTGAAATGGCTTGGAGGCATTTTCCCCATTACCTTGGCTACTAACATTTGGCTCTTCTTTACTTGTGCAAATTTCTGCTGCAGGCTTGAATTTCTCCTGTGAAAATGGGTTTTTCTTTTCTACCACATGGCTGGGTTGCAAATTTTCCAAACTTCTATGCTCTACATTTCTTTTAAATATTAGTTCTAGTTTCAGGCAATTTCTGTGTTTATGCAAATAAGTATAGGCTTTAGAAGCATCCAGGCCACATCTTGAATGCTTTGTTGCTGTGAGATTTCTTCCACCAGATATCCTAAACTATCTCTGTCAAGCTCAAAGTTCCACAGTTCTCTGGAACATGGGCACAATGGCACCAGTCTCTTTGCTAAAGCATAACAAGAGCCACCTTTACTTCAGTTCCCAATAAGTTCCTTATCTCCATCTGAGACCTGCTCAGCCTGAGCTTCACTGTCCATATCACTGCCAATATTTTGTTCAAAACCATTTATCAAGTCTCTAAGAAGTTCCAACTTTTCCCTCATCTTCCTGTCTTCTTCTGAGGCCTCCAAACTGTTCCAGTCTCTGCCCATTACCAAGTTCTAAAGTCGCTTCTACATTTTCAGGTCTCTTTATTCCAATGTCCCACTTCTCTGGTACCAATGTTCTTTATTAGTTTGTTCTTGCACTGCTACAAAGAACTACCTGAGAGTGGGTAATTTATAAAGGATAGAGGTTTAACTGACTCACAGTTCCACAAGGCTGTATAGGGAATGACTTGGGAGGCCTCAGGAAACTTACAATCATGGCAGAAGAGTGAAGAAGCAAACATGTCTTCATATGATGGCAGAAGAAAGAGAGCAAAGGGAGAAGTGCTACACACTTTCAAACAACCATATCTCACGAGAACTCACTATCACGAGAACAGTGAGGGAGAAATCCGCCCCCATGATACAATCACCTCCCACCAGGTGTCTCCCTCAACATAGTGGATTGCAATTCAACATGAGATTTGGGTGGGGACACAGTGCCAAACCATATCAAGGAATCTTAACTACTATTTTGAAATTGTATTACATTAAAGACAAAGATATAACCCTAAAGCATTCAGAGACTTGCAAAATAGACAAACATATTTCTTCATTTAATTCAAAAAATAATCAGAAAGGGGTTAAACTTCCCAATAGTAACATTGGAAGCTAGAAAATACATGAAAGGTGTCATCAAAATTCTCAAGAATAATAATTGCCTGTCTAGAATTCTAAATATGGACTACTAGTCCAGTGTGAGGGTGAATTAGTATACTTACACATAGGCATTGTCTCTGAAAATAAACTTTCATGCACTCTTTCCAGGAAATTACTAATGGATGGGATGGGCTCTACCAAGACACAGAAGACTTAGTATCTAAGAAAGAGAGGATTCAAAAGAGAAATAGAAAAACCCACGGTGAGGGTGAAGAGAAATTACAAGACAAGTGCTTTCAGTGGGTTTAGAGAGCAGCCACTCCCGACTTTAATAGGCCAGAAGCCCTTAGAGATACTTGAAGACAATGGATTATTAGAAGACAATGGATTATTAGTGTTGGAATAGACTAGGAAGCTAATTACAAAATGAGGGAAGGCATTGCCTTTTAAGACACTAATAATAACACAATAAATTAAGCAACTAAAAATTCAATATAATGATTAAATCCAATAAGAATTTAAAAACTTAGGCATAAAATAAAAGATATTCATAGTATATTACATGGCTGCATTGTAAATGGTACGGTACATAGTTTTCATAGTGATATAAGCCACAGATATTGATATCAATCAAATATTCATATAGGTACAATGGGAGGATATATTATTTTAACTCAGCATTAGTGTTGGGAACAGACAGGAAAAAGAGGATTAAGGTTTTCTTATCTTTAGTGAAAAAATTATTACATAATGTTTAAAGCTGAAAATCATCAAGTAGTAATATAAGCAAGTTATTTTCATGTATTCATTTAAATACCAAATAAATCAGTCAAATAGTTGAAAATAGAATGTCTTTGGGGGATAAGGTGGCAAGGAATCACTTTCTTTTTCTTTTTTACAATTTAACTTTTATTTTAAGTTAAGGGATAGATGTGCATCTTTGTTACATAGGTAAATTTATTGCATGGGGGTTTGTTGTACAGATTATCTCATCACCCAGGTATTAAGTCTAGTATCCATTAGTTATTCTTCCTGATCCTCTCCCTCCTTCCACCTTTCTCTCTCCTATAGACCCTAGTGTTGTGTCATTCCTCTCTATGTGCGCATTTGTTCTCATCATTTAGCTCCCACTTATAAGTGAGAACAAGCAGTATTTGGTTTTCTGTTCCTGCATTAATTTGCTAAAGATAATGATGTCCAGTTCTACCCAGGGTGCTGCAAAGAACATGTTCTTTTTTTTATAGCTGCATAATATTCCATGGTGTATATGTACCACATTTTCTTTATCCAGCCTACCACTGATGGGCATTTGAGTTGATTCTACATCTTTGTTATTGCAAATAGTGCTTCAATGAACATATGAGTGCATGCATGTGTCTTCATAATAGAACATTTTATATTTCTGTGGGTATATAACGAGTAATGAGATTTCTGGGCCAAATGGTAGTTATATTTTTAGGTCTCTGAGGAATCACCACACTGTCTTCCACAATTGTTGAACTAATTTAACTCCCACCAAGAGTGTATAAGTGTTCCCTTTTCCCCGCAACCTTGCCAGAAACTGCTGTTTGTTGAGTTTTGAATAGCCATTCTGATTGGTGTGAGATGGTATCTCGTTGTTTTGATTTGCATTTCTATAATGATCGGTGATGTTGAGCTTTTTTTATATGATCGTTGCCTGCATGCATGTCTTCTTTGGAAAAGTGTCTGCTCATGTTCTTTGTCCACTTTTTAATGTTGGTGTTTGTTTTTATTTTCTTGGACATTTTTTAAGGTTCTTATAAATGCTGGATATTAGACCTTTGCCAGATGTATAGATTGCAGAAATGTTTCCCATTATGTATGCTGTCGATTCACTGTCTTGGTAGTTTCCTTTACTCTGCGGAAGCTCTTTATTTTAATTACATTGATCCCATTTGTCGATTGTTGCTTTTGTTGCAATTGTTTTTGATTTCTTTATGATGAAATCTTTGCCCTTTCCTATTTGCAGAACGGCATTGTTTAGGTTGTCTTCTAGGGTTCTTATAGTTTTGGCTTTTGCCTTTTAAAACCAGTTTTAACCAGTCTATGAGCTTGAGTAACTTTGAAAGAATTTAAAAAGAAAAACTGAGGTAAACACACATTCATTTTTCTATTAAGAAAGGAGACTAGATACTAGTAATCAACCTGAGATAAGTGCTAAACTTGTTCAATATTAGTTATCTTTAAAAATTATGTCAATGATCGACAAAAATGTGCAGAAACCAGTGGTCACAGTGAAACATAAATTTCAATTTGTTCATCCACCAACGGTATATCTATGATAAAATTGTAGAAATTCTTGCTAACATGCTTTTCTGAGCTTTTGAGTCCTTGGGAAGAGCTATAGGTGCTATTCTGACTTGAAATAAAGTGAGGCGAGGAGCATAGTTCCTAAAGGAAAACTTTTCTTGGAGAAGGTTTAGAACCTGGGTTATGACAGTGATTTTTGGTAGATAAAGGGGCTCTGCTAAATAAAAATGTTAGGAAACACTAGCTTTAGAAAATTGTCTTATTGCTTTACAATCATACCAAACAATTTGGAAATGCAATTCTTCCTTTTAGTTGTTGGTTTGGTACTCTAAAATATTGTATGAGCTCCCGACAAATCATCTGCCTTTTTTTCTGTTCTCATTTCAATTATTTTCTCTACTAGTACAAACACCCTTCCTCACCTCCATCTGTTACATGATTTAGTTGAAAGGGAGTTAAAATACTTTCATGCAAAATGCCATTTCCTTCAAAACCTTCAACAGCCATTACCAGGCTTGCAGATATCAGAAAATGTTTTGGGATGTTTCCGATTTCAGAGCCACTGATTGGGAAAATGATTAAGGTTTTTTTATAAAACAAAAAATGGCATGCCATCAAAATAATAGTGTTTGTGTGTGGCATATTAATTCCTATTGTGGTTTAGCTAGCAAGTATGTCAAGGCTATTTTAGTTTGTCATTTGTACTTCTAGCATCACCAGAATTTGAGGCTTTCAAACACTTTGCCATTAGCAAAGAAGACTAGAGTTCTTATAAGCTGTGAAGAAGCCTATTTATCAGGTTCAAGATATTTTGTTTTGTTTATATGTGCAGAAAGAATAAGAGAGTTGTGCCCCTAAGCAGCCATGTGATATTATTTACTTGGGAGGTAACCGTTGTAAACCATGAGTATCTTAGACAAGTCTCAATCAATTTAGAAAGTTTATTTTGCCAAGGTTAAGGACGCACCTGTGAAACAACCTCAGGAGTTCCTGACGACATTTGCCCAAGGTGGTTGGAGCAGAGCTTTGTTTTATACATTTTAGGGAGACATGAGACATCAATCAATATATGTCCAGAAAGGTTGGAAAACCAGAAGTGAGGGGATTCTAGGTCACAGATAGACAAAGGACAAAGGGTTGCATTCTTTTGAGTCTCTGATTAGCCTTCCACTGAATATGCAATTTACAGTCACTTATGCCTTAGTCTGGCTTAGTGAAACAATAGGGCAAAGGAAGCAATGAGATATGCATTTGTCCCACGTCAGCAGAGGGATGACTTTGAATTCTGTCTGTCCTTTGTCCATAAGGAATTTCTTTGTGAGCAAATTGTGAAGGAGATGTGCAGCTTTTTTATCTTTGTAGCTATCTTACTTAGGAATAGACTGGGAGGCAGATTTTCCCAATGCAGTCCCCAGCTTGACTCTTCCCTTTGGCTGAGTGATTTTGGGGTCCCAAGATTTCTTTTCCTTTCACACCATAAAATAGTAAATTAGGTACTGTTGAAATGGTAATCTCCCCATCGATCTCCCTAATTAAAGTAGAAAGAAAGCCACATGATATAGTATCTATGGAACTGGGAGGCAGTAGAAAGTAGAATTATGCTGAGTAAATTTAAGGATATTTAGGGCTCAAAATCCCATCTTTAAAAAGACATCAAATATATATTTATCACTTATGCTTTAATCAGGAGAAAACTGAAATAGCCAACCAGAGGTAAATAAACAGCTTTGGAAAAACTGAAGGAGAGAAGAGAATGGTAAGGTTTGAGCGTGTTTGTTTAATAGAGATAAATCAGCTCATTGATGAAGCAGAAACTGATAGCAGATACACTTCAAAATTTTTGTTTTATATAGCCCTAATCAATGTTTTAAAATAAAATGAAACTACCTTAATTTTCCTGGTTTTTTTTTTTTTTTTTTTTTTTTAAGACAGAGTCTCACTCTGTCACCGAGGCTGGAGTGCAGTGGCACAATCTTGGCTCACTGCAACTTCCACCTCTGGGGTTCAAGCGATACTCGTGCCTCGGCCTCCTGAGTAGCTGGGACTTCAGGCACATGCCACCACGCCCAGCTAATTTTTTATATTTTTAGTAGAGACGGGGTTTTGCCACCTTGGCCAGGCTGGCTTCGAACTCCTGACCTCAGGTGATCCATCCCGCCTCAGCCTCCCAAAATGCTGGGATTACAGGCATAAGCCACCACACCAGGCCTAAGTTTCTTTTCTTCCCTTCATCTGAAGTAAATCTAACACTCTGATCATACCATTCAAATGTGACCCTACTAGTCAACAGGTCAGTGCCAGAACCGAAGGAAAAGTACCTAAAAAGATTACTCTGGAAAATTGCTGATAACTGTAATATTTTGGATACATTTGTTAATTTCTTTCAATTAAAATATATTTATTAAGCACCTACTATATGTCAGCACCTGCTAGTTGTTAAGGTTTGTAGTCACAGTTCCTGCCTTCACAAAATTGGCAGATTTATTGAATGTTGGGAATGGGTCACCACAATGTTTGTCCTTAATGCATACTGGACACCTGAAGTTCTGTGTATGTAGAGTGTGGCAGATGGACAGGCAAGATATAATTAGTAGCGTTGGTGTTATAGGATGCCACAAAAATAATGGCTATATCCTTTCTAAGCCATTGCTTTACTTCAACCCTATACCTGACTATTTATGGCTCTCTTAGCTAAATAATTATTTTTGTACACTGCTTTAGTCTCCTGGCTTGGATGTTCATCTCTTGTATCTTTAGGAACCTCAATTTTCAGGTTCCATTTGAAAATATGACATAGTTAAACAATATAAATTTTCATTACCTCCTAAGAAGGATCACTACCTCAGCTTTGATTTACATTTAACTACTTCAGGAAGTGGAAGTTTTAATCCAGAAAACTTGTTGTATAGAGATTAATGCCCCCATGCAATTTTGAAAATATGAATTGCACACATTAAAGTTTTAGTTTAGGAGCATTTTAATCCATGTATCACTGTTTCGTCCTGGTTGATGGGGTTTCACCTCTAATATGTCCATTACTCACTTTATAAACTTAAGGTTCTTTTTCATCCTTTGGGCTAAAAGTTATCACACCTAAGTGTAAGATCTTAATTATATTCCATGGCCAGAGTATTAAATTGGTATTTTGCAACTTGGTTAAATTGAAGGCAAAGTTTAAAAAATGAGAAAGCAGCTCAAACTGAATTGTGATTCTAAATATAATTTTCAAAATGTCCTTTCTGTATGCTACTCTCATTTTGTTGATGCTGAACTTCATCTCCCAAGTCCCAAAGTTCATCTTAGACTTTTACTTTATAGTATACAACTCATTACAAGATACAAAATCCTTTGTTTCATTGAACAGCCTCTGAGTATCAATAAAACGTAATTTTTTATCAAGAAGGATGACCAGGGAAAAGTCAGAATGAAATGAATAGAAGCACCAAACAACAGTATGAATTGGTCCCTCTGCAGAAAGCAGGAGGTCTCAGAGGAGAAGTCAAGGCCTCAGTTAACAGATACTAAGAAATAATTAAGTGCCCTAACTTTTGGATGAAAGAAATAAAGTTCACATTGAGCATAATGTGGTCACTTTAAACTAAGTGAACATTGCCAAAAATAGTGAAAAGGGTCTAGGTGATTTTTCAAAAATGTAAAAGTCAGCAATATTTTCTTTAATTCCTACAAATTATTTGTTAGAGAATGAAAAGAAAGACTAAGTTTAGGTGTAATCTACTATTGTATATAATTATTATAAAACCACAGAGTCAGTGTGATCCTCAAGAAATGATTTTCAGAAAATTATCTAAAGTTATTGGCAGCCTCTCAGCTATACTGTCATGGTTTTGTAATATATTTGAAATAACACGTATATGGAAAAATGCTGTGGGCCTGAGATCAGAAATTTTTCTTTTTTTCCCATTTTTAATATTTATTAATATTTTGGCAAACACATATGTGGAGAAAGATAGTTTTGTACTCCTTGAATGAATCAATATCAACCCAACAAAACTATATTCTGTTGAAAGATAGGTATGTCATGAGGCCATAGTGTAGAGTCAGATGCAATTTTGGTAAAACTACACAAAGCCCCAGTTTCATGGACCAAAAAATGTGAAAGATATATTGAAAGAAAGACATAAATAAAAGACCCCGTAGTATAGTCTTTCTTTGCATAGCTCCTAAGCAAGACCTACATATTTGATAAAATACAATAGAATGACCAAATGTGGCAGTTTTATTATTTCCAGAAAGTCTTCATGGGCTTTGATGAAAATAGAAGGGATTATTGGTATATATTGTAAGAGCATGTTAAGCTGTTACTTGATTCAAGCAACGCAATAACTAAATATCTTCATTTTCTAAGTGACTGACTATATATTGTTTCAACTTTAGAAGTATTTATTCACATTAAAGATGTTTGATTTATAGTACTGTGTTACTTGAGTATGTATGTATTTATTTATTTTCAGACAGAGTCTCCCTCTGTCAACCAGGCTGGAATGTAGTGGCACGATCTCAGGCCACTGCAACCTCTACCTCTCAGGTGCAAGCAATTCTCCTGCCTCAGCCTCCCAAGTAGCTGGAGTTACAGGCACGCACCACCGTACCCAGCCTTTTTTTTTTTTTTTTGTATTTTTAGTAGAGACGGGGTTTCACCATGTTGACCAGGCTGATCTCGAACTACTGACCTCAGGTGATCCACCCACCTCGGTCTCCCAAAGTGCTGGGATTATATGTTTGAGCCACCACGCCTGGACGAGTATTGTATTTTAAATGACCACAAGCGACATCACTAGCATCCGAATATGCTGGTTTCAGTTAGATTGCTACCAAATGCTCTACTTATCTATAAACCATCATAGGAGAATTTTTGAACTTATCCAAAATAATTTAAAATATGTCATACTTTATTATATGAATAATTCAAGATTACACACAAACACACACACATTACATATCCTCAGAGTTTAACCAATATGACTTGAGGGACTGACCTGTATCCCTCTCTCTTTTATTCAGAATTATTCATAATACTTCTTGTACCAATCACATTTTTCATTTTGGAGGAGTGATATCCCAAAAACTATTCAACAAAATTCACACATAATATTTCTGGAAAACCAGTATGAGTAAAAATAATTAGAGTTTTGTGACTGAATTGATGACACTTTATATCTACTTTTAGTCACTCAATTAATTCTTCATTTATGTGTTTGAAGTAATTTTTCAAATAAGTTACTTTTCTTAATATATTTCCTCTAGGGTCTAACCACGTGCAATAGGTAAATTTTTTTCTCCTCATCTATATAAACAGAAACTTTCATGCACATTAATTATCAGAGATTTTGCTGTTTCCCTGTCAATGCAATTAGGTTGTATTTTCATTGATGATTTTCTAGCAGGTAAAAAAACAAAGTAAATTATGTACCGTAAGACACTCTATTTAATATTAATCTAGAATATGGAAAACATATAAGCTGAAAATGTCAGAGAACAATGTCATTTTAAAAGAGTTTGAAAGCCTCTAATTGATCAAATATTGCTTTATGTGATTGTGGTATTTTATGGCAATATAAAATTATTTCTGTAGTTTGACAGAAGAAAATGAGAGATTTTATGTAAAGTTACAATCAAACATTTTTTCATATGATAATTATGAACCTTTTTTATAGTTTTTATTTCTGTGGCATAGCATTCATGACCATTACTGTTCTAATTTGAAGGCTATTGGGACTGAAAAAATGTTATTAGTGTTCGGTGACTGCTGATTGACTCATTTGCAGAGCTATAGGCAACTGGCCGGAATTAGACTAAGGAAAAATAAAAGAAAATATAGTTGGTAAGCTCCTGAGAGTGGATAAATATGAAATATCATCTGAGTTTTCTATGTACATTTTACTACAGTTTTCTGATGAGGCCTGTCATATTTTCACAAAATGTGAAAAAGTGAATTATTATTATGTTTTAAACATTGTAGTAATGTATTACTGAAGTATGTTTAATTTTCACACCTGTAAAACAAAGCTGTTTGAGTAAACTGATGTGTGAAAAATGTTATAGCTGTAATTGAATAGATCTCCTATTTTAAAACGCAGTGCTATTTAAAAAATAGTTTTTGCAGTTAACGTCTTAGTTTTCATTTACTGATGGAATCCTCAACCTTTTCAGTTAAAAGACGGAGGTTTTTGATTATTGTTTTCCAAAATGCTTAAGCACTTCCTGGGAGCTGGGGAGATGGATGATTTGATTGATGAAACTTACAGTTAAGTCCGTGTGTGTGTGTGTGTGTGTGTGTGTGTGTGTGTGTGTGTGCATCCGCACGCACGCTGTGAACATGTGAATGCATGTGCATGAGCTATTGCAAATATACCAGTACTCATGTATCCTGGTCTAAAATGTGGAGCAGAGAAGTTTCTTCTCTGCTGAGACTTCTGGTAAACTAAATAAGCAGAATTTGAGACAAGCCAGGGAGAAGTAACAGTTGCCATTGGGATCCTCTAGTTGGTAATAATTTACCTAGTAAAATATACTTTATTTTATTGTCTTGGTAAAGTAATGAAGCTCAAATCACAAGCTTTATTCTAAGAGTCTTGTTTAACTCACAAGTTCTCATCCCCTAAGTCTTTTGACACAGTAACATAGTATAGCTATTGTTCATAAATTCTATCAGAAAGAAAAGTTGAAAACAATTATAAAGCTTGTGCTAGCATTTCTCATACTAATGAAATTGTCGACTTTAGGAAACAGCAACACTTTCCACTTCTCAGAATCTCCTCCTCCTTTTTGCCAAAGTTGTTTGGGTACAATGTGCCCGATTACATGTAACTGGAAAAAAAGCTTCTCCTTAGGTACAATCTTCTGTTCTAAGGCAAAAAACTTGACAGATATATGGTATAAATAATAGTTTTGTGCCTGAATTTGGCAGTATTTGTTTAGCCATCATTCTTTTTAGTCCTAGTGATACTTCCTCAGAATATTGTGAAATGTTCTGATTTAGTTCTGGGTCACCTTATTGTGGCTATGAAAATGAGAAAAAAATCACACAGCTCATATTCGAACATAATTCCAGTATTTCTGCTCAAAGATCTAGTTGAGTCCTTGTGATAAAATGTAATAATAAACCGAGGAAAAATAATATTTGCTCATGAGACTTTGTCAAATACAGCACCCTATGACAGTATATTAGAAGATACCTTAGAAATATAGATACATACTGTCATAGATTATAGAAGGTTTATTTCATAGAAGCATAAATGAGATTGAAGTTTGGTTATAGTCTGAGAACTCCATTTCTCTGAAGAAACCAAATGATAAGGGACTTGTAGAGGGGAATGATATAGGCAGAACTGTAACCAGAACTGAAATATTATGTTCCCCATACTTTTTATGCTACTTCATATTGCTTGAGGGTTAAATGCAGAGTAAAAGTAGTATCCTCAACCTTTTTATTTGACAGGGGCTTTTTAAAGTAAATATATATATATATATGTGCAGGAATCCTCAACCTTTCTAGTTGAAAGAAGGGCCTTTTTAAAAATATTTTTTTCAAAATGCTTTAGCTCTCCCTGGGAGTTGGGGAGGTGGATGAAACTTAGAGTTAAGTCCGTGTGTGTGTGTGTGTGTGTGTGTGTACAGTTATTCCTAGTAGGAAAACTTCCAATTTTTAATATTTAGATGTAAATTTGTTCTAAAAATTAATAATTACACATATTTAGAAATTCAAGTATTAATATAGGTGTGAACTGCAGGGAATTAAAATTACAGTGTGAACTAAGATTTGCACAACCAACAGGAAGTTTAATTTAGTAAATTTCAGTTGATATTTGCAAATTTTCTGCACATAACCACTTTAATCTTATTTTTTTCTATTTTACTTTATGGCACTACACAGAATAAGCAAAGCTTTCTAAAATTCATTATATTCTTTCATACATTTTCTTAATAATAATGATAAATCAGGTTAAGAGTGGAGCTCAAAAACTTTCAGGGAATTTTTTTCTCTTTTTAAACGGGGACAACCTTTTAAAATAATACCAATTTCATAGAATGCCCAGTATGTTCACATTATAACAATACAAATTATTTCACCTCTGTAAAAGTTTATTTAGAAAATGTCTGTGACATGTGAATTCTATTTTCTAGATTGTGATGAAATATGAAAGTATGCTAATGACAGTTTGAAATTAGAGGATGATTTCTTATGTTTGATATTCAAATACATGTACAGTTTAATAGGCTTACATGTCATATATATATTTCAAATGACAAGATGTTATGCAATTTGAAATATATGCATAATAGATTATTGATAAATAATTTTTAATCCCACTTTTTAAAATCTTATAATTTCTTTCATGAAAAGATACCTGTATTTTCATGCACTATATTTACGGTCACTATATATACCTTACTTTAAATATTTCTTATGACAGACTAACCAGTGCTTTGAGGGCCCACTATTTTGTGCATAAAGTTTTGACACTGAAAATAGGTTTATGATGTTAGTCTAAATGTTCTGATTGTTAAGTGTAACAGAAGTTAAATTTTTAAAATAAATATTTGATACTGGTTTATCACGTTACTTGCTTTTAACTAAACTAAGTAAAGAAAAAATTGAGTTATAATCTAGTTGAGAAAAGTTTTCCTATAACTGTGTGTCCTTAGATATTAAGTCAGTCAACTGGTCCATCATGACTTATCTATCTCATAATAAGTTCCCAAGACTGCTACCTTTAAGATTATTGACTGCCTCAAAAAATATCATCTAAACATTTAAGGTTTTGTTACCAGTCATTATTCTTAAACCTACTGAAAATGAATGAATAGTGTATACCTACTTGCTGGCTTGTTTATATTACATTAAAATCATTGAGGCTGGAATTATTTTAACCTTATTTTATTTTATCACATCTCTTAGACAACTACCGTAAATTCAATTCGTATCATTAGGTAAATGGATATGTTAGTATCCTTTCTTCCCTCTGATTCTCATTTCTACTAAGCAATATGTCCTTTTTATCTTTCTGAGATTTTTCTGGGGTATCTAAATAGGAAATAACTAATAATCAAATTCTGGATAAATTCTCAGCATAAAGACACAATTAAAAATATGTTTTTCAGCTAAAACAGCACTCTCGACAAAGGATTAATGTTAAATAATTTGCAGAAGAGAAAATCAAAAGCAAACTATTTTTTATAGGGACTGAACTTTCTCTTTTCTCTAACAATCATAACTTTACGGTAATCAAATGACTGTTTTTCCATTTTTTTAATTAATGGATTTTATTTTTAAGAGCATTTATAAGTGTACAGAAAAATTAAGAAGTTCAGAGATTCCCCATATATTCCCTCTCCACCGAACCCCTCCTGCTGACAACTAACCTATTATTGAAATCTTGCATTGGAGTGGTACATTTGTTATAATTGATGAACCAATATTGATACTTTATTATTAACTAAAGTCAATAGTTTATTTCAGGGCTACTCTTTGTGCTGTATAGATATATGGCTTTTGCCAAATAGATAATGTCCTATATCCAGTGAATGTTATAGTAACATACAGAAGAGTTTTACTACCATAAAAATTCCCTGTACTCTACCTATTAATCGCGCCCCTCCCACCCCAAATGTCTAGAGGCAATAGATCTTTTAACTATCTCCATATCTTTGCACTTTCTAGAATGCCATGTAGTTGGAATGATACAGTATGTAGCCTATTCAGACTGGCCTCTTTCACTTAATAATATGCTTTCACAGTTCCTCTATATGTTTTTGTGGCTTGATAGCTTATTTATTTTATTAGTGAATAACATTCCATTGTAAGGATATACAACAATTTGTTTATCCATTTACCTATTTAAGGATATCTTATCAAATTTTTAGCAATTACAAATAAAGCTACTAAAAACATTCACAAGTAGGTGTTTGTTTAGGCACACATTTTCATTCATTTGGGTAAATACAAAGGAGCACAATTGCTGGGTAGAACTACAAGACTCTACATGTAGTTTTTAAAGAAACTTCTGAACTATTTTCCAAAGTTCCTGTACCACTTTGCATTCCTAACAGGAAAGAATGAGAATTCCTTTTACTGCACATATTAACCAGAATTTGGTATAGTCAGCAATTGTGATTTAGCATTTCTCACACCTATACAGTGGTATCTCATTTTTGTTTGAATTTGCACTTCCCTAATGACGCATATGTTGCTTTTCATTTGCATATTTACCATCTATACATCTTTACTGATGAGGTGTTTGGTCAGACCTTCTGCACACTTTTGAATTGGGTTGTTTGTTTTCTTATTATTGGATTTTAAGGGTTCTTTGAGCATTTCGAATGCAAACTTTTTGTCATATATGTATTTTGTAAATACATATCTGATATGTATTAGAGGCATTGGCTCTCACTTTTTAATTAATCTTTATTTTTTAATTATAACTTTTATTTTAGATTGAGGGGTGTATGTGAAGGATTGTTATGTAGATAAACTGCACGTCACAGGGATTTGGTGTAAAGAGGATTTCATCACCCAGGTAATAAGCATAGTGCTCAACAGGTATTTTTTTCTTATCCTCTGCCTCCTCCCACCATCCCTCCTCAAGTAGGCCCCAGTGTCTGTTTCTTTCTTTGTGTCCATGTGTTCTCATCATTTAGCTCCCACTTATAACTGAGAACATGTGATATTCATTTTTCTGTTTCTGAGTTAGTTTCCTTAGAATGACATCTTCCAGCTTCATCCATGTTCCTACAAAGGACATGATCTTGTTCTCTTTTATGGCTGCATAGTATAACATGATTCATATGTACCACATTTTCTTTATCCAATCTACCATTAATGGGCATTTGGGTTGATTCTATGTCTTAGCTACTGTGAGTAGTGCTGCCATTAACATATGTGTGCATGTGTCTTTATGATAGAATGATATATTTTCCTTTGAGTATATACCCAGTAATGGGTTGGAGGGTTGAATGCTATTTATGTTTTTAGGTCTTTGAGGAATCGCCACACTGTCTTTCACAATGGTTGAACTAATTTACACTCCCACCAACACATTATAAGCATTCCTTTTTCTCTGCAACCTAACCTGCATTTGTTACTTTATGACTTTTAATAAAGGCCATTCTGACTGGTGTGAGATGGTATCACATTGTGCTTTTTATCTGAATTTATCTTATGATCAGTGATGTTAGTTTTCATAAGATTTTTGGCCACATGTATGTCTTCTTTCGAATAGTGTCTGTTCATATCCCTTGCCAACTTTTTAATAGGATCATTTTTTCTGGTAAATTTGTTTAAATTCCTTATAAATGCTAAATATTAGACTTTTGTTGGATATATAGTTTGCACAAATTCTCTCCCATTATGTAGGTTGTCTTTTTACTCAGTTGATAGTTGTTTTTTTTCTGTAAAAAGCTCTTTAGTTTAATTATGTCTCATTTGTCAATGTTTTTATTGTTGCAATTGGTTTGATGTATTTGTCATAAAATATTTGTCTGTTCCTATGTCCAGAATAATATATCCTAGGTTTTCTTTCAAGATTTTTACATTTTTAGGTTTTGAATTTAAGTATTTAATCTATCTTGTGCTGATTTTTGTCTGTGGTGTACAGAAGGCATCAATTGTCAATCTTCTGCATATGGCCAGCCAGTTAACCCAGGCCCATTTATTGAATAGAGAATAATTTCCTCCTTGCTTGTTTTTTGTCACCTTTATCAAAGATTAGATGATTATAGGTGTGCAGAATTATTTCTGGGCTCTCTATTCTACTCTATTGGTCTATGTGTCTGTTTTTGTACCAATACCATGCTGTCTTGGTTACTGTAGCCTTGTAATAGAGTATGAAGTCAGGTAACGTGATGTCTCTAGATTTGTTCTTTTTGCTTACGATTGCCTTAGCTATTCAGGCTCTTTTTCATTTCCATATGCATTTTTAAATAGTTTTTTTCTCATCCTGTGCAGAATGTCATTGGTACATTGATAGAAATAGCATTCCTGTAATCCCAGCATTTTGGGAGGCCGAAGCGGGTGGATCACCCGAGGTCAGGAGTTCATGGCCTACATGGTGAAACCCCATCTCTACTAAAAATACAAAAATTAGCTGGCTGCGGTGGTGGACGCCTGTAATCCCAGCTACTTGGGAGGCTGAGGCAGCAGAATTGCTTGAGCCCAGGAGGCGGAGGTTGCAGTGAGTTGAGATTGTGCCATTGCACTCCAGCCTGGGTGTCAGAGGAAGACTCTGTCTCAAAAAAGAAAGAAAGAAAGAAATAGCATTGAATCTATAAATTGCTTTAGGCAGTGTGGCAAATCTATAAATTGCTTTAGGCAGTGTGGCCATTTTAATGATATTGCTTCCTCCTATCCATAAGCATGGGATGTTTTTCCATTTGTTTGTGTCATCCCTGATTTTTTGAGCAGCATTTTGTAATTCTCATTGTAGAGATCTTTAACCTCCTTGGTTAGCTGTATTTCTAGGTATTTTATTCTTTTAGTGGCATTGGCTCTCAGCTTGGATGGCACTGCTGTATAAGAATGCTACTGATGTATGTACATTGATTTGTATACTGAAACTTTGCTTACGTTGTTTGTCAGATAACAGGTTTTAGCCAGAGACTGTAGGGTCTTCTAGATACAGAATCATGTAATCTGCAAATAAGGATAATTTGACTTTCTCTTTTCCTATTGGGATGCTTTTTAATTTTTTTCTCTTGCCTGATTGCTCTGGTCAGGACTTCCAGTACTGTGTTGAATAGAAGTGGTGACAGAGGGCATCCTTGTCTCATTCCAGTTTTCAGAGGGTATGCTTCCAGCTTTTGCCCACTATGATGTTGGCTGTAGATTTGTCATAGATGGCTCTTAATATTTTGAAGCATAGTCCTTCAATTCCTAGTTTATTAATGATTTTCAACATGAAGGAATGTTGAGTTATATCAAAAGCTGTTTCTGCATCTACTCAGATAATTGTGTGGTTTTTCTCTTTAGTTCTGATTATGTGAAGAATCACATTTATTGATTTTCATATGTTGAACCAACCCTGCTTCCCAGAGATAAAGCCTACTTGATACGGTAGATTAGCTTTTTGAGGTACTGCTGGAATCGGTTTGCCGGTACTTTGTTGAGAATTTTTGCATCTATGTTCATCAAGGATATTTGTCTGAAGTTTTGTTTTTTGTTGTGTCTCTGCCAGATTTTAGTATCAGGATGATGCTGGCCTCGTAGAATGAGTTAGGGAGAAGTTCCTTCTCCTCATTTTTTTGGAATTATTTCAGTTGGTAAGGTATCAGCTCTTCTTTGCACATCTGGTAGAATTTGGCTGGGAATCCATCTGGTCCTGGGCTTTTTTTGTTGGTAGTCTATTTATTACTGCCTCAATTTCAGAGCTCGTCTGTTCAGGGATTCAATTTATTTCTGGTTTAGTCTTGGGAGATTCTATGTGTTTAGGAATCTATCCATTTCTGCTAAGCTTTCTAGTTTCTGTGCATAGAGGTGTTCATAGTCGTCTCTGAAAGTTTTTTGTATTTCTCTGGAACTGATGGTAATGTCCCCTTTGTTGTTTCAGATTTTGTGTATGTGAATCTTCTTATTTCTTTACTAGTCTAGCTAGCAGATTATCTATCTTATTACTGTTTACAAAGAACTAATGGATTCATTGATCTTTTGTATAATTTCCCATGTCTCAATTTTCTTCACTTCAGCTCTGACTTTTGTTGTTTCTTGTCTTCTGATAGCTTAGCGGTTGGTTTGCTCTTGCTTCTCAGTTCATGAAGTTGTGATGTTAGATTTTCAAATTCAGATCTTTCTAACTTTTTGACGTGAAAATTTAGTGTTATAAACTTTCCTATCAGCACTAATTCAGCTGTGTCCCAGTGATTCTGGTATGTTGTATCTTTGTTCGCATTAGTTTAAAAATTTTTCTTATTTTTTGCCTTATTTAATTTTTTACCCCAAAGTCATTCAGAAGCATGTTATTTTATTTCCCTGTAATTGTGGTATTTTGAATGATTTTCTTAGCATTGGTTTCTCTTTTCATCGCCCTGTGGTCCAAGAGTGTGGATGGCACAATTTCAGTTTTTTGAATTTGCTGATGATTGTTTTGTGTCTGATCGTGTGGTTCATTTTAGAGTTTCTTCCATGTTCAGATGAGAAGAATGCATATTCTCTTGTTTTGGGATGGTGTATTAGTCTGTTCCCACACTGCTATGAAGAAATACCTGAGACTGGGTAATTTATAAAGGAAAGAGGTTTAATTGACTCACAGTTCCACATTGCTGGGGAAGCCTCAGGAAACTTACAATAATGGCAGAAGGCAAAGGAGAAGCAAAAATCTTCTTCACAGGGCACCAGGACAGAATGAGTGAAAGCAGGGGAAATGCCAGATGCTTATAAAGCCATCAGATCTTGAGAGAACTCACTCACTATTACAAGAACAGCATGGGGGAAACCAATCCCCATGATTCAACCCCCATTATTCAATTACCTTCACCTAGTCCCACCTTTGACACACAGGGATTATGGAGATTACAATTCGAGGTGAGATTTGGGTGGGGACACAGAATCAAAACACAGAGCCAAACTGTATCAGTTGGAGAGTTCTGTGGATGTCTTTTAGGTCAGTTTGGTCAAGTGTTGAATCCAGGTCCTAAATATCTTTGTTAATTTTCTGCCTCAATGATCTGTCTGATGCAGTCAATGGGGCCTTGAAGTCTCCCATCATTATTGTGTGTTAATCTGTATCTCTTATTTGGTCAATAAGAACTTATTTTGTGAATCTAGGTATTCCTGTGTTTGGTGAATATATATTAAGGATAGTTAGGTCTTCTTGTTGAATCGAACCTTTTATCACTATGTAATGTCTTTGTCTTTTTTGACCTTTGTGGGTTTAAAGTCTGTTTTGTCCAAAATTAAAATAACAACCACTGCTTTTTTTCTGTTTTCCATTTGCTTGGTAGATTTTTCTTCATCCCTTTATTTTGGGCCTATTGGTGTCACTGCATGTGAGATGGATCCCTTGAAGATAAATACCATTTTGTCTTTTTTCTTTATACCACTTGCCACTTTGTGATGTTTATTTGAGGCATTTAGCTCATTTACATTCAAGGTCAGTATTGATATATGCACATTTGATCCTGTCATATTATTAGCTGGTTATTATGCAGACTTATTTATGTACTTGCTTTATAGTGTCACTAGTCTGTGAACTTAAGTCTGGTTTTGTATTAGCTGGTACAAATCTTTCTTTTCTATATTTAGCACTTTTTTCAGGACCTCTTGTAAGGCAGGTCTTGTGGAATAGACTTTCTCAGCTTTTGCTTGTATGAAAAGGATATTATTTCTCCTTCCTTTTTGTAGCTTATTTTGGCTGGATTTGAAATTCTTGGTTGGAAATTTGTTTCTTTAAGAGTGCTGAATATTGGCCCTGATCTGTTGTGGCTTGCAGGGTTTCTGCTGAAAGGTTCACTGTTAGCCTAGGGAGGTTTCCTTTGTAGCTGACATGCCTCTTCTCCTTATCTGATTTAACATTTTTTCTTCAATTTTGACCTTGGAGAATCTGATGATTATGTGTCTTGGGGATGATCTTCTTGTTTAGTATCTTTCATGGGCTCTCTAAATTTCTTGAATTTCAACGTCAGTCTCTCTAGTGAGGTAGGGGAATTTTTCATGGAGAATACCTTGAAATATGTTTTCCAAGTTGCTTGCTTTCTTCTCTTTCAGGGACACAAATGAGTCATACATTCGGCCTTCTTTTATAATCCTATATTTCTCAGGAGTTTTCTTCATTCTTTATTATTCTTTTTCCTTTATTTTTGTTTGAGTTATTTCAGAGATCCAGTCTTCAAACTCTGGAATTATTTCCTTAGCTTGGTCTATTAGGCTCTTAATACTTGCAATTGTATTATGAAATTCTTGTAGTATGTTTTCCAGATCTATAAGACCATTTTGGTTCTTTTTGTATAATGGCTATATTGTCTATCAACTCCTGTATTATTTTGTTTTAAATCTTAGATTTCTTGGATTGGGTGTCAACTTTCTCCCAAATCTCAATGATCTTTGTTTCTATCCATATTCTGAATTCTATTTATGTCATTTCAGCCATTTCAGCCTTGCTGCAAACCCTTTCTGGGAAATTAGTGTGGCCATTTGGAGGAAATAAGCCCCTCTTACTTTTTCAGTTGCCAGAGTTCTTGTAATGGTTCTTTCCCATCTGTGTAGGTGGGTGTTATTTTAAATGTAGTGTAATTTGAATAGTCAGTAGATTTCTTTTCAGGATATTTTAAGAGGGCTGAACCTTTGTGCTGGTCTATTTGTAGCTGAATTTGTCCTTGGTTTCACAGGGCTGTATATTAGCAAAACATTTTTGGTGTTGAAGTTTTGGTCTGTGATCCAGTAGGTGGTGTTTAAGCATAATGGCCAGTCGGTAAGCTCTTGCTCAGATATGTGGCTCCTCTGTACTTCTTCACGATTGCAGCTGTTCTCTCTCTCATTGCTCTGAACGTGTTGGCTCTTCTCTCAATAGAGTGTTGGCTGCAGATCTTAGCTTGGCACTCCTGGGCTGCACACTGTAGCTCTGCGTTGAGCTCAAGCTTTATGTTCCCTCTCCATCTTGAAGGCAGCAGAGGAAGGGATCTTAGCAGTGGATGTGGAAGAGGGTCTTTAAGACGTCTCTTGGGGCTTCACCCCCAGAAAGCTGTGAAACCTTTATCAATCAGAGAAATTCACCTGTGATGGGGTAGCTTCATTGTGGACCCAAGCCTGGTGGTGGCGGGTGGCCTGCTTGGTGATAAGGAGGGCGGTTGGGTGGGTCATAGGGGAGACAGACTGGCTTCTTCTTAGGGCACCTGCAGCTTGCTGCATGTGTGGTTAATGCACTCAGAATCTTTGCTCCTTCCCCAGTCTGAGGGCAGCAAGTCAGTATCCCTGTAGTGGCAGTGAAAAAGGGGATTTCAGTTGACTCTGGAAGCTCTACCTCAGAGAAACACAGAGCTAATGCTACTGGGGATGTTCAGCCAGGGGATGGGGAAGCTGCACTGTTGGCCCGAGCTGGGTGCTCTACTTGTTGAGAAGTGAGGGTTCAAGGGCTCACAGGGATGAGAGACTGAGCTCCTCTCTATATGGTGACTGTGGCATGATGAAAACACAGGTGAAGTCATCAGGTTTTTTGTTTTTTCCCCAGACTGAGAGCAGCAGGGGCAGAACCACAGCTGTGGCAATGTAATAGGAGCCATTAGTTGCTGCTGGAAGCCCTTTCCCAGGGAAACTCAGAGCCAGTCAGTGGGTGTGCTCAGCCATGAGGGGATTGGCTGATGAGAGGTCCTGAGCCAGGCCCTGCTTGGTGAGTAATGAGGGGTTAGGGCTCACAAGGAAGAGGGACTGAATTCCTCTCTGTATGGTGGCTGTGGTGGCTGGAGGTGCCAACATACAGTCAAAGTTCTTTGTTCTTTCCCCAGTCTGAGGGAGATTATGGTGTCACCACTAAAGCTGCAATGGCAGAGGAGTTGTGAGTTGTTTCTGTGATTTCCTCCTCAGAGTACTTCAGGGCCGCCTCCAACTAAAATGTTCAGATGGAGACAGGGTATATGTGCTGGCATCCCAGATAGGGAGGCCCTGCCCACTAAAAGAAGAGGGATCAGAGACCCTTGTGGAAAATGGTCTCTGACTGCTTTTTCAGTGGGGTGGCTGCATTCTGCTAGGGATCCATGCCAGTTCCTAGTGACCGTGCACCCTCCAGAGCCTGAAGGAAGCAGCAATGAGATCTGTGAGACAGCAAAAAAAGGCACTTGCCTTTCCCTGTGGAAGCTCTGTCCTGGGAAAGTGCAGAGCTGCTACTGGACTGAGAGCCCCAGTGGAGGGTGGCTGGAGCCCTGATTCAGGAGATTCAATAAGGAGAAGTAGAAGAGGGGATCCATGTAAAAGAACAATCTGGCTGCTTTTCTGTGGGGTGGCTGCATTGTACTGGGGAGCCACACCAGTCCCTAGTCACTGCACACCCTGTGGAGCCTGAACGCAGCAATGACAAGGGCTGTAAGACGGCAAAACGGTGGCTTGCCTTTCCCTGTGGGAAATCCATCCCAGAGAAGTGAAGCACTACTACTGGCCCGAGGGCCCTGGTGGAGGGTGGCTGAAGTTCTGGGTCAGTGGGCCTTATCTTGTGAGGTGCAGTAGATGGAAAACCTGCAGTCTGTTGCTGCTCAGCCCCCTGGAGTTAGCCCCTTTCCTAGGGGTGTGCAAGTGAGCCAGAGCTCTCCCATTGCTGGAACTGCAGCCACTAATTCCAGGATGCCTGGGGATCCAGTGTATCCAAGACTCCGCGTGTGCTTGAGGAGCGGCTTTGCCAAGACTCTACATAGCTCTGTGTGACAGTCTGAAGGCCTTGGTGGGGTGGGCTCAGGAGGGGATATCCTAAGCCCAGGGTTTCCAAAGGTCTATGGAAGAATTATGTGTCCCTGGGGAATCTTACTCACTTACAAATTCTCTGTCACTCCTGGGTGAGGGGTCATCCTGTCTTGTATCTCTGTTCTCTATGGTTTCAGTTATTTCCTTGATGAATCCCAATGTGTCCACCTGGATGTTTCTGTTGAAGATCTAGTATTGACTCACCACTTTTTCTTCTCTCTGTAAGAGTGGCACATGTTAGCTGCTTCTAGTTAACCATCTTGACCCTCTGTCTTGTGGCTCATCATTTTATACTCTCCTTAGGAGCTTTCACATAGCAAAAGATTTTATTTTAATGAAATTCAACTTATTAATATTCACCTTCATGGATGATACTTTTGGGGTTGTATCTATAAGCTCATTGCCAAACCCAAAGTCACCTAGGTTTTACCTTATTTTGTCTTCTAAAAGATTCATAGTTTTGCATTTTACAGTTAGGGCTATGATCCACTTTGAGTTAATTTTTGTGAAAGGTATGAAGTCAGTGGCACAATTCATATTTTTTGCATGTAGATGCCCAGTTTTTTCAATGCCATTTGTTGAAAAAACTATTTTCCATTGAATGGCCTTTGCTATTTATTCCAATATTATATTAATATATTTGCATGGGTCTATTTCTGCACTCTATATTCTGTTCCATTGACTTGTCTATTCTTTCACCAAAATCGCTTTTTTGATTACTGTAGCTTTACAGTTAGCCCTGAAATTAGACAGTATCAGTAGTCATATTTTTTTCTTTTTCTTCTATGTCATGTTGACTATTGTGGGTCTTTTCCCTTTACATATAAAATTTAGAATCAATATTTCCATATATGCAATGTAACCTGCTAGGATATTGATGAGAATTATGTTGAATTTGTGGGTCAAGTAGGGAAATACTGACATATTGGCAATATTGAGCTTTCCTGTGCATGAAAATAGAACAATTCTCTGTGTACAGTAATCCTCCTTTATTTGTGTTTTACTAGTACCTAATCTGCAAAACTTATTCAAATTTCACCACTGGTGAAATTTGAACATTAGAAAAACTAATATTCTTCTAGCTAAAATGCAATTCAGGGTCCTCAATTGCATTAATAATGATACAATTATCACTAATGAGGGCTCTGCTCTCATGAATGAAATTAGCTGTCATTATAAAAGGTCTTAATTAAGGTAATTTGTCCCATTTCACCTCTTCTGTCTGTTCTTCCATGTGAGGAAACAGTGTTCCTCCTCTCCAGAGGATGCAGCAACAATATGCTATTTTGGAAACATAGAGCAGCTCTCACCAGACACCAATATAACCAGCGTCTTGATCTGGGATTGCCTAGTTTTCAGAATCATGAGAAATAAATTTGTACTGTTCACAAATTACCCAGTCTATGGTATTTTTTAGCAGCATAAACAAACTGAGACAAAAATTGGTACCAGGGAAGTAGGTTGTTACTCTATCAGCTACCTAAAAATGTGAAAGGAACTTTGGAAGTGGATAAAATATAGATGTTGGAACAGTTTCAAAGTCAATATTGAAAATGTAAATGAAGCATTAAGGAGCATTGTGATGAGGGATCAGAAGAGGAGGAGTGTTCTAATGAAAGCTTTAGTCGTACCTACTATCTAAGTGGTTGTGATCAAAATGTTCATACAAATACAAACAGTAAAGGCAATTCTCATGAGGTCTTAGATGGAAATAAAAAAGTATATTATTAGCAACTTGAGGAAAGCACATTATTGTTACAAAGAGACAAGAATAACTTGGCTGAATTGAGTCCAGAACCTAGAGCTTTGTGGAAGGCTGATTTTTAAGAGCAATGAGTTAGGATATCTGGTGGGAGAAATATCTAAGCAATGTGTTCATGGTGCCGCATGGCTTCTCTTAACTGCTTATAGTAACGTGAGAAGAGATAAATGAGTTAAAGAGACAAATGAATTAAAATTATTATTAAAAATTAATAAAAGAGAAGCAGAGTGTAAAGATTGGAAAAATTCAGCATGGCTTGTAAAATATTTTAAAAACATATTTAGGAAAGACAACCAAGTGTGTGGCTAAGCAATCTGTTGATAAGGAGATTAGTATGCATAGAAGGAAGCCAGATGTTATTGATCAAGACAATGAAAAAATGACCTCAAAGGCATTTAGGAGATTTTCTTGGCTGCCACTTCCCTCACAGGCCCAAAGTGCCAAGACTTGGGGAACAGAAAGATGTCAAAAGAGATGCCTCTCGGGAACACAGGACCTCAGAACTTACTGCCCATTACTGCCTCAAGTCATTGCTCCCTGCATTTCAGTGCAGTGCTCCTTGGTTGTCTCAGTTGTGGCTCAAGAGGATCCAGGTACAACTCAGGTTACCACTCTGGAAGGTACAGGCTATAAACATTGACAGCATCCACATGGTGTTAACTGGGCAGGTGCACAGAATGAAGGAACTATGAAAGGATGGCTACCTCCATCCGTATTTCAAAAGATGCCTCAGAGGGCCTTGGTGCTCAAGCAAGAATGCCACAGAGCTCAGGCCACCATGGAGAGGAACTAGGGAAATGCACAGTGGAGTTGTGGGTTGGGGTCATCCTGAGGCCTCAGAATTGTACAGCCACCAGCCTGGGAGAGGTGCAGTAATGAGAGTTCAACCTGTGAAAGTTGCGACATAAGCGGCAGCTAGCAAAGCTATGAGGGTGGAGTCCCCTGGTGCTTTGGGGAACCAAACTCTTCCAAGAGTGTAAAGAAGATGGGACAAGGAGTTAAAATTTTTCCCAAGCCTTAAGATTTAATGTGGTTTGCCCTATTGGGTTTTGACATACAGGGCACCAGCTATTTTCTTCTGCCGTATTTCTCTCTTTTGAAATGGTATCATTTTTCTGTGCCTGTCCCACCATTGTACCTTAGAAGCACATACCTTGTTTGATTTCACACGTTCACATCTAGAAAGCAATTTGCCTCAGGATGAAACACACCTTTGATTCTCATCCATATCTAATTTAGATATTTAGATGAGGTGCTAACTTTAGACTTTTGAGTTGCTGCTAGTACAAATTAAGATTTTGGGGTCTGCTGGGATAAAATAAATGTATATTGTATGTGAGAAGGACATGGATTTGGGGGGTCAGGGGTTGAAATCTATGGTTTGATGTTTTTGTTATTTCTAAAATTCATGTTGAAACTTAATTTCAAATCCAATGGTATTAAGAAGTGTGGCCTTAGCAGGTGATTGAGTCATGAGAACTGTGCCCTCATGAGCTGGATTAATTTCTTTCATAAAACCTTCGATGAAGGGATTTCATCTCTTTTTGCCCCTTTCACCTCTTCCATCATGTGAGAACACAGTGTTCCTCCCCTCCAGGGTATGCAGCAACAGCACACAATCTTGGAAGAAGAGAGCAGCCTGCACTAGATACCAATCCTGCTGGTACTTTGATCTTGGATTTCCCAGCCTTCAGAACCATGAGAAATAAAGGTCTATTGTTTATATGAATTACTGTATGTGATATTTTGTTACAGCAGCACAAACAGACTGAGACATTGAGACAGAGCTTGACATATTTGAAAAGTACTTACCAATTTGTTTTGTAGAATATCCCTCAGTTTAGTTTTGTCTGACATTTTCTCATAAATAGATGATGGAACACACATTTAACAAGCATTAGGTATAAGTGTATTATCCCTGTATTATATAAGGGAGTAAATGATGTCTATATGGTTCATTACTGGAAATATTAACCTTAATGACAAGTGGTTGCCTTCTAATATTGCCTATTTCAAGGTTACTATTTTTTGTTGTTTAATTTGGCTGAGGTTCTCTCACAATTAGATTGATGTTACGCACATTTAACTAGTTTTATGCAGAAGTGTACAATTCCTGTATTATATCAGGGAGTAAATGATGTTAATATGGCTCATTATTGAAAACATTAACTTCAATGACAATCAAGTTGTTGTCTTCTAGTACTATTTCAAAGTTACTGTTTTTTTGTAGCTAATAAGCATCTCTTAATAAGATATTCTCAGAAATGCAAATATCCCATTTCTTATCATGTTTTCCCATTTTAACATCCATAGATGTTTACTGCCTGCAACAATTAGTACTGTAATGTAGACTGAGATAATTGTGATTCTCTATTTCCATTTTTCATATTTAAGTGTCTATTTTAAAATCAGTTGTCTTTCCTCACCCATCTACTTATTTTTACAATTATATACGTGTGTGTGTGTGTGTGTGTGTGTGTGTATAGTCTCATGGTTATTTGTTTTTCTATGGTTTATGTCATTGTTTTTATTATTTATTTTTGTGCCCAAATTGCTCCAGATGTGGATATTGGAAGCTACTTCAAATTGGCTTTATCTCCTTTCAACATGACATCATAATCTTTTGAGCTCTTTATTATTCTCTGAAACCACAAGTTATCCCAGGCTAATGTTGACCTATGCTTGCATTAATCCTGGAAACAATTATTGCTACAAATATCCATGGCTTTTTTATTAGGTATTTTTAGGATTTTAGAAAACTAATATCTGAGTGGCAAGTGTGCTCATTGCCACTGGGTTTCACTATTTCTAGGACCTGTAAGTGGACAGAACTATCTCAGATATACAACCATGTCTCTTTTTGTTTTATATACAAAACAAATATATATATATATATATATATATATATATATATACCTTATCTATAAAATATTCTGCTTCTAACTATATACATATCTAACCAGAACTAAAGGTAGCCATGTATAATTACTTAGAGGACACTAGAATTACAACTAAAATTATTCAAATATAATGACGTAAAAGAAATCATGACAACAATGTTTTACCAAGTATAGAATACCAAAAATGAAGCAGAAATAGTGAAAATAACTCAGAAACTCTGAAGATGAGAAGTAAGGTAGCAAAATATTAGCTACTAACTTAGGGCAATCAACAGCAGATTTTAGCTGAAAGAAGGAAAAAATCAACAGACTTGTAAATAGAAAAATTGAGTTCATATAGTCTGAGGAGTAAAAAGAAAAATATTGAGAGAAATAAACAGAATCTCAAATAAATGTGCGTTTTAATCAAATGTACCAACATACATATTATGGAAATCACAGAGGGAGAGTTGAGGAGAGAAAAGGGCAGAAGAAAGAATGGGCAAAAACTCCCCAAATTTGATGAAAAGCATTAATTTACCAATTGAAGTAGCTCAGTGAACTCACAGTAGAATTATTTCAAGAAGATCCACACATAGACACACCCAAATCAAACTGTGAAAAGACAAAGAAAACCATAGAAGTAGCAAAATAAAAAATGACTTATCACATACAAGGACGCTTCTAACTTCTCATCAGAAACCATAAGACCAGAAAGCAGTGAGATCACATATTAAAAATGCTGAAAGGTAAATACTGTCACCCAAAAACTCTATACTCAGGAAAACTAAAAGGAGGGTCAAATAGACATTCCCTGATCAAAACAAAACAAAACACAACAAATAAACAGAGGGTGTTCATCGCTACCAGAACTACCCTACAATAAATATTAAGAAAGACTCTCGGGACGAATTAAAAGGACACAACAAAAATATTATTACACATAAAGAAATAAAGAGCACTGGAAAAAGTAACTAGACAGGTGAAAATAAAAGACAAGGCCGGGCGCGGTAGCTCACGCCCGTAATCCCAGCACTTTGGGAGGCCGAGGCAGGTGGATCACGAGGTCAGGAGATGGAGACCATCTGGCTAACAAGGTGAAACCCCGTCTCTATTAAAAATACAAAAAAATTAGCCAAGCGTGGTGGCGGGTGCCTGTAGTCCCAGCTACTCAGGAGGCTGAGGGAGGAGAATGGCGTGAACCCTGGAGGCGGAGCTTGCAGTGAGCTGAGATCGCGCCACTGCACTCCAGCCTGGGCGACAGAGTGAGACTCTGTCTCAAAAAAATAATAATAATAAAAAATAAAAGACAATATATACGTACTTTTTGCAACTCTTTTATTCTCCTGTATAATTTAAAAGACAACCACATGAAGCAATAATTAAAGAAATGTAAATCAAACAATGGGATTAAAAATCAACAACAGAAAAGGGTTTGGAAAATTAACAAATATTTGTAACTTAAACAATATTTGTATAAGTAACCAGTGGATAAGAGAAAAAAATTACAAAGAAAATTTCAAAATAATTGGTGATGAATTCAAATAAAAACAAAACATACAGAAATTAACAAGATGTAGCAAATGCAGTTTTTAGGGGCATAGTTATAGCTGTAAATAAAGATTTCGCAAAGGAAGTTAATCTCAAATCAACAACCTAGGCTTCCACCTCAATAAATTAGAAAATAAAGAGAAACATAAGCTCAAAGCAAGCAGCAGGAAAAAAAAAGCTACAACAAAAAATGAAAGAGAATAAAAAATTAGAAAAAATAAATGAAATCAAAACTTGTTTAGAGATAACAATTAGCCAGAGTGACCAAGAAAGAAAAAAAAGGATAAGACTTAAATTATTCAAATCAGTAATGAAAGAGGGAAATCACTAACTAGCTTACAGAAATAAAGTGGTATGTAAGGAAATATTTTGAACAGTTGCATGTGTATAAATTAGACTACTTAGATAAAATATATGCATTTTTGGAAGAACCTCAAATACTAAACCTGATTCAAGAAAAAATAGAAAATACTGATAGATTTCTAACAAGTAAAGATATTGAATTAGTAATAAAAGTACTTTCCACAAAGAAAACATCAGGCCCATATTTCTTTATTGAGAAATTCTATCAAATACTTAAGTAAAAATGAATACAAATTACTCACAAAACATTTTAAGATATGACAAAATAATATAAGAACACTCTCTAAACACTCTCATTCCATGAGGCCAATATTACCCCAATGCCAAAACCAGAAAAGGACAACATAAGAAAAAAAAAAATACAAAGCATTATACTTTATGGCTATAGATTTTAAAAATCCTTAACACAGTATCAGCAAATAAAATGTAGAAATATATAAAAATAATTACAGACCATGGCTGTGTGGGCTTTATTTCAGGGATGCAAGAAAGGTTTAATAATTCAAAATCAGTCAATGTAATCCACCATATTAACAGGCTAAGAAAAAAAATATAACTATGTCAATTGACAAAGAAAAGCATTTGAGGCTAGGGGCAGTGTGTTACGCCTATAATCCCAGCACTTTGGGAGGCCAAGGCGGGAGGATCACCTGAGGTCAGGAGTTCGAGACCAGTTTGGCCAACATGACGAAACCCCATCTCTACTAAAAATACAAAACTTTGCCGGGTGTGGTGGCGTGCGCCTGTAATCCCAGCTACTCGGGAAGCTGAAACGGAAGAATCACTTGAACCCAGGAGGCACAGGTTGCAGTGAGCCGAGATCACGCCACTACACTCCAGCCTGAGTGACAGAGCAAGACTAGGTCTCAAAAATAAAAAAAAAAAGAAAGAAAGAAATTTTGATCAGGGAAAGTCTATTTGACCCTCCTTTTAGTTTTCCTGAGGATAGAGCTCAGGAAAACAAAATTCAACACCCATTCATAATAACAATTCTCTGAATATTATAAATAAAGAGGAATTTTCTTACCGTTATAGAAAATCTAAAAAAATCCTACAACTAATATTATGCCTAATGGTGAAAGTCTGGATGTATTTCCCTTATAATTAGGAACAAATAAAGAATGTTCACACTTATTACTCTTATTTATCATAGTGCTGGACAGTCTAGCTAGTGCAATAAAGCAACAGATGGTGCTGAAACAATTGGATTAGGCAAATAATATAAGCCTTAACCTAAACCTCACAACTTATATAAAGGTTAACTTAAAATGTATCATGGACTTAAATTAAAACATATGGCTCTTTTTAAAAAAAGGAGAAAATCTGAAACCTAAGACTAAGCAAACAGTTTTTAGATTTGATATCAAAGCACAGTCCATGCAAATAAAATTAATATATTAGCCTGCATCACAATTAAAACAAATGCTCTGTGAATGACCCTGTTAAGAGAATCTAAAGACACACTAAAGAGTGGGAGGAAATATTTTTAAATCACATATCTGACACAGGACTACTATGTAATATGTGTAAATAATACTCAAAGCTCAACAGTTGAAAAACAAACAATTCAATTAGAATATGAGAAAAGATATGAACAGACATTTCACCAATGAAGATATGCAGATGAAAAATTAGCATATGAAAAGTTGTTTACCATCATTAGAAATTAGGGAAATGCAAATTAAAATCACAATGAAATACTACTACACACTTATCCAAATGGCTACACTAAAAAATAGTGACAACACCATATACTGGCCAGAATGTAAAGAAATTGGATTATTATGCATTGCTGGTGAGTATATAAAATGCTACAGTGACTGTGGCGAACAGTTTGACAGTTTCTTAAAAAAGTAGACATCAACTACCATACAACCCAGCGATGCACTCCTGGGCATTTATCCCAGAGAAACTAAGACAGATAAAGGGTCTTTAAATAGATGATAGAGTTAAAATAAAGTCATTATGGCGTGACCTAACCCAATATGACTGATGTCCCAAAATCAAAAGAAAATTTGGACAAAAGCATTTATAGAGAAAAGATGATTTAAAGGCACAGGGATAAGATGGCCACCTACAAGCCAAAGATAGACGCCTGGAACAGATCCTCTTCGCTAATGGCTAACAAAAGAAGTCAGCCCTGCCAACATCTTTGTCATTCTTCAAGCCTCCAGAATAGTAAGAAAATAAATTGTTTAAATCACTCAGCCTTTGGCCGGGTGCAGTGGCTCATGCCTGTAATCGTAGCACTTTGGGAGGCCAAGGCAGGAAGATTACCTGAGGTCAGGAGTTCGAGACCAGCCTTGCCAAAATGGTGAAACCCTGTCTCTTTGAAAAATACAAAAAAAAAAAAATTAGCCAGGAGTGATAGCTTATGCCTGTAATCCCAGCTACTCAGGAGGCTGAGGCAGGAGAATCGCTTGAACTCGGGAGGTGGAGGTTGCAGTGAGCAAAGATCGCGCCACTGCACTCTAGCCTGAGCAACAGAGTGAGACGCCATCTCGAATAAATAAATAAATAACTCAGCCTTTGTTACATTGTTCTGGCATTCCTCGCAAACTGATACGGATATGTGATGGTTAATTTCATATGTTAATTTGACTGGGCCACAGTGTTCAAATATTTGCTCAAAAGCCAGACTGGATTTTGACGAAATTAACATTTAAATCAGTAGACCTTAGGAAAGCAGCTCTAGTGCTCTCATTAAGCCTTTACCTGGCCAGAAGACAAATGTACATCATTGTGTAGAGCATCCAGCCCCACCCAATTCCAGCTGCTGAAAGGCAATTCCACCAAGCTTTTGTGTTTTGATTAAGCCTACCCCAGGCCATGAAGCGAGCTCACATCCTTGTACATCTGTGGAGCAAATGCCTCTGGCTGTCTTTACCATATATGGCCAAGCAGTAACCCCAGATACCTCCTCCAGCTTCTGAGTCCAGCACACAGCAGATTTCAAACTACAGATTTCAAACAACAGTACTTCCCAGCCAAAGAAAGCAACCTGCAACCCTGCCTGATCAGAGATAATTGCAGAACCCAGTCAACAGCTCCACCTAACGACAGAGTCCAGCCAGTAGTCCCACCATATTGAAGAGCACAGCTAGCAGAAACATTCAACCTCAGAGCACAGGAAGTTACCCAACCCAAACAGAGAACTCAACACTGCAGTCTGTCTGTCCATGGTCGATACCAGCTGGCCCATCCAGAAATTTAGTTAGACTAAATAGTGAAGGTTAATCACTACCAAAGAATATCTGCAATGGCTGGAATAGATGACCATCTCCTCAAATGAGCAGGCATCAATACAAAAACACAAGAATTATAAGAAATCTAGGAAATATTACACCACCAAAAGAAACTAATCAACGTCTAGTAATAGACTTGGAAGAAATGGACATATATAAAATGACTGAGAAGAATTCAGAACAATCTACTTAAAGAAGTTCAGGGAACTTAAAAATATATATATATTTATAAAAATTGAATAAAGTTTAGAAAACAACTCATGAACAAAATGAGAAGTTTCAGAAAAAGAGAAATAATAAAAAATAGAAATTCTAGAGATAAAGAATACAATAACTTATGTGAAAAATTTAATAAAAAATATCAAGAGCAGACTCGATTAAGCAGAAGAAAGAATCAATGACCTTGAAGATAGGATATCTGAAATTATCCACTCAGAGCAGTAGAAGGAAAAAAAATAAAGAAGAAGGTCTACAGAAATTATGGGGTACTGACAAGCCAATTAATTTTTACATAATAGGAATTCCAGCAGGAAAAGAGAGAACAACAACAACAAAAAGCCCAGAAAGCACATTTATGGAAACAGTGGCTGAAAATTTCCCTAGTGTGGAGAAAGTCAACAGCACTCAGGTACAGGGAGCTGAGAAGTCTCCAATCAAATTCAACTCAAGGAGAAGTTCACTATGGCACATCATAATCAAATTATCAAAAATCAAAGACAAAGAAAGAATACTGAAAGCAGCAGAAAATAAGAAACATCACATTTAGGGGAGCCCCAATCTTACTTTCAGCAGATTTCTCAGCAGAAAACTGAAGGCCAGGAGAGAGTGAAAAGATAAATTTAAAGGACTGAAGAAAAAAAAAAACCTGTCAACCAAAAATACTTTGAATAACAAAGCTGTTCTTCAAAGAAAGATGAATAAAAACATTCCCAAACTAACAAAAGCTAAAGGAATTCATCATTACTAGGTCTGCCTTACAGGAATTGCTAAAGGGAGTTCCTTAATCTGAAACCAAAAACTGCTTATTAATAACTAAAAAATATGAAAGTAAAAAACTCAATGGAATAAGTTATATATAGCCATAATTGCCTAATACAAATTCTCCTCAAATTATAATGGGATTACATCCTGATAAATTTATTGTAAGTCGAAAATATTCTAAGTTGAAAATGCATTTTAACACCTAATAAACCAAACATCATACTGTAGCCTAGCCTAACTTAAACAGGTTCAGAACACATATATTATCCTACAGATGGGAAAAATCATCTAACACAAAACTCATTTTATAATAAAGTTTTGAATATCTCATGTAATTTATTGACTACTCTACTGAAATTGAAAAACAGAATGGTTGTATGGATACTCAAAGTACAATTTCTACTGACTGCATATCACCTTCATATAATTTTAAAGTTTAAGATGTAAGTCAAACCACCATAAGTCAGGAGCCATCTATACTGTGAGAGTGGTGTATAATGCAATTTTATCCCTAATATGAGAGTTAAATCAGGTATAAAGGGAATATACTTCAACACAGTAAAGGCCATTTATAGCAAACTTGTAGCAAACATAATTCTTGATGGTTAAAAGTTGAAAGTTTTTCTCCTAGGATCAAGAACAAGACAAGGCTGTCCACTCTCATGATTTCTATTCAACATAGTAATGGAAGCCCTAGTAAGAGCAATTACTCAAGAGCAAAAAAGAAAAGGCGTTATACTTAAAAAGAAAGAAGTAAAATTATCTCTATTTGCTGTTGACATGATCTTATATGTAGAGAATGGTAAAGACTTCACACAAAAAAACTGAGAGCTGATAAACTCAGTAAAATTGTAGAATACAAAATAAACATATAAAAATTAGTAACAGTTCTATATAGTAATAATGAACCATCTAAAAAGAAAATGTAAAACTCCATTTACAATAACAACAACAAAAAAATACTTTGTTGTAAATTTAACCAAGGAGGTGAAAGACTTTCATACTGAAAACTTTAAGACACTGATAAATTACATTGAAGAAAACATAAATAAAGGCAAGATGACCTGTATTCATGGTGTGAAAGAATAAATATTGCTTAAATATCTATACCATGCAAGATGTGCTACAGATTTAATGCAATCTCTATCAAAATTCCAGTGTCATTTTCCAAAGTATTAGACAAAAAAATTCCTTAAATTTACATAAAGGCACAAAAGACCTGGTCAAGACAAACTTGAGCAAAAAGATCAAGGATGGCAACATCACAATTCCTGATTTGAAAACATACTATAAAGGAATTGTAAGCAAAACAACATGGAACTGGAATAAAAACAGACACATCAACCCAAGAAACAGGATAGAAGGCCCAGAAATAAACACATGTACTTATCGTCAATTACTGTTTGACAAAGGTGCCAGAAACACACAATGAGAAAGGACAACCTTTTAAATGAAAGGTATTGGGAAAGCTAGCTATCTACATGCATAATAATGAAATTGCATTTCTATGTTATACCATATACACAAATCAACTCACAATGTCTTAACGACTTAAACATAAGACCTGAAACTCTAACACTAGTAAAAGAAAACAGGAGAAAAGCTCCATGACAGTAGGTGGGCATTGATTTTTTGAAGATGATCTTAAAAGCATAGGCAACAAAAGCTACAATAGACAAATGGAATGACATCAAACTTCTGGACAGCAAAGTAAACAACACTGTAAACAATACATCTTCCAAAATTACCATCTCTGGACTTACAGAATGCCTTATCTACCATTATGATATTTCACACAGTATTGCTACTGATCAAAAAACTTACTTCACAGCAAATAAAGTGTAGTAATGAGCTCATGGTAAGTGAATTCACCCATGTTAACATGTCCCCCACTATCCTGATGGAGCTTGTTTGAAACTATTATAGAATTGTGTATTAGTCAAGGTTCTTCAGATAAACAGGACCAATAGAAGATAGGTAAGTAGGTAGATAGATTAGATAGATAGATAGATAGATAGATAGATAGATAGATAGATAGATAGACAGACATAGATAGATTACAAGGATGTTTATTATGAGAATTGTTTTTTGTGATCATGGAGGTTGAGAAGTCTCACAATATGCAAGTTGGAGAACCAGGAAAGTTGGCAGTGTAATTCAATCTGAGTCCAAGCTGATGAGTCAATCTTAGTTACACCAAGCTGATGGTATAACTCTCAGTCCAGGACAACTAGTGTAATTTCCAGATTCCAAAGGCTCAGGATCCTAACATTCTGATTTCTGAGGGCAAGGGAGTATCAGTGTTCCACCTCTAGAAGAAAGAGCAAATTCAACTTCCTTCTGTCTTTTTGTTCTATCCTGAGCCCTCAACAGATTGAATGATGCCCACCTACAATGGGGAAGGCAGATTTTCCTTACTCATTCCACTAATCCAATTGCCAATCTGTTCTGGAATCACTGTTACAGACATACCCAGAACTAATGCTTTACCAGCTATCTGAGTATCTCCTAACCCGTCAAACTGATGGCTAAAATTAATCCTCAGGTATGGCCTTTTGAAGACCTAGGTACAGTGCAAGCTAAGTAAAAACTCCTTGTTGGGTTGGGATAAATTTTTCCAGGAGGTTGTATCACCTCTGAATCAGCATTCAGTATATGGTGCTGTCTCTCTATTGCTAGGATTCATAGGCCCAGGAATCAAGGAGTGACAATGGGAATGACACCACTTTCTACTACCACTAGTAATCCACTAGCAAATTTTGCACTTTTTGTATCCATGGCCTTATGCTCTGCTGTCTTAGAGGTCTTAGTTTTAAAGGAAAGAATGATTCCACGAGGAGCCACAACAGTGATTCCATTAGACCGGATTTTAAGGCTGCCACCTGGCCACATTGGGCTCCTTAAGCCCCTTAATCAAAAAACAAAGAAGGAAGTTACTGTGCCCCCTGGGGTGATGGATTATGATTACCAAGGGGAAATTTGGCTACTACTTCACAGTGTAGGTAAAGACAAGTATTTCCAGAATGTAGGCAAGCTCTTATAGTGTCTTTTAGTATTATCAGGCCCTATGATTAAAGTCAATGGAAAACTACAAGAACCCAATTGAGGCAGGACTACTAATGGTCCAGACCCTTCAGCAATGAAGCTTTGGATCACCTCACCAGCTAATAAACCATTACCCATTGAAGTGCTTCCTGAGGCTCAAGGAAATATGGCAGAGGTAGTGGAAGGAAATAGTTATAAATACAAGCTACCACCATGTGGCCAGTTACAGAATTGAGGACCTAATTGTCATGAATTTTTTTAATTTTGTTATAAATATGTTTATTTGTATGAATACATGTCAAATAAATATTTCCTTACCTTTCTTATACCCTTAGAAGATTATTGACTTTATAGTATTTAAATATTATTAACTTTACACTATGTTATTTAAATTACAAAATATCAAGAAGACTGAACATAGCCCAAGGACTTCATATTCTTTTCTGGGAAAGTGGTTAGTGTATTTTCAACTGTACACAGGATAGTTATATCATTTTAAGCGAAAGAATGACCTTAATAGTCTTTATTTGGAGATTAAGTATGATTTAAGGAGATGTATGGGTATTAGGTTGACCAGAGGTGGATTTTGATGGTCAGCTTTGTGTGTCACCTTGACTAGGCCACAGCATCCAGATATTTGGTCAAATACCAGTCTAGATGTTGCTATAAAGTTGTTTTGTAGATAACATTAACATTTAAATCAGTAGCCTACCAGCAAAACAGTTACCATCCATAACATGATAGATCCTCATTTAATCATTTGAATATCTTGATACAAATATTACTGTGGTCCCCTAGGAAGAGGGAATTCTGCCTCTAGAATGCATTCAAACTTAAGCGACCACATAGCCCTTCCTGGGTCTCCACCCTGCAGGTATATGCTGAAGATTTTCAACTTGCCAGACACTACATTTGCATAATCTAATCCAATTTCTGAAAACATCTCTCCCTCCCTCCCTCTCTCTCTCTCTCTATATATATATGTATACATAATTTCCAGATTTTTTATATAAAAATCTGGGGGAGGGAGAGATATTATTTATATATATACTACATATATAATAATATCTATAGTATCTATATCGAATAGATATAGTATATATAAATATATAGATAAATTATAATATAATGTATATTACATATTATATAATAGTATATAATATATAGTATGTTATAATACTATATATTATATACTATTATATAATACTATCATATAATATATACTATATAATACTATTATATAACATATACTATATATAGATATCTATATATAAATATATAGAGAGAATCTATATATATTTTATATATCTCCAGATATATATTATTATATATAGCATACCATAGATATTATATACCTATATGTAGCATACCATAGATATTATATACCTATATGTAGCATACCATAGATATTATATACCTATATGTAGCATACCATAGATATTATATACCTATATGTAGCATACCATAGATATTATATACCTATATGTAGCATACCATAGATATTATATACCTATATGTAGCATACCATAGATATTATATACCTATATGTAGCATACCATAGATATTATATACCTATATGTAGCATACCATAGATATTATATACCTATATGTAGCATACCATAGATATTATATACCTATATGTAGCATACCATAGATATTATATATCTATATGTAGCATATCATAGATATTATATATCTATATATAATATAGATAACAGACATTATATATCTATATGTAATATAGATAACAGACATTATATATCTATATGTAATATAGATAACAGACATTATATATCTATATGTAATATAGATAACAGATATTATATATCTATATGTAATATAGATAACAGATATTATATATCTATATGTAATATAGATACAGATATTATATATCTATATGTAATATAGATAACAGATATTATATATCTATATGTAATATAGATAACAGATATTATCTATATATAATATAGATAACAGATATTATCTATCTATATATAATATAGATAACAGATATTATCTATCTATATATAATATAGATAACAGATATTATCTATCTATATATAATATAGATAACAGATATTATCTATCTATATACAATATAGATAACAGATATTATCTATCTTATACAATATAGATAACAGATATTATCTATCTTATACAATATAGATAACAGATATTATCTATATATAATATAGATAATAGATATTATCTATATATAATATAGATAACAGATATTATCTATATATAATATAGATAACAGATATTATCTATATATAATATAGATAACAGATATTATCTATATATAATATAGATAATAGATATTATCTATATATAATATAGATAATAGATATTATCTATATATAATATAGATAATAGATATTATCTATATATAATATAGATAATAGATATTATCTATATATAATATAGATAATAGATATTATCTATATATAATATAGATAATAGATATTATCTATATATAATATAGATAATAGATATTATCTGTATATAATATAGATAATAGATATTATCTGTATATAATATAGATAATAGATATTATCTGTATATAATATAGATAATAGATATTATCTGTATATAATATAGATAATAGATATTATCTGTATATAATATAGATAATAGATATTATCTGTATATAATATAGATAATAGATATTATCTGTATATAATATAGATAATAGATATCATATATCTGTATATAATATAGATAATAGATATCATATATCTGTATATAATATAGATAATAGATATTCTATATCTGTATATAATATAGATAATAGATATTCTATATCTGTATATAATATAGATAATAGATATTCTATATCTGTATATAATATAGATAATAGGTATTCTGTATCTGTATATAATATAGATATACAATATGTAGGTTTATATATTTATTATATATAATAAATATAATATTCAAATTTATATATTGTTGGGGCTCAGAAATTGGTATCCTAAGAAGTGGTAGTTTGACATGATAACTAAAGAAGTTCCCTCAAGGTCTTTCTGACCTTTTCCCTGACTTCTGTCTCTCAATCCTCTATCTCTCCCCATGCACAGGATGAGGCTCTTTTCTGAAGCTCCCATATCCACTTAGAAACTAGACCTGCTAAAGAGGAAGACAATTACTTTTGATTCTCTTCTGAAACTTTATTAACCAGAGAATATTACAAATCATATCACAGAGCAAGAGACTGAAATTTAAATCCTACACCTAGAGCCCAGATGAACTTTGTCTCAGGTTTCATATAATACATAAAGAGAATTATTTACTAATCATTGTCTGAGCATTGGGTTTAATTATTCCACCTAAAAGTCATTATTACCCCTTACAAAATGGTCACATTTTCCCCATCTCCTCTTCTGTTATGAAGAAGGGCATACAAAAGGATTTGGACCTAACTGGCTCATTCCATAATTATTCTCCTTCAATCTCCTCATGCTTATGCACATTACATAAATTTTTATGCCTTTTCTCCTATGAATCTGCCTATTGTCAGTTCATTTTCAGCAAACCTTTAGAGGGCAGAGGGGAAGCTTTCTTTTGACCCCCACAACATATATATTGTGGCTGTTTTTCATTCAGCATAATTCTCTGGAGATTTATTAGATAGATAGATAGACAGATAAACAGATTGATAGATAGATCATTAGTATAAATGAATTTGAACCTATTTTGTATATATAGATAGATAGATATAGATATATAACTAATATTGGTTTTGTTTCTTTGGAGAACTCTGACTGCTGTAAATACAATATTACTCAATTCTAAAATTAAATAATCTATTAATATGTGCAAAAATCTGGATGAATTTCCAGAGAATCATAATGAGTAAAATGATCCAATCTCAAAGGTTACAACGTGTATCACTCTATTTTTTTCTTCTTTTATCTTTTTCTTTTTTTTTTTTTTTGTGATGGAGTCTCACTCTGTCACCAAGCTGGAGTGTAGTGGCGCCATCTCAGCTCATTGCAACCTCCACCTCCCGGGTTCAAGTGATTCTCCTGCCTCAGCCTCCCGAGTAGCTGGGACTACATGCGCACACCACCACGCCCAGCTAATTTTTGTACTTTTAGTAGAGACGGGGTTTCACCATGTTGGCCAGGATGGTCTCGATCTCTTGACGTCGTGATCTCCCCGCTTCAGCCTCCCAAAGTGCTGGGATTACAGGCGTGAGCCACTGTGCCCGGCCTAATTCTATTTTTATAATATTATTGAAATAATGATAGTAGCAATGGAGAAGATTAGTGGTTTTCAGAGTTTAAGGGGCAGGGTCAAGAGGGAAAAAAATGTGGCTATAAAATGTCAACACAGTAACCTGTGTAGTAATGAATATATTCTGTATTTTGCCTACCTTAAAATAAATATTCTGGTTGTGATATTATACTATAGTTTTGCAAAATTATACCATTGCAGGGAAATAGATGACCAGTACATGAGATTTCTCCATACATTTTTCTTAAGATAGCATTGAATCTAGAATTAACTAAAACAATTATTCTAATTTAAAAATCCATTTTTGTTTCCAAGAAAAAAAAAAGACAGTAACAAATGCGGATGAAGATGTGAAAAAATTGGAACTACCATACATTGTTGGTGGAAACGTAAACTATTGTAGCTGCTTTGGAAAATATCCGACAGTTACTAAAAAGGTTAAACTTATAGTTATCGTATGACCCAGCAATTTTACTCTTAAATATATATCCAATATAAATTAAAATATATGTCTGCCCAAAAATTTTCACACAAATATTAATAGTAATACTATTTTTTTCTAGTCAAAAGGTAGAAGCAATTCATATGTTCATTGGCTGATAGTTAACAATGTGTGTGTGTGTGTGTTTGCATGTGCACACACATTCACAATGGTCCTAAAAAAGTATAACGACTATAAAAAGAAATGATGTTTGATTCCTGCTCAAATATGGCTGAACACTGAAAACATTGGACTAAGTAATGGAAGTCATAAACTGTGTTATTCAGTTTGTAAGAAATGTACAGAACAGGCTAATCAGTAGAGGTAATAAGTAGAATAGTGCTTACCTAGGGCTGGATGAGATGGTAGAGGTGACTGTTAGTGAGAATAATATTTAATTTGGTGGTAATGGAAATGCTTTTAAATTATATTGTTATAATGATTGTACAATGCTGTGAGTAAACAAATTTGCTTAGTAATATTTTTGAGTTGTACCCCTTTATGCCTACATTTTGATATTTGAACTACGTCTTGTTAAAGCTGTTAAAAATAAAATAATGAAAATAAGGAAACACACTTAAAAACCAGAGAACACATTTTTGCCTAGTACTTTTTGTCAGTATTCTTATTTTATATAATTGAATTTTGTTTTCCAATGTTACCTAGGTTAACTATTTTTCTTCTATCTTCAGTGTGCTCATACTGCTCACAATACAGTTAATTACTTCTTTTGCTGTTTTTATTTCATTTTGGGTTTCCTCCATGCTGATTGATTTTGATTGTTTATTTACTTTTTGTGTTTTTGAAATATTACCATTGCTCTGAAAGTCAAACTACATAAAAAATAATACTCAGCGACATATTATTCCCCCACTTTTATTCTTTAAATCTTTTTCACAATCCCCAATATTTCCACCCTGTTGCCACCTAGCCCAGGTTAGGTAACTTATCTCTTTAATTTCTGGCTTGTCCATCTGCATTATATTTTTGCACGATAACTACTATATGAATATTTTCTTATACAACCTCCTTATGAAATATGCTTTCTTTCTAGATACTTTCTGCATGTTGTCTTTTTCACTTATCATATACCTGGAACTTCCCAGTGTACACTCATAAAGATATTTCTCATTCTTATTTTACAACTGCATAATAATGCATTTTGAGGATATACTAAAATTAATTCAACTATTCTCCCATGTGGAAATTTTTCTCTCATATTTTTTAAAATCACAAACAACTTTGCGATGAGTATCATTGTGCATACTCATTTTCATATTGTCTGATTTATGTATTTCAAGGAAAATTCCTAAAACTAAAATTTCTTGGTAAAAGGGCTAAACATTGTAGTCTCCTCAGGCATTGTCAAATTTTCCTCCTGAAATGGTGTATTTCTTTTCTTTCCCACCAACAGTAATCAAAATCACTTGCCTTCCTACAGCTTCACCAACAGAATTTGTTTTCATAGTTTTAAATTATCATCAATCTCCTATGTAAGAAGTAGTATTTCAGTGTTGTTTCAGTTTGCATTTTTCTTCGTATAAATGAATTTGAACCTATTTTTGTATATTTAAGAGCCAATTTACATATTTTTCTCTGAAGTGTATATTTACTTTTTTTTCATTTCTCTGTCTGGGTTTTGATTGTCTCTCAAAATTTAAATTTCTTGACATATAATTAGGTTAAGTGATCTAATACTAAATGTGCTTTAGAATCATTTGATCAAAGCAAACATGAAGATATTCAATTAAACTATGAATCAGAATTCTTAAAATATATTAAACTATGAATCGGAATTCTTAAAGTATATATATTTTTAAAAATTAATGAGGGTATATTATTGCTTATAGTGAGTGAATTGAGTATGATAAGAAATAATGTAAAATTGGTCTTAATCTTTTAGACTAAAATGAAATAGAATTAGCTTGTAAATAAACTTCTGTAGGGTGATAGGGGACTTAAAATAATTTACTATACCTCAAAATAATTTCAGTATTTAAGTATTATAATTTTCTAGTAAGAAATGCCTTTACTTGTTAAGTTGTATGCACTTAGTGATCATTTTGTTAGAATCATTGAATCATAAAGCTAATAAGATCCCCCTAGAAATCATCTCATTGTATATCTTCAAAAATGTTGTTATGAACATCCTAGACATAGAATTGTTATCTCTAGTTTTAAATGTTAACAGAGGAGATATTTGTTCTTTCTCATTAGTAACATTTTTAAAATAGTGTCACAGTCCTCATATTCAGGGTTTTGTTCTAATTTAGGACAGATTCAGAAAAATTCGGTTGTAATACTTCATGCTTTAACAAATTGTTCCCTAGCCCCAAATTTTATATTACAGTTAAGGATATTCCAAACCTTTAGGTCTTACTTATAAGGATTATTCTTTATAGCTTTATTCATTATGATTGTTCTTTTCTGTACGGTTTTTAAATCCATAGTATTTTTAGTGGAGGTTTTTTTGCGCAAAAATTACAAAATGACCAAACTCTATCTTTCTGAAATCACCTGCTCTGCATTTATTTGTAAGCTATATCAGAAGTTCTAAATAGTGTTTGTCTGGAAAGGCACAGGATAATAACCTTTTATGTGGAAACTAGTTTGTGGAGGAGAGGTTACAGATCAGAAACTTTGAAGGATAGACTAAAATGCTACTTGAACCTAATAGAAAATAAATTACTTTCAATATCAATATTTTCTCCCCTTCATTGTAAAATAAATCCAGACCTTTCAAAGTATTCGGTTGGTGCAAAAGTAATTGTGGTTTTTGCCATTACTTTTAAAGGGAAAAGCCACAGTTATATTTGCACCAACCTAATAGAAAATGTTTCCATTTCCAAACTGTAGGATAAGGCCTGCCACATGCCTTATATATTTATTCTAGCCCATATGTAGCAAAGCTTTCTTTATTTGTCCTGAAAATTATTGTTTAATAAAGTCTGAAGGGAATGATCCAATGTCCTGGAACATTTATATTTGGTGAATAAGTGTGTTTCAGGCTATTCAATTTTTTCATTCTTTTTCAGTGAGGCAAAATCTCAAACAGGAAAATGCACAGAGTTTATGGTCAATGAGTCTAAACAAATATATACACCTGTGCTACTAACACTTGACTAAAACATTTATTTAGCTGCTAAATTTCCTCGTGCTTATTTTTCAGTTAATTCCCTCCTCCACAAAAGCGCTCACTGTTTTGACTTCTATCACCATGGATTATTTTTGCCTTTTCTTGGCTTGTTCACCTTCTTAATAACTAATTTTATACAATCCAATTATATTTAATACATGTGTATTGAATCTTTTCCTGAAAAACAGTACCAGTACCATGTTTGTTCTTATCCTGTATCTGTGTTATCCTCTTGATCATTATACCTGTTCTGTTCCTGTTTCATTACATTGCTTTGGATGCAGAAGCACAATAACTAGAAGAGGACACCTTGTTGCAGTTCTATATGACTTTGTACAAGAGGAAGATGCTTTATATTTTTTAACCAATTCTTTCTGGTGCTACTCATCATGTGTTGGCTTTTGTGAACTGTGAGAACATATTTCACCAGTGTCCACAGTGATCCCTGTATGTGTATAACTATGTGTTGGAGTTCCAAACACAAAAAGAAATATATGCCTAAATACGTAAAAGTTGATAGTCATTTGTTAATGTTAGGAAACACAAATACTGGGTTAGTGTAAGTGTGTTCATTACTTGATGAACTAAGAATGATGCAAAAAATCATAAAGTTTTCCTAAACATAGTCAGAGAAGTATACACCTTAGAAATGTATATTTTAAAATATCCTACGACAAAAAATTCTGTTCTTTGTGAACCATCAAAGACAGAATTTAATAATTCCATAAAAAATGTCAGTTGGCTGAGTGAAATATTGCTTTGATTTGTAGTGGGCAGTGGTAATGTCAGTTAAATTTATACATATTATGAGACTAAATGTTTGAAAATATTCAGATATTGCCTAAAAGAAAGCGATCTCCCATGGTTTTAGGACTTAATGCCTGCCGTCAAGTTTCGTATAATTCTTATAGAAAAGACCGTTGAATACCCAATCTATATCAGACAAAGTAATTAAAAGTACTATCAACAGGCAAAGGGAGTACAGAGTAGGAATTATACACATGTATTTTATAAAGGCATGAGTGTGATATGGCACATGGAATACACATGGAAGTCAAAGTTTTGCGATTTTTTTGTGGAGGGAAGATACCACAGTTGATTGATCCTGTCTTAAGATGATTAATACCTATGATGAAAGATCATATGGCGTTCTTTCTTGGCAATTTCTAGAAAAAAAGATGTTAATCATGAAAAGCTTTCAGGGAGATGTGAACCTTATACTGCATTCTAAAGAATGGTGTTGCATGACAGATGCAGTTATGTATGTATTATCTACATTACAATTTCCTGAATGAGAGGCACAGGTTATAAAAATGAAAGACACAATAAGAGACCCTGGATTTAGGTACTCTTTAAGAATTTCACTGGGACATGGCTAATTGTCAGTACACTATAGTAGAATTTGATTCTAAAAGAAGGCTATACTTCAGAAGTTTTGGGCTTTTTAGTGATAATACACAAAGTACTTGTAAATTTAGTGTTCATCTTAATCCTACATCCCTGGTTTTATCTCTCAACCTTCTCTAGATTCATTTCTGTGACATTTCTAAAACGGCCTAATTGAAAGTCATGCATATAAAACCGTAGTATTATAGAAAACAAACAAACAAACAAGAAAACCACAGCATGTTAAAGGTACTAAAGTGTCTGTTCATATCCTTCACCCACTTTTTGATGGGGTTGTCTTTTTCTTGTAAATTTGTTTGAGTTCTTTGTCGATTCTGGATATCAGCCCTTTGTCAGATGAGTAGATTGCAAAAATTTTCTCCCATTCTGTAGGTTGCCTGCTCACTGTGATGGTAGTTTCTTTTGCTGTGCAGAAGCTCTTTAGTTTAATTAGATCCCATTGGTCAATTTTGGCTTTTGTTGCCGTTGCTTTTGGTGTTTTAGTCATGAAGTCGTTGCCCATGCCTATGTCCTGAATGGTATTGCCTAGGTTTTCTTCTAGGGTTTTTATGGTTTTAGGTCTAACATTTAAGTCTTTAATCCATCTTGAATTAATTTTTGTATAAGGTGTAAGGAAGGGATCCAGTTTCAGCTTTCTACATATGGCTAGCCAGTTTTCCCAGCACCATTTATTAAATAGGGAATCCTTTCCCCATTTCCTGTTTTTGTCAGGTTTGTCAAAGATCAGATGGTTGTAGATATGTGGCATTATTTCTGAGGGCTCTGTTCTGTTCCATTGCCTATATCCTGAATGATATTGCTTAGGTTTTCTTCTAAGGTTTATACAATTTTGAGTTTTACATTTAAGTCTTTAATCCATCTTGGGTTAATTTTTGTATAAAATGTAAAGAAGTGGTTCATTTTCAATTTTCTGCATATGGCTAGCCAGTTCTCCTGGTACCATTTATTAAATAGGGAATTTATCCCCATTGCTTGTTTTAGTCAGGTTTGTTGTAAATCAGATAGTTGTAGTTGTGCAGTCTTATTTCTGAGTTCTCTATTCTGTTCCATTGGTCTATGTGTCTGGTTTTGCACCAGTACCATGATGTTTTGGTTATTGTAGCCTTGCAGCATAGTTTGAAGTCAGGTAGCATGATGCCTCTAGCTTTTTCTTCTTGCTTAGGATTATCTTGACTATATGGGCTCATTTTTGGCTCCATTTAAATTTTAAAGTAGTTTTTTCTGATTCTGTAAAGAATGTCAATGGTAATTTAATGCAAATAGCATTGAATCTATAAATAACTTAGCAATATGGCCATTTTCACGATATTGATTCTTTCTATCCATGAGTATGGAATATTTTTCCATTTGTTTGTGTTCTCTCTGATTTCCTTGAGTAGTGGTTTTTAGCTCTCCTTGAAGAGTTCCTTCACTTCCCTTGTTGGTTGTATTCCTAGGTATTTTATTCTCTTTATAGCAATTGTGAATAAAATTTCATTCACTATTTGGCTCTCTGCTTGTCTATTAGTGGTGAATAGGAAAGTTTGTGATTTCAGCATGTTGATTTTGTATTCTGAGACTTTTTTGAAGTCGTTTATCAGCTTAAAAAGCTTTTGGGCTAAGACGATGGGGTTTTCTAGATAGAGGATCATGTCATCTGCAAACAGTTTGACTTTATCTCTTCATATTTTAATACCCTTTTATTTCTTTCTCGTCTGATTGCCCTAGCCAGATCTTCCAATACAATGTTGAATATGAGTGATAAGAGAGGGCAAACCTGTCTTGTACCAATTTTCAAGTGGAATGCTTCCAGCTTTTGCCTATTCAGTATGATATTGGCCGTGGGTTTGTTGTAAATGGCTCTTATTATTTTGAGGTATGTTCCATCAATACCAAGTTTATTGAGAGTTTTTAACATGAAGGGATTTTGAATTTTATTGAAGGCCTTTTCTGGGTCGATTGAAATAATAATGTGTTTTTTGTCTTTAGTTCTCTTAATGTGATAAATTACGTTTATTGATTTGTGTATGTTGAACCAGCCTTGCATCCCACCCAGGGATGAAAACAACTTAATCATGGTAGATAAAATTTTGATATGTTGCTGGATTAGGTTTGCCATATTTCTTATACTATACCATAATTTCATAAGCATGAATTTCAATGAAGCCATTCGACAGTTACAGAATCCACTATGCAGAAGAGACTGAGTCTCAGAGAGCTTAAACTTAGTAGCCTAATATCATGCAGCTAACAAGTGGTGGTGCCAAGATTGGGAGCAGAGCATGTATGATTTCAAAGATGATTCTCTTTCTTGTAAACCATGCCACATTTAGTATAATTTAAAATATTAATGGTGTCAATCATTTATTATTCTTAGGGTACTCATGAGTGTGTGTAGAAGGGCACTGTGGTTGGGTGCTGTTTCATTGCTTTTATTTTATTGTTTTATGGTGGTAAAAACAGTTGAGTCTCCCCCCTTAACCAAATGTTAAGTGCACACACAGAACTGTTAAATATAAACACAATGTTGTTTATCAGATTTCTAGAATTATTCATCTTATATAACTGAAAATTTATACATGTTGAACAACAACTCCCCATTTTTTCTCCCCACAGCTCCTGACAATACCACGTTACTTTCTGTTTCTATGAGTTTCACTAGTTTAGATGCCCAATAAAACAATGTAAGTATCTAATAAAAATGGAATTATGCAGAATTTATCCTTCTGTGACTGGCTTATCTTACTTAATAAAATATCCTCCAGATTTATCCATGTTGTCATGTATAGAAAGACTTTTTTATTTATAAAGGCTTCGTAATATTCCATTGTATGTATATGTTACATTTTCTCTATCCATTTATCCATCAGTAGACTTTTAGGTTGTTTCTACATCTTGGCTAATGTGAATAATGATGCAATAAATCATGGGAGAGCAGATATGTCTTTAGTATACTTATTTTGATTATTTTGAAATTTATATTTCAATGGATTGTTTCCATTGTTGTGCAGAAGTAGGATTTCTGGACAATATAGTAATTCCATTTTTAGTTATTAGGAAATCTGAATACCATTTGCCCCAGCAGCAGCACCAAAATTCATTTCAATCAACAGTGTACAATGGTTTTAATTTTTCCCCATCCTTACCAACACTTGCTATCTTTTGAGTTTTGGATAACAGTCCCCTAACAGATATGAAGTGATAACTCATTTTGATTTTATTTGCGTTTTCTGATGACTAGAGATGTTGAAAATCTTTTTGTATACCTGTAAGCCATTTGTATGTCTTCTTTGGGTGAACCCTTATTAAATTCATTTTCCCAATTTTTTTTCTTTTTGGCTATTGACTTGTAAGAATTAGTTATATAATTTGGATATTAAGCTCTTATCAGATTTATGGCTTGAAAAAGGTTTTTCCTGTTCTGTAGGCAGCTTTTTCACTTGTTTGAATGTTTCCATCGCTGTGCAGAAGCATTGTAGTTTGATATAATCTTATTTATCTATTTTTACTTCTTTTTGTTTGTGCTTTTGGTGTCATATCCAATAAATAATTGCTGAGACCAGCATCAATGAAGATTTTCCCTACGTTTCCTTCAAGGAGTTATATATTTTCATATTTTTTAAAGTCTTTAATACATTTTGAATTGATTTCTGTGTGTGGTGTGAGAAAAACGTCTAATTAGTTTTTCTTTCTTTTTTTACTTGTGCCCATCAATTGTTCCAACATCATTTGTTAAAGTTTCTAGTTTTGTCATTCTGTATCCTTGGCATGCTTGTCAAAAATCAATTGACTCAATGTGCATGTTTCCTTACTCTGGATTTTCTATTATGTTCCACTGGTCTATGTGTTTATTTTTATGCCAGTGCCATACTGTTTTAATTACTTTGTCATATATTGTAAAATCAGAAAATGTGATGCCTCCAGCTTGTTTTTTCAATACTTTTCTTTTTCTATTTGGGGTCTTTTATGATTCCATGTGAATCTTAAGACTATTTGTTCTTCTAATTCTGTAAAAATGCTTTGGAATTTTGACAATGATTCCATTGAATCTGCACATTGCTTTGAATAGCATAGACATTTTAACAATACAAAGTCTTTCAATACATAAATCTAAGATGTTTTTCTATTCTTTTGTGTCTTCATTAATTTATTTTATCAATGCCTTGTGGTTTTAAGTATACAAGTCTTTCACCTCTTGGTTAAGTTTATTCCTATATATTTTATTATTTTTTCATGTTACCTTACTTAAATGGAATTGTTTTATTTTATAAATTCGTTTTTATCATTAATTTTTATGGGTATATAGTAGGTTTTTAGTTTTAATTTTTGTAGGTACACATGGGATATGTAAGATATTTTCATGCAGGCATACAATGGGTAATAATCACATCAGGATAAATGGGGTATTCATCATCTCAATGATTTATCTTATTTTGTTTTGTACAAATAATCCAATTATACTGTTTTAGTTGTTTTTAAATTATACAATAAATTAATGTTGACTGTAGTCACCCTGTTCTGCTATCAAATACTAGATCTTATTTATTCTGACTAGATTTTTGTACCCATTCATTATTCTCTCTTTCCCCCTCAACTACCCTTCCTAGCCTTTGGTCACCATTATTATATTCTCAATCTCCATAAGTTCAGTTGCTTTAATATTTAGTTCCCACAAATATGTCAGAACATACAACATTTGTCTTTCTGTGTCTGGCTTATTTTACTTAACATAATGACTTCCAATTTCATCCATATTGTTGCAAATGAGAGAATATCATTTTGTGGTTGAATAGTTCTCCATTGTCTATATGTACCACATTTCCATTATCCATTCATCTGCTGATGGACACTTAGGTAGCTTCCAAATATTGGCTATTGTGAACAGTGCTGCAGAAAACTTGGGCATGCAGATATCTCTTCTACATACTGATGTCCTGTCTTTTCAGAATATACCTAGCAGCAGGATTGCTGAAACATATGGTACCTCTATTTTTAGTATTTTGAAGAACCTCCTAATTGTCTTCCAGTGGTTGTACTAATTTACAGTCTCAACAAGCAAGTATGATGGTTCCCTTTTCTCCACACCCTCAGGAGCATTTGTTATCGCCTGTCTTTCGGATAAGTACCATTTTAACCAGGGTGATATATCTCGTTGTAGTTTTGATGTACATTTCTCTGAAGATCACTGAGGTTGGGCACTTTTTCGTATGCCTATTTGCCATTTCTATGTCTTCTTTTGAGAAATGTCTATTCAGATTTTTGACCATTTAAAAATCAGATCTTTAGATTTTTTTCTATATAGTTGTTGACTTTCTTGTATATTCTGCCTATTAATCCCTTGCCAGATAGTTTGCAAATATTTTCTCCCATTCTGTGGGTTATCTTTTCAATTGTTGATTGTTTATTTTGCTCTGCAGTAGCAATTTAACTTGATGTGATCCAATTTGTCCATTTCTGCTTTGTTGTCTGTGCTCGTGGGGTATCACTCAATAAATTCTCACCCAGACCAATGTACTAAAGAGTTTCCCCAAAGTTTTCTTGTAGTAGCTTCAGAGTTTGAAGTCTTAAATTTAAGTATTTCATCCATTTTAATTTGATTTTATATGGTGGGAGACAGAAGTCTCAGTTTATTCTTCAGCATATGGATATCCAGTTTTCCCAGCACCTTTCATTGAAGAGATTGTTGTTTTCCCAATGTATGTTTTTCATACTTTTGTCAAAAACTAGTTTACTGTAGATGTACGGATTTATTTTGGGGTTCAGTATTGTGTTTCATTGGTCTATGTGTCTATTTTAATTCTAGTACCATGATGTTTTGGTTAATATATCTTTGTAGTATAATTTGAAATCAGGTAATGTAACGGGATTCTTCCATTTTGTTCTTTTTGTTCAAGATAGATTTGGGTATTCTTGGTCTTTTGTGCTTTATATTCACTGGAAGCTGATTAGATTGTGCCCACCAGATTAAAGGTGGATCTGCCTTCCCAACCCACTGACCCAAGTGTTAATTTCTTTTGGCAATGCCCACACAGACACGCCCAGGATTAATACTTTGTATAGCTCAACCCAATCAAGTTGACCCTCAGTATTAACCATCACATTGCCTAAGATCAGCATTAATGCAAGGATGTCTACACTCACCAGTTGTGTTCAACATACTACTAAAAGTTCTAGCCAAAGCAATTAAGCAAGTAAAATAAGTAAGGGTTATTCCAATCAGAAAATAACTAAAATAATATCTGTTTGTAAATGACAGTCTTATATGTAGAAAAACTTTAGAGACACCACAAACAAGTTTTAGAACTAATAAATAAAGTAAAATTGTAAGACAGTAAATCAACATATAAATAAAAGTTATGTTTTTTCTTATTTCTCTTAGTATTTGGTAGTTGCATGCTTCAGAGTTTCTAAGGAGAATTTACCCAAAATACATATTTATTCTCCCTTAGTAGGAATTATCTGGTGAACAACAGCTCCTGTTGTTCTGTTTTCTACCTTCTAAATACATCATATTCTAGCAATGGCTGAGATATTGAAAACTCTTTAAGAGCAGATAATCTATTTTTTAGTACTAGAGTTAAACAATTTAATAAAGTCTTTATTCTATAAAATGTAGTATATTTTTCCTTACAAATAAATGCTTTATGAGTGTTTTGAAGTTTTTTATGTTATAAATTCATATGCTGGGAAGTTTTCATTTTATCTTGAAGCATACTAAAATAAAATCCCTAAAACCAGCGTGTATGACTTTAATATTTGTTATATACTTCTTTTTAAATAACCCTATAAAGTTTTTTGTTAATATAAATATTAACAATGTATGTCTTCCTCTCATGGAAAGTTGTAAACAAGTATCCTTAGGTCATTGTCCAGCAATCTTTTCTATAAGTAGTCAGATATATATTTTAGCTCTTCTGGGTTGCATACAATCTCTATCAAATCCTCTTATTTCCTCTTTCCTTCTCCTCCTTCTCCTCGTCAACTTTCTTTTTATCATTCTTTTTCTAATCCTTTACTAATGTAAAGGTAATAATCAAAACTCACATTTTTAACTAGTAGCCTTCACACACACACACAAAAAGGACAGCTGGTCCAATGCAGGCATTAAACTGTTGGCTTGTTTTCCTTGTCTTGCTTCTTTTTTAAAATCATAAGCTGGGTATACATTTACAAAAGCAGTCATACTTGTGTTTAATTACTACCAGAAGAAATAGTTCAATACCATTTCTACTAAAATTATCATGATTTTAGAGTAAAAGATCTCTAGTCTTCAATAGATGATTCTAAAGAAATACCTAAAGTAGGTTGACATTTTTAGTGTTGTTGCTCTCTTATTCTAGTAGTTTCCTTTAAGTGTCAGTATTATTTAAAATTAGACATGCTGGAGAAGCCAATTTAAGGTTATTTTAGAATTATGGAGAAGAAATTTTCATGTTTTTTTTAATATTTCCTATGTTAGAAAATGTCCTCATTGAAGGTGAGGTGCTTCACGTATTTGCTCACATAAATGGAAGTAAAACTTCAACCTCTGTTATGACAAAGTTTCTTATCATCCCTGTTTCACCTAACTCTAGACTCTTAAATCAAATTATTAAAATTATACTTCTCACTAGCACATCAGTCACTGTCCAGATATCTCAATTTCACAAATGAAGTTAGCAATCTGGTGCTTCAGAGATGCTTTTTCTGACTTAGAATAGTAGTTTGCTGAATTCTTAAGACATAAATCTGGTCATATCACACTCTCGAAAATTTGTATTTTCTTATTGCTTATGAATTAAAATTTCAACTTTCTTTATTAACGTATTTCCTACCACTAACCAACTTACATCTCATGCTTGAGACACATCAAACTACCCACCAGTCCTCAAATATATATTGTCTCTACCTAAAATGTCCTTCCCCAATTTCTCCATATACAAATCTTTGTATTCTTCATTTTGTGAAACCATTTGACTGAACCAAATTTGACATTTCAAATTGCCCAAGGGAAAGGTGCTCTTTAATTAATGATGCTCTCCCACATGCCACAAACTTTAAAGAGTTAGATTTTAGTAAAATGCAATATTATAGCTTAGCAGAGAACGGTTGTCATAAACATCTATTTTCTACAATAGCTTAACATCAGTCAAGACATATCAACTTCTGAAGTGGAGTGTTTTCACATAAATTACATTTGTAGGTTTACAGATGTGAAAAAAGTTGTCTTCAAAAGGGAAAGCCATATGAACAAACTATGTCATTCAAATTCCATCTGTTGAAATTGCAGGAAGTGGAAATTAGGTAATCTTAATTATTCACATGGGAGTAGATTCATGTCATAATCAGTTCCTAGGCAGAAAGGCTTAGGACAATGTCATATTTTCCAGAGATATTTGCATGCCTGTGAGTTTATGACAGAAGTAAACCTGAAAGAGTGTGCAGAAGTATTTGTTAAAAATAAATTCCATTATATTTTCTCACCAAGCCTTTTGCACCTTTTTAACATCACAATTTGTTTGTAGACAGTTGTGCTTCAAAAGTATAATTTGAGGGCTTCATTTAAAAATCAAAAGTCTTTTGAGAAAGAATTGGCTCACAGAGCTAAGATTTATGTGCAAGATATTTGCATCATCAACGATAGATACAACCATCATCTTAAAAAAGAAAGCCGATGCCAGTCCATCTCTATGCAACCACAGAAATAATTCATTTAAAGCAAGAAACACCATTTTTACTTTAAAGGAGAAATAAGATCAAAGTTCTTTAGCATCTAATGAAGAAGGTTGTCTTCAATCAATGGATAATTTTACTCTAGCATCTAATTTTGTAATGAACATAATAATCACATCATGAAAAATTGCTTATGCATCCCCTCAAGCATTTGTCTTTTGTGTTACAAACAAGCCATTATACTTTTTAGTTATTTTTAAATGTATGAATTGTTATTGACTATAGTTCTCCTCTTTGCTATCAAATATTAGGTGTTATTCATGCTTTCTGACCATTTTTTATACCCTGTAGCCATTTCCACGTCCCCTCTCCCTGTCACTACCTCTGGTAACCATCCTTTTATTCTCTATCTCCGCGAGTTCAATTGTTTTAATTCTGAGATCCTACAACTAAGTGAGAACATGCAATGTTTGTTTTTCTGTGCCTGGTTCATTTCACTTAATATAATGACCTCCAGTTAAATCCATGTTTTTACAAATGACAGAATTTCCCTATTTTTTGGCTGAATCATACTTTAATATGTGTAAGTACCACATTTTTTATTATCCATTCATGCGTTGATGGACATTTAGGTTGCTTCCAAGTCTTGCCTATTGTGAACAGTGCTGGAACTAACATGGGAGAGCAAATATCTCTTTAATATACTAATTTCCTTTCTTTTGGATATATACCCAGCAGTGAGATTGTTGGATCATATGGTAGCTCTATTTTTAGTTTTTTGATGAACCTCCAATCTGTTCTCTGTAGTGCTTGTACCAATTTACATTCCCAACAACTGCGTATGAGAGTTTCCTTTTCTCCACATCCTTGCCAGCATTTGATATTGCCAGACTTTTAAATAAAAGCCACTTTAACTGGGGTGCGATGACATCTTATTGTAGTTCCAATTTGCATTTCTCCAATGATCAATGATGTTGATAACGTTTTCATATGCCTGTTTACCAGTTGTATTTCTTTTGAGAAATGTCTGTTCAAATATTTTGCCCATTTTTCAACCACATTTTTAGATTTATTCCTATAGAGTTGTTTGAGCTCCTAATATATTCTAGTTATTAATCCATTTTCAGATGGGTAGTTTGCAAATATTTTCTTTCATTCCATGAATTTTCTCTTTACATTGCTGATTGTTTCTTTAGCTGTGCAAAAACTTTTTGACTTGATGTGATTCCATTTGCCCATTTTTACTTTGGTTGCCTGTACTTGTGGGATATAGCTCAATAATTTTTCCCAGACCAGTTTTCTAGAGAGTGTTCTCAATGTTTACTTGTAGCAGTTTTATAACTTGAACTCTTAAATTTCAGTTTTAATTTATTTTGATTTGATTTTTGTTTAGAGCATGAGAGAGCAGTCTAGTTTTATTCATCTGCATATGAAGAGCCAGTTTTCCCAGCACCATTTATTAAAGAGACTGTTTTTTCTCCAAGGTGTGCTCCTTGCACTTTTGTTGAAAATGAGTCCATTGTAGGTGCATGAATTTGTTTCTGGATCTCCATTCTGTTCCTTAGATCTATATGTCTGCTTTTATGCCAGTATCATGCTGTTTTGGTTACTATATCTCTATGGTATAATTTGAATTCAAGTAATGTAATTTCTCCAGTCTTGTTCTTTTTACTTAGGATATCTTTGGCTATTCTGGGTCTTTTGCGATTCCATATAAATTTTACCATTTTTTTTATTTCTGTGAAAAATGGCATTGATATTTTGATAGGGATTACACTGAATCTGTAGATTGCTTTGGATAGTATGAATATGTTAGCAGTACTGATTCTTCCAATCCATGACCATAATGTATCTTTTCATTTTTTATGTACCCTCTTCAGTTTCTTTAATCAGTTTTTTATAGTTTTTATTGTAGAGATTTTTTACTTCTTTGGTTAATTACTAGGTTTTTAATTTTATTTGTAGCTATTGTAAATGGAATATTTTAATTTCTTTTTCAGTTACAGACATATGTAATAAAATATTTTAAATATTTCATTTTACTCATGACTGCTACTGTATTCTAAAACTTGAGAAACTTTTAAAATGTATTGTAGTTTATATCACAAGATCATTTGCATTTATGTCATGCAACCATGATTCCAGAGATCAATATATAATTTTTTCAATTCTCATAAGTTAGAGCACTAATTAACTACCAAGACTAACAGATTGTCAATTTATGTCCTAATATAAATATCTGAAAAGTTGTTAAACTTAATATTCTAAAGATTATGAAAGATAGTATTAAAATTAATTTTCTTCTTTTCTTACATTATTCTAACCAAAGGGCAGTTCACACATAATTGCTTGTAGGTGTGAAATATATGACATGGACAATTTGAAATGAAATGGTATTGAAATAGGAGGTGAGTTAGAAAACATACTGCATTACCGAGATTAATGAGAATTACCTATACAAATATAGATGAGTAACTGAAATAGGCAAAGGTTCACAATATGCAATACTTGCCATTATTGTAATAGGCATAGCATTACCTTATCATTCTGGGAAGTTATATTAATTCTTAATTGATATATTTATTTTACCTTCCCCTCCTCCAAAAAAGTGTCACAAGAAAGATAGATGAAGCCAAATCCTGGTAATTATTTATTTTAAAAGTTATTATGTGCATAGGCATATATATATATATAGAGAGAGAGAGAGATAAGAGATCTTAGGTGAACTTTTAGAGTATAGAAGAAATCCTTATAATACAAAGATTTGATATACTATACTTTAAAATGGTTATGCTGTGGTACTGAAAAGATAGATAAATGTTGTCTCTCATTAACTGAATAACTCCGCTACTTTTGGCATTTATCACCTCTTGTGTGGACAATGCAAGAGCTGTCTGACTGAAGTCTCTGAATACAGTATTTCCTGACAAAAATTCATCTTTATTTGCTGCTCTTACTGTTTCCTCCCTAAAAGGAAAAATGCCTTTATTTTGTTACCCTTAAAAGACCCTTCAATGTCTCCCCTATGCCATAAAAATAGTCTCCAATATTTGTTATAGTCTATCTTCCTACCTGCTCCCTCCAATGCAGCTAAGACATTTTGAGAAACTCTCATACCTTATTGGAGTACAGTTTGGAACCCAGTAATGTATAGAATATAATTTCTTCTTACTCAGCACAGAAATCAAGATCCTTCCCAATCTGGCTTCAGTCTATATTTTCAGCCTTGTTGTCATTATATGCATCTCATCTTCCTTCACATAATAAGTTCTCTAGGTGTGAAACTCATGGAGAGGAAGGAAATAGGTGAGTAAATACAACACCTCCATCTGAAATATCCAAGTACTTGCATTGGTACTAATCAGGGAAACATCTCTACCCATAGAGAACAAAGAAAAGCAGCTCAGGGTAACAGTCCACCCATGAGCGACATGGAACCAAGGAAACTACCATTCCCAGGCAAGGGAAGTGGGGAGTAAATGTACGACCCTGGAAAACCACACTTCTCTCAATGATCTTTGCAACCCTCTGATCAGGAGATCCCCTCCTGCGTCCACTCCATCCGAACCTTGGGCCCAACACACAGAGCTGTGTGGAGTCTCAGCAGAGCAGCTGCTCAGGCATGCACAGACACCCAGGAGTTTTACATACTTCAGCTCAGTAATGCCTGATAAAGGTGACTGCAACTCAAGCAAAGCAGAAGGTCCCTACATACCGCTAGGAAGGGGGCTGAGCAGTGTCATTCTGCTGGCCCCAGTTCCACCGCACCTCACAAGATAAGACCCACTGGCTGGGAATTCCAGCCAGCAACTGGCAAGAGAGTGGAGCCTGCCTGAGATGGGACAGAGCCCCTGGGGAGAGGGATGGTCTACCATCTTAGCTGTTTGGATGACTCTGCCATTCTGGCTTGTGGGCTTTGGAGAGTCCAAGTAAAATCTGGACTGAAGATAGGACAACCCCACCCCAGTACAGCACAGCTGCTTTGCCAGAATATGGCCAGACTGCTTCTTTAAGTGGGACCTCAATCCATTATTCCTCACTGAGTGGTACTTCTCAGCTGTGTCCTTTAGCCACCTCCATGGTCAGAACTCTGATCTCTCCCCAGAACCAAGTGCCTGAGGGTAGGGGTGGGCCACCACCTTTGTTGTTTGGATGACTCATTCATTCCAGTCTATGGGCTTTGGAGAGTTCAAATGGTCCAGAAGACGAGGGGACCCCACAGCACAACCTGGCTGCTTTACCAGAACATGTTCAGACTGCTTTTTTAAGCAGGACTTGGATCTATTTATCCTCACTGGGTGGGACCTCTCAGCCAGGGCCTCTAGCCACCCTCTCTTATATCCTATGAGCAGAGCTCTAATATTTCCTTGGGATGAGTGCCCAAGGGGAGAAACAAGCTGCCACCTTTGTTGTTTGGAGGACTCAGCTATTCCAACCTGTGGGCTATGGAGAGTCCAAACTGACCGGGGCAGAGGCAGCTCCCCAGTACATCATGGCTGTTTTGTCAAGGTGGGTCAGACTGCATTTTTAAATAGGACCTCGATGTACTTCTCCTCCTGGGAAGGGTCCTCCTAACTGGGGTATCTGGCCACATCTGCCCATATTCTATGAACAGAGTTCTGATTTCTCCCTGGGACAAAGTGTCTGGGGGAAGGGTGGGCCACCATCTTTGTTGTTTGGGTGTCTCAGCCTGTCCAACCTGTGGGCCTTGGGAAGCCTAAAACTATCAGGGGCTGAAGGTATCCCCAAAACAGCACAGCTGCTTTACAAAAAAGCAGCCAGACTGCTTCTTTAAGTGAGTCCCTAATCCCATTCCTCCTGTCTGAGTGAGAACTCCCAAACAGGGTCTCCAGCCATCTCCTACATGTGCTTTCTGGCTGGCAACAGATCAGTACATCCTGGAACAGAGCTCTCAGAGTAAGAGGCAGGCTGCCATCTTTGCTGTTTCACAGCCTTCACTGGTGATATTTGCAAGTATGAGAAAAACTGAGATGACTAGTGTCCGGAGTAGATACCCAGCAAACTGCAGCAGCCCTATGGAAGAGTGGCCAGTCCTTTTAAAAGAAAAACAAACAACAACAAACAAACAAAAACCCCTTCCAAAGGTCAGCAACCCCAAAGATTGAAGTTATGTAATTCCACAAAGATGAGAATCAGAGCAAAAATGTTGAAAACTCAAAAAGCCAGAGTGCCCCCTTTCCTCCAAATGACTACAACACCTCTCCAGCAAGGTTTCAGAACTAGGCTGAGGCTGAGATGGCTGAAATGATAGAAGTAGGCTTCAGAATGTAGACAAAAATGAATTTTACTGAGCTAAAGGAGCACGTTGTAACCCAATGCAAGGAAGCTAAGATTCATAATAAAATAAAGCAGCCAAAATAGATAGTATTGAGAGGAACATAACTGACTTGATAAAGCTGAAAAACACACAATAACTTCAAAATGCAATCATAAGTATTAATGGTAGAGTAGACCAGGCAGCGGAAAGAATCCCAGAGATTGAAGGCTGTCTTTCTGAAATAAGACAGGCAGACAATAATAGAGAAAAAAGAATAAAAAAGAGTGAACAAAATCTCCAAGAAATGTAGGATTATGTAATGAGACCAAGTCTACAACTGATGATTGGAGTACCTGAAAAAGAGAGGGAGAACAAAACCAATTTGGAAAACATATTTTAGGATATCATCAGGAGAACTTCCCCAACCTAGCTAGACAGGCCAACATTCAAATTCAGAAAATGCTGAGACCCCCAGTAAGATACTCCATGAGATCATCCCCAAGACACACAATTGTCAGAATCTCCATAGCAGAAAAGAAAGAAAAAATGTTATGGACAGCTAGAAAGACAGGACAGGTCAACTATGAAGGGAAACCCATCAGACTAGCAGCGGACCTTTCAGTGGAAAACGTACAAGCCATAGATCCATAGATTGGAGACCTATATTCAACATTCTTAAAGAAAATAAATTCCAACCCAGAATTTCATATCCAGCTATACTAAGCTTCATAAGCAAAGGAGAAATAAAATCCTTTTCAGACAAGTAAATGTTGAGGGAAATTGTTACCACCAGACCTGTCTTACAAGAGCTCCTGAAGGAAGCAAAAAATATGGAAAGGAAAAACCATTACCAGCAACTACATAAATACACTGAAGTACACAGACCTATGACACAATGAAGCAACCACATAACAAGTCTGCACAATAACCAGATGCCATGATAATGACAGAATCAAATTCACACATAGCAATACTAACCTTAAAGGTAAATAGGCTAAATGCCCAAGTTAAAAGACACAGAGTGGCAAGCTGGATAAAGAACTAAGATCTATTGCTATGCTGTCTTCAGGAGAACCATCTGACATGCAAAGACACATATAGGCTTAAAATAAAGGATGGACAAAAATTTACCAAACAAATGGAAAACAGAAAAAAGCAGGGGTTGCAATTCTAGATTCTGACAAAGCAGACTTTAAACCAACAAAGTTCAAAAAAGGCAAAGAAGGGCATTACATAATGGTAAAGGGTTCAAGAAGAGCTGACTATTCTAAATATATATGTGCCCAATCCAGGATAACCCAGATTCATAAAGCAAGTTCTTAGAGACCTTCAAAGAGACTTAAATTTCCACACAATAATAATAGGAAACTTTAACACCCCACTGACAATATGAGAAAAATGATTCGGATAGAAAATTAACAAATATATTTATGACCTGAATTCATCTCTAGATCAAGTATATATGGTAGATATCTACAAAACTCTCCACCCCAAAACAACAGAATATACATTTTTCTCATTGCCTCATGGAACTTACTCTAAAATTGATCACATAATCTGAAGTAAAACACTCCTCAGCAAATTCAAACAAAACTGAAATTATAACAATCAGTCTCTCCAAACACAGGGCAATCACATTAGAATTCAAGATTAAGAAATTCACTCAAAAACATACAACTACTTAGAAATTGAACAACCTCCCCCTGAATGATTTTTGGGTAAATAATGAAGTTAGGGCAAAAATCAAGAAGTGCTTTGAAATTAATGGAACAAAGATACAACATGCTAGAATCTCTGGGATTCAGCTAAAGAAGTGTTAAGAGGGAACTTTATAATACTAAATGCCCAGATCAAAATGCTAGAAAGATCTCAAGTTAACAACCTAGTATCACAACTAAAAGAACTAGAGAACCAAGAGCAAACAAACACCAAAACTAGCAGAATACAAGAAATAACCAAGATCAGAGCTGCACTGAAGGGGATAGAGACACAAAAAACCCTTCAAGAGACCAACAAATCCAGGAGCTGCTTTCTTGAAAAAATTAAATAAATAGATAGACTGCTAGCTAAACTAATTAAGAAAAAAAAGGAATATTCAAATAAACACTATTAGAAAGGACAAAAGGGGTATTACCACTGATGCCACAGAAATACAAACAACCATCAGAGCATATTATCAACACTCCTATGTACATCAACTAAATCTAGAGGAAATGGTTAAATTCCAAGACACATACACCCTCCCAAGAGTGAACCAGAAATAAACTTAATTATTTGAGGACAGGAATGGTGGCTCATGCCTATAATCCCAGCATTTTGGGAGGCTGAGGAGGATGGATCACTTGAGGTCAGAAGTACGAGACCAGCATGGTCAACATGTTGAAATCTCTTCTCTACTAAAAATACAAAATTAGCTGGGCATGGTGGCATTTCCCTGTAATCCCAACTACTTGGGAGGCTAAGGCAAGAGAATCGCCTGAACCTGGGAGGCAGAGGTTGCAGTGAGCCAGGATCACACCACTGCACTCCAGCCTGGGTGACAGAGTGAGACTCTGTCAAAAAGAAAGAAAAAGAAAAGAAATTTAAGAAATTGAATCACTGAACAAACCATTAACAAGTTCTGAAATTGAGGCAAAAATAAATAGCCAACCAACCAAAAAAATCCCAGGAATAGATGGATTCACAGCTGAATTCTACCAGAGGTACAAAGAAGAGCTGGTACCATTCCTACTGAAACTACTCCAAAAAATCAAAAAGGAGGGACTCCTCCCTAACTCATTCTGTGAGGCCAGCAACATCCTGATATCAAAACATGGCAGAAATACGAAAAAAAAAAAAAAAAAAAAAAAAAGACGAAAAAGAAAGAAAGAAAGAAAACTTCAGGTCAATGTTCTTGATGAACATCAATGCAAAAGTCCTCAACAAAATACTGGCAAAGCAAATCCAGCAGCATATCTAAAAGCACAATTAAGTTGGCTTCATTTCTGGTATGCAAGGCTAGTTCAATGGCAGAAATCAATAATGTGATTAATCACATAAACAGAACTAAAGACAAAAAACACATTAGTATCTCAATAGACCAGAAAGGCCTTTAATAAAATTCAACATCCCTTCATATTATAAATGCTCAATAAAATAGGTATTGAAAGAACATACCTCAAAATAATAAGAACCATTTATGACAAAACAACAACAAATATCATACTGAATGGGCAAAAGCTGAACACATCCTCCTTGAGAAATGGCACAAGAAAAGGTTGCCCTCTCTTTCCACTCCTATTCAATAATGTGTTGGAAGTCCTGGTCAGGGCAATCAGGCAAGAGAAAGAAATAAAGTATATTCAAATAGGAAGTGAAGAAGTCAAACTATCTTCATTTGCAGACTACATGATCATATATCTAGAAAATTCCATCATCTCAGCCCAAAAGCTCCATAAGCTAATAAGAAACTTCAACAAAGCCTCTGGATACAAAACTAATGTGCAAAAATTGCTAGTATTCCGGTATACCAACAGCAGCCAAACTGAGAGCCAAATCATGAATGAACTTTCATTCACTGTTACCACAAAAAGAATAAAATATCTAGAAGTACAGCTAGCAAAGAAAGTGAAGCACCTGTTTAAGGAGAACTACAAACCACTGCTCAAAGAAAGCAGAGATGACACAAACAAATGGAAAAGAACATTCTATGCTCACAGATAGGAAGAATCAATATCATGGAAATGACCACACTGCCCAAAACAATGTATAGATTCAATGCTATTCTCATCTTACTACCATTGACATTTTTCAAAAAATTGGAAAAAAATTATTTTAAAATTCATGTATAGCCAAAAAAGAGCCTGAATTGTCAAGGCAATCCTAAGAAAAACCAACAGAACTGGAGGCATCACCCTATCAGAATTCAAATTATATTATAGGGCAACAATAATTGAAACAGCATGGTACTGGTACAAAAACAGACATAGAGACCAATGGGACAGAATAGAGAACCTAGAAATAAGATCACACACCTACAACCATCTGACCTTTGACAAACTTGCCAAAAACAAGCAATGGGGAATAGATTCCCTATTTAGTAAATAGTGCTGGGAGAACTGGCTAGCCAGATGCAGAAAACTAAAATTGGATCCCCTTCTTACACCATATACAAAAATAAACTCAAGACGGATTAAACACTTAAATGTAAAACCTGAAACAAATAAAACAAAAAACCCTAGAAGATAACCTAGGCAATATCATTCAGGACATAGGCATGAGCAAAGATTTCATGACAAACATGCTAAAAGAAATTGCAACAAAAGCCAAAATTGACAACTGGGATCTAATTAAAGAGCTTCTGCACTGTAAAAGAAACTATAAACAGAGTAAACAGACAACCTAGAGAATGGGATAAAAATTTTGCAATATATGCATCTGACAATGGTCTAAAATTCACCATTTATAAGGAACTTAAGCAAATTTGCAAGAAAAAACAATCAAACAACCCTATTAAAAACTGGGCAAAGGATATGAACAGGCACTTCTCAAAAGAAGACATACATGCAATGAACATACATTAAAAATGCTCAACATCACTGATCATTAGAGAAATGCATATCAAAACCACAATGAGATATCATTTCACACCAGTCAAATGGTGATTTTTAAAAAGCCAAAAAACAACAGATGCTGGTGAGGCTGTGGAGAAAAAGGAACACTTCTACACAGTTCGTGCAAGTGTAAATCATTTCAACAATTGTCGTGGAGATTCCTCAAAGACCTAGAGGCAGAAATCCCATTTAACCCAGCAATACCATTACTAGGTATATACCTAATTAATGTAAATTATTTTATTATAAAAACACATGCATGTGTATGTTTATTGCAGCACTTTTTACAATAGCAAAGACATGGAATCAACCTAAATATCCATCAATGCTAGGCTGGATAAAGACAATGTAGTGCATATACACTATGGAATACTATGCAGCCATGAAAATGAATGAGACTATGTCCTTTGCAGAGACATGGCTGGACATGGAAGTCATTATTCTTAGCAAACTGATGCAAAAACAGAAAATCAAATATTCCATGTTCTCACTTACATGTGGGAGCTAAATGATGAGAGCACATGGACACATGGTGGGGAACAACACACACTGGGGCCTGTTTGAGGGTGGAGGGTGGGAGAAGTAAGAGGATCAGGAAGAACAGCTAATAGATGTTCAGCTTAATACCTGTGTGATTGGATGATCTGTGCAACAAATCACCATGGCACCACATTTACCTATGTTAACAAACCTGCATATCCCACACATGTACACCTGAACTTAAAATAAAAGTTGGAAATAAAAATAAAAAGTAAGTTCTCTAATTGCTCCAGACACTAACTTTATAATTCAGTGCCTTTATTCATGCTATTTACTTTGCTTTCATTAATTATTTCTCATTTTTGACATGGTAAACTCTTATTTAGTCCTCAAGGTTCAACTCAGAAATGTGGCAATGTTTCTACTATGGTCCCATATATTGAGCACATTCCCTATCAAAGTGTTTACCACACTACGTTTTTTGGCATCTTTTTCAGTTAGAATGTAAGCTACATTATTTTAGGCATAATTTTTAATTCATTTTAAATTATTTGTGCCTAGTACAGTGTGGGACATATATTATAAAATTTAAAAATTCCTAGATAAATAAAATGATGAAATAATGTCATTTATTACATAAATGCAGGTAGAAGAATTAAACTAGAGATTTTGGGTTATGTTATATTCTCAGACTTGTCCCTAAGTAGTTTTGTAACACTTACTGGAAAAGTCACATAACCCTACTGATTTCAATTTAATTATTATAATAAAGATATACTTCACTTTTACCTGATTGTGTATATTCAGTGTAGCACACAGATTTCTATGCATTCATGTAATATTAAACAAAATAATGTTATGATAAAGCTGTGAAGTACTTCAAAGATCACATGGTATATTATCTTGATTTTACAGATAGATAAGCTGAAGCTGGAATGGTAATTTTACTTGATCAAGTACGTGCAAATAGTTAGTGGTCACTCTTTGAATAACATATTTTCTAACTCCTCAATCTAGTCATCTTTCAATGTTTATCTCATCTGTTTACTCATCCAGAAAATAATTATTGTGTCCTAATTAACAGGCACTTTTTTTCTACTTGCTACTTGTTATTTTCTCATTAGTATTACTAGGAAGAAATTATTTCTTGGCCACTGTGGACAACCTTCCTTTAAAATAAGTACTTTCTTGGTCATTGAACATACTCAATAAGCTTCTTTTCTATTTATAACCCGTGAAGTATATATACATATATATATATATATATATACAATATTTATTCATTAACTGGATATATATTGACAGTACCATATATGTTAAATATACAGTTTTCACTCCAAATCTAAATATAACCTAGATTTTAAATTCTAATAATCTTCACTTTTATTTACAATATGCAAAAGATCTGCATCTTTGAAACTATCTTGCTCACTAAAAGTGTCTTATCTTTAGTTAACAAAGAGTGTATTTTGACTGTCTAATATTCTATTAATCATGTATATTATGTACACATGTGTGCAAATGAATCTGTATGCATAGTAGAAAAAACTGGGTGAAGAGAATATCAATGGAAAGAAAGTATATTACTTTTCCTATAAAAACTGTATCCAAGCTCCAAGTACTAATAACTTCTCTGTTTTTAAGGTAAATATATATCTCAAGTTCAGGCAGCTTTATGTTATTTTCAACCCTTGTGTCAATGATGCTACTAGTAAAAATCTGAAAATATTAGTAATTGTTAACTGATGAATATATGACAATATGTATGTGGAAAGAGAATGATAACTCATCCTGGAAATAGGAGATTCTGTCAGCCAATCGCTTGTTTTTGCTAAATTGAACTCAAACCGTCAAGTAATAGCTTTGCCTTTTTTAGGAACTCTATAAACTAATAGAAACCGTATTTAGGTCTTTCTTGATGAAAACTAGTTTTGTAAAATTTCTTTTTTTTTAATTATACTTTAAGTTTTAGGGTACATGTGCACAACGTACTGGTTAGTTACATATGTATACATGTACCATGTTGGTGTGCTGCACCCATTAACTCGTCATTTAACATTAGATATTTCAAGTTATCATATGCAGTCTCCACTTTAGTGCTTGTTTTGCTTTAAGAGAGGGAAAGGAGAAAATAAAGTAAGGTGGGAGATGGGAGGAGGACAAAGGAAAAGGAAGAAAGGAGAATAAAATGGGGAGCTGTTTGCTCAACATGATGAAATAAGCTATATCTATGGATGCCTGTGGTTTTCCCTATTAATTTAACATGAATAATTTATATTTGTGATATCTCTATGTAACACCTCAAAGTGGTTCAAATAGCTTTCTATGAAAGTATTCAAAGGCCTCAAAAATATAGATTTAAAATAAGCTAAGTGAAAGTACAGTCATTCCTCAGTGTACACGGGAATTGATTGGTTCCAGGACTCTGCATAACCAAATTCATGCATGCTCAAGTCCAGCAGTTGGCCCTGAAGAACCTGCATATACAAAAAGTTGGCCCTCATGTACATGCGGGGTTCACACCACACAAATACCATATATTCAATCCACATTTCATTTTTAAAAATCCACATACAAATGGACTCACACAGTTAAAATCAGTGTTGTTCAAGGATCAACTGGATTCTGTTCTCCGTGCATCCTGATTCAAAAACCAAAGGTGTTTTTTGTAGACATTCAAGTGATACCTTATGGTTGGGATGAGCTGGTAGTGTTACTACTATGAAGACACAATAAGATTAACCCATATGAGTGACTGTAATTCTGTACAAATTCAAAGAGAGTGTAATAAAATTAAAAAGTATAATTTAGGGCTCTTCAACACTTATATTTTTCCAAGTTTTTTTCTCCTATTTTTTTAAAAAGTGACTTGATCTCCAATCCTTTTACCTTTCCAAATAAAATAAAATTACCATAGCTTACTGCAGCCTCAAACTCCTGAGCTCAAGAGATCTTCTCACCTCTGCCTCCCAAGTTGCTGGTATCATATGCCTGAACCATGTGACAGTTCTATTTATGAGAATTTTGAAGGAAATCAGGAGAAGAATATGTTGAATAATAACTTTATTCTTTTAAAAATAAAGCTTTCTGTAAAACATATTTTAATTTAAAAATATTATAACTTTTTGAGAGAAGATATTGAGGGCAAGATTTTGATTTAATAATAAGCCTTAGTCATCACATACTGTGAACCATACAAGAACCCTCTCTTCTGTTTTATATATGTATTCATTTATACACGTACATTGGCCCACTCTTCTATCCATCTACCTATTTTTTATCTATCTTGTTCTTCTTGCCCCAATCTTGACCACTCTAAGGTAATAATATGTATCATTGAATTAATTTGCTTTTTAAAATATGAAACCTTTTGTGAGTATATGCATTTTTATTCTAATTTTAAAATGTAATATTTGATACCTACAAAAGAATATACACATATACAAGTTATGAAGTATAATTATAAAATTAACATTTGTGTACTCACCATCCAACTGAAGAACTTAAGCATTACCAATATTATGGTATCTACATCTATGTTCATCCCCTATGCCAACTGTCTCTCTCCTTCTACCTCCCAGAGGTAACCACTGTCCTTAAATATCTGATCATTGTTTCCTTGTTTTTTCTGTAGCTTTATTACACATCTACATGTATAAACAATGCATTATTTTATTTTGTTTGTTTTGTGCTTTATTAAATAACAGTATTATGTATATCATCTTATGAGACTTACCTTTTTTTTAACATTATGTTCTTAAAATTCAGCAATGTTGTGTGTGTCTGTTTGGCTGTATGGCTAAAATTCACTTGCTTATACTGCTGTATTTCATTACATTGTTTGTATTTGCTATAATAGATCTCATTTTTCTGCTTTCTCATCACTGGGTATTGATATTGTTTTTAGTTATTGTTGTTATTTGGTTATTGGTGGGTTTTTACTTTGCTATGATTAACAATGTTGCTACAAGTATTCTTATTATATTGATATGAAAGGCAGGCAGGGAAGTGCTGGGAAGGGAAGGGTGGGTCCCTGACAAGGGCTCCACCCCCAGGCCTGTCCCCATGGAGCTAGATGAGGGCATGCACTCCTGCCCTTCCGCCTAAATGCTGCATTTCCCAAGACCTCCCTGGCCTGCCATGCCAAAATCCGGTGCCTATAAAAACCCCCAGTCCCTAACAGGTAGGCACACAAGTGGCTGGATGTCAAGAGGAACACATCAGTGAAAGAAGACATAAGCAACTGGATGGTGAGAGGACATTGAGGCGAGCACGCTGGCAAAACAGCACATGATAGACGCTGGCATGCTGGTAGACCATTCACTGGCAGAATTGTTGGGAACAGGCCCCCAAATCTGGCCATAAACTGACCCCAACACTGGCCATAAACAAATCTCTGCAGCACTGTGACATGTTTGTGATGGCCATGATGCCCACGCTGAAGGTTGTGGGTTTACCGGAATAAGGGCAAGGAATACCTGGCCCACCAGGGTGGAAAACTGCTTAAAGACGTTCCTGAACCACAAACAATAGCATGAGCGATCTGTGCCTTAAGGACATGTTCCTGCTCAGATAACTAGCCAGAGCCCATCCCTTTGTTTCAGCCCATCCCTTTGTTTCCTGTAAGGAATACTTTTAGTTAATCTATAATCTATAAAAATAATGTTTATCACTGACTTGCTGTCAATAAATATGTGGGTAAATCTTTGTTCAGGGCTCTCAGCTCTGAAGGCTGTGAGTCCCCTGATTTCCCACTCCACATGCTATATTTCTGAGTGTGTGTCTTTCATTCCTCTAGCACCACTGGGTTAGGGTCTCCCTGACCGAGCTGGTCTTGGCAAGAGGTGCCCACACATGGGGCTCGAACCCAGGTCAAAGGGTCACTGGAGTGACAGTTGGAGAACGTGGAACTAAGCTGGAAGACACCCGAGTACTCTTAAGCAATCCCCATGGTTAGTAAGAAGGGGAGCTCGGAAGCATCAGGGTAACAATGTGACAAGTGTGGGCTCTGGTTCATTCCACCTTGGCACCTTTTCACACTGATGATGAGGAGGAAGGAGGGTATAATGAAGTAACAGAGCAGGTTTGTTTGCCAGCTAAAGCTAAAGTGGCAAAGGAGGAAGAGGTCCATCCTGACCCTTCTGCACCCCCTCCTTATTTTGAAGAAAAAGAGTGGCCTGACCCTCCAGATCTTTCTTTTCCAGAGGACACTGGGTGAAAAGTAGTTGCCCCAGTGACTGTTTGAGCAGTGCCTCGAGCAACCACCCTCAGTTCTATTCAGACAGAAATCCAGCAAGCTAGATGTAAGGGTAATATAGAGGCTTGGCAGTTCCCTGTTAGGATACACCCCCCAGATCAACAGGGAAATATTATAACTACATTTGAGCCTTTTCCTTTTAAATTACTCAAAGAATTTAAACAAGCTATTCATCAATATGGACCAGGTTCTGCTTTCGTAATGGGACTGTTAAAGAATGTTGCTCTTTCCAGTCGGATGATTCCTACTGACTGGGATGCTCTTACTCGAGCTTGTCTGACTCCTGCTCAGTTCTTACAATTTAAAAATTGGTGGGCAGATGAAGCTTCCATTCAGGCTGCTCACAATGCCCAGGCCCAACCTCAAATTAATATAACTGCAGACCAACTTTTGGGGGTCAGCATCTGGGCTGGTTTAGATGCACAAGTGGCCATGCAGGATGATGCCATAGAACAGCTTAGAAGAGTGTGCATTAGAGCTTGGGAAAAAACCACTTCAGGTGGAAAACAATACCCTTCCTTTAGTGCTGTAAAACAGGGACCCTAAGAACCATACACAGATTTTATAGCTTGGTTACAGGAGTCTCTTAAAAGAGTGATTGCACATTTGGCTGCTCAGGATATAGTGTTGCAGTCATTAGCTTTCAACAATGCTAATCCAGAGTGCCAGGCTGCTCTGTGACCTATTAGAGGGAAAGTACATTTAGTTGATTATATCAAGGCCTGTGATGGTATCGGAGGTAATCTGCATAAGGCTACTCTGCTAGCCCAGGCAATGGCAGGACTGAGAGTGGGTAAAGGAAATACTCTGTTTCCTGGAGCTTGTTTTAATTGTGGGAAGCATGGTCATACTAAAAAAGAATGTAGAAAAAATCAGTGAGTTAGGCTGCCAGATGGGGGAAAAAAGAAAACTGCTGAGCCTGAAATATGTCCAAAATGTATAAAAGGAAAGCATTGGGCCAATCAGTGTCATTCTAAATTAGATAAAGATGGGAACCCGATTTCAGGAAACACCATGAGGGGCCTGTCCTGGGCCCCATTCCAAACTGGGGCATTTCTGGCACAGGCCACTCCCTCACCCCCGTACAATGTCTGTCCCCTGCCACAGCAGGTAGTGCCACAGTAGATTTATGCTGCACAAAAGCTGTCAGCCTTCTGCCTGGGGAACCCCTGCAAAAAGTTCCAACAGGGGTCTGTGGACCCTTGCCAGTGGGGACAATAGGATTACTTCTAGCCAGGTCTAGTTTAAATTTAAAAGGAGTGCAAGTGCATACAGGAGTCATTGATTCAGATTACAATGGGGAAATTCAAATTGTTATATCTACTTCTGTTCCCTGTAAAGCAGAGCCAGGAGAGTGGAGTGTATAGCACAACTCCTGAGTGTGCCATATGTGGAAATGTGGAAAAGTTAAATTAAAAGAACTGGAGGATTTGGAAGCACAAATAAACAAGGCAAAGCAGCTTACTGGGTGAATCAAATTAATGATAAACATCCTACCTGTGAAATAACTATTCAGGGAAAGAAATTTAAAGGTTTGGTAGATACAGGAGTGGCCATTTCAATCATTTCTCTACAGCACTGGCCATCCGTGTGGCCAATTCAACCCACTCAATTTAACATAGTTGGAGTTGGTAAAGCCACTGAAGTATATCAAAGTAGTTATATTTTGCATTGTGAAGGACCTGATGGACAACCTGGGAGTATTCAACCAATTACAACTTCTGTACCTATAAATTTATGGGGGAGAGATTTATTACAACAATGGGGAGCACACGTTCTAATTCCAGAGCAATTATACAGCCCTCACAGTCAACATATGATGCATGAAATAGGGTATGTCCCTGGTATGTGACTAGGAAAAAATTTGCAAGGTTTGAAGGAACCACTTCAAACGGAAAGACAAAGTTCCCGCCAAGGCTTAGGATATCATTTTTGATTGTTGCCATTGTTAAGCCTCCAGAACCTATACCTTTAAAATGGTTAACTATCGGGGGAAATTCAGCCAGATATCAGGTGAAATTCACCCCTGATATTTCACATAGGTTCTTTTCTATTTTCCCTAAGTGTTGGCTGGTCTGAGAAATAAAGGAACAGAGTACAAAAGAGAGAAATTTTAAAGCTGTGTGTCTGGGGGAGACATCACATGTTGGCAGGTTCCGTGATGCCCCCCAAGCCATAAAACCAGCAAGTTTTTATTAGTGATTTTCAAAAGGGGAGGGAGTGTACGAATAGGGTGTGGTTCACCAGAGATCACATGCTTCACAAGGTAATAGAATATCACAAGGCAAATGGAGGCAGGGCAAGATCACAGGACCACAGGACTGGGGTGAAATTAAAATTGCTAATGAAGTTTCAGGCATGCATTGTCATTGATAACATCTGATCAGGAGACAGGGTTTGAGAGCAGACAACAGGTCTGACCAAAAATTTATTAGGCAGGAATTTCCTCATCCTAATAAGCCTGGGAGCACTATGGGAGACTGGGGCTTATTTCATCCCTACAGCTGGGACCATATAAGAAAACTGCCCCTGAAGCAGCCATTTCAGAGGCCTACCCTCAGGGATGCATTCTCTTTCTCAGGGATGTTCCTTGCTGAGAAAAAGAATTCAGCAATATTTCTCCCATTTGCTTTTGAAAGAAGAGAAATATGGCTCTGTTCCACCCAGCTCACCGGCAGTCAGAGTTTAATGTTATCTCCCTTGTTCCCTGAATGTTGCTGTTATCCTGTTCTTTTTTCAAGGTGCCCAGATTTCATATTGTTCAAACACACATGCTCTACAAACAATTTCTGCAATTAACGCAATCATCACAGGGTCCTGAGGTGACATACATCCTCCTCAGCTTATGAAGATGATGGGATTAAGAGATTAAAGTAAAGACAGGCATAGGAAATCACAAGGGTATTGATTGGGGAAGTGATAAGTGTCCATGAAATCTTCACCATTTATGTTCAGAAATTGCAGTAAAGGCAGGCATAAGAAATTATAAAAGTATTAATTTGGGGGAACTAATAAATGTCCATGAAATCTTCACAATTTATGTTCTTCTGCCATGGCTTCAGCTGGTCCCTCCATTGGGGTCCCTGACTTCCCAAAACAGTTAACAGATAAGCCAATTTGGATAGAACGTTGGCCACTAAGGAAAGATTAACTGGAGGCTTTAGAGGACTTAGTTACTGAACAATTAGAAAAAGGACACATAGCTCCAACATTTTCCCCCTGGAATTCTCCAGTCTTTGTTATCAAGAAAAAATCGGGTGAATGGGGAATGTTAACTGATTTAAGAGCCATTAATTCAGTTATACAACCTATGGGGACATTGAAGCCAGGACTGCCTTCTCCTGCTATGATTCCAAAAAATTGGCCTTTAATAGTTATAGATTTAAAAGACTGTTTATTTACTACCCCCTTAGCTGAGCAAAACTGTGAATGGTTTGCAGTTACAATTCCTGCAGTAAACAACCTGCAGCCTGCTAAGTGTTTTCATGGGGAAATGTTACCACAAAGCATGTTAAACAGTCCAACAATTTGCCAGATGTATGTAGGGCAAGCAATTGAACCTACTGGTAAAAAAATTTTCACAGTGTTACATTATTCAATAAAATTATTTCAATTTTTGAAATTAACTAATTGGATTCTCCCTAAAAGAACTAAATTTAAACCAATTGAAGGTGCTGAGAATGTTTTTACAGATGGGCCTAGTAATGGTAAAGCTTCTTATTCTGTCTCAAAAGGTAACGTTTTTCAGATGCCCTATACTTCAGCTCAAAAAGCCAAGCTTGTAGCTGTAATTGAGGTATTGACTGATTTCGATATGCCTATTAATGTGATATCAGATTCTTCATATGTGGTTCATTCCACACAATTAATTGAAAATACTCAGTTACGATTTCATACAGATGAACAACTGATGACTTTATTTACCCAATTGCAAACAGCAGTTAGGAGTAGAATGCACCCTTTTTACGTCACTCACATTAGGGCTCATACACCTCTTCCAGGGCCTTTAACTGAAGGGAATCAAATGGCTGATTGCCTAGTTGCTACTGCAATACCTAACCCCAGACACTTTCACAATTTAACCCATGTTAATGCCTCTGGTCTCAAACGCAGATACAGCATTACCTGAAAAGAAGCTAAAGCTATTATCCAGTGATGCCCAACTTGCCAAATGGTGTATTCTTCATCTTTTACAGGAGGAGTTAACCCTCAAGGATTGGAACCTAATTCTCTTTGGCAAATGGATGTCACACATGTTCCGTTGTTTGGGGGACTAGCTTATGTACATGTATGTGTGGACACCTTTTCTCACTTTGTCTGGGCTACATGCCAGTCAGGAGAGTCTTCTGCCTATGTTAAATGTCACCTTTTGCAGTGTTTTGCCGTGATGGGCATTCCAGCTTCTATTAAAAGAGATAATGCCCCAGGCTATACTAGCCAAGCTCTAGCTACATTTTTCTCTATATGGAATATTAAACACATTACTGGCATCCCATATAATTCTCAAGGACAAGCCATATCACTGACTTGCTGTCAATAAATATGTGGGTAAATCTGTTTGGGGCTCTCAGCTCTGAAGGCTGTGAGTTCTCTGATTTCCCACTCCACGCTCTATATTTCTCTGTGTGTGTCTTTAATTCCTCTAGCACCGCTGGGTTAGGGTCTCCCCAGCCTAGCCGGTCTCGGCACAGAATGAGGCGGAGTTTGGCCAGGGCAGTCAGAGGAGAGCCTGGGCCACCAAGCCACCTGACTCCAGGGGAAAACCATCTCCCTTCTGACTCCCGCACCTGCTGAGAGCTACTTCCACTCAATAAAACCTTGCACTCATTCTCCAAGCCCACATGTGATCCAATTCGTTCAGTACACCAAGGCAAGAAACCTGGGATACAGAAAACCCTCTCTCCTTGAGATAAGGCAGCAGTCTAATTGAGCTGACTAACACAAGCCGCCTATGGATGGTTAAACTAAAAGAGCACCCTGTAACGCACACCCACTGGAGCTTCAGCTGTAAACATTAACCCCTAGACACTGCCATGAGGTTGGAGCCCCACAGCCTGCCCATCTCCATGCTCCCCTAGAGGTTTGAACAGTGGGGCACTGAAGAAGTGAGCCATGCCCCCATTGCTCACCCTGCAAGGGGTACAAGGGAACTTTTCCTGTTTCAATATCTTCTGGTGCACATATATGGTGATTTTTCTAAGATACATATCCTGGAGTATAATTGCTGAGTTATAGGATAGGTGAATTTTAACATAGCATGTAAGTGTTACATTAATTTTTTAAAGTGGCTGCTCTGATTTACAATTGCATATCTATAAAACTTTATTATACAAAATTGATATTTTGTTACAGATTTTATCTCATTCTTTGACTTAGCACCAGATTTCAGAGATACATTCATACCTCTACAAATGTTTTCCTTGCATCTAACTACAACACAGTATTCAAAATTTGCATTAATCATGTTTTAAACTTTTAAAATATTTTTAAAACCTTGTAAAGTTGTTTAACCCTTTAAAATAATTTAAAATGTACAGGAGAGTTGAAAAGGTAGTACAGTATTCCCATACATATTTCACCAAACTTCTAGTAATGTTAATAATTTAAATAGCAATGCTGTATTTATCAAAGCTAAAAAATTAACATTAGTATAATGTTAGTATCTAAACCAGACTTCTTGTGAATTTCCCTAGTTTTTCAACTAATAATTTTTCTGCTTCAAAATCTACTCTAAGATGCACATTGCATTTAGTATGCATGTCTCTTCAATGTATTCTGATCTGAGAAAATTTCTGGGTTTTTAAAATCATTTTTTATTATCTTAACGCTTGAATAGTCTTTTGCAAGGAGTTAGCTAGCTTGCCTTATGCGGACAGCAAGGGAAGTTTCTTTGGAGAGCCCCTGGCCCACAAATCAGTGCATCATCCCCACATAATACAAAAAGCAGCCTGGGAAAAAATTGAGCTGTGAGCTCAGTAAGGGAACTAGGACAGGGGGTTGTTCCTGGAGACATGCCCATGGCTGCTCAATAGGAGAATCTCCAGCCCATTCAGATGAAAACTTGCACAAACCTCTGTCTTACTCAGTTAAGGGAACAAGATCAGACATAGAAATGTCTTTGTCTTTTGTATAATCAGCGGGCTCCCAGGAAAAAGTTTCTTCTCCTTTTGTGGGCATGAACACAGTGGGCTCCAGCAGATTCTGTTGGGCACTTTTCTTTTTTTTGGACTGTGAGCACAGCCTCTATAAATCATTGCTTCAGCTCCTGGTTGGTCCCAGGCCGCCAAGGTCCTGGGCCAAGCTTTCACTTCAGTTCCTGATTGATCCCAGGCCAAGCTTTCACTTCAGCTTCTGATAGGTCCTAGCCCAAGGTACCGGACCAAATTTAATCATGCTTTCTTCAAGACAGGCCACAGACAAAGCACATTTCTTCCCCTTCCCAGTCCCTGAAAACCCCGAACCCCAGCCTCATAGTACACAACCCATTCAGGCCCCACTCTTTACTGCAGAGAGCTTTCTTCTTTCACTTACTAAACTTCTACTCCAACCTTACCCTTGTGTCTTTGCTCTTTAATTCTCTTGGATGTGAGACAAATAACCCTGGGTACTATCTCAGACAATGAGAGACTGCCACATATTTGGGGGCATTGGCAAGACCATAACACTTTCATAATCTCGAAGAGTATTTCTAAGGTATTCTGAAAAATGTTCCTCAATTTCAGTTGGTTTGATCATTTCTCATTATTAGACTGAGGTTATGGGTTTTGGGGAAGAATACCACAGAGACAATATACCCTTTTTTATCAAGGGTGCATGGCATGAGAATGACATATTACTGGTGACATTAACCTAGTAACTTCGTTAAGGAGAAGTCTGCAACTATCTCTCACTACAAAGTCAATAATTTCATATTCCATAGTCTATTCTTTAGAATCGAGTCACTAAATGTAACTCTCAATTAAGGGGAAGGTGATTAAGTGCCACCTACTGGAGGGAGGAGAATCAAAAAATTTTAAAACCACCACAATAATTAGCAAATACATTGGAGGGAGATACTTTGAGATTATGCGATACATCATATTTCTACTTAAAGTTTCACCTACTGGTTTTGACATTTGTCCATGGATACTGCCTGAGTCAGTTACTACTGTGGAGTTACAATAATGATTATTTATTTTTCTCATTATTTTTAAATTTGTTAATTGGCACTCTTCTTTAAGGAAGTTTTGTACTTGCTTTTCTATTTATTTATGAAATATTTTATTTTTTATCAATAGAAGACAATAGATACTTAAAAATTCTCTGGTTTATTAATCCAAAATTGTTGTCATTCTTTTTTTGTTATTGCTCCAATTGTTCCAACTTGGGCCAATAGAAGCTCTTTTATGTTGGCTCCTGTGTCCCTTTATATGTTCCATCATTTTCGTTTTTTTTTTTTTAACACTTTCTTACTTTCTAGAACTAGAAGACATTCCAGTTCATCTTATATTTCCCATTTCTCATTCCTTGAATCAGCTGTTTCTCCTAGGCATCATGGTTACTTTCATTAGAGAATATGGGTGTTAGACATTTGACTTGATATTAGATTTTATTGCTTCTAGGCATTACAGTAAACAGAGCTAAGAAATGTATGTGTAGTAATTCATGTATACAAATATCTATATTTATTTATTTGTGTATATGATAAAATAAATGTGAGCACATAAATTTGTACCAAAGTCTCCAATTCCAACTTAGCAGCATAGGATACACTCTACATCATTTTCTTGCTTATTTGTAATCCTTTTCTTTCACAGAGAGAAACCAGGTCATTGTTATCTTCAGGAAAATTATGTATTAAACATTAGTATATATGTAAAGTAATTTTAGAATTTATGAACTAAATACCTGTGAGAAACGCATTTTTTTACTAACGTTTTCTGTTTCAGGATCCGCTCTAAGATGCACATTGTGTTTGGCCTTATGATATCTAGACAACACATTGTTTTACAAAGTTACTTGGGTGATCTTAACTCACCACTCTTATAATTGAGATTTTTTCACACCTTTCTTAATACACCTACATTATTGTTTTATGGTTAGCATTCCATCATCAAATTTCCCAATATCCTGGTTTATTTTGTTTTTATTTACTGGCAATAAAAGTTATACTTTGTTGTGCTAAGTTTTATGGGCTTTTGACAGATGCATGTTATATATTTACTATCAGAATATTAAACAATAATTCTGTCCCCTAGAAATCCCATTATGAGGCTTTATTATAGCTAAATCTTTGTCCCTTTTTCCAACACCTAGAAACAACAAGCCTGTTTTCCAGCATTATAGATTTTCCTTTTCCAAAATATAGAGTAAATAAAATTACACAATATCTGTGGTTTTTGGGTCCGATTTCTCCCACTCGGAAAAAAAAAAAATGCATGTAAGATTTTTCCATGCTCTTGCACTTATCACTAGTTCCTTCATTTCTATTGCTAAGTAGCATTTCATTTGGTAGATGTCCCACTGTTTGTTTATTGATTCACCTGTTGAAAGACAACATACTTGTTTCCAGGGATACTGTGAATAAGGCTTTTATGACCATTCATATTCAGGGTATTTTGTGAACGTAAGTTTTATATTTAAATTGGGTTTCTTGTCATAGCATGTAGTTAGGTCTTGGGTTTTTTTGTTGTTATGTTTTAATAATCTCTCTTATTTTTTAAGGAAATTCACATGTTTTCACTTTTCTGTATTATAGTAAAATATACTTAATGTAAAATTTACCATGTTAATCATTTTTATATGCACAGTTCTATGGCATTGAGTACATTCACATTAGCGTGCAACCATTACCACCATCAATCTGCAGAATTATTTTATCTTCCACAACTGAAATGCTATACCAATTAAAAACTAATTCCACATTTCTTTCCCTGCAGCCCCAAGAAACTATCATTCTACTTTCTGTCTCTATGAATATTACTACTCTAGATGCCTCACATAAGGGGAATCATACAACATTTGTACTTTTGTGACTGGCTAATTTAACTAAGTATAATGTCCTCAAAGTTTAGCCATGCTGTAGCATATTGAAATTTTATTCTATTTAAGGCTAAATAATATTCCTGTGTGTGTGTACCACATCTCATTCGTCCATCAGTCCAAAAAACAAACGAGTTCCTTTCGATGTTTGGGTGTTGTGAATAATGTTGAAATTAACATGGCATTACAAATACTTGTTCAAGTCACAGCAGCTTTCAACTCTTTTGGGTATACACTCAGAAGTAATATTGCTAGATTAATGTTCATTCTAATATGGGGAGGAAAGACAGAAAAAAACTCTTCCACAGAGGTTGTACCATTTTACATTTCCAGAAGCAATGAACAAGAGTACCATTTCCTCCATGTACTAGCCAACCCTTGCTATTTTCTGTTTATTTTGTTTAAATGTTTTAATAATAATGGTCACCCTAGTGGGTATGAAGTGGTATCTCAGAGTGGCCTTAATTTACAGTTCACTAATGATAGTGATTTTGAGCATCTTTTCAATTGCTTAGTAGCTATTTGATTTTTTAAAAAATTTTAAAATGTTCAATTGGATAACATTAAGAATTGAGTATGTTCAAAGTGTGAAATGTGATGGTTTGATATATGTATACCTAGTGTAATGATGACTATAATCAAATAAAGATACCCATCCATTACCACCAATTCAATGTAATAGATCTTAGAAGTTGTTCATCTTGTAACTGACTATACCACTTCATCAACATTTCTCCATTTCCCCCAGCCAACAACCACTAGCACCACCATTCTGCTTTCTGCTTCTATGAGTTTAATTTCTTTAAACTTCAATGCATACAGCATTCTGTGTCTGGCTTATTTCACTTAGCAAAATATCTTGTAGGTTCATCCATGTTATTACATGTGACAAGATTTTCATCTTTTTTAAAGTTTAATATTTCTCTCTACATATGCATACATATATGTATATGTCTATATGTATATATGTACACATGTAAATTTGTACATCTAGTCTATAGATGCCTTTTTTCATTTTGTTGATTGTTTGTTTGCTTTGCAGAAACGATCTAGTTTAACTTAGCTCCATTTATTTATCTCTGCATTTCTTGACTGTGTTTTTTTTTATATCCAAAAATCATTACCAAGATCAATATCAATATTTTCTTCTTTGTTTTCTTCTGTGAGTTTTGTTATATCAGACCCTAAAGCTTTTAATTATTTTCAGGTAATTTTTGTATGTGGTATAATAAGAAAATGTCCAATTTTATTATTTTGCATGCAGATAACCAGGTTTTCCATCATTTATTGAAAAGATTCTACTTTCTCTACTCTGTTTTCTTGGTGCTCTTGCCAAAAATTAGCCAATCAAATACAGTAGTATCCCTTTGTCTGTGATTTTGCTTTCCATGGTTTCAGGTTTTCAGGTACCCATGGCCAACCACGATCAGTATTAGAAGAGTATGGTACAGTAAGATATTTTAAGAGAGGGAAAGGGATAGAGAGACCACATTTATGTAACTTTTAATACAGTATATTGTTATAATTGTTCTATTTTATTACTTATTGTTAATCTCATACTGTACTTAATTTATTCATTAAATTAAACATTATATGTGTAGATTAAAAAAACAGTGTATATATAGGGTTTGGTACCATCCATGGTTTCAGGTATTGACTGGTGGTCTTAGAAGTATCCCCCATGGATAAGAGGGTCTACTGTATATATGAGAGTTTCTTTCCAGGCTTTCTAATCTGTTCCATTGGTCAGTCTACATGAATGTTTTATTTTATTTTATTTTAGATTCAGAGGGTACATGTGTATGTTTGTTACATGGAAGTTTTACATAATGCTGCGGTTTGTAGTTCTAGTGTACTTTTCACTCAAATAAGGACCATTGTACACAATAAGTAATTTTTCAACCCTCATCCGCCTCTCTACCTCCCCCATTTTGTAGTTACCAGAATCTATTATTTCCGTCTTTATGTCTTTGAATATACATTGTTTAGTTCCCATTTATAAGTGGGAACATGCAGTATTTTATTATCTGTTTAGGATTTATTTCACTTAGGATAATGGCATCTAGCTCCCTCTGTGATGCTGCAAAAGGCAAGATTGTGTCTTTTCATAGCTTCGTAGTATTCCATATAGTATTCCATGGTGTGTGTGTGTGTGTGTGTGTGTGTGTGTATATATATATATATGTATATATATATTCTATTCAATCAAACACTGATAGACACTTGGGTTGTTTCTATGACTTCATTATTGTGAGTAGTGCTGAGATAAACATATAGGTGCAGGTGTGTTTGCTCTAAAATAACATTTTTTAGTAAATAACCAGTAGTGGAATTGCTGGGTCAAATGATATTTTGGGGGATGGGGGAGTGTTTCCCTGTGCTCAAGTGTTTATTTTTTGAGTCCCAAACAATACAATTAAACTCCCTCAATTTTTTAAACTGTAGAGTTATTATTGACTATAGTCACTCTTATGCTTTCAGATAGTAGGTTTTATTTATTCTTTCTATTTTTTTTTTTTGTACCTGTAATAGTCCATGCTCACACTGCTATAAAAAACTACCTGAGACAGGGTAATTTATAAAGGATAGAGGTAAAATTGACTCACAGTTCCACATGGCTGGGGCAGCCTCAGAAAACTTACAATCATGACAGAAGGGGAAGCAGGCATGTCTTCCATATTGGCAGGATGAGAGGGAGTGTTTTGAGAGTGCAGGAAAACTACCATTTTTAAAACCATCAGATTTCATGAGAATTCACTATCACGAGAACAGCATGGGAAAAACTGCCCCCATATTCCAATCACCTTTCACCAGTTTCTTCCCTTAACACCTGGGGATTACAATTCAAGATGAGATCTGGGCGGGGACAAAGCTAAACCATATTATTCCACTCCTGGCCCCTCCCAAATCTCATGTCTTCACATTTTAGAAACAATAATGCCTTTCAATCAGTTCACCAAAATCTTAACTAATTTCAGCATTATCCCAAACGTCCACAGTCCAGTCACATCTGATACAAGGCAAGTCCCTTCTGCCTATGAGCCTGTAAAATCAAAAACAATTTAATTCCTTCTAAGATACTATGAGGATACAGGCATTGGATAAATGCTCCCATTTCAAATGGGAGAAATTGGCTAAATCAAAGGGGTTACAGGCCCCATGCAAATCTGAAATTCAGTGATGCAAGGGTTCACACAGTCTTGGGCAGCTCCACCCTTGTGGGTTTGCAGGGGACAGCCTCCATCCCAGCTGCTTTCATGGGTGGGCATTGAGTGTCTGTGGCTTTTCCAGGAGCACAGTGGTGTGAAGGGCAGCCATGGAGACCTCTGACATGTACTGAAAACATTTTTCCCATTGTCTTGGTGATTAACATTTGGCTCCTTGTTACTTATGCAAATTTCTGCAGCCAGCTTGAATTTCTCCCCAGCAATTTTTTTTTCCTTTTCTATTACATCCTCAGGCTACAAATTTTTCAAGCTTTTATGCTCTGCTTTCCTTAAAACATAAGTTCCAATTTCAAATAATCTATTTGTGAATGCATAAAACTAAAAGCCTTCAGATTAACTTAGGTCATGTCTTGAATGCATTGCTGCTTAGAAATTTCTTCCATCAGATATCTTAAATCATCCAACTCAAGTTCAATGTTCCATAGATCTCTAGGGCAGGGACAAAATGCCACCAGTTTCTTTGCTAAAGCGTAGCATGAGTGACTGTTACTCCAGTTCCCAATAAATTACTCATCTCCACGTGAGACCATCTCAGCCTGGACTTAAGTGTTCACATCTATCAGCGTTTGAATTTGAACAAGGGCCTTTTTGACTGAAGAATCTGTAAGATACTACACCAGTGTTATCTGAAAGATTAATCTGACATCAGATACATTTGGGTTTTTTATGTTTTATATTTCTTCATTAAACTTCACTTTGTTCATGCATTATTTCTCTATTTTCTTTAGTTATCTATTTGTGTTTTCTGTATTTCACTTAGGTTTAGGATAATTATTTGAATTCTTTTTTTCCAGTAATGTATAGATCTTTATTTCTTTGGGGTCAATTACTGGTGCTTTATCAGTTTATTTTAGTGGTGTCACATTTTTGTGATTCTTTGGTATGCATTTCGCCTCATGTTGGTGTCTGTGCATTTGAAAGAGTTAACAGTTATTTTGCCTTTACAGACTGGTTTTTAAAGGAAAAGACTTTCTCCTGTTGGGTCTCTGAGTTAATAGGATTGCTTCCAGGATCACCGTCAAAAGAAGTTGGAGCCAGGTTATATGACTAATAGGTCTGCAGTGGGGTTCACAGATTAAAAGCTTGTTACCAGGGGCTATAGTGAGCATGGATCCTGTCTGGTCCCTGGGTAGACTGGACTGCCTCCATAATTTTGGTTAGTATGGCTGGAGCTGGTTTGAGTGTCTGCTTCAGGGACTGCTGATGATCAGCTTCTAAATAGATGCAAGGACTGGTGTGGCTTCCTTCTGCTTGCTGGAAGGGCTCCCAATGGGTCATTAGGTAGGCCGCTGGGAAGTCAGTGCTGGCTTCCAACTGAGACTAAAACGGGCTAGAATCAAGTCACAGGGTTGCTCCAAGTTTCACATACAAGACCATTGTCTGTAAGCCTGACACTGGGGACACAGATTGGCATGTCACCTCTGGGTCTTTTTTTGGGCAGAACTGCTCTCATATTACTGCTTAGAGGGTCTGGAGCTGAGTCACAGGGATGTTTCAGGATTTTTTGTGTGACTTGTAAAGTTAGTAAACCTGCCCCAGGGACTCAGATGGACATAGTTCCTCTGAAACTCTGTGAGCAGGACTGTCTTCAGATCACAACTGAGAAGGGATGGAGCCACATCTCAGGGACATTTTAGGGTCTTCTGTGTGACCAAGGTCAGCATACCTGCCCCAGTGACTCATACCAGTATTTTTCCCTCTGGATTCCTGTGCTTCCAGCAGTAATTTTCTCACACTGCAGCTGAGAAAGCTAAAGCTTGGTTTCAGGGTCCTTTCTAAGTCCACAGCCAGGGCCAAGGTTGGCATCCCTGTAACCTGAGGCAAGTGATCCCCGGGTTCCTTGACAGATAGTTATGGTGGTAGAATGACTAAGGACAAAAGGGGTTGTAACCAAGTCCCCAAGGGGAAACGGTCATTTCTGGGTCTGAGGCTGGAACTGTAGTTTGCAAATCTGAAACTTGTTATGATTTGTCTTCTCAGAATGGCCTTCCTAGGTCTCAGGCTCTACTGGGATATTACAAAATTCTACCTAAATCCGAAAACTCCCACAAAGACACTTTTGTCAATGGATAGCTGTGAACCAATTGTTGCTGTGGGTGGATACAAGTAGAAGAGCTCCTATACCATCATTTTGCTGATGTTACTCTGGTTATGGGCCATTTGTATGTGTTCTTTGGAGAAATGTCTATTTAAGAACTTTGATGATTTTTGAATCTTTTAAAAAGTAGTATCAGTCATTTGTATATTCCGAATATTAATCACTTATTCAATATATAATTTGAAAGTATTTTCTCACATTCCATGGATTGCCTTTTCACTTTGTTCATACTGTCCTTTGAAGCACAAAAGTTTTGATTTGAAGAAGTCAAACTTTTCTATTTTTTAAATTGCTTGTGCTTTTGGTACAATATCCAAGAAGTACTTGTAAAAGCCAATGATATAAACAATTTTGTTTTCCTTTTGTTTTAATTTTAAGAGTTTTAGAGTTTTAGCTTTTATGTTCAGGTATTTATTTTGAATTACTTTTTATATATGGTGTAAGGTAAGGGTTCACTTTTCTATTGCAAGTGGACATTGTTTTCTCAAGAACATTGTTGAGTAGACTTTCTTCCCCATTGAATGGACTTGCCACTCTTGTAAAAAATCATTTGGTTATATACACAAGGGTTAATTGCTGAACTGTCTCTTCTATAGTATTTGACTATATGTATTTCTTTAAGCCATTACCACAATGTTTTGGTTACTGTACTTTTGCAGTAATTTTTGAAATGAGGGAGTGTCAGAACTCCAACTTTGTTCTTTTTAAAAATTATTTTCACTAATCTGAGTCCCTTATAATCCTAAATAGATTTCAGATAAATTTTACTATTTTGCAGAAGGCACCATTAAGATTTTGATGTGGATTTCCTTGAATCTATAGATTTCTTTGCGAAGTGTAAAAATATTAACAATATTAAGTTTTCATGCACGTCCGTGTGAAGAGACCACCAAACAGGTTTTGTGTGAGCAACAAGGCTGTTTATTTCACCTGGGTGCAGGCGGGCTGAGTCTGAAAAGAGAGTCAGCGAAGGGAGATAAGGGTGGGGCCATTTTATAGGATTTGGGTAGGTAAAAGAAAATTACAGTCAAAGGGGGTTTGTTCTCTGGCAGGCAGGAGTGGGGGTCACAAGGTGCTCAGTGCGGGTGCTTTTTGAGCCAGGATGAGCCAGGAAAAGGACTTTCACAAGGTAATGTCATCACTTAAGGCAAGGACCGGCCATTTACACTTCTTTTGTGGTGGAATGTCATCAGTTAAGGTGGGGCAGGGCATATTCACTTCTTTTGTGATTCTTCAGTTACTTCAGGCCATCTGGGCATATACGTGCGAGTCACAGGGGATGCGATGGCTTGGCTTGGGCTCAGAGGCCTGACATAAGTCTTCTAATCTATGAACATGGAATGTCTTTCCATGTTTTTGTGTCTTCAATTATTTCCAGCAACATTTGTGTGTATGTGTGTGTGTGTGTACAAGTCTTTCACTCACTTAGTTTATTCCTAATTTATTTTTTCAGTGCCATTGTAAATGTAAATGACTTCTTAATTTTCTTTCAGATTGTTTATTATTATTGTAAAGGAATGTAACTAATTTTGGGCATTGATCTTTGTATTTTGCAAATTTGCTAATTTTTAAATTAGCTCTGGAATTTTTTTGTGTGTTTTTTGGGATTTTCTACATACAATATTATTTTCACTGTGAACCGATATAATAATTTTGCTTCCTTTTCAGTTTGGATGCCTTTTATTTTCCTTTCTTGCCTAATTTCTCTGACTAAAAGTTCAAGTACTATGTTGAATAGAAGTGGCAAAAGGAGGCACTTATGTTATGTTCCAAATCTTAGATAAAGAGCTCTGAGTCTTTCACCATTGAGTCTGATGTTAACTGTGGGCTTTTCATAAATGTTCCATATTGTGTCGAGGTACTTTCCTTCTATTTCTTGTTTAAGTGTTTTTATCATGAAGGATACGTTAAATCTTGTCAAAGACTTTTTATGCATCAATTGAAATAATTGTGATTTCTATTGCCTTCATTCTGTTAGTGTGGTGTACTCTATTGATTGATTTTTTTTTATTTTGATTTTTGTGGATACATTGTAGGTGTCTATTTAGAGGTAAATGAGATTTATTGATACAGGCATTCAATGCATAATAATCATATCATGTAATGTGGGATAACCATCCCCTCAAGCATTTATTTTTTGTGTGTTACAAACAATCCAAGTATACTTTTTAAAATATTTTAATATGCAATTATATTATTATTGACCACAGAAACACTGTTTTTCTATCAAACACTAGGTCTTACTTATTCATTCTAGGTATTTTTTTTGTGTGTAAATTAACCTTCCCCATTCCCCTTAACCCCACACTACTTTTGCTCTGCAGAAGCTTCCTAACTTGATGTGATCTCATTTGTTTCCTTTGCTTTGGTTGCTTGTACATGTGAGGTATTGCTCAAAAAATTTTTACCCCAGACCAATGTGCTATAGATTTTCTCCAAAGTTTTATTGCAGTAGTTTTACAGTTTGAGGTATTAGATTTAAGTCTTTAATCCATTTTGATTTGATTTTTGTTTGCAGCAAGAGGTAGTAGTCTAGTTTCATTCTTCTGTATGTGGCTATTTCATTTTCCTAGCACTATTTATTCCCCAGTGTATGTTCTTTATACCTTTGTCAAAAATGAGTTCACTGTAAGTGTGTGGATTTGTTTTGGTGCTCTCGATTCTGTTCCTTTGGTCTATGTGTCTGCTTTTATGATAGTACTGTGCTGTTTTGGTTATTATTGCTCTCTAGTGTAATTTGAAGTCAGGTAATGTGATATCACCAATTTTGTTCTTTTGGGTTAACGTAGCTTTGTCTATTCTGCATTTTCTATGGTTCCACATAAATTGTTTATGTGGTGATTTTTCATGTGGCCCAGACTGGTCTCAAACTCCCGGGCTCAAGTGATCTGCTTGTGTTGACCTGGCAAACTACTGGGATTACAGGCATGAGCCACTGTTCTCAACCAGGATTGTTTTTTCTATTTCTGTGAAGAATGTCATTGAAATTTGAAAGAGATTGCATTGAATCTTTATTTTGCTTTGGGTAATATGGCCATTTTAAAAATATTGATTCTTCTATCCCATAAACATGGAATCATTTTTTATCTTTTGGTGTTCTCTTCAATTTTTTAATCTGTGTTTTAGAGTTTTCATTATAAAATCTTTCTCTTCTTTGGTTAAGTTAATTTCTATGTATTTAGTTTTATTTTGACTATTGTAAATGTGATTTCTTTTTTGTTTTCTTTTTCTGATTGCTTAATGTTGGCCTATAGAAATGCTACTGATTTTTGTATGTTGCTTTTATATCTTGTGATTTACTGAATTTATTAGTTCTAATAATATTTTTGTGAAGCCTTTATGTTTTTTCAAATTTAAATTTGCAGATTATATCATCTTCAAACAAGCACAATTTGATTTCTCCCTTTTGAGTTTGGTCATCCTTTATTTTTTTTCTCTTGTCTGATTGCTCTAGCTAAAACTTCCAGTACTATGTTGAATAACAGTGGTGAAAGTGGGCATTATCCTCATGTTTCAGATCTTAAAGAAGTGCCTTTCTGTTTTTCCTCATCGGATATGATACTAGCTGTGGGTTTGTTATACATGGCTTTTATTATATTCAGGCATATTCTTTCTATACCCAGTTTTAAAGGTTTTTACCATGAGCGGAAGCTGAATTCTATTAAATGTTTGTTCAGCATTAATTGAAATTATCATACAGTTTTTGTCCTTAATTCTCTAGATATTATGTATCACATTGATTATTTGCATATGTTGAACCCTCCTTGCATCTCAGGGATACATCCCACTTTGTCATGATAAGTATTGTTTTCTAATATATCATTGAACTAAGTTTTCTAGTATTTTATTGACAATTTGTGCATCCATATTCATCATAGATATTGGCCTGTAGTTTTATTTTTGTGATGTGTCTTTTTTCTGGTTTTAGTATTAGGGTAATACAGGCCTAATGTGGTGAGTTTGGAAGTATTCTCTCCTTTAGTCTCTGGAATAGTTTGAGTGGGGATGGTATTAGTTCTTTTTTTAAATGTTTGGTAGAATACAACAGTAGAGCCATAGGGCCCCAGGATTTTTCTTTTTTCCTGGAAGGCTTTTTATTACGGCTTCAATATCATTACTTATTATTGGTCTGTTCAAGTTTTGAATTTCTTCATGGATCAATCCTGGTAGGTTGAATGTGTTTGGGAATTTGCCCATTTCTTCTACATTTACCAACTTAATTGGCATGTAGTTGCTCATAGTAGCCATCAATAACCCTATTAATTTTTAGAGTATCATTGTAATGTCTCTTTTTTCATTTTTGATTTTATTCATTTGGATTTGTTCTCTATTTTCTTAGTCTGGCTAAAGCTTTGCCAATATTGTTTAACATTTCAAAAAACATTTTGTTTCATTGAACTTTTGTATTGTATTCTTCATTTTAATTTTATTTATTTTTGCTCTCATCTTTATTATTTCCTTTCTTCTACTAATTTTGGTATTGATTGGCTCTTGCTTTTCTAGTTCTTTAAAATGCATAGTTAGGTTGTTTATTTGAAGTTTTTTTCTCTTTTTTGATGTAAGCACTTAAAAGCCGTAAACTTCCCTCTTAGTACTGCTTTTGCTGTATCCCCAAAGTTTTAGTATGTTTTGTTTCCATTATCATTTGTTTCAAGAAAATTTTCAATTTCCTTTTTAATTTCTTTATTGATCATTGGTCATTCAGGAGCATATTGTTTAATTTACATGTGTTTGTATAGTTTTCAAAATTCCACTTGTTGTTGATTTATGGTTGTATTCCATTGTGGTCAGAGAAGATGCTTTATGTTAGTTCAATGTTTTGAATATTTAAGACTTGTTTTCTGACCTAACATATGATCTTATCTAGACAATGTTCCATGTGGTGAGGAAAAGAATGTGTGTTCTATAGCCATTGAATGAAATGCGCTGTAAATACCTATTAGCTCCAATTGGTCGACAGTGCAGATTAAGTTCAATGTTTTTGTGTTGATTTTATTTCTGGAAGATCTGTACAATGCTGAAAGTAGGGTATGGAAGTCTCTAGAGAGAGAGTCTATCTCTCTCTTTAGATCTAGTAATATTTGTTTTATATATCTGGGTTTTCCAATGCTGGGTGCATATATATTTAAAATTATTGTATCCTCTTGCTGAATTGACCACTTTATCATTATACAGTGACCTTCATTGTTTCCTTTATAGTTTTTGTATTGAAAGCTATTTTGTCTGATATACACATGGCTACTCTTGTTATTTATTTATTTTGTTTTGGTTTCCATTGACATGGCATATGTTTTTTGTTCCCTTTGTCTTTTGTTTTCAGTCTATATGTTTCTTTGCATGTGAAGTGTGTTTACTATAGGCAATAGATTATTAGGTCTTGTTTTTATATCCTTTTAGCCACTCTATGTCTTTTGATTGGAGACTTTAGCCCATTTACATTCAATATTATTATTGATATGTAAAAGCTTACTCGGCCATTTGGTTATTTGTTTCCCGGTTGTCTTTGTTGTTGTTGTTCTCTTCCTTCTTTCATTTATTTCTCTCTTCCTTTTATCAAAGGTAATTTTATATGGTGATCTGATTTAGTTTCCTCCTTTTTAATTTTTGTGTATTTGTTTGTATGATTTTTGTTTCAGCTTACCATGAGTCCTGCAAATACTATCTTATAACCCACTATTTTAACCTGATAACAACTTAACACTGTTTGCAGAAACAAACAAGCAAAGAGAAAAGTTCTAAAGACTCTACACCTTAAGTTTGTCCCCCTATTTTTTATCTTTTTGTTATTACTATTTATTTCTTATTATATTCTTTATGTCTTGAAAAATTTTAAAAATGATTTTTGATTGGTTTATGGTTTAGTCTTTCTACCTATGAATAGTTTACACACCTCAGTTATAGTGTTTTAATATTCTCTATACTTACTATTACTAGCAAGTTTTCTACCTTCAGATGATTTCTTATTACTCATTGACATTCTGTACTTCTGACTGAAGTATTCCCTTTAGTATTTCTTGTAGAACAGATGTGGTGTTAATAAAACGCTTTGGCTTTTGTTGGGAAAAGTATGTATTTCTACTTCATGTTTGAAAAATATTTTTACCAGATATTCTAGGTTAAAGGCTTATTTCCCTTAGAAGTTGAAATATGTTATGCAACTCTCTCCCGGCCTGTAAGGTTTCCATTGTAAAACCTACTGCCTGGTGTATTCGAGTTCTATTGTATATTATATTTCATATATATATATTTACATGTACATATATATTTACATGTACATATATATTTACATGTACATATATATATTTACATGTACATATATATATTTATATGTCTATATTTACATGAATAAGTTCTTTACTGGTGATTTCTGAGATTTTGGTGCACCCGTCATCCTAGCAGTGTAAACTGTACCTATATATATAGAATTTTATCCCTCACTCCCTCCCACCCTTTCCCCCATGTCCCAAATGCCCATTGTAGCATTCTCATGCCTTGCATCTTCACAGCTTAGCTCCCCCTTATAAGTGAGAACATATGATGCTTTTTTTTTCCATTCCTGAGTTACTTAACTTAGAATAATGGTCTCAAATTCCATCCAGGTTACTGCAAATGCCATTACTCTGTTCCTTTTTATGGCTGTGTAGTATTCCATTGATACGGTTTGTCTGTGTCCCCACAGAAATCTCATCTTAAATTGTAGTTCCCATAATCCGCATGTGTCATGAGAGGGTCCCTGCGGGAGGTAATTGAATCATGGGAACAGTTATCCTCATACTGTTCTGGTGATAGTGAGTTCTCAAAATATCTAATGGCTTTATAAGGGGTTTTCCCCCTTGGCACTTCTCCTTGCTGCCGCCATGTGGAGGGATGTGTTTGCTTTCCCTTCTGCCATGATTGTAGTTTACCTGGGACAACACCAGCCATCCTGAACTGTGAGTCAATTAAACCTTTTTCCTTTATAAATTACCCAGTCTCAGATATGTCTTTATTAGCAATGTGAGAACAGAAAACCACAGTAAATTGATACTAGTAGTGGAGTGATGCTATAAGGATACACATAAATGTGGAAGCAAATTTGGAAGTGAGTAACAGGCAGAGGTTGGAACAGTTTGGAGGGCTAAGACGATGACAGAAAAATGTGGAAAAATTTGAAACTTCCTAGAGACTTGGAGGGCTCAGAAGACAGGAAGATGTGAGAAAGTTTAAAAAAAATTATAGAGACTTGTTGAATGGCTACGACCAAAACACTGATAGTGATATGGACAATAACATATCTGAGGTGGCCTCAAATGGAGATTAGGAACTTTTTGGGAACTGGAACAAAGGTCACTCTTGCTGTGCTTTAGCAGAGAGACTGGTGGCATTTTGCTCCTGCCCTAGAGATCTGTGGAACTTTGAACTTAAGAGAGATAATTTAGGGTATCTGGTGGAAGAAATTTCTAAGAGGAAGAACATTCAAGAGGAAGCATAGCATAAAGGATTGAAAAATGTGAAGCCTGATGATGCAATAGAAAAGAAAAACCCATTTTCTATGGAGAAATTCAAGCAGGCTGCATAAATTTGCATAAGTAATGGGAGGCCAAAAATTAATCACCAAGATAATGGGGAAAATGTCTCCAGGGCATGTGAGAAACCTTCATAGCAGCCCCTCCCATCACAGGCCTGGAGACCTAGAAGAAAAAAATGGTTTCCTGAGGAGGTCCAGGGACCCCCTGTTCTATGCAGCCTTGAGACATGGTGCCCTGCATCCAGCTGGTTCATCTCCAGCTGTGGCTAAAAGGGGCCAAGGTACAGCTTGGGCCATTGCTTAACAGGGTGCAAGCCTCAAGTCTTGGCAGCCTTCACATGGTATTGACCTTGTGGGTGCACAGAAGTCAAAAACTGAGGCTTGGGGACCTTAGAGGATATATTAAAAATGTCTGGATATCTAGGCAGAAGTTTGCTGCAGGGGCAGAGCCCTCATGGAGAAAGTCTTGCAGTGCAGTGGGGAATGAAAATGTGGAGCTGAAGCCCCCACATATCGTCCCCACTGGGACAATGCCTAGAGGTACATGAGGTACATGGAGCTGTGAGAAGAGAGCCACCAGAATGGTAGATCTACTGACAGCTTGCACCGAGTGCCTGGAAAAGCTGCAGGCACTCAATTCCAGCCCATTAAAGCAGCTGAGAACTGGGCTGTATCCTGGAAAGCCACAGAGAAGAAGCTGCCCAAGGCCATGGGAACCCACCTCTTGCATGAATGTGACCTGGATGTGAGAAATGCAGTCAAAGGAGATCATTTTAGAACTTTAAGGTTTAATGACTGCCCTTCTGGATTTCAGACTTGCATTGGGCCTGTAGTCCCTTCGTTTTGGCCAATTTCTCCCATTTGGAATGGGTGTATTTACCCAATCCCTGTACCTCCATTGTATCGAGGAAGTTATTTACTTGCTATTGATTTTACAGGCTCATAGCTGGAAGGGACTTGCCTTTACTCAGGTGAGACTTTGGACTTGGACTTTTGGATTAATGATGGAATGAGCTAAGACTTTGGGGGACTGTTGGAAAGGCATGATTGTGTCTTGAAATGTGAGGACATGAGATTCGGGAGGGGCCAGGGGCAGAATACTAAGGTTTTGCTCTTTTCCCACTCAAATTTCATCTTGTATTGTAATTCCCATAATCCATGTGTCATAGTAAGGACCCGGTGGGAGGTAATTGAATCATTGGGGCAGTAACCCTCATGCTGTTCTCATGATAGTGAGTTTTCACAAGATCTGATAATTTTATAATAGGTTTTTCCCCTTTGGCTTGGCACTTCTCTTTGCTGCTGCTATGTGAAGAAGGATGTGTTTGCCTCCTCTTCTTCCATCATTGTAAGTTTACAACATTATCTTTATGCACTCATTGATTGATGGGCATTTGGGGTGGCTCCATATTTTTGCAATTGTGAATTGTGTTGCTATAAACAATGCTATAAATATGCATGTGAAAGCATATTTTTCATATAATGAATTATTTTTCTCTTGGTAGATACCCAGGAGTGAGATTGCTGAATCAAATGGTAGATGTAATTTTAGTTCTTTAAGGAATCTCCACACTGTTTATTCTAGTGGTTGTGCTAGGTCATCTTATCACCAGCAATGTAAAAGTGTTTCCTTTTCACCACATCCACTCTGTGAAAAAAAAAAATATCTTGGGCCCGTTCAAGCCGGGAACCACTCAGGGCAAATCTGCCTCCTATTCTATTCAAGTCATCCCGTTTGTTCACAGACAGAGATGCATATTCTGATTGCCTCTTTTGGAAAGACTTATCAGAAACTCAAAAGAATGCAACCATCTGTCTCTCACCCACCTGTGACCTGGAAGCTCCAGTGAGGGGGGCCCTGCTTTGAGCTGTCTCTGCCTTTCTGGATGTACTTCTTACGCATTGATTGATGTCTTATGTCTCTCTAATATGTGTAAAGCCAAGCTGTCCTCCAACCACCTTGGGCACATGTCCTCAGGACTTCCTGAGGCTGTGTCAGGGGTGCATCCTCAACCTTGGCAAAATAAACTTACCAAATTAACAGAGACCTATCTCAAATTTTGGGGGTTCACATTTTGGTAACCACGGAGGGGGTTCTGAGTAGAGATGCCCCTCACCTTTGACAAATCTCCTATCGGTGCTTGGTACCAGCACAAGCTAATTTTATGGCTCAAACCAATAGGACAGTTTGCTGAGGTCTGAGAGCACCCCCTCCAGAGAATCCTTGATCTCCCAAAATTTGGTCGATATTTAAAGTTTATTTTGCTGTACAACTCCCCCCCCTTTTTTTTTTTTTTTTTTTTTTTTGGAGTTTTATTTGCTTCCAAAAGGAAGGCAAGTTTTTCTGCTTCCATGACAATGGAAGGCAGGTGACTCTTTCCTGGAGTTTGAGCTTGCTTCCAACAGGGAAGATGAGTTTTTTTTTTTTTTCTTTTTGTTGTTGTTGTTTTTCTGCTTCTAGTATAATAGAGAGCAATCTACAGCCTGAGACCCATCACTAGGTAAGGAACTGGTTTGGGATTCTGTCTTGCAAATTGTTTTTAAATAGCTAAAGTTAGCGTTAACAACCAGCTGGTGTTAATTTCTCCTTACACTTAGAGCACTCAGAAATTGTATAATTTGTGTGGTCATTATTAGTTTAACAGCATTTTGTCCTAGCTGAAATAAGGTAATGAGATTTAAAAAGATTTTGTTGTTGTTAAAGGAGCTGAGTAGTTAAAAGTCAGCTTAATTAAAAGGCTAATATCCAAGATGCTTGTGTGTATGTATACACGGGTGCATGTTTGTATGTAAAAGGCCTTCACAGTTTTTGTTTGTTTGTTTTTCTCTCCTAAGACCATGCCTTCTTTTGGAGCAAAGGTTTTTCTTTTTTTCTTCTCAGTTGACTGAATTCTGTTTTCACCTAATTTTTTGACTAAAATATTATTGCAACAGAGGCTACTCTTGGGTTTTTAAGGAATAATGTATTTTAGACACTCAGAAATGTCAGTTTTTTTTAATAAGTGCACTGTAAAAACCTCTCCCTCTAGCACCACCAGACTTTTTTTCTGTACCTTATGATGTAAATTTTGCTATTTGATTTTCACCTGAGTTGTTTCCTTTAATGTGCAAATTTAAGGCTACTTAGCTGACAACTGCCTAGGGTTGTGAAACCCATTGTCATGAATCTGACAGTCTAAGATAAAAAAAAAAAAAAGGGAGGGAGTCTTTATAAATCTGTAAAATGTACTTTCATCAGCATGCCTAATACAACTTTATATGTATTTACATGCTGAATACAAAATGTTTCACTACAAAAAATATATAAAAGAGCTCTAGTTAATTGATCATTAGTGATGTTGAGCATTTTTATTGTTTTTTGGTCATTTGTGTATTTTCTTTTGAGAATTGTCTATTCATGTTCTTAGCCCATTTTTTGATGGGACATTTCTTGCTGATTTGTTTGAGTTCATTGTAGATTTTGGATATTAGTTCTTTGTCAAAAGTGTATCTTGTAAACATTTTCTTCCACTTAGTGGGTTGTCTGTTTGCTGATTATTTCTTCTGCTGTTAGAAGCTTTTGAGTTTAATTAAGTCTCATCTATTTATCATTGTTTTTGTTGCATTTGCTTTTAGGGTCTTGGTCATTACGTCTTTACCTAAGCCAATGTCTAGAAGGGTTTTTCCAATACTATCTTCTATAATTTGTATGGTTTCAGGTCTTAGATTTAAGTCTTTGATCCATCTTAAGTTGATTTTTATATAAGGTGAAAGATGAGGTTTCAGATTCATTCCTCTACATGGGTCTTGCCAATTATCCCAGCACCATTTGTAGAATAGGGTGTCGTTTCCCCACTTTATATTGTTGTTGTTGTTGTTGTTTTTTAATTTTTCCACTTGTTGAAAATCAGTTGACTAAGTATTTGGCTTTATTTCTGGGTTCTTTATTTTGTTCCATTGGTCTATGTGCCTATTTCTAAACGAGTACCACCCTATCTTGGTGAACATGGCCTTATTGTACAGTTTGAAGTCGGGTAATGTGATTCCTCCAGATTTGTTCTTTTTGCTAAGTCTTGCTTTGGCTGTGCAAGCTCTTTTTTTTGTTCCATATAAATTTTAGGATTGTTTTTTCTAGTTCTGTGAAGAATGATGGTGGTATTTTTATGGGAATTGCATTGAATTTGTAGATTGCTTTTGGCAAAATGATTATTTTTACAATATTGATTCTACCTAACCATGTGTTTCCATTTGTTTGTGTCATCTATGATTTCTTTCAACAGTGTTTTGTTGTTGTTTTCATAGAAGTCTTTCACCTCCTTGGTTAGGTATATTTCTAAGTATTTCTTTCTTTTTTGCAGCTATTGTAAAAGTTCTTATTTTATTCTCAGCTTTGTTGCTGTTGGTGTATAGCAGAACTACTGATTTGTGGCCATTGATTGAAACTGCTGAATTCATTTACCAGTTCTAGGAGCTTTTTGCATGAGTCTTCAAGGTTTTCTAGGTATATAATTATGTAATCCACAAACAGTGACAATTTGACTTCCTCTTTACAAATTTGGATGTTCTTTATTTCTTTCTCTTGTATGATTGCTGTGGCTAGGACATCCAGTACTGTCTTTAATAGAAGTGGTGAGAGTGGGCATCCTTGTCTTGTTCCAGTTCTCATTGGAAATGCTTTCAACTTTTCCCTATTCAGTATCATGTTGACTACGGGTTTGTCATAAATGGCTTTTATTACCTTAAGGTATGTCCCTTCTATGCCGATTTTGTGAAGGGGTTTAATCATAAAGGGATGCTTTATTTTGTCATAGGCTTTTTCTGATCATGTGATTTTCATTTTTAATTCTGTTTATGTGGTATATCACATTTATTGACTTGCATATTTTAAACCATCCCTGCATTCCTGGTATGAAACCCACTTGATCATGGTGGATTATCTTCTTGATATGCTGCTGGATTCAGTTAGCTAGTATTTTGTTGACAATTTTTGCATCTATCAGGGATATTGATCTGCAGTTTCCTTTTTTTATTATGTCATTTCCTTGTTTTTGTATTAGGGTGATACTGACTTCCTAGAATTATTTAGGGAGGATTTCCTTTTTCTCTATCTTATGCAATAGTGTCAATATGATTGTTACCAATTATTCTTTGAATGTCTGACAGAATTCAGCTGTGAATATGTTTGGTACTGAACTTTTTTGTGTTCGTAACTTTTTAATTACTACTTCAATCTCACTGCCTATTATTGGTCTGTTGAGGGTTTCTATTTCTTTCTGCTTTAATCTAGGAGGGCTCTATGTTTCCAGGAATTTATCCATCTCCTGTAGGTTTTCCAGTTCATACACATAAAGGTATTCATAGGAGCCTTGAAAGATCTTTTGTATTACTTTGGTATCAGTTGTAATATCTCTGATTTTATGTGTAATTGATCTTATTTGGATCTTGTCTCTTCTTTTCTTGGTTAATCTTGCTAATGTTCCATCATTTATCTTTTCAAAGAACCAGCTTTTTCTTTTATTTATCTTTTGTAGGTTTTTTGTTTCAATTTCATTTAGTTCTCCTCTGATCTTGATTATTGATTTTCTTCTGCCAGATTTGGGTTTGGTTTGTCCTTGTTTCTCTAATTCCTTGAAGTGTGACCTTAGAGTGTCTATTTGTGCTCTTTCAGACTTTTTGATTGTAAGCATTGAGTGCTATAAATTCTCTTCTTATCTGCTTTTGCTGTACCCTAGAGGTTTTAATAGGTTGTGTCACTATTATCATTAAGTTCAAAGAATTTTAAATTTTCATCTTGATTATATTGTTGACCAAATATTCATTCAAAATCAGGTTATTTAATTTTCATGGTTTTGAGGGTTCCTTTTAGAGCTGATTTCCAATTTTCTTCCATTATGGTCTAAAAGAGTACTTGATATAATTTCAGTTTTCTTAAATTTGTGGAGACTTGTTTTGTGGCCTATCATATGGTCTATCTTGGAGAATGTTTCATGTGCTGATAAATAGAATGTTTATTTGCCATTATGGGGTAGAATGTTTTGTAAATATCTGTTAAGTCGATTAAACTAGGATGTAGCTTAAGTCCATTGTTTGTTTGTTGACTTTCTGCCTTGACGACCTGTCTAGTGATGTCAGTGGAGTACTGAAGTCCCCCACTATTATTGTGTTGCTATTGTAGGAGTTATTAAGAAATAACTTTCAGGCAGCTAGAAAGGGCTAATGTTCTCAGTGGAATTTTCCTTTAATAAACAAGTGCCCCCAAACCATTTCCTTTCCTTCCCTCCTTCCTTCCTTCCTTTCTTCCTTCCTTCCTTCCCTTTCTTTCTCTTTATTTGTTTTTCTTTTTTTATGGAGTTTGACTCTTGTTGCCCAGGTTGGAGTGCAATGGCGCAAACTTGGCTCACCACAACCTCTGCCTCCTGGGTTCAAGTGATTCTTCTGCCTCAGCTTCCCGAGTAGCTGGGATTACAGGCATGCGCCACCATGCTGGGCTAATTTTGTATTTGTGGTAGAGACGGGGTTTCACCATGTTGGCCAGCCTGGTCTCAAACTTCTGACCTCAGGTGATCCACCCACCTCAGCCTCCCAAAGTGCTGGGATTACAGGCATGAGCCACCGCACCAGGCCAAACCATTTTCTTTCTAAAAGAAAGTGGCTTCACAAACAAGGCCAGCAAGCATTGCTATGCAAATGCCAGTGGCTAAAAACCAGGTCCACCCAATACGGTGGTTTTTGCCCTCTTCTCCATGTCACCACATGTGCCAGGTGTCATGGCTACCTCCAGATAACACCACGGGTGCAGGACATCACAGCGACGTGCATTTGCATATTAAAAGGCTAGGGTGGGAGGACCAGTTTCTTCGTGGGCTACATGAATGAAGCACCTGGTCAAACCAAACCCCTGGGCCCTATGCAAATCAGGCATCACCTCCTCCAGCCTCCCAATAGAATTAACTGCTTTCCACCACACACGGGATTTCTCTGTTTGGAGTCCCCCTCCCACAGCACGGGGAAGCAGTTTTCTTCTTTCTTGCCTATTAATTTTTCCACTCCTTAAAACGACTCCATTTGTTTCTGTGTTGTTAATAGTGTTGATGTGAGACCAAGGACCCTAGTGATTCTCCCATCATTGGAGCAGTATCATTTTGGTGCATTGGCCGAGAGATTCATTCATGGGAGCGGTGAGTATAGGAGTGAACTAAAAATCTGTCCTGCTTCAAATCAGTCTTTTTTTCTTGAGGAAAACTTAGCCATCATGTGAAGCTGGGAAAAATACTGAAGCAACTGTGAATTTCTGGCCAGGGGACACCTTGGTGTTATTCAAAGGCTGATGGACTAGACCTAGCCTCCAACAGCCCACTCGGGGTTTTGGTAAAGAATCCCCAGCTATCCTGTCACAAAACTTCCTTTCTTTTTCTATCCATGGTCTCTTACCCTCTCTGTGTATTGAATGTGTGGGAAGTTTGCAGTTCAGGGAAACAGGTCTGTTAGGAAAAATTGGCAAATGCGGCAGGGAGTAACTCAATAAGCATCTTTCTATACCATTTCTCTGGTGAGCACATACTATTTCTAAGCCAACAGTGCCATATAGTGAAAATAGAAATCCTCTCCATGAAACACATTTGTGTGTGTGTGTGTGGTAACACTGCAGCTTCCTTTTGCATCACTAGAAATTGAGCTCTAAGTCCCTTATGTGAGTGGGAAAGTTCTGCCTTCAACTATTAGGAGTAAAATATCCTCCACAGTCAAATTTTAGTTCCAATACTGTCCCATAAGCAGAAAAATCATCATTAGGTTAGTAATGGGACTTTCAGTCCAGAAGTTAACCGGAACCATTTTTCTAAGGGTAAATGCTTTAGCATGGGCCGTAATGGGAGGCACTCTATCACATTCCCTCCATTAAAGGAGGCTTGTCTTTTATATAGTCTTTCCCAAGATCAATGTTTTGGAGAGCTAGGCAGATCCCACAATTCATGAAGTTAAGGGGGAATCACACAAGGTTGATAAGCTAAGGTTGCGTGGGTGAAGTATGGTTAGTCCCATCACTTAGTTTATCCAGTTCCATGGCTTGGAGGGCCATGACTACAACCATGGGCAGCACATTTAACAGGGTGCCAGGACCCAGGAACTAGAAAGGAAAAATATTCAGGAGGATGCTCCACTGTTATCCTTTCCACCTTGGGTCACATACGGAAGTGAAGGAAACTAAAGGGATGCCTTCTCTCACTTCTCTTTCTGGGTTGGTAACAGATTATCTCCAGTTTACAGCCCTCTGGAGTGCACTCTGAAATATTGGAACTTCCTTAACCTCAGGACTTTGAAAAGAAAAGCAACTCATTTTCTTTTGCACAGGGCATGACATTTTTACTAAACCTTTGCAAACATTGTAAGTTCAACCGAGCTCTTTTAGCAATCATATCAGGCAGGTCCAAAGATAATGGTTCCCCCAAATTAGAGAAGCAACTTCCAGGGGAACCATCTGAGGACACCCCTTATTTGGGGCCCCTTCAAGTTCCCTTCTCATTACAAAACCTTAGGCAAATAAAGGGAGACTTAGGCCAATCTTCTAAAGACCCTGATAGGCATACAGAAGCTTTCCAGAATTTAACCTCTTATGGTATTTGACCTCATACAGAGGGATGTTAAGCTGCTTCTAAACCAAACCCTCACTGCAGCTGAAAAGCAGGCAGCTCTGCCCGCAGCATATTATTTCACAGATGAGCAATATATCTCCTATAATACACCAAAAGGGAAGAAAAGAGATAGAGAAAGTGGACAAAAAGCAGAAACACCATTCCAAATTGAAAGGGAAGCAGTTCTGGTAGATAACCCTGATTGGGACCCCAATAGCTCTGCAGATAAATGGAAAAGGAAGCACTTTTTAATATGCATTTTAGGAGGTCTGCAAAGGACTAAGGCCAGACCTCTCAATTATTCTAAACTGTCTATGATAAACCAAAAGCCAGATGAGAATCCTGTAGCCTTTATGGAAAGACTGAGAGACGCACTAATAAAACACACCTCTTTATCTCCTGATTCAGTCATTATAAAGGACAAGTTTATTGCCCAGGCAGCTCCCGATATTAGAAGGAAACTACAGAAGGAAGCTATAGGACCAGATAGCACCTCAGAGAACCTTCTGAAAGTGGCCATTTTGGTCTTTTATAACAGGGATCAAGAGGAAGCCCAAAAGAAAGAGAGAAAGATCAGGAGAAGGATAGAGGCTCTACTAGCAGCTTTGCAGACTTGCAAAGTCCATGATCCCCGAGGTGCATCCGCTAGTTGTTATCAATGTGGCAAGTCAGGGCATTTTAAAAAGGAATCCCCAAGCATCAAGAGAAAGCCACCTCAACCCTGTCCAGCCTGTGGTGGAGACCACTGGAGATGGAACTGTCCCCAGAGACAGAGGTCACTGGGTTCAGAACCAGTCTCACAGATGGTCCAGCAGGACTGATGGGTCCTGGGGCTCAAACCCCTGGCTCCAGTGACTCAAACTGCCCTTATAGCACAGGAGCCCTGGGTGATTCTGGTAATTAAAGGAAGGAAAGTAGACCTCCTTCTAAACACTAGAGCCAGTCTCCCTCTTTTCTCCTCTCTAATCCAGGCCTCCCCTCTTCCCATAGCAAGACCATAAGGGCATCTCAGAAAAATTTGTAACCCAATATTTTTCTTAATCTCTTATTTGCAGTTAGGAGAACCTATTATTTACACATGCTTCCAAGCCATTGTCACAATAGCTTTAGTCAGAAAAGCCTCCAAATTAACCCTAGGAAATTATTTAACTGTTTACACTCCACATAATGTGGCAGGATCACTGTCCTCTAGGGGGAGCTCTTAGCTAACAGCCAGTAAAGCAAGAAGTCCATAAGGCAGGATAAGCAGTAGTCACTCTAAATAATGTTTCTTTCCAGACAAAAGCAATCAATTCACTGAACTAATAGCTCTTACAAGAGCAATTGAATTAAGCAAGGGAAAGATAGCTAACATTTATACTGACTGCACGTATGCTTTCTTAGTTCTCCATGCTCATGCTGCCATCTGGAAGGAAAAACATTTTCTTACTACCAATGGATCTCCTATAAAATGTCACCAGAAAACCAGCAGGTTATTATCCTCAATTTTTTCTTTCCATGAGAGGTAGCAGTAATGCATTGTAGGGGATGTCAAGAAGGAACAAATAAAGTAGCCAAAGGAAATAGATTAGCTGATCAGGCAGCTAAGTCAGTGGCAAGGAAGCCTCAAGGCATTGATACAATTAGCAGAAGCCCAACCCCAGGAAATAAAGCCACCTTTATTTAACCCAGGATATTTGGTATTAGTGAAAACTCTCATCTCTCTCTCCTTCCCTAAGTCAAGCTGGGAAGGGCCCCACACTGTTGTTCTTTCAACCCCTTCAGCAGTAAAAGTTACAGGAATTGATTCCTGGATACATCACACTCAAGTCAAAGCCTAAAAAGCTGAGGGAGCAACCCCTGACAGCCCAGAGGAACGTCCTGGATATCCATGTGAAGAAATAGAAGATCTTAAGCTGAAAATCATTTAAAAACGTAACTGAGTGAGGGCTACTCATCTTACTCAGTCCCACTCCTACCGCCCCAGATACTTTTTATTATTTCTGCCCTTTCCTCTGAAATTCACCACCGACTGTCTTTTTAACACATATTTGCAGGGAGATTTTAATTATTCATAGAATTGCATTTGTAACTTCGTAGATCCCCAAAGGGAAATCTTATATCTTGGCAAATAAAGTTTTAAATGAAAATTATTTACTACATCACTCTTCTGGGAATGGTTATAGTCATGCTACTATTTGCAATAGAACTGTACACTGTGGCAACCCACAATGTGGAATTCTGGTTGTAAAATTCTAATTGCTGAAATATTTTAACGGGTTATCATCCTTATAACCAAATTAATAATTGCAGGAAATATTTAGTTAAAGTTGTTTTGCTTATAGCAGGAGTAATAGTTACGGATAAGAAGTAAGCATGAAAGTTTTACTATCGTTAAGCTTGATAGGGCTTTTTATTGAAGACTGGTAATATGGTGCACTCTAAGCTATGAAAAGAAGGTTATAAAGGGAGAAGTTTTATATGGTAAATTCTTGTCCTAACAGGAAATGACTGGTTGTTTAAAGGAAGGATGTTAGGACAAGTCAGAAAGTTTGAGTATGTTGTAAGAAGGTCTGTGAAAGTCATGAAATAATTACATAATTAAAGGAAAGGAATTGTCAAGATTAACACTAAAGTTATGTCAGCCACCCAATAACGTATTTCTCCCAATTATATTGCAAGTTATAAAAAATGACCTAAGCCTAAAATTATTCTCTAATGGAAAGTCAAGGGGGAAATGTATGATTTTCTCAAGGAAACTGTTACTTTTATATTAACATTTCTGGTAATGTACAGCAACACCTAGTGGAAGCAAACCGGTATTTTAATCCATTGGTATAACTAACGGGTGTAAAACTCTGCTGTCAGTTATGGTCTATAGGACCACCACTAATAGTGGTAATGTTAATACTCATATTTTAACCCTATATTTTAAACCTTCTTGTAAAACATGTCTTTTTTCACCTAGAAGCAATCAATCTCCAAACAGTGCTGCAAGCGGAGCCACACATGGACGTGCCATTCTTCCGAGAACCCTTAGATCAACCTCAGGAGAAGGCCCAATTGCTGTCTCCCCACACAATGCCCCTTTTCAGCAGGAAGTAGCCAGAAAGAATTGTCATCCATCACCCCCTAACAGCAGTTGAGTGGGGAATAATATAGGAGTTATTAAGAAATAACTTTTAGCCAGCTAGAAAGGGTGAATGTTCTCAGTGGAATTTTCCTTTAGCAAAAAGCAATCCCCTAAACCATTTTCTTTCTAACAGAAAGCAGATTGAAAGATCAGGCCAGCAAGCATTGATAGGCAAATGCCACTGGCTCAAAACCAGGTCCACCCAACATGGTGATTTCTGCCCTCTTCTTGTCGCCACAAGTGCCAGGTGTCATGGCCACCTCCAGATAATATCACATGTGGAGGATATCATGGTGTCCCACATTTGCACATTAAAAGGCTAGGATTGGAGAGACTGTTTTTTTCACAAGCTATGTGAATGACATACCTGGACAAACCAATCCCCTGGGCCCTATGCAAATCAGGTACTGCCTCCACCAGCCTCCCACTATAACCAACTGCTTTCTGCCACATGTAGGGTTTCTCTGTTGGGAGTCCCCCTCCCTCTGTACAGGGGATCCATTTTCTTTCTTTCCTCTTTCTTGCCTATTAAACTTTCCACTCCTTAAAACCACTCCACATGTGTCTGTGTCATTAATCATACTGGCATGAGACCAAGGACCCTGATGTTTCTCCAGTCATGGGAGAAATATCATTGCTGTCTATCTCATTCTTTAGGTCTAGTAGTAAATGTTCTTTACATTTCAGAGCTCTAGTTTTACGTACATATATACTTAGAATTGTGATATATTCCTTTTTGACTAGTCTTATTATTATTTAATATCCCTCTCTGTCTTTTCAAACTGCTGTTGTTTTGAAGTTTGTTTTGTCTGATATAAAAATAGCTACTTCTGCTTACTTTTGGTGTCCTTTTGCATAGAATATCAGAATATCTTTTTCCACTCCTTTACCTTAAGTTTATGTGAGGACTTATGTGTCAGGTGAGTCTCTTGAAGACAGCAGACACTCGGTTGGTGAATTCTCATCCATTCTGTTATTCTCTATCTTGTAAGTGAAGCATTTAGGCCATTTACATTCAATGTTAATATTGAGATGTTAGGTACTATTCTACTCATTGTGCTATTTGTTGCCTGGATACCTTGTTGTTGTTGTTGTTTCATTGTGTTATTGTTTTATAGGTCCTGTGAGATTTATGTTTTAAGGAGGTTCTATTTTGGTGTATTTTGAGAATTTGTTTCAAAATTTAGAGCTTATTTTAGCAGTTCTTGTAGTGTTGGCTTGGTATTGGCGAATTCTCTTAGCATTTGCTTATCTGAAAAGATTACGTTTCCTTCATTTATGAAGCTTAGTTTCTCTGGATACAAAACTCTTGGCTGATAATTGTTTCATTCAAGGCAGCTAAAGAGAGGACACTAATACCTTCTGGCTTGTAAGATTTCTGCAGAGAAATCTGCTGTTAATCTCATAGGTTTTCCCTTTTAGGTTACCTGATGCTTTTGCCTCACAGCTCTTAAGATTCTTTTCTTTTCGTCTTGACTTTAGATACTAACCTGATGACTATGTGCCGAGGCGATCTTGTCATGATGAATTTCCCAGATGTTCTTTGAGCTTCTTGTATTTGGATGTTTAGATCTCTAGCAAGGATGGGGAAGTTTTTCTTGATTATCCCCTCAAATATGTTTTTCAAACTTTTAGATTTCTCTTATTCCTCAGGAACACCAATTATTCTTAGGTCTGGTCATTTAACACAATCCCGATCTTTTTGGAGGCTTCATTCCTTTTTTAAATTATTTTTGTTCTTTGTCTTTGTGGGATTGGGATAATTCAAAAACCTTTTCTTCAAGCCCTGAAGTTATTCTACTTCTTCAATTCTGTTCCTGAGACTTTCCAGTGCATTCTGCATTTCTCTAAGTATGTCCTTTATTTCCAGAAGTTATTATTTTTATCTATGCTATCTATCTCACTGGAGATTTTTCCATTTATATCCTGTATTTTCTAAATTTCTTTAAGGTGGACTTAACCTTTCTCTGCTGCTTCCTTGATTAGCTTAATAATAAACCTTCTGAATACTTTTTCTGGCAATTTAGAGATTTCTTCTTGGTTTGGATCTATACCTCATAAGCTAGTCTGATATTTTGGGGGAGTTAAAGAATCTTGTTTTGTCATATTACCAAAATTTATTTTCTGTTTTTTTCTTATTTGGGTAGACTACGTAAGAGGGAGGATATAGAACTCAAGGGCTACAGTTCAGATTCTTTTTTCCCACAAGGTTCTCTCTTGATTTGGTGCTCTCTTTCTTCTCCCAGGGATGAGGGTTTCTGAGAAGCAAACTGCAGTGACTGTTATTTTTCTTCTGAATCTAGCCACCCAGCAGAGGTAATGGGCTCTGGGCTGGTACTGGGGAGTGTCAGAAAAGAGTCCTGGGATGTGTTCTGTCTTCAGGGCTCTCAGCTGTGGATACCAGCACCTGCTCCAGTGGAGGCAGCAGGAAAGTGAAGTAGACTATGTGAGGGTCCTTGGTTGTATTTTTGTTAAGTGTGCTGGTTTTGTGTTTGTTGGTCTCCAACCAGGAGATGTAAACTTCGAGAGTGCATCAGCTGCAGTAGTATAGGGAGGATACAAGCTTGCCTTAAGGCCAGGTGGTGGGCAGGGCCATAAAGCTTCCCCAGAGCTCTATTGCCCTTTGTCTTTGGCTACCAAGGCAGGTAGAGAAACATCATCAGGTGGGGGAAGGGTTAGGCATGTCTGAGCTCAGACCTTCCTCCAGCGGGTCTTGTTGCACCTGCTGCGTGGGACGGAGGTGTAGTTCTCTGGCCAACGAAGTTATGTTCCCAGGGGGATTATGGCTGCCTCTGCTGCATCACACAGGTCACCAGAAGAGTAGGGGAAAGCCAGCAGGCACAAACCTCACCCAGCTCCCATGCAACCTGCAGCCCAGAAGGCTGGTCTCACTCCCAGAAGCACTGAGTTTATTTCCAGGCAGCCCATGAGCAGTGCTGAGAACTTGCCTTAGGCTACAAGCCTCTCAGCTGAGAAAACAAGCCGACTCACAGTTCTTTGGCTGTCCGTGGAGCCTGTAGCAGCAATTCACCTTTTTCAAAGGGTCTGTGGATCCTCTAGGCTTTCCTGGTATGTTCCTGCAGTAGTTTTTGAAGTTCACGATGTAAGTCTCCAAATTCTGTTCTGTCCATCCGAGTGGGAGTTGCAAGTTAGTCCTGCCTCCTATCTGCCATTTTTTTTTTTTCTTATTTTTTTTATTTTCTCTTGCTGCTTTTAGGATCTTTTTTTTTTCATCTTTTAAAACATTTAAAACTATATGAAACATTATATATAGACAAATTCATGTATAAAATAATAACATATGATCTACTTCTCTCAGCTTGATTGACATTTGTAAAAATAAAAGTAGTGGTTTAGCTACTGAGAATAGCTTGGTAATAATTTTACAAGGGTAAGATTAAGAGATTGTAATTTTTACTTTTATGCCTTCTAATCAACTTCTTTGAGGAATGTTTCTATAGAAATATGTATCTCAAGTTTGCTTCTCTTAATAAAGAGCCTGTAACAAGCTATATCAACAGCTAGAGGGGGACATTTCCAAATTTGAATTACTGGTGACATTTTTACTTTGAATTTATTTTTTAAAAATTTATTTGTATTATTATTTTTTTATTTTACTTTAAGTTCTGGGATACATGTCCTGAATGTGCAGGTGTGTTACACAGGTATACATGTGCCATGGTGGTTTGCTGCACCTATCAACCCGTCATCTAGGTTTTAAGCACCTCATGCATTATTTGTCCTAATGCTCTCCCTCCCCTTTCCCCCAAACCCTCGACAGGCCCTGGTGTGTTATATTCCTCTCCCTGTGTCCATGTGTTTTCATTGTTAAACTCCCACTTCTAGCAATTGTGAATGGGAGTTCACTCATGATTTGGCTCTCTGCTTGTCTATTATTGGTGTATAAGAATGATTGTGATTGTGATTTTTGCACATTGATTTTGCATCCTGAGACTTTGCTGAAGTTGATTATCAGCTTAAGGAGTTTTGGGGCTAAGACAATGGAGTTTCCTAAATATACAATTATGTCGTCTGCAAACAGAGACAATTTGAGTTCCTCTCTTCCTATTTGAATACGATTTATTTATTTCTCTTGCTTGATTGCCCTGGCAAGATCCTTTCTTTATACTTGACCTTTGGGAATTGGATTATTAAATGTCTTAAGGTAATAGTCTTCTTTGGGTTTATTCTGACTGCTGTTCTATAACCTTCTTGTATATGGATATTGATAACCTTTTCTAGGTTTGGGATTTCTGTGTTATTATCCCTTCAAATAAACTTACTGCCCCCATCTCTTTATTTCCTCTTTAAGGGTTATATCTCCTATCTTTGCTCTTTTGAGGTTATTTTCTGTTTTCTAGATCATATGACATCTAGAAATTTTTTTTTAATTCTTTTTTATTTCATCTCCTCTGACTGTGTATTTTTAGATAGTTTGCCATTAAGGTCAATAACTCTTCCTTTAACTTGATCATTTCTGCTATTTATAAATTCAGTATGAAAAATACAGCATTTTTCAACTGTAGAATTTCTGCTGCTTTTAATTTTTTTCAATCCCTTTGTTTAATTTATCTGATAGGATTCTGAATACTTTATCAGTGTTATCTTGAATTTCATTGATTTTCCTCAAAATGGTTATTGTGAATTCTCTATCTATCTGAAAGGTCAAATACATCTGTTTCTTCAAGACTGGCCTTTTTTTTAATTTAATTTGTTTGGTGAGGTCATGGTTTCCTGGATGGTCTTGATATTTGTCTGTGTTTGAGCATTGAATAATTAGTTATCTATTATAGTCATCTCAGTCCGGGCTTATTGGTAATCATTCTTCTGAAGAGGCTCTCTAGATATTCCAAAGATCTTGGGTGTTGTAATCAAAGCCGTATCTGCTTTAGAGGGAAACCCCAGCCCAGTAACACTCTTATTCTTGCAAACTCATGGAGGCACTGCCTTGATGGTTTTGGGCAAGAACCAGGAGACTTGTCTGGATTACCAGGAGACACTCTTGTTCTCTTTTTCTTATTTTCCCCTAAACAAACATAGTCTCTCTCTGTGTGTGTTCTGAGCTACCTAAAGCTGGGGGTGGAGCAACATAAGTACCCTTGTGGCCACAACTGTAGGACTGCGCTGGGTCCTACCTGAATGCAGCACAGCCTTGGGTCTTGCCCAATGCATGCTCTAACCACTCCCTGGCTACTGCAAATGTTCTTTCAAGGCATTGGTGCTCTACAATCAGCAGTTAGCAAAGTCAGCCAGACCTGTGTATTTCCTTTCAGGATGATGAGTTTCCTCAGGTGGTGGGCAGGTCTAGAGTTGCCATCTGGCAGCCAAGGCCTAGAATCAAAAATCTCAGAAGTCTACCTGGTATTCTATTTTACTGTGGCTGAGCTGGGACTCGAACCACAAGACATAGTTTTTCCCTCTATTCCCTCCTCTTTCCAAATATAGAGGAGCATCACCCAGTGTCACCACTATTGCAGTCCCATAGGGAGTATTGCCAGATTTCTGCCTATATCCCCTTAAGGCCCAGGGTCTCTTAAGTCAGCTTATGATGAATTCTGCCAGGCCTGGAACCCACCCTTCAGGGCAGTGGGCTCCCCTATGGCCCAGGGCAGGTCCAGAAATGCTATCTAAGAGCCAAGTCCTGATATCTAAGACCCCAAGAGCCTACTTAGTGTTCTACCTCCTTGTGTTTGAGCTGGTACCTAAGGAGCAAGACAAAGTCCCCTTTACTTTTCTCTCCATTTTTCTCAAGCAGAAGGAGCCTTCCCCTATAGTCACCACACGTGCAAATGTGCTAAGTCTCACCTGAAGCCAGCAAGTTCCAGAGGCTCATGCAAGGTCCTTGACATAGTACCTGGATATCACTTCTGGCTTTTGTGAGCCCAAGTGCTCTTCAGCTAACTGGTGGTGAATCCTGCCTGGACTGTGTCCTTTTCTTCAAGGCATCATGTTCTTTTATGGCTGAGGTTGTTTCTAGAAATGTCACCCAAGAGCTAGTGCCTGGAAAGGGGTCCTCATGACTCTGACCAATGTCCTACACTGCTGTGGTTGAGCTGGTACCCAAGGTGCAAAACAAAGTCCTCTCCATTTTTTTTTTCCTTCAGCAGAGGGAACAGGTCTCTTTTCAAGCCATGAACTGTGTAGCCTGAGGTTAGTGTGGTGGTGATGCTAGCACTTTCGTAGCCACCCTGGCTGGTGTGTAAGTAGGTTACATGTCCCTCTAGGCTACCAGTTCAAGACACAGTTCAGCACTCGGACTCCTCTGGGAGTTGCAGTTCTTGTGGCCTAGACTGCCTTTCAAGTTTATTTGGGGCCCCAGAGCCCTTTATCCCGAAGTCGTGAGGTTTGCAGGAACTCAATTTTTGACTACTGGGATCAGCAATTCCCTTCTGGCTATGGCTGGATTAAATGCTCCCTCCATGAGCAGGCATCAGCTGAGTTTGGTTGTTTGTTTTCTGTTATAATAGGGCAGCACTGAATTTAATGCGTCCCAGTTGCTGCACTCTCCTTCTTCACAGCTCACAAAAATGCTCTCAGCACTATGCTGCCACTGCCAGTCGATGAGGAAAGAATGGCGTTGGCAATTGAAAACTGTTTTTCCTGCCTCCTAAGTGCCTCTTTCAGCAATATAAATTTAGAACCCGGTACTGGGAGTGCTCATCTCTTTTTGTTGTTGTTGTTCTTAAGAAGGAGCTTTTATTCTGCAGATACTTGTTAAATTGGTGTCTGTGTTAGGGGAGTGGTGATGAGTGGAACCTTCTATTCTAACATCTTGCTCCACCCCACATACTATTGATTTTTTTCTCATTCAGTCTAGCTGAAATTTTGTCTATTTTGTTGCTGTTTTTAAAGAGCCAGCTCATGGTTTCATTGACATTTTATTGTTTTTCTATTCTCTGTTATCTTCCTCTATGTTCTCATGTTTATTATTTTCTTCTGCTAGCTTTAGGTTCTGTTTATCCCTATTTTTCTATTTTTTCTTTCACAAAACAAAAATCTGACTTATTAGTGTTTTTTATATCTTTTGCTTTTGATATCATATCTAAAATCTCAACACCAAACCTAAGGATATGCACAGTTTATTCTGCATCTTCTTCCTTGTCGAAATCTACTTGACTATATTTGTTTTGGTCTATTTTGTGGCTCTCTGCTGTGTTCCACTGATACAGGTGGCTATCCTTTGCCAATACCATGCTGTCTTAATTATTGTAACTTTATAAATCTTGAAACCAGATAATATAGCTTCGACTTTGTCCTTTTTCAGAATTCTTTTCGTTATTCTATTTTTTGCCCTTTCTTATACATTTTAGTTTCTGCTTCTCATTATATACAAGAATATTTGTTGAGATTCTTAATCCCCTATAGACTGTTGAATCTACAGATAAAATTTGGGGAAAATGACATCTTACCAATATTAAGCATTGCAGTCTATGAAAATTATGTGTTTCTATTCATTTACTGCATTCATCAGTGTTTTTCCGTTCACTCTATACAGAGTCTGCACTTAATTTATTATTCTTCAACTATGTTTTTTTATTTTTATGCAACTTTAAATGACATTGATTTTTATTGTTCGTATATAAGAATACAATAGACATATATTGACCTTGTATCATGGGAACTTATAAACTTGTTTATTAGTTTATACAGCTTTTTTGTACCCTTTTTTGAATTTTCTGTATGAAAAATAATGTTATCTTATGGAGACAGTTTAATTTCTCCCTTAAAAATCTTTAAAGTCTTATTTCTTTTTCTTGACTGATTACTCCACTAGGACTTTGAATATAATGTTTATTAGGACAGGTGGGAGAGAACGTTCTTGATAGATGACCTTTTGTAAATTAAATAACTTCACTTTTATTACTAGTTCATTGAGAGTTTTTACATTTTTTTCCCGCATTTATTGAGATGTGTGAGTTTTATTTTTTTTTCATGCTGCCATGAAAAAGATTTTTTTTTAATTGTGTGGGTTTTCATTTGCAGCCACTTAATAAGGCAAATTACATTAATATTTCAATTTTGGACTAGTCCTGCATTCCTGAAAAAATCCTTTTTTTTCAAGTTATACTATCCTTTTATATATGTTTCTGAATTTTAATAGCTAATATTTTGTTGAGAATTTCTGTATCCATTATCATGAAGGATATTAATATTTTCCTTTTTCAATGTCTTTATGTGATTTTGGTAAAAGAATAATAATGCCATGAAGAAATGAGTTCAAATGTGTTTCTTCCTCTTCTATTTTCTAGAATAAATTTTGTAGAATTGGTAGTATTTCTTCCTCAAATGTTTGGTAGAATTTGTCAGTGAAATCATTGAGTTTAGAATTTTCTTTATTGGAAGGTTTTAAAGTACAATTACAATTTTTTTTTTAAGATTTAGGACTATTTGTTGTTTTCCATTATTGATGAGCTTTAGTAGTTTATGACCATATTACTTTTCTACTGCTGCTGTGACAAATCATCACATTCTTAGTGTCTTGATGCAAATGTATGATCTTACACTTCTGAAAGTCAGAAGTCTGACATGTGACTCATTGGGCTAAAATCAAGGTGTTGTCAGGACTGTGTTTATTTTTATATTTTGGGGGGCTCTAAGGGATAATCTGTTTTTGTTGTTGTTGTTGTTGTTTTTGTTGTTTTTGCTTTTTCCAGCTTCTAATGGCCACTTGCATTGTTTGTTTTCAAGGAAGCCATCTTCAAGTTTAGCTATATCAAATCTCTTTCTGGCTGTCTTCTATCATCACATCTTGTATGTTTTCTACTGCTGCTATAACAAATCTTAACAAACTTAGTGGCATCAAACAATACAAATTAATTATCTCACAGTTTTGAAACTTGGATGTCCAAAGTAGTTCAGCAGCATTAATGGCATTTCTTTTGAATGCTTTAAGGAGAAATTAATTTTCTTGCCTTTTTCAGTTTTTAGAGATTACCTGCATTATTTGGAACATAGTCCTGTATTACTCTGACTCCTTTTTCCGTTGTTACCTGTCCTCCTCTAATGCTAACCCTCCAGTCTTTCTCTTATAAAGACTCTTGCGATTACATAGGGGACATTGGACAATTCAGAATATTCTCCCATTTCAAAATCCTTAACTTTATCACATCAGCAAACTTTGTCTGCTATGTAAGGTAAAATATTCATAAATTCCAAGGTTTAGAATATGTACATCTTTGGGTGTGGACACTGTTCTGCCTACTTTATCTTTCATTCTGACTTTATCCAGGAAATGTTCTCTGCTGTTAAGAATTTATATGATTGGGTTGGACTAAACCAGAAAATCCAGAATAAGTTTTCCATTTCAAGATGTTTCACTTTACTCACACATTCAAGGTGACTTTGACAAGTAAAGTTATAGATTCGTGAGTTCTGGGTATTAGGAAATGAACATTTTTTGAAGAGTCATTATTCTGCTTACCACAGCAGATTTAGAGGAATTGGTCCATTTCATTTCAGTATTAAATTTATTATTATAAAGTTGTTAATATAATTTCCTTATTATATTTTCACATCTGTGGAGTCAATATTGATGTTCATTCTTTTATTCCTGATATTGGTAATTGTGTCTTCTCTCTTTTTATTTTAGTTACTCTGGTTAGAGTTTTAACAATTTTATTGATGTTTTCAAAGAAACATCTTTTTGTTCATTATTTTTTCCTAGTTTTGTTATTTTCAATTGATTTATGCTTTAATTTGTATTATTTACTTTCTTCTGTTCACTTTGAGTTTAATTTACTCCTCTTCTCTATTACTCGGGGTGGCTACTGATTTTAGATTTTTGTTTTGTTTTTTTTCTATAATTATTATTTGCATTCAATTTGCTTCTAAGCACCACTTTAGTGGCATCCTACAGATTTGGATATGTTATATTTTAATTTTTATTCAGTTCAAAATATTTTAATTTCCCTTAAGACTTCCTTTTTGATATATGGATTATTTAGAAGTTTGGCATTTAATTCCCAAATGTTCTTGAATTTTCCTATTGTCTTTCTGTAATGGATTTTTACTTTGTCTAGTCTAGAACACACTTTGTATAATTTCTATTTATTTTAATTTATAAGCTTTCCTTTATGGTTCAGAATATCATCCACCTTTGTTTGTGCCCCATGTACGTTTCAGAAGAATGTATATTCATTCTGCCATTGTTAGGTAGATTGTTCCATAAATATCAATGATAGTGTTGCTCAGAATATATATATATGTGTGTATATATATATAGTTTATATATATCATTATATATTATATATAGTTTATATATATAGTTTTTCTGCCTACTTATTTATCAATACCTTTGAGAAAATTGTTGAAGTTTCCAACTTTAATTGTGGATGTGGCTATTTGTTTTTTCAGCTCTGTGAGTGTTGCTTCATGTATTTTATGTATTTAGGAAGCATGTGCCTTCTTGATGAATTGATTCTTTTATTATTATCTACTATCTCTATTTATACCTGATAACATTCCTTGTTTTGAAGTCCTAAGGGTACAGTTTTGTTGTTCCTCCCTACTGAATATTAAAGCTTTTTTTTTTTCATAAGTGCGTTAAGAAAGATGGGTCTGAATATAATTTCCCCTATCCCCTTCCCCTAGGCAGTATTGTGAAGCCAATTTTCTTGGGATTTTCCCCACTTCCTTGTGATCACCTGGTAAAGTTCCTGATGAGAAAGTTTTCAGCGCGCTGCTAACCCCACTGTATTTACACCATTAAAGACTTTACACTCTAATCCTAGCTCATGTTCTTAGTCTTTAGCAGTTTGTTAAAACTTTTTAACTGCGTCTCCTTCAATGTATAACATTCACTGACATCTTCTCCAGATAAGCCAGTGCTAGAGTCTAATTTTTCCTTGCAGGAGCCAATCTCTCCAAGGTTTTGGGTAAATTGGCCTTTGACTTTAGTTCTCTGATGGGTTCACAAAAAGTCCTTAATTTTCAGTGTTTCTGACATTTCTTATTGTAAGCATAGGAGGTGTAATGTTCTTTTCAACTTTCTATATCTCTGAGCAGAAACCACAAGTGACATTCACCATGTATTACTCATCTGTGTTTTTAGAGAGAGAGAGAGATCTAGTTTTCTTCCAACTTTCTATAATCACAAGCAATGCTACAATAAATATATATTCTCCTATGATCCTATGTGAGAATTCTTCTTGGTTACAGACCCAGGAGAGGTCTGTATTAACCCAGGTTAATAGGTCATAGCATATGCATGCACTTAATTTGGTTAGTTGCTGTCACACTACTCTTCAGAATGGCTGCACATGTCTACATGCCCACCAATGATAAATGAAATCTGATTTCTCATCCTTGTCAATATATAACATTATAAAATTTTCTAATCTTTGCAAATATAAATGGAAAGTGGCAAAGCATTGTTTTAATATACCTTTTATTACTAGTGATTTTGAACATATTTTCTCATGCTTATTGGATATTAGATTTTCCCTTCTCTGACTTGCTTATTCTTATATTTTCTTAAATTTACGATTTTATTTTCTTGTTGGTTCATATGAGTTTTTTTTGTTGGTGTTTATTCTAGATATTAGGTTGGTGCAAAGGTATTTGTGGTTTTTGTCATTAAAGTAATGCAAAAGCCACAAATACCTTTGCACCAACCTAATATTAGCCCCTCGGAATTATAGACATGGCAAGTATCTACTATCAGTAAGTTGACTGGAGTAATTTACTACCCTGAAATATTTTATCTTGATATAGTCAATGCATAAAATTTTGTCTTACAGTTTGTGATTTGGGGACTTTAAGATGCTTTTTCTTATCTCTAGGTTGAACAAATTATAAGACTTTTTTTGACAACTAAGCAACATTTCAAATCTTATCACCAATGTTTTACTTAGTATAAATTCAAACATGTAAATTAACCTTAATTTTTGAGACTAAGCGCAAAGAGTACCTTAGCAATGTAGTATAGTATAACATAAAGAACACTGGACTAGAAGTTGGAAGACCACAGTTCTTCTTTCACCTTTACCATTTAGTAGCTGTGATCTTGGTAAACTCATAGCCTCAATGAACTTGAAAATATTTGATTGGGAAAGCGAGGATAATACCATTACCATCAGGTCTGCCTTAGATTACTATAAGCGTTAAATGAGATAATTATTTTGAAAGTACTTTGAAAGTTGTGTATTGCAATTCAGATATAAAATCATGATGTGGTCAGTGTATATTTTGGTTTCATTTCACTAATGAGATTTTCTGAATCAGTGGTTTTCAGAACACAGCTTCAAATATACTAATAAATGTTTTTGCAAAATGAATTATATGTTCAAATCAGGTTGGTATTTTATTATTTAAGTCAGTTATTTACTGTGGGATTTCTTAGAACAATTACTCTTTTTTAATTTTTTTATTTTTAATTTTCTTGGGTACATAGCAGGTGTATATATTTATAGGGTACATGAGATGTTTCGATACAGGCATGCAATGTGAAATAAGCACATCATGAAGAAGATGGAGAACCATTATTCTTCTAATATGCTTGGAAATTTTTTTAAAGACTCATGCAATAGTATGACTTTTTTCCCCCACAGCTCTTTGCTTATTGGGTCTTTTTTCATGGGATACCTACGAATATGTCCCTGAAAATATTTTAAAAATGCAAGTTTGAGAAAATTTTATTCACTTAAAAGAACATGAGGCTTTTCATATTCCAGTTCTGTTACTTATGTAAGACTCTGGGAATGGTACTTAACCTCTTTGAGTTGTACTTTATTCAGCCTTAAAAACAGGGATAAATAAGGCTATTGCAAGATAATGTATATAAAAAGAAGTGCCTGGCAAATAGTAGGAACTCAGTAAGTGGTGGTAGTGGTTAGTTTATTTTTTGTTATTTTGATATTATTATTAACAGTATCAATGTAGACACTGACCTCTGATCAATAGCTTGTATTCATTAAATCTCACTTTCCATTTTTATACCCAACAGAATGTCATAGAGGTTGTTAATGTTTCTTTGCACCAAGATATTTAGAGTACCCCTGCTAATATTGTCATTGAAATCGCAGGTGGGCTTGCTGCCACATTCCTTGCATCATTTCAGCCACCAATGAAATAAAAATGGATAGTTTTGAGCTATTTCTGTGGCTCTAATATAAATAAGTTCATAAGGTGGGGAATTCCTTCATCCATAATCCTGTTTTAGAGTGGAGTTTTTATTGTGATATGTGATAACAATAAATATTGGTTTACTTTCCATCCTTCTCATTTATCATCAGCACTTATATCTTCCTTTAAAATTATTTTTCTTTATTCATCACCTCATATGTATGATATACTTTAGTTACCTCACTTAGATTTTGAATTCACCCCACATACAAAGAAATTCACTGAATTTTGTTCAATGAGAAGTTAAATAGCTACTCTTTCTAAGCATTATTTTGGAACTTTTCTAAATTTATGAAGCTACTACCATCAGTGCATAACTTGTAGTTAAGCAAAATCAGTCCTTAAGAGTTAAAAAATTTTCAATTTGTTGTTTGATGAAAAGCATATACCCCTCTGTGACATTCTTACTGTGATGTTGTAACCTATATAAACTTAGAATTCAACCAGAATTTCTTTGATTCTAACCTTTGTAAGATTCCAATGGGGTGAATGCATTTTGATAGCTAGATCTTCTGTCCTGTCACCTTTCAAACACTCTGATTGCCTGTAGCCATTTCAGTTTGTATGTGACGATGAAACAAGCCAGTAACGGTCTTTGTCATTTCCATTTTTCACACATTTTCTTCGGTAATAGCACTTGCCATTTCAATTCTTCACACATTTCCTCCCCTCTTTCTCTAGCTTTTGCTCTCACTCTCACTCACTCTCTTCTTATGTATGTTTGTGCTTTCTGTGTGAGTAAAAACTACTGTCAGCAGCTAGGTGCCACAGTACATTCGACTGTAAGAAAGCACAGCTTCAGAACTGTCAAACAAAATGAAAATGAAGCAAATCACAAAGGAGACAGTTGGCTAGAATTAGGCCTGCAGATCCCACTCCAGCTATGCCATGTTGCTATGGGTCATCAGGAAAACCTGAGTTAGGGAGGCATTTTACCTCTCCTTTTGCAGCCAGTCTCACAGAAATATTATTCATCAAAAGAACATCTGAAGCTTGTTGTGCAAGAGTTAATTACCAAAGAGCAGTCAAGGCCAACTTGGTGCGTCTCTTTCTTTGACACTCATGCAAAGACACAAAGTTACTCTGGTGAGATTGAAAGAGGATAGAAATCACAGAATCACAGAAGATACTATGCATGTACCTGTTCTGAGTGTTATTGATCCACTTACGACCTTTTCATGAAATCCAAAACAATATCCTCTCAAGCTCGAGAGGCAATGGGAAGAGTAACACACAACTTTGCCCTAAAGAGTATTTCTGCAACGGGCTCAAGAGTAGAATAAAAACTATTGACTGCCTTTGTATCCTACGGCAGCGAAACCAGAATGGACATTGCTCTGAAACTGTCTCTTCACTGGAAAATACATACAAAGTAAAATTTAGGCATTTCGTGGGGTAGAGTTGCCTATAAAGGTAACTAGTCTATTGAGCCTACTTTGTTCCATATTCTTTCTGTAAGAGTCAGGTGATGGTGTACACTGAAGAAAAACAACTCCTAAGCCCAGCACAGAAACATGCTGAGCCAGCTTTTCCCAAGGCCTATGCTACAGTCCTACGTGGGTGGTATATTAAGCATTCACTTTTTCAGGCCTGCAGGCTCTGCTGACATAGTTGTTTAATAAGTCCTTCCCTGGGAACCTGAAAATAGAAACACCTGATGCACTGCCCAACAGTAACTTTCTGGCCTCAGGAGACTCTATCTTTCTATTTTTCTCCATGTATGTGGCAAATTAAAACAAAGAGTTCCTTTAAATTTATTTCTGTCCCAAATGCCAACCCCCGAGATGTTCGGAGATTATATTCAGATTCAGACTACTACTGCACCAACCAACAGTCCAACTCTTATTACTTGCGACCCCCTAGCTGGCTTTTACTGCTGTTGGCTTTGCATCCTAATTCACGTGGTGTGACCTGGTGCCTTTGTAGTTCTGGTTTTCAGTAAAGGAAATAAAGTCTCCAGCACTTCACGGTAGGAATTTCTGTTCCATGTGGATAACTGCCTTTGCTTTAAGATACTTCTAATATTCTGCTTCAGTGGGAGGGAGAAAAAGTCAGTGATCATTTTTTATGACACTATTAATTTGCAAAAGCTTGGTGGAAGTTAAAAGGAGGGCAGTATGATTAATGGAATTGTCCATTGGAAAAGAAAGCTTTGAAGGAGTTAAATATTTGGGGTTGGATAAATAAAGTCTGTTTGATTAGAGGTAGAAATGAAGTTTTGAAATTGTCGAAAGGTGAATATGACCCACATAAAGTAAATTTTACTAGCAGAATTGAAAAACCATTGAATTTGACTGGTGATATATACTGATATGTTGAATTTTAGTTGGTAGAAAGAGTATAGCTTTAGGATTGAAATCTTAGTTTTGACCTAGTTTTATATATCACTAACTATGTGATCTCTAATTGATCACTTCTTCCCTTTTGGTCATAAAATAAGTAAATTTTTCATAAAATAAAGGATTTGAGAATAATTTCATAAGTCACTTTCTGCTCTGCCACATAGGAACTCTGTAACTTATAAATTTTCTACTGGGGTAGTCATTAGCATGAATCACTAAGCATTCCTTATACTCTATCTTCTGGTAGTTTTTTCTGGCATCCTTGTGGTTGAGTAGAACTCTGTGACTAACTCTTGAAAATTGGAATTTTCATAAGAACTTCTGTAAGCAGAAGTGATATTATGTGTCACTCTGGACCAGAGCATCCATTTACCAGTGTGATTCCATAAATATTTTTCTCTTTTGCATGGCTACGAACAAATTCAAGATTAGGACTAGTCTGTCAACTTGGGTCTATAAGGTATTTCCATTAATACCACACAAATGCTACCCAACCGACATGTGCCAGGAGTGAACAATAAACATTTACAATGTTAACACATTGAATTTTGAGACTTGTTTGGAATTGTTGTATACTTTAGCCTAAACTTACTGACATATCTACTTCCCCTGTAAGACCGTATTTTTTTTTAAGAGAAAGATCATGTTGTTGACAGCCTTGGCAGAATTTCACCCTACAATCAAATATGTTACATAAACACTGTCTTAATTGTTGACATTTCAGGAGAATTTTTGACAAAGTAACTGGGTTATAATAGAGAAAATAAGAAAGTAAAAATTATTCTTAAAACTCTCTTAGGTTCGATAAGGTTAGTTGTTCTAGAAGACATAGGCCTTCATTAAGCAAATACCAAATGCTAATACATTTGAAAATTGTAAAACATAATATTTTATTTCTAATTATAATAACCACAAAGCAGACAAGTAATAATTTGATGCTTTTTAGTGATGTATACATATTTGTCAAAATCAGTCATCTATTTGACAAATTAATAGGCATTATATAGATTTTATATTGTGAAATGCTTATTGGTCTTTATTCAATAGATATTTAAGCACCTTCTATGCGACAACATGTGCTGAGATGTTGTGGATGCATTAGTAAGTAAGGTACATGCAACGCTGTCATTATAGAATTCAAAATCTAGCAGGCTGAAAAAGCAGGTATAAGCTATGTGTAAGGTAGTTGAATACCCTGCCTTTATTAATTAAGGAGTAACACCAAAAATTTGTTTTAACATCGCATCCATCAACTAGTGATGAAGTCCATAATAAATGCTGAGCAACCAGCTTGATTTTTTCCCCTTGTGGGGAGTTCATTTACTGTAATGCTTTATTAACCAGTTATTTTCCTGATGTCATTTTGACATAGCCTTATTTTCTCTCCCTTGCAATAACGGATAATTAAAAAAAAAAAAAAAACTCTCACATCAGCATTGTGCTTTCATCGATAATTGGTGTTGACCAAATGCCACATCCGCTGAAAAGACTATAACTCTGTTATGGCACCCAGTTTTGGAATGCCAGTATGTAGCCTTGATGATGTTATTTATTTTTGTTTTAGTTCTCTAACTTGTAAAATAAAAATGCTCCATTATATAGCCTTTAAGAATCTTTTATCCCTAAAATCCCATGATTATAAGTTTCTATTTGTGCTTTCAGTTGAGGGATTAAGTCCCTGGGATGAATTGAGAAAAGAAATGAAGTTTTGAAAGCTCACTTGTTAACAATCCTTTGAATAACTATACAGTGCCAAGACTTTGTGGATTATCCCCTATAGATTTGAAAGTTCCAGGTTGAATAACTCTTGGCTACATCACGGTATTATGAGTCAGTTACCGCTACTATTTATTCAGGGAATGTCCAGAAGACAAAATTTTACCAAGTATAATCAGGAATGAGATCTTCTAAGTATTAGAAAAATAAATAAAAGCAACCTAAGCAATTTGGTATTATCTGCTTTACTGTTCCCTTTGTTCTTGTGATGCTTTAAAAATGTGGAGTTTTAGTCCCCAGTATTTTTTTGTAACGGGCCACTTTTAAGAAAACATGCTATTAAAGAGGCAAGTAGGCCTTTATTTATATGTCTCGCTCGTTAAAATCTGATCAAGATTGCAACCCAATTGCTTATGCCCCAATGAGATTGGTTGATTTTGAAGGCTTTCATTGCCACCTTGTGGATAAATGATGGCAGAGGTGTACTATGTGAGAGTACTTTCATATATTATCTGTGAAATATGCTAAAACTTTAATCCTTCTAACTTATGGAGTTTTAATTCAAGTTTTTTTTTCTAGACCATAAGTAAGATTACAATACATGTCACAGTAAGTGCCCTGCTTTGTCTTGTTAGAATAAATAGTTGAAGAATAAGACCGTTTTGTTGCTGATGACAGCTTGCACTGGTTATTGATTTAAAATGCACATCCTATCAAAATTACCACATCAAAAGTTTCTGCTTTAATAGTATAAAAGGAGTGCCATTTAGAAAAGCTGAGTTTCAGTGAAAGATCTGTTACTGCTAGTTTCTGTCACCCCACGAGGGCTATCAGTAATTTTTACACATAAGAACTAGGAATTTTTTGCTTTCAAGACTGTTAAGTGAAATATTTAAAATTATTTGGTAAAGGTTTTGGAGTCAAATGTCAACTCTTTAGAGTGGCATGTCACATTATGTATTCTGAATGATACTCTCAGTAAAAACATCTAAAATACTGAATAAAATAAAAAATAAATGCATCGATGAAATACAAAGTAAAGCATACTCAAAGATTAAATGGTAAGTGTAAAGAGGAACCCAGACAGATCATCTGGGCACTAAAATTACTTTTCACCTTGATGGCATTTGCCAAGCCTGGACACTTTGATTTTCATGGTTTTTTTTTTTTTTTTTGGAGGAGGGGAGAAAGGTAAAGGTGACAAACAGAGGGTCTGCTATAGTTAGGAATTTTAATCAAGTAGTGAATGGAAAGGCTGTCTTATGTAAACAGTCTTTAAACTCCCTCTCAGTTACATAGAAGTAGGCCCTGGGCCCAAAACACTTCCTTACCAAGAGATAAAGAGTTCTCACAGTCTCTGCCGGATTTGTCACCTTGTTTGGGAATACCTTTCTCTGTTTCAGACTCAACATGTATTCCTTTGTTCTGCTAATATGTGTCATATGGCATTTGCCCAATCCTACTACTAGATCTGATTCCTACAAGGGGGAATGTGGCTCTTCTGCTGCAGCACAAGGGGAGTGTGTGCAGGCCAATATCCCTGCTTTGGCTTCTAGGAGGGACTCACCGGCCATACTGGGCTGATACCCACTACTGAAGTTGGTCTTGCCGTGTCTCTTCTCTATGTGGGTTAAATATTCTTTCATCCAGTGCTTAACTGTACCGTGTTATCCTTGGAAACCCCAATATCAAGCTGCAGTGAACAGAAATGCTCAGACTTCTGTTCATGTTAATAGGCAACAAATGCCACTTGCTTGGCTGTTTTGCACAATGAGCAGGGTCTTCAGTAGCACATACTATGATATGGTAGACATGGAATGGCTCCTTAGCCCTATTGTACCAGTTTGATGCTGGCTGGGCAGCAGGGATGGGGGAGGCTATAAGAGGCAGAGGGTGATAGACTATGGCGATGACCTCCCTCTGGCTGCACAGCGATGAATAAGATATAGCATCAATCCCCATGATATCCCAGGGGTCAAAGGTAATGTCTAGGGGAAGTAAGGGGCCCCCATGCAGGGAGCTCCACCTAGCCTATAGTCCATGTTTCTTGCAGACATCAAATAAGATCTGTTTTCCCTCAATGCAAAACTGCCAATGGTGTTGCAAAAACTGAAACTGTTGAAATAGATTGTTTTCCTGAGAATGAAGTTTTGAAAGAACAGATATAGACCAAAGCCAATGAAGAACAATGCAGCCTCATTTTTTTTCATCAGTTTGATGAAGGCTTATTGCAGACTTAAAGGTTTTGGGCCAAACACCCAGGTAGGAATGAAGACAAGTTCTTCAGGTATCTACCAGGAACTAGGGGCTCTATACCCCTATTAGTATGAAATGGAGAAAGAAGGAATTTAGACGTTTTTGGGTCTCTTGGACACTTGTTTCTTCATGAAGATACTTCTAGCTCCCCAGTAGGGTAGGATTAAGCTTTGGCATTGGCGGGGGATGGGGAGGTGGTGGTTGGCATGAAAACAGTGACTCTGACAGATAGGTGTTTATGCATTTTATAGATGGGGCCCTTTGGGCCATTTTGAGTACTGCTAATCTGGTAATCATTGTTCCCACCACTAAGAACATTATATATGTTGACATTCTGGCTCCTTGCTGCACAAAATATTACTGCCACCTGAAGGGGTATTTCTAATGCCAGCAAAAAAATTAAGACCACAATAATCGATTGTATCCACTTTCACCTGCCACATAAGTTACCCAAGCCCCAATGAGTTATTCAACAAAAGCAATACCACATACAAGGAAGAAATAGGAACATTACTTTTTAAATTTAGGATTTGCTACACACAGGCATGTGAAAAACCACCTGTCACAATGTAACAGCCCAATTTGTCCAATCAAAAAGGCGTCCAAGATATGAAAACTGACAATGAACTATGACAAGTTGAATGCCAGTTTTGAAAGGAGCCCTTTGCAGAACCAGGCCTTGGAGACCATTATACAAGCTATTACTCAGACGCTGCCTTTGGGAGACGTTTGGAGCCTGCTAGTCTGATGTAACTGGAGGTGTCCTCAAATCCCATACATACACTCGTGGGAATCCCATACAAATACTGTTGGGAATCCATGGCATCAGGAAACCACCACTGAGGTGTGTCAGTCTCTTGGAGTTTGGGCAGATAAGTTACTTGAGGCAGCCACCAGATACATCCCCTTTGGGCACTGATGGAGACTAAATACATTGTGGCTGGAGCTCCATCTGTGACACTATGGCCTAAACTGCCCACTTGAGTGCTTACAAACCCTGCCAGCATTTAGTGATCAAATAGCAGTGCTTGAGCCTCCAATGAAACCTAAACCAGTGACCATAAACAAAGGGAAAATCAGGAGACTGTGTTAATATAGACACCAAAAAAGAGATAGTTATTTTATAATGCTCTATGACATTTTGTTAATGCTGTTTATTACATATGTGATAATCAAGATATGGCTAAGTGGATTATTCATTTTCTTTGTATTATAATTTATTTATGATAATTTTATTATCATAATTTATTTTTGATTGGAAAAATTATAATTGTATACATTTATAGGGTTCATGTGATGTTTTGCTATATGTATACAATGTGGAATGATTGAATAAAACTAATTAACATATTCATCACCTGGCTTACCTATCATTTTTATGGTGAGACATTTGAAATGTACTCTTTTAGCTACTTTGAAATATATAACACATTATTATTGACGGTAGTCACCCTGTTATAAAATAGATTTCAAAACCTATTTCTCCTATCTGAAACTTTGTAATTTTTGATCAACAACTGCCCATTCTCTTCCTCCCCACTTTCCCCAGACTCTGGTGACCATCATTCTACTCTCTACTTCCATGAGTTTAACTATTTTAGCTTCCACATAGAAGTGAGATTTTTTTTTCACTTAGGCACAGAAAGCATAATGTCCTCCAAATTAATTCATGTTGTTTCAAATGAAAGAATTTCTGCTTTTTTAATGCTGAATAGTATCCCACTGTGTATATATACCACACTTTCTAATCCATTCACCCATTGACAAACAGCTAGATTTTTTCCGTATTTTGGCTATTGTGACAATACTGCAATAAACATGGGAGTGCAGATATTTCTTAACATATTGATTTCAGTTCCTTTGAACATACACCCACAAATGGGATCATTGTAGCTCTGTTTTTAGTTTTTTGAGGAGCTCCATACCATTTTTTATAATGGCTATACTAATTTATGTTCCCACCAACAATGTATAAGAGTGTCATTTTCTCTGAATCCTCTCCAGCACTTATCTTTAATCTTTTCGATAAAAGCCATTCTGACCAGAGTGAGGAGATATTTAATTGTGGTTTTAATTTGCATTTCCTTAATAATGAGTTATGCTGAGCAGTTTTTCATGTACTTATTGGCTATTTGTATACCTTCTTTTGAGAGACGTCTATTCAGGTCTCTTGTGCTTCTTTTAAATAGGGTTGTTTTCTTGGTATTGAGGTGTTTGAGTTCTTTACGTATTTTGGATATTAACTCATTATCAGATGCATGCTTTCCAAACATTGTCTCCAATTCTGTGGACTCTCTCTTCACTTTGATAATTGTTATTTTACTATGCAGAATCATTTTCATTTGATGTTATCCCATTTGTCTATTTTAGATTTTATTGTCTGTGCTTTTGTGTTATGCAAAAGTCATTGCACAGACTAATGTCATTGGGTTTTTCTTCTTGTGGTTTTACAATTTCAAGTCTTATATTTAAGTCTTTAATTCACTTTGAGTTAATTTTTGTATATGGTATAAGATAAAATTTTATTTTCATTTTCTGCAAGTAGATATCCACTTTTCTCACCACCACTTATAGAAGAGAGTGTTTTTTCCCCATCTATGTTCTTGACACCTTTGTAAAAAATTAGTTACTATAAATGTGTGAGTTTATTTCTGAGGGAGATAATAATTCCAAAAGACACAATCCTAAAGACTACAATCTCAAATGTTGAAATCCTGAAAGATCAAAATCAGTAAATATAGTTTTATAAAGAGTGATTTAAAATTTTCTTTTAAAGACATTTATTTACATTTTAAGCAGACTTTTTTGAGAAACATATAAAAACACAAAAGAATACTTTATAGACTACTTTACACAATAAAATAGACAATAAAAACATACATTTCTTTGCAAGCATAAACAGTATGCTAACAACAGTTGCACTGACACAACAGTTATGAGCAGACAAATTCTGTTTATAAAAAAATAGATCAAAAAGTGAAAGGCATAAATGCATATTACTGTGGTTAGTAATTGTATTAGTCAGGGTTCTCTAGAGGGACAGAACTAATAAGATATGTGTATATATGAAGGCAAGTTTATTAAGGAGACTTGATTCACACCATCACAAGGTGAAGTCCCACGGTAGGCCATCTGCAAGCTGAGGAACAAGGAAGCCAGTAGTGGCTCAGTCTGAGTCCCCAAACCTCAAAAGTAGGGACACCAACAGTGCCGCCTTCAATCTGTGGCCGAAGGCCTGAGAGCCCCTGGCAAACCACTGATGTAAGTCCAAGAGTCCAAAAGCCTGAGAACTTGGAGTCTGATGTTCGAGGGCAGGAAGCATCCAGCACCAGAGAAAGATGAGGGCCAGAAGACTCAGCAAGTCTGCTAATTCCACCTTCTTCTGCCTGTTTTTCCTAGCCATGCTGGCAACCGATTGGATGGTGTCCAACCAGATTGAGGGCGGATCTGCCTCTCCCAGTCCACTGACTCCAAAGTTATTCTCCTCTAGCAACACCCTCACAGACACACCCAGCAACAATACTTTGCATCCTTCAATCCAATCAAGTTGACACTTAATACTAACCATTATAGTAATTTTGTGTACCCAGCTTTATAACTGTGATCTTCTGAAATACTGTGGTGGACAAAGTAAGTCTTTTGATGAGATTGATCAAAAACCATGTTGGGCCACTACCACTTATGCAGTCACCTAAAGAGCCAAGACGTCTGGAAAGTTTGTCTTTCACAAATGCAGATGTACAAATGCATATCTTCATTTATTAAGGAAGCTTATACATTTTTATGCTGAGCACTAGGGAAGCCAATAATGTAACTCTCAGTCTGGGGTCAAAAGCCATAGGAAGCCAGGTGTAAAGACCAAGGGGTCCACTGGTGTAAATCGTGGATAAAAAATGTTGACAAGCCTGGAGTTCTGATGTTCAAGGCAGCAGAATAAAAGTCCCAGCTCTCAGAAACAGACAAATTTGCCTTCTGTATTTGTTCTCTCTGGGCCCCAGCTGATTGGATGCTTCTTGGCAGCACTGAGAGTGGGTCTTAATCCATTCAGACTCACAGACTACTCTCCCCTGGAAAAACCATCACAGACACACTCAAAGTAATGGTTTACCAGGTTTCTAAGTATTTCTTAATTCAGTCAAGTTGATATCCACAGTTGTTATTATTTTTAATTGTTTTAATTTTTAAGTTATGTGGGTTCATAGTAGATTTATATATTTATCAGTACATGACATGTTTTGATACAGGCATAAAAAAAGAAAATAAACATATCACTGAGAATGGGGTATCCATCCCCTCAAGCATTTATCCTTTGAGTTATAAACAATCCAATTATATTCTTTTAGTTATTTTAAAATGTACAATTAAGTTATTATTGACTATAGTCACCCTGCTGTGCTATTAAATAGTAGGTCTTATTCATTCTTTCTATTTCTTTTTTTCTTTTTTCTTTTTTTTTTTTTGAGACAGAGTCTTGTTCTGTTGCCCAGGCTAGAGTGCAGTGGCATGATCTTGGCTCAGTGCAACTTCTGCCTCCCGGGTTCACGTGATTCTCCTGCCTCAGCCTCCCGAGTAGCTGGGATTACAGGCACACATCACCACGCTCGGCTAATTTTTTGTATTTTTAGTAGAGATGGGTTTTCACTATGTTGGCCAGACTGGTCTCGAACTCCTGACTTCATGATCCGCCCACCTTGGCCTCCCAAAGTGCTGGGATTACTTACAGGCATGAGACACGCGCCCGGCCCCTTTAATGGTTTCATATAAATTTTAAGATTGTTTTCGTCTATTTCTATGAAAAATGTCATTGATATATTAATAGGGATTGCACTGAACCTGTACATTGTCTTGGGTAGTATGGACATTTTAACAGTATTGATTCTTCCTATCCAGGAATATGAAATATTTTTTCATTTATTATTGTCCTCTTCCATTTCTTTCATCAGTGTTTTATAGTTTTCATTGTAGAGATCTTTAATTCCTAGGTATTTAATTTTATGTATGGCTATTGGGATTACTTTTTTATTTCTTTTTCAGTTTGTTCACTGGCATATAGAAATGATACTGATTTTTATGTTGATTTAATATCTTGCAAATTTACTGAATTTGTTTATTATTTCCAATAGTTTTTTCTGGTGGAGACTTTTGGGTTTTCCAAATATAAGATCATCATCTGCAAAGAAGGATACTTTGACTTCTTCCTTTCCAGTTTGGATGCCATTTATATCTTTCTCTTGTCTGACTGCTCTAGCTAGGACTTCCAGTACCGTGTTGAATAACAGTGGTGAGCGTGGACATTCTTGTGCTCCAGATATTAGAGGAAAGGCTTTCAGTTTTTCCCTATCTAATATGATATTAGCTTTGGATCTGTCATATATGACTTTTATTATGTTGAAGTATTTTCCTTTTATTCCCAATTTTTGAGGGTTTTTCCATGAGGAGTTGAATTTTCTCAAATGTTTTTTGAGCACCAATTAAGACGATAATATAGTTTTCATTCTTTAGTCTATTGATAGGATGTATCATATTGATTGATTTGTGTGTATTGAACCAGCCTTGCATCCTTGTGATAAATCGCACTTGGTCACGATGAATGATTTTTTAATGTATTGTTGAATTCCATTTGCTATTATTTTGGTGAGGATTTTTGCATGAATATTCCTCAGAGATATTGGCCTCTAGGTTTTATTTTTATGTGTCTTTTACTCGTTTTGGTGTCAGGGTAATACTTGCCTCATAAAATGAGTTCGAACATATTCTTTCCTCCTCTTTTTTTTGAATAATTTTAGTAGGATTGAAATTAGTTTTTTTAATTTTTGGTAGTATTTAGCAGTAAAGCCATTGGATAGTGGTCTTTTCCTTACTGGGAGACTTTTTATTATTGCTTCAATTTCATTACTTGTTAGTAGTTTGTTCAGGTTTTGCATTCCTTCTTGTGCAATCTTGGTAGGTGGTATGACTGTAGTAATTTTTTCATTTTTCTAGATTTTACAATTTATTGGCATGTAATTGCCCACAGCAGTTTCTAAGATTCCTTTGAATTTCTGCTTCATCAAGTGTAATGGCTTTTTTTTCACTTTGATTTTATTTATTCGGATCCTCTCCCTTTTTTTCTTAGTCTGGCTAAAAATTGGTCAGTTTTTCAACATTTCATAAAAACAACTTTTTGTTTTATTAATCTGTTGTATTGAATTATTTCAATTTTATGTTTTTCTGTTCTCTTCCTTATTTTGTTTTTATTTTGCTAATGATGGGTTTAATTTGCTCCTTATGATCCAATTCTTTAGGATGCATCATTAGGTTCTTTACTCGAAATTTTTGCTCTTTTTGATCTAGGCACTTATACCTGTAAACTTCACTCTTAGTACTGCTTTTGCTGTATCTCATAGATTTTGGTATGTTGTATTTCCATTATTATCTATTGTAAGAAATTTTTAAATTTTTTTAAATTTTTATATTGACTCAATGATCATTCATGAACATATTGTTTAATTTTCATGAATTTGTATGGTTTCCAAAATTACTATTGTTATTGATTTCTAGTTTTATTTTATGGTGGTCAGAGAAAACACTTTATATTATTTCATTTTTTTGAATGTTTTAATACTTATTTTATGACCTAACATATGGTTTAGCCTTGAGAATAATTCACTTGCTGAGGAAAAGAATGTGTATTCTGTGGCCTTTGCACAAAATATTCTGGAAATATCTATTAGATTCATTTGGTGTATAGTGAAGATTAAGTTCAATGTTTGTTGTTGCTGTTGTTGTTGTTGTTGTTGTTGTTGTTGTAGATTTTCTGTCTGGAAGATCTGTCTCTTGCTGAAAGTGAGGTGTTGAAGTGTCTGGCTATTACTATATTGGGGCTTATTTCTCTCTTCACCTCTAATAATATTTCCTTTTTATATCTGGGTGCTCCAATGTTGGGTACATATATATTTTAAATTGCTATATCTTCTTACTGAATTGACCTTTTTTACTATATAGTGATCTTCCTTGTCTGTTCTTATCTTTTTTGTTTGTTTGTTTTTTGATCTTATGGTTTTTGTCTTGAAATTTATTTTGTCTGATATAAGTATAGCTACTTTTGCTCTTTGTTGGTTTCCATTGACATGAATTTTTTTTATGTTTTTATTTTCAGTCTGTGTTTCTCTTCATAGGTGAAGTGTGTTTCTTGTAGGCAATAGATCAATAGGTCTTGTTTTTTTATTCATTCAGCCAGTCCTTGCATTTGATTTGAGGGTTTAGTCCATTTACATTCAATGTTATTATTGATAACTAAAAACTCATTCCTTACATTTTGTTACTTGTTTTCTGATTGTTTTGTGGTCTTTTTTCCTTCTTTCATTCCTTCCTGTTTTTTTTTCTATGTTTTAGTGAAGGTGATTTTTCTCTGGTGATATAGTTAAGTTTTTTTGCTTTTTATTTTTGTGTATTCATTTTATGTTTTTTGCTTTCAGGTTACCACTTAGCTTGTAAATAACTCATTATTTTAACTCATAGCAACTTAACACCATTGGCATTAACAAAGAAACAAATAAGCCAAAAACAAACCTCATAAAAACCCTGTGTCTTAACTTAATCCTTTCACTTTTTTATTGTTTCTATTTACATATTTTTGTACCGTTGTAGTTCTTATTTTTCTGTTGGTTTGTCGCTTAGTCTTTCTATTTAGGATAAGAGTAGTTTACACATCTCAGCAACAGTGTTACAACATTCTGTGTTTTTCTGTGTACTTACTATTATCAGTAAGGTGTTTTTTTTTTTTTTTTTTTTTTTTTTCCAGAGTTTCACTCTGTCACCGGGCTGTAGTGCAGTGGCACAATCTCGGCTCAATGCAACCTCCGCCTCCCAGGTTCCAGTGATTCTTCTGGCTCAGCCTCCCAAGTAGCTGGGACTACAGACATGCGTCACCACCCACATCTAATTTTTTTTTTTTTTTTTTTGTATTTTAAGAAGAGACGGGGTTTCACCATGTTGGCCAGGCTGGTCTTAAACTCCTGACCTCAAGTTATCCATCTGCTTCAGGCTCCCAAAGTGCTGGGATTACAGGTGTGAGCCACCAGCCACCAGCAAGTCTTGTACCTTCTTATGATTACTTTTTGCTCATTAACATCCTTTACTTTCTGATTGAAGTACTCCCTTTACCATTTCTTGTAGGATAGGTCTGGTTTTAATGAAATCCCTCAGCTATTTGTCTGGGAAAGTGTTCATTTCTTCTTCAGGTTTTAAAGGGGCATTTTTCTAGATATATTATTCTAGGGTAAGAGTGGTTTTTTTTTGTTTTTTTTGTTTGTTTGCTTGTTTTGTTTTTTTCTTCCACACTTTAAATATGTCATGTCACTCCTGGCCAATAAGGTTTTGTCTGAAAAGTCTGCTGCCAGATGTACAGAAGCTCCTTTTTATGTTTTTTTTTTCTTTTCTCTTGCTGCTTTTATGATCCTTTCTTTATCCTTGATTTTTGGGAGTATGATAAGTAGACACCTTGAGGTAGTCTTTCTTTGTTTAAATCTGCTTGGTGTTCAATGACCTTCTTGAATTGAGATATTGATATAATTGTCTTGATTTGGAAAGTTCTCTGTTACTCTCCCCTTGAATAACGTTTCTACCCCAATTTCTATCTTTTCTTTAAGGCCAATAACTCTTAAATTGGCCCTTTTTAGGCTATGCCCCATTGTTTTCTATTTATTCTTTTGTCTTCTCTGATTATGTATTTTTAAACAGGCTGTTTTCAAGTTCACAAATTCTTTCTTCTGTTTGATCAATTTGGCTATTAAAAAACTCATGCATTCTTCATTATGCCAATTACATTTTTCAGCTCAAGAATTTCTACTTTATTTTTAAAACATTTTAAAATTTATTTGTTAAAGTCATCTGATATAATTCTAAATTCCTTCTCTGTGTGGTCTTGAATTTCTTTGAGTTTTCTCAAGTCAGCTTTTTTGAATTTTTTGTTTGAAAGGTCATATATCTCTGTTTCTTCAGGATTTGTCCCTAGTACCTTATTTAGTTCATTTGGTGAGGTCATGTTTTCCTGGTTGATGTTTCTAGGCATTGGAGAGTTCGGTATTTATTGTAGTGTTTGCAGTCTGGGCTTGTTTTTATCCATCGTTGTTGGGAAGGCTTTCCAGATATTTGAAAGTACTTAGGTGTTCTCATGTAAACTGTGTCTGCTTTAGGGGGCACCACAAGCCTTGTAATGCTGTGGCTCTTGCAGACTTGTAGAGATAGTCTTGGTATTCTTGGACAACAACTAGAAAAAGTCTCTTGATTACCAAACAGAGATTCTTGTTCTTTATCTTTACTTTATCCCAAGCAAATGGATCATCTCTCTCTGTTCTTAGCCACATAATGCTAGGAATGGAGTGAAGCAATTATCACTACTGTGAATTCTGCTGGGTCTGACCTGAAGCCAGCAAAGCAATGGGTCTCACCCATGGCCTGCTGTAACTATTTTCTGGTTACTGCCTATGTTTGGTCAAGGCCCTGGAGCTCTACAATTAGCAGCTAGCAATTGGCAAAGCCAACTAGGCTTGTCTTTTCCTTCAGGGAGGTGAGTTCCCCCAGACTCCAGGTGGGTCCACAGGTACTGTCTGGGGTCAGGAACCAGAATCACAATATTTAGAAGTCCACCTGGTGTTTTATTGTACTGTGGTTGAGGTGGCACTAAAACCACAGGATGCAGTCCTTCCCACTCTTCCCTTCCCTTCCCGAAGTCTAGGATCTTCACCCTGCAGCCACTGGCACCAAAGGCCACAGGGAATACCATGAGAGTACCACGGTGTTCTCTTGAGGCCCGAGAGCTCTTAAGTCAGCTTTTGGTGAATGATGCCTGACCTGGGACTCACCCCTTAGTAAAGAGGCTCTTCTCTGGCCCAGGGCAGGTCCAGAAGTGGAAATCCAAGAGCTTGTTTTCTCCTCTATCACTCTGTGCCTGAGCTGATACCTAAGGTGCAAAACAAAATCTCCTTTACTTTTTCCTCTGCTTTTCTCAAGCAGAAGGAAAAGCCCCCACAGCTGGTAATGTGCTAAGTCTCACCTGAAGGCATGAAATTTCATACACTCATTCAGGGCCCTTGATGTGGTACCTGGGTGTGACTGCTGGTTATTTAGGGCTCAAAGTCTCTTCAGTTATCAAGTGATTAGTGCTGTCAGGACTGTCTTCTTTGCTTCAAGTTTTCTTATGGCCCGGGATGTGTCTAGAAATGATTCTGGGAGCTAGGTCCTCAAACAGGGGCCTCATGACTCTGACCAGTGCCCTATCCTGCTGTGTCTGAGCTAGTATCCATGGTTCAAGACAGAGTATTCTACAGTCTTCTCTCTATTCTTAAGTGAAAGGAAGGGGTCCCTTTTGGAGCTGTGAGCTGTGCAGCCTGGGGTTAGGTGAGGGAAAATGCCAGCACTTCCTTAGCTGCCTCAGCTGGTGTTTCAGTAGGTCTCATGCCCCCCAGTTCACTGTCCCTGGGCTCAGAGCAGCACTAATACTTACCTAAAAGTTGAAGTCCTCATGGCCTGGAATGCCTTCTGTGTTTACTTAGAAACCCAGATAAGTTTAACCCTTGTTGGTGAGGTTTGCAGGAACTCAAGTTCCAACTGCTGAGATTGGCGATTCCCCTCTGGCTAGGATTGGTTTAAATGTTCCCTCTGTGGACAGACATCAACTGGGTTTGGTCTGGTTTTCCTTTCTGCTTTAAAAGAACAGCACTGAGTTCAATGTCTTGCAATTGCTCTATTTTCCCTCCCCCAGTGCCCATAGAAACTCTCTGCACCTCACTGCTCCTGTGAGGAGTAGGGGAGGGTTGGCATCGGTGATTCAAGACTGTTCTGTCTCTTCAGTTCCTCTTTCAGCAATATGAAGACAAAACCAGGTTCTGCGAGGGCTCACCTGATTTTAGGCTCTTATGAAGGTTTTTTTTTGTATAGATAGTTGTTAAATTGGGGTTCTTGCAGGGGGGATGATCGGTGGAGCTTTCTGTTTTGCTATCTTGCTCCACCTCTTTCCTCAACACCTAAAATTAAATCCACATATAGACCCCTTGCCAACTTGGCACCCATATGCATCTCCTTAAACTACTATGCTTAATTTCCAAATAAAGACAAAAACAAGGTCATAGTTCCACTTAACATGGTGCAATTATCCTATGATTTTAACTTTGGAGATTTTGGACATTATGTACTTTAGACTTTAGGAATTTTGATATTTTGGTTTGTCCTCATTTGGTGTTCAGGATTATGTCTTTTAAAATTATGATCCAAGCAGGGCATGGTGGTTCACACCTGTAATTCCAGCACTTTGGGAAGCCGAGGTGAGCAGATCACCTGAGGTCGGGAGTTTGAGACCAGCCTGGCCAACATGGTGAAACCCCATCTCTACTAAAAATACAAAAATTACCCGGGCGTGGTGGCAGGCACCTGTAATCCCAGCTACTCAGAAGGCTGAGGCAGGAGAATCGCTTGAACCTGGGAGGTGGATGTTGCAGTGAGCTGAGATTGTGCCATTGCACTCCAGCCTGGGCAACAGAGTTAGACTCCATCTCAAAAAAAATAAATATATAAAAATAAAAATAAAATAAAATTATGATCCAAACATAATTTCTATTTTCTATCCTATTCCATTGGTTGATATTTCTGTTTTTATGCCAATACCATGCCATTTTGATTATAATTACTTCATATTATTTTGTGAAATCAGGTAATTTGATGCTTCTAGCCTCAAGCTTATTCTTTTTGTTCAAGAGTTTTTTGGTTATTCCATGTATTTTGTGGTTTCATACATATTTAAGAATTTTTTATTCAATTTCAGTGAAAATGGCATTGAGATTTTGATAGAAATCTACAGATGAATCTGTAGATTGTTTTGAGTAATGTGGGTTTTTTCATAATACTAATTCTTCTAATACATGAATATAAGATATCTTTTCATTTATTCATGTTTTCTTTAATGTCTTTCATCAGTGTTTTATAGTTTTCAGTATACATGTCTTTCACTTCCTGGGTTAAATTTACACCTATGTATTTTCTTTTTGTTGTTTCTATTGTAAATGCAATTTTTTTTCTTAATTTCCCTTTCATAGAGTGTGTTATATAAAAATGCTACTAATTTATGTATGTTGATTTCATATCCTGAAATGTCATTGAATTCATTTATCAGTTCTAACAGTTTTTTGGTGAAGTTTTTTTTTAGTGTTTTTTATATTAAATATCATGTCATTAAAAAATAGAGACAATTTCACTTCTTACTTTTCTATTAGAATTTTTTTTTTCTCTTGCCTAATTGCTCTGAGACTTCTAGCACTATGTTAAAAAGAAGTTGCGAGAGTGGGCATTTTTGTCTTATCCCTATTTTTAGAAAAAAAGCTTTCAAATTTTTGCTGTTGAAAATGATGTTAGTTACGGGTCTGTCATGTATAGCCTTTGTTGCATTGTGGTACACTTCCTCTATATTTAATCTGTTGAGAGTTTTATGATAAAAGAATGTTAAATTTTGTTAAATCATTTTCTACATCTATTAAGATGATTATATGATTTACATCTTTCATTCTGTCAGTGTGGTGTATCACATTTATTTATTTTTGTAGGTTGAACCATTCTTGCATTTCAGCCATAAATTCTACTTGATCATGGTGAATGATCATTTTAATGTGTTTTAGAATTTGTTTTGCTGATATCATGTTGAGGATTTTTGCATCTACCTTTATCAGGAATATTGACCTATAATTTTCTGGTAGTGTCTCTCTGGCTTTCATATCATGAAAGAGATTAAATATAGAGGAAGATTAAATATAGAAGGAGTGTACCACAGTGCAACAAAGGCTATACATGACAGACCCATAAATAACATCATTTTACAATGCTAGCCTTGTAAAATGAGTTGGAAATACGCTCTCTACTTCAATTTTTTGAATTTGTTTGAGAAGAACTAGTATTAGTTATTTAAATTTTTGGTAGGATTCAGCAGATAAACAATTTGTTGGTCCTGGGCTTTCCCCTCATGGGAAGTGTTTTATTACTGGTTCAATCTCTTTACTCATTATTGATCTGTTCAGATTTTATATTTCTTTATGATCCAATCTTATTAGGCTGTATGTGTCTAGGAATTTATCTATTTTTTTTCTATGTAATTCAATTTGTTAGTGTCTGATTGTTTATAGTAGCTTCTTATGATCCTTTGTATTTTGGTCATATCTTTTATAATGTCTCCTTTTGTTTCTGATCATATTTATTTGTGTATTCTTTTTTTTGTTAGTCTAGCTAAGAGTTTGTTGATTTTGTGTATCTTAAAAAAAAATCTAAGATTATGTATTTTCATCAGTGGCTAGGATGAGCCATTCTGAGACTCTTCTTTCTGCTTTCAGTGATTAAATAAAACTCAATGCTACAACCTATTTATTCTTGTTGTAATTTAATGTATCACAGTTTTTATATCAATAGTTACCTGTGAGGTCTCTGTCACTTACCCACAAGTAAATTACGTGTGACTATAAATAAATAACTAGTTTTATTATAGCCCCTACGTTAGTGGTGCTTTAGGGTCGGTCATACTTTGTATGGCCCATGGAGAAGTGGAAAATCTAAAACTCTTAATTAAATAATTTGGGACTCTGAACTTAAATTAGTTGAAATTAGTCTAATGATCAACCACTGTTACAGCTCTAGGAATTTAGGCTTGGGCAAAAATATTATCTATTAATTACAATGTATTAGATCAAGACCATGCTTAATTTCTTCTCACATTATCTTCGTGCTCAGTTTACCAAATTGTTTGTTGTCATTACTCTGTTCAAGTTTAAGAAGTTGCCACCAGCTGCCACATGCTCTCTATGTTCTGTTTCAGTTTTTCTTGTAAAACTTGTTCAGCATTAAACTAAAGCTTCTTGTTTTTCTAGTACCTGATGTTTCAGTACCTGATGATTCACAATCTCTTGCTACAACCACAGAAATTTTAATTTTTAAGAGTATTTTTATACTGCTACAAAATAATTTTGTGATTTTTGCATTTTTTGACTTTTTATGTCTATCACCCCTTTTGAGGTACAGAACATCCTCTTTTTTAAATTTCAACCTAAAATATTTTATATAAAGAACTGTACATTGGAGTGAAATAAATTAGCCATGCCTGATAAGTAATAGCTGGTTTCAGTGCTCCCTTGTATAGTATAATTTTGGACTTGAGACAAATACATTTACAGTCCTCAAAACTTAACTTGGTCATAGGTAGAAAGATGCATATATTCCTAATCTTCCTTCATTATTGAAATGTAAATAAAGTGAGACTAACCTCTTCATGCCTCTTTTAGAGTTTGACCTTCTGTCTTGATTTTCTACATTCTTGTAAAGTGTGAAATAGAGGTATGTTTATTTGAGATAAAAGTGACGGTTGAGTATTGGCAATTAACTCAATAGGCATCTATTACAAGCAAGTGTGTTGGATATTTTTATATGTGATCTTTATGTAAGTATTACAGAAGTTCACCAAAATAGTCAGAAAGAATTGTTCCTCCTCCTCTTCCAAAGACTCTAAATAATTTAAGCTCCAAGACTGTGTCTTATTCATTTCACAAGTGACTAGAACATGGTAGATATTTAATACATACTTGCTAAATTGAACTGAAAGCTGGAACTTTCTTGTCAGTCTTCACAGTAAATTTCTCTTACTGGCTTAAAGTTATCTCTAATTCAGAGCATTTATAATGCTGAGGTGATTGCCATACCCTATATCCAGGGAATTATTAAGGCAAGTGTAACTCAGGATAACCATCAATGTCATAAAAACTCTATCCACATCCATAAAAACATATATATTGCAGTACAATTATGCTTGAGCTATATAGAAGAAGATATGGGAAGGAGACAAACCTGGCTTTTAAATTGGGTTTGGATAAATTATACTTACAAATAATGGCTTCCTGATTGCCAACCTGAAAGGAATGATATATTCTTGTGCTAGTTGACTAGAACTTTTGAAAATGCCAAGCACAGTGGCTAACATGAGTAGGTAGGTAGTATTTGGTGGCTTCCTTACCCAGGTTCAGATTGTCAGTTTCACTTCCTGCAATAAATTTACTTTCATTTGTCTCTTTCATTTACACTTTCTCTTCTTCACCTCACGATCTAGCCTTCTATAATACTATTTTTACTGTTTTTCAATTATCACAAAATAGTGAAAAGAACATCTATATCCCCCCCCCCCAGGGTTTTAGTGTTACATGATTTTATCACTAGACACAGAAAATTGACTGTTGGTCTCAGGTGCCTATTAAATGTATTCAGAAATGTCTACGATTCATGAAGATATGTTCACATCTATGTAAACTTCTTTATGTTCAAAATAAGAGGTTATTGAAGGCCATAAGAAGATGAAAATAAATGTAAAATGGATGTTGATTCACTCTTCTGTTCTTTTTGGTAAAATTGCGGGATTGTATACCTTTTACAGCAGAATGTGGTAGTTTATATTATTTTCTACTATTTACTCTGTCTTCCTATAAGGATTATATATCTCTATCCATTGCCATGGGTCTTTCAGTACTTCCTGAGGGAGTGGTATATTTCCCCACCTCATTGATGTTGGGCTTGGCAATATTTGGCCAATTAAATGTGAGCAGACGTAAAGTTAAACTAGTTGCTTCAGGAGTGATTGCATGTTTTTGCCAGCTCGGTTTCCTTTTTTGATCTTCCATAACAATATGTCTAAAGTAATTTTCCAGATAGGAGCTGCTTTGATAGATTGAATATTGTAAAAAAGAAATAGAAAGTAGAGCTGCAGCCAATATACGCCAACATAAAATGTGGTAAGAAAATAAACCTCTGTTGTGATAAACGCCTAAGAATTTAGAGTTGTTAGCATCACAGCAAAACTTACTAATATGAATATTAATATCTGGGGTGCTGCCATAACAAACTACTTAGTGTGTGTTTTGTGTGTGTGTGTGTGTGTGTGTGTGTGTGTGTGTCACTGGATATGTCATTGGCTTAGGGGCCAGATTGTGGGTGGCAAAGAAACTGTCATTAGACAATGAAAAAATGGCAGCCTATATATGCAATTATGAAATATTTTTGTAAAACTGTCTCCTGAAATAACCTGGATGGGTGATAATTATGTAACAAATTTGTTTCTTTAGATGAATTGGTGGAACTCAGAATATTGGAACCACAATTTGATTATTTGGTGCTGTAATTTAATAAGGTACTATAAGAAAGAGATAATCTAAAAAAAACTTGATACTTTATAAGAAGGGGTGAAAATAAAAAAAAAGTACACCTGTTTCTAAAATCAAACAAAAAATAAGATGAGAAATTTTTTATTTAATGGAGAGGAACTGTGGTTAGTGAGAGAAATGCACTAGTTGGAATTATACTATTTTGGACCATGAGTAGCTTGTGGATATGACAAAAATCATTTCCAAATTTCTAAACTACTGCTAATTATCTTATATTGACAACCACTGAACATCCACAAAGTCACTGGTTTTAAACAGTGATAGTTATCTGGCCTAAAGACAACCAATATATTGACAGGCCTACAAAATATAATTTGATCTACCCGCCCCCCCACAAAAAAAAAGCCTTGTCCAGTTGTGGTTACAGTGACTACATGAATTAGTTAAATCATTTCTAAAGAGAATTCATTATCTTGTAGAGTGAAGAAAATGAAGTAGGACATGAAGAAAACACTAAGAAGAAACCACAAAGCCATAAAAGTCATAAGTAAAAAAAGTCATGAATAAGTAGATAAAAAGATTTACAGTTGTAAAGTAAAGTAGTTGATTAGTAGTGGCAAATGAGTAAAAAATAAATAAAACTTTATTGCTGAAGATATAAGAGAAATCCCCAAGATAATCAAGCAACTAGATGTGCTTTAAACACTGATGAATTTCCAAATTTCCATTTATTTAAGGCCTAATTTCTAGTCTTCCCATGAGGCCTTACCTTATGTATTTACCTAAGCTTCTGTGAAGCATTGCACTGGATTTAAAATAATTGCTTTTCTTTTTATTTCCGTGTATGTCTTAAAAAATTTTTAATGAAGATTTTGGATTTCACATGTAATATTCCAACTTTGCCAGCTAATACACAAAGAACTGGCTTCTAGCTTGTCTTTCAGATCTGGCAGGACCCAACATATCACAGGAGTTGAAGTTTATTGCCCATTTGCTCTGTGCTGAGTCAGGGGGAAAAGCGATCTTTTTTAAAAGAAAAAGAAAAAAGCTGGAAGCATCAAATTTTCTGATTTTAAAATGTGTTACAAGGCAACATTAGTTAAAACAGTATGGCGTTGGCATAAAGACAGACATATAGATGAACAAAACAGAATATAGAACCTGGAAATAAACCCACACATACATGGTGAACTGATCAACATTATGGCTGCCAAGAGTACATAGTGGGGAAATAATAGTTTCTTTAAAAAATGATGCTGAAAAAACTGAATATCTATATGCAAATAAATAAATAAATAAATATGGATGTTTATACCATACAAAAAATTAACTCAAACTGAATTAAAAACTTTAATATAAGATCTGAAATGTTAACATTTCTAGAATAAAACACAGAGAAATATCATTATGACATTGATCTTGGCAATGATTTATTGGATATGACACCAAAAGCATAGACAACAAAAATAAAAATAGATAAGTGGGACTACATCAAACTAAAAAGATTCTTTACAGCAAAAGAAACAATCAGCCAAATCAAAATGCAATCTACAAATAAAAGAAAGTATTTGTAAACCACATATCTGATTATGGATTAATTTTCAAAATATATATAAGCCTATTACAATTCAATAGTAATAAAAACCTTATAACCCAATTAAAATAGAGGCTAAAGATGTGAATAAACGCTTTTTCACAGAAGACATGAAAATGGCCAAAAAGTATAGGAAAAAAATGCTCAGAATCACTAATAATCAGAGAATTTCAAATCAAATTCACAATGAGATATTACTTCACACCTGTTATGATGGATAGAACTGCCATACAATCTTGCAATCTTATTTCTGGGAATTTATCTAAAACAATTGAAATAAGAATCTGGGAGATACGTTAGCACTCCCATATTCATTGCAGTATTATTCACAATAGCCAAGAGGTGGATAAAAACTAGTTGTCCCTCAATGAATAATTGAATAAAGACAATGTGGTATATATCTATATCTATGTTTCTATCTATCCATCTATCTATCTATCTATATATCACACTAAAGAATATTAATCTTCAAATAGAAGGAAATCTTGCCATATGCAACAAGGATAAATCTTGAGGACGTTATGCTAAGGGAAATAAACTAGTTATGGAAGGACAAATACTGCATGATTCCACTGATAAGAGAGGTATCTAAAATAGTAAAAATTGTGGAAGCAATGAATAAAATGTTAGTTGCCAGGGTTTTGGGGGAGAGAGAAATGGGGGACTTGCTCACCAATATGTATTTATGCAAGTTGAATAAGTTCTAGAAATCTGATGTACAATATTGTATCTACAGATAGCAATACCATTTGTACTTTATAAAATATGAGAAGATAGAGCACATGTTAAGGGTTCTTATCAATAAAAAATGAATTATAGTAAAAATAAATAAATAGAACTTACAGTCCAAAATGGCAGCATAGAAAAAAGCTGGTCTCACTCTACTACAACAGAAAGCCAAAGAAAAAATATACAGCACCAAGATGATCACTAACAGTATGATAGAACCCAAATATGAAGATCAGGCAGTCTCAGGGCCACAGAAAAGTAAATATACAAAAGAAAATAAAGCATTAAGCATATAGTAAGATAATTGGGTTTTTATATCTGTGACGCTGTCCCTCGATTCTGCCTAGCCCCAAGTGCATAAAATGTTCCCCCAATTCACAGCCTCACTCTGTTGCCTAGGCTGGAGTGCAGTCATGGGATCTCAGCTCACTGCAACCTCTGCCTTCTGGATTCAAGCGATTCTCCTGCCTCAGCCTCCCAAGTAGCTGGGATTACAGACGTTCACCACCACACCCGGCTAATTTTTTTTTTGTTTGTTTGTTTTTTTTTTTTAGTAGTAGAGATGGAGATTCACCATGTTGACCAGGCTGTTCTCGAACTCCTGGCCTCAAGAGATCCATGCGCCTTGGGCTCCCAAAGTGCTAGGATTACAGGCATGAGACAACGTGCCGGCTCTGATTCACAGTTTTTACACTGGAGCAAGTGATGTCAAGGTAGACAACAAAGCTTCCCCATTAACTTGGGTTCCTTAGAAGGATACATTTTCCCTCCTTAACCCACAGGAGGCATCCTGAGTCCCTGAAAAGAGCAATATTCCCAAAGACGGGCAGAGACACAGGATTATCACCCACAGCCCTAGAAACTCTGCTCTGTAGTTGATCAAAGGAGATGCTAAATTAGACTGGCTGTTCATCAGCACCATGCTGTAGGAGGTTTGTTCCACAGGTCCCCCAGGTATAAACACCTAGCCAGCCCTCTGATATTACTGGGATATCCCCTTTGGGACATCCCCCATTCAGAAAGGGCAGTGTTTCAATCCTTTACTGAAGCTATGGCAAACCTGGACTTGAGGCACCATGTAGAGCCAAAAAGGAGGCTGTGACCTAGCACTAAGAAACCTCTTAGAAAATATAGCCAAGAAAAAACAAGTCAGACCAAAAACACTGGAATAAATAACTAAACTTTCAATACAAAGACATACAGGTACATCTACAGAAAACAACAGCAAAAAGAGAACCATGATCTCCCCACATGGACAAAGCAAGGAATGAGTAACTAATCCTTATGAAATGGCAATAATTTGAGCTCTCTAAGAATTCAAAACTACAGTTTTAAGAAAACTCAGTGATCTATAATATATCACAGAAAAGCAGCTCAGAAATTTATACGACAAATGTAACACAATGATTTAAATGATTACTAAATCAAATATAATCTTGGAACTGAGAAATAAATTAGCTAAGCTGAAAAATTTATTAGAGGCTTCCAACAGCAGAATGGATCAAGCAGAGAAAAGAACCAGTGAGCTCAAAAACACGTGATTTGAAAATACACAGTTAAAGGAGAAAAGAAAAAAACCAATATGGCCTACAAGATATAGAAAATTACCTCAAAAGACCAAATCTAAAATGTATCGGTGTGCTATAGGGAGTTTAGCAAGAACAAAGGGTAGAAAGTTTATTTTAAAAACAATAGCAGAAAACTTTCCAAAACTTGAGAAAGATAAAAATATCCAGGAATAGAAAATTCAGAGAACTCTAAATAGATTAAACTCAAGTAAGACTATTGCAAGGTATATAAATTATCAAACTCTAAAACATCTAACACAAAGAAAGGCCCCTAAAGGCAGTGAGAGAAAAAAAGCAAATAACATATAAAATAATTTTAATTTCTCTGTTAACAGACTTCTCAACAGAAACCATACAAGTAAAGAGAAAATTGAGATTTTCAAAATACTGAAAAAAAAGGCCATTCAAGAATACCATACCCAGAAATGCTATCTGTCAAATATGAGGACGAGACATTCATTCCCAGACCAATAAAAGCTTAAAATTTGTAACCACTATACTAACTTTACAAGAAATGCTGAAGGGAGTTCTTCAATCTGAAAGAAAAAAAGCACTAATATGCGGAAAAAAAGTTATAAAACTCACTGGTAAAATTAAGTACACAGGCAAACACAGAATACTCTAATACTGTGATTGGGGTGTGCAATCCATTTAAAACTCTAGTATGAAACCCAGACAAATCTACCAAAAACAATAATAACTATGACAACCTGTTAAGAGGCAGGAAATATAAAAATATGTAAAATGAGACAACTAGAAGTCAAAACGTGGGAAGGTAATTAAAGTGTATCATTTTTTCTTTGTTTATATTCTTTTCTTTGTGACCTAAGTTGTCACCTCTTTAAAATATGTTATTATATCTATAAGGTGTTTTGTGAGCCTCATGGTAAACAAAATGCAAAAACCTGTAAGAGATTCACTAAAAAGGTATACATTAAAACATAGTACCAGAGAAAATAACCACAAAGACAGTAAGAAATGAAGAAAGAAAGGATTTTCAAAGCAACAGAAAACGAGCAACAAAATCTCAGTAGTAAGTCCTTACTTATCAATCATAATGATACATGTGAAATATACTTGATGCTCAAATTAAACGACATTGAGTGGTTAAAGTGCATAAAGAAATAAGACCCAACTATATGCTGCCTACAAAAATTTACTTTACCTATAAAGACAGACATAGACTGAAAGCAAAGGGGGAGAAAAAATATTTAATGCCACTGGAAACCAAAAAAGATTAGAGTAGCTATACTTATATCAGATAAAATAGACTGCATATCAAAGACTGTAGAAAGAGACAAAAAAGGTCACTATGTCATAATAAAGGGTTCAATTCAGCAAGAAGATATAACAATTATAAATATGTACATACCCAACACTGGTGCTGCCAACTAAAGCAAACATTAATATATTTAAAGAGAAAGATAGACTGAAATAAAATAATAATAGGACACTTTAACACTCCACTCTCAATATTGGACAGATCGTCCAGACAGAAAATCAACAAAGAAACATTGGAATAAAACAATACACTAGACTTAGTAGGTCTAACTGACATTTATAGAACATTTTGCTTAAATGTTGCAAAATAAACAATCATATCATCAGCACAGGGAACATTCTCCACAATGGATCACATTATAAGTCACACACACAAAAAATAAGTCTTAATAAATTCAAAAGAGTAGATGCTATGATTTCAGTATTTGACCCCTACAAATTATATATTGAAATTTGAACCTAATGTTGAAAGTTGGGCCTAATGGGAAGTTTTTGAATAATGGGAGTAGATTCCTAATGAATTATTGGTGCAGTACTTGCACCAAGGTAATGAGTGAGTAATGAGTGAGTTATAATGAGTAATGAGTGAGTTCTCATGGTAATGAATGGGCTCTCACTCTGTTAGTTCCTATGATAACCAGTTTTTTAAAAGAGCTGGGTACATCCCTCCTCTATGTTACAATGTGATCTCTGCACATGCTGGCTTGCTTTGCCTTCTGTCATGAATTGAAACAACCCAATGTCCTCACCAGAAGGAGATACTAGTGCCATTTTTTTTCTTGTATAGCCTAAAGAAGTGTGAGACAATTAAACCTCTTTTATTTAAAAATTATCCAGCCTCAGGTATTTCTTTAAAGTAAAACTAAATAAACTTAAATAGCAAAAATCATATCATGTATTTTATGACCACAATGTAATAAAACAAAGAATCAATAACAAGAGAAACCTTGGAAAAATCACAAACACATGAAAATTAAACAAAGATCTTGAAAAATTATGAAAAAATATTTTTAAATGAATATTGAAATACAACATTCCAAAATCTATGAGAAATAGTAAAATCAGTAGTAAGAGGAAAGTTTATAGCAATAAACACCTATATCTAAAAAGTGGAATGACTGAGTAACCTGACAATGCACCTCATGAAACTAAAAAAGTAAGAACAATCCAAACTCAAACTTAGTAAAAGAAAATAAGTAATAAAGACCACAGCAGAAATAAATGAAATTAAAACAAAAAAAATACAAAATGTCAATGAAACCAAGAGTTGGCTTTTGAAAAGATAAACAAAATGTACAAATTAGCTACACTAATTTTTTAAAAAGAGAAGACACAAATAAATAAAATCAGAAATAAAAAGGGGACAAAACAATTGAGACCACAGAAATTTATAAAAATTATTAGAGACTATTTTGGACAACTAACTATACATCAACAAATTGGAAACTGACAAATTTTAGGGCATATACAATCTACCAAGATTGAACCATGAAGAAATAGAAAATCTGAACAAATCAATAATGAACAATGAGATTAAAGCTGTATTTAAAAATCTCCCGTCAAAGAAAAGCCCAGGGCTTGATGGGTTCACTGCCAAATTCTACCAAACATTTAAAGAAGAACTAATATTAATTCTACTCAAACTATTCAAAAAATGGAAGAGGAGAGAATTTTTCCAAACTCATTCTACTAAGCCAGCATTAACTTGATACCAAAACCAGATGATGAAACAACAAAAAAGAGAACTACAGGCCAATATCACTGATAAAAATAGACTCGGAAACCCTCAACAAAATAATAGCAAACTAAATTCAACAACACATTAAAATATTATTTAACATGATTAAGTGTTGTCTTAGTTTTTTTGTGTGTTGCTATAAAGAAATACCTGAGCCTGGTTAATTAATAAATAAAAGAGGTTTATTTGGCTCACAGTTCTGCAGGCTCTACAAAAACATGATACTAAGATATGCTTCTGGTGAGGGACTCAGGATGCTTTTACTGATGGAGAAGTGAGAGCTGGTGTGTACGGATCACATGGCAAGAAAGAAAACGAGAGAATGGAAGAGGTGCTAGGTTCTTTTCAAGAAACAATTCTCCCAGGAATTAAGAGTGAAAAACTCACTCACTCCCATAAGAATGGCACCAAGTCATTCATGAGAGATCTATCACCATGATCCAGACGCCTCCCACCAGACCCTACCTGTAACCTTGAAGATCAGATTTCAACGTTATGTGTGGTGGAGCCAAATAAACCATTTTCCACTATACCAACTGGGATTCATCCTTTGAATGGAAAAAATGGTTCAGCATATGCAAATCAATAAATGTGATACATATTAACAGAAGCAAGAGCAAAAGCCATATGATTGTTTTAATAGATGCACAAAAGCATTCCATAAAATTTAGCATTCCTTTATAATAAAAACCCCATCAAACTGGGTTCAGAAGAAACATACCTCAAAATAATAAAGGTCATACATTAAAAATCCACCTCCAACATTGTATTGAATGGGGAAAAATTGAACAGATTTTCTCTAAGATCTGGAATAATATAAAGATGCCCACTTATACCACTTTTATTTAACATAGTACTTGAAAGTCCTAGCCAGAACAAACAGGCAAGACAAATAAATAAAAGACATGTAAATTGGAAAGAAAAAAGTTGAAATAGCCTTGTTCACAGATTACATAATATTATACTTAGAAAAACCTAAAGACTTCATAAAAAAACTTTGGAACTAATAAACTAATTCAGTAAAGTTGTAGAAAACAAAATCAACCTTAAAAAATTAGTAGCATTTTTATATATCGATACCAAACAATCTGCAACAGAAATCAGAAAAGCAATTCAATTAATAATAGTTCCAAAAGATATAAAATACCTAGGAATGTAATTAACCAAATAAATGAAAATCTATACAAGGAATACAGTAAGACAGTGATTAGAAATGTTGAAGTGGACACAAAAACTGAAAAAAAAATCTTAGTAGATTGGAAAAGTTAAAATTTAAAAAATAACCATAGCATTCAAAGTGATTTACAGATTCAATATAATCCCTATGAATATAACAATGCCATTCTTCACATAAAAAGAAAAATATTAAAATCTACTGGGAATAGCAAAACACTCAGAAAGCACTCCTGACCAAAAGGAACAAAGCTGGAGGCATCACATTACCTGACTTCAAAATTTACTACAAATCTATAGTGACCAAATCGCATGGTACTGCCATAAAACAGATACATAGACTAATGGAGCAGAAGAGAGAATTCACATATAAATGTGTGTATTTACAGCCAACTCATCTTTGGCAAAGTTGTCAAGAGCATACATTGGGAAAAACCAAAACTGGGCTTTATATTTTTAAATTTATTTATTATTGTATTGTATATTTTAGATAATTTTTATTCATTGTTAATAAAGATAAATGTAAACACAAAATAAAAATTGTTCATTATCTCATTGCCCAGATAACAACCTTTACTTCTTTTATTTTATTTTTATATATATATTTATTTATTTTTAAACTTTCATTTCAGGTTTGGGTGTACATGTGAAGGTTTTTTATATAGGTAAACTTGTGTCATGGAGGTTTGCTGTACGTATTATTTCATCACCTAGATATTAGGCCTAGTACCTAATAGTTACCTTTTCTGCTCCTCTCCCTCCTCCTAAAATCCACCCTTAAGTAGACCCCAGTGTCTCTTGTTTCCTTCTTTGTGTTCATGAGTTCTCATCATTTACCTCACACTTATAAGTGAAAATATAAGGTATTTGGTTTTCTGTTCCCATGTTACTTTGCTAAGAATAGTAGCCTCCAGTCGCATCCATGTTCTCACAAAAAATGATCTTTTTTGTTTATATGACTGCATAGTATTCAATGGTGTATATGTACCACAGTTTCTTTATAGAATCTGCCATTGATGGGCATTTAGGTTGATTTCATGTCTTTGCTGTTGTGAATAGTGTTGCAATGAATATTCATGTGCATGTGTTTTTATAGTAGAATAATTTATATTTCTCGGGATATATACCCAGTAATGGGAATGCTGTGTCGAATTGTAGTTCTGCTTTTAGCTCTTTGAGGAATCACCATACTGCTTTCCACAAAGGCCGAACTAATTTACACTCCCATCAAAATTCTATAAGTGTTCTCTTTTCTCTGCAACCTCGCCAGCATCTGTTATTTTCTGACTTTTTAATTATAGACATTCTGAGTGATGTGAGATAATATCTTATTGTGGTTTTAGTTTGCATTTCCATAAGAATCAGTGATACTGAGGTTTTTTTCATACTCTTATTGGCCACATGCATGTCTTCTTTTGTGGAAGAAAATATTTGCAAACTATGCATCTGACAAAGGTCTAATATCCAGCATCTATGAGAAACTTAAACAAATTTACAAGAGAAAAACCAACAACCTCATTAAAAATAGGCAAAGGACATGAATAGACACTTCTGAAAAGAAGACCCAGCAATCCCATCACTGGGTATATACCCAGAGGAATGTAAGTCATTTTACCACAAAGACACATGCATCCAAATCATGTTGTCTACAAACAGGGATAGTTTGATTAACTCTCTTTCTATTTAGTTGCCCTTTATTTATTTCTCGTATATGAATGCTATAACCAGGACTTCCAAAAATATGTTGAGTAAGAGTGGTGAAGAAGGCATCTTTGTCTTGTGCTTGTTTTCAAGGGGAATGTTTTCAGCTTTTGCCCGTTCAGTGTGATGTTGGCTGTGGGTTTATCACACATGCCTCATCATTTTTAGATACGTTCCTTCAATACCTAGTTTATTGGGAGTTTTTAACATGAGGGGATGTTGAGTTTTATTGAAAGCCTTTTCTGCATCGATTAGAATAATCACGTGTTTTTTTTTCTTTAGTTCTGTTTATGTGATTGATAACATTTATTGATTTGCATGTTTACCCAATCTTGTGTCCTGGGGATGAAGCCTACTTTATTATGGTTGGATAGCTTTTTGATGTGCTATTGGAGTCAGTTTGCAAGTAGTTTGTGGAGAAGTTTTGCACAGTTGTTTATCGTGAATATTAGCCTAAAGTTTTCCTTGTTGTTGTTGTGTCTCTGCCAGATTTTGCCATCAGGATGATGCTGGTCTCATAGAATGAGTCGGGGAGGGGCTACTCCTCAATTGTTCGGAATAGTTTCTGTAGATATGATACTAGCTATTCCTTGTACATCTTGTAGAATTTGGCTTTGAATTTATCTGTTCCTGAGCTTTTTTTTTTTTTTTTTTTTTTTTTTTGGTAGGCTATTTATTATTGATTCAATTTCAGAGATCATTGTTGATCTTTTCAGGGAATCATTTTTTTCCTGATTTAGTCTTTGGAGGGTGTGTGTGTGTTCAGGAATTTATCAATTTCTTCTGGGTTTTGTAGTTGGTGTGCATAGAGGTGGTTGTGTACCTTCTAATGGTTATTTTTATTTCTGTGTAGTCAGTGGTAACATCCCCTTTATCATTTCTAATTTCGTTTCTTCAGATCTTCTCTCTTTTGTATTAGTCTAGCTAGTGGCCTATATACCTTATTAATTTTCAAATAAAAACAACTGGATTTGTTGATCTTTTAAATGGTCTTTCATGTCTTGAATTCCTTCAGTGCAGCTCTGATTTTGATTATTTTTTGTCTTCTGCTAGCTTTGCCATTGGATTGCTCTTGCTTCTCTATTTGTTTCAGTTATGATTTTAGGTTGTTAATTTGCGATCTTTCTAACTTTAATGTGGGCATTTAGTGCTATGAATTCCCCCTTTTAACACTGTGTCCCAGATATTCTGTTATGTGGTATTTTCATTCTCATTAGTTTCAAATGACTTCTTGATTTCTGCCTTAATTTCATTATTTACCCAAAGTCATTCAGGATCATGTTGATCACTATCTCTGTAATTGCATGACTTTTAGAAATTTTTTTAAGTCTTGACTTATATTTTTTTGTGTGCTGTGGTCTGAGCATTTATTAGTATAATTTTGGTACTTTTGCATTTGCTGAGGATTGTTTTAAGTCCAATTATGTGGTAAATTGTAGAGTATTTTCCACGTGGCGATAAGAAGAGTGTATATTCTGTTGTTTTTGATTGGAGAGTTCTGTAGAGGTCTATCAGATCTGTTCCTTCAATGTTGTGCTCAGGTTCTGAATATCTTTGTTAATTTTCTGCCTCAATGCTCTGTCTAATGCTATCAGTGAAGTGTTGAAGTCTCCCACCATTATTGTGTGGGAGCCTATGTCTTTTTTTGTACAACCTTTAACAAAAACCCAATGAATGAATACTATATGTATACATGGTTGAAAAGTTAAAAATGAAATTCCCTTTCTTCTTTCATGTAACACAATAAATGAATTGATGTACTTCTTTCAGAAGAAAAATCTCTAGATACATAGAATTGAAACTTCTTACAATCTTACTTGTGATTATGTAAACTTGGGGAATGAGAAAATGTTATGCAATTGTCAGCCTGTATACCAGAAAATTTTTTTCAGGTTATTTTTAGAAATTTTCTCTTTAAAGAGAAGAACTAAACCTCATGATATACTTGGGGGTCAAATAGCATGTTTCACTCTAAAATTAGAGATAAATTATAATTTTTTAACAAAGCCTGATTATGGAAAAGTTACTTGTAGCAGTATGACTCCCTGCCAATAAGTTTGAAAGAGCAAAAATTTTACTCTATTTATCAACTGAATTTTATTTTTGATTGCAATTCTACTAGGTAATGTTAGAATTCAGAACATGAGACTCCAAAGTATGCTGACTTTTCATACTGAAATAAATATAATTGGAAGAGTCTCACGATCAAGGTCTGTCTAGCCTTCTCCCTTTGTCCTATCTATACACCTCTGTCTCCCCTAAAGTGAGATATAGAAATGAGAATTTCTCTCCCCCAAGTCTAGTGATAGAAACTAGAATTCCTCTTGCCCAATGCAAGCCATAAAATCCAGAAATGTCACTCTTTCTCTTCTCCCTTCTCTCTTGAAAACTCTCATTCCAAAAAGTCCTGCCCCATACCCTGTGGAAAAAATGCTACAACAGAGAGGTCAAGAAGAATTTAAAGACAGGCCTTGCTGGGTTTTCCCTCTAAGTCTATTACCATTAAATTATATACCCTGCAGTAGGCAATTCTTGCATTGCTATAAATACCTGAGACTGGGTAATTTATAAAGAAAAAGGTTTAATTGGCTCACAGTTCTGCAAGCTGTGTAGGATGTATGATGCTAGCATCTGTCTGTCTTCTGTAGAGCCCTCAGAATACTTATAGAAAATGAAGGGAGACCAGGCACATTACATGTCCAGAGCAGGAGCAAGAAAAAAGAAAAAAAGAGAAGTGCCACACATTTTTCAAGAACCATACCTTGCAAGAACTCACTCACTATTATAATGACAGCATCAAGGTGATGGTGCTAAACCATTCATGAGAAATCCACTCCCATGGTCCAGTCACCTCTCACCAGGCCCCACCTCCAACACTGGGGATTGTATTTCAACACGACATTTGGGCACACCAAATATCCAAACTACGTCATACTCTTTTGTCCAATCACATCTCTACACAGATGTCTAATCTTTATTAAATTTAAGTATAAAAATAGATTTCTCTATGCCTTTCAATCTTAATTTCTGAAGGTTCGTGTGCCATGTAAAACTTTGATTAATTTGTTGTGCTTTTCGTTTGTTAACCTTTCTTTTGTCTTGGGGTGTCAGCCATGATCCTTATAAAATGTAAGAAACGGTGTAACACCTTTCTGCCCCTACAGTAGCAACATCTTTTTTAAAACAGCCAGATTGGCTGGGTGCGGTGGCTCAAGCCTGTAATCCCAGCACTTTGGGAGGCCAAGGTGGTCAGATCACCTGAGGTAGGGAGTTAGAGACCAGCCTGACCAACGTGGAGAAACCCCATCTCTATTAAAAATACAAAATTAGCCAGGCGTGGTGGTGCATACCTGTAATCCCAGCTACTCAGGAGGCTGAGGCAGGAGAATCGCTTAAACCCGGGAGGCGGACGGTGAGCCGAGATCGCGCCATTGCACTCCAGCCTGGGCAACAAGAGCAAAACTCCGTCGCGCAAAAAAAAAAAAAAAAAAAAAAAGAAAACTAAAGAAAAGCAGGGGCCTTATTTTGCAGGGTGCCCTGATGCCGCATTTGACCTTTCAGAATCCAAAGTGAAGTATTCTGAACAAGACAAAGGCCCAAAATGAGGTTTTAGAAAAACAGACTAATAGACAGTATGAAAAATAAATGAATATGGGATGACCTTATTGTCTGAGACATCGCTATACCCAGTTCTAAAACATTTACATGAAAGAACTTATTATGGGAGAGATGCATTGACTAATCTAATTAGGCCATATCAAAAAGGTCCTCACCTACATGACTATTCAAATGATAACCCAACTAATATAAGAAATTAGTAATAAAGATCTTACTTTAATTGATTATTTGGCTTATCTCTTGGATGTGACTTGACTAGAGTAACAAAATCTGAGGGAGACTTTCTGAATTCTGCTACTCTGAAGAACAAAGTGTAATTCTGAATGTTCTAGAGGGCAACATAGCATAGAGTTAGCCCCTGCATTGACGATGACTCCAAAATATATAAACATGTGCTTGCCTGAGCTACCATATTTTAAATATTTATAAATTTGGAGGATTTTTAATAGCTTAAGTATTTAAATATCACTATTACTTAAAAGGCATTATTTAGAAATAGTTCCAATACATGCTTAATCAACTATTTATATTAATGTAGAATTATATGTGTTATATGTAATAGAAATATGTATTTTGTTTAATATGGATAGCTTGCATTTGTAGTGATTCATAAACATAGACTTTGAATTATAAATCTCTTTTTTGCCTAATTATGGGTATGTTTCAGTTTTCATATGACAAGATAAAATTGATGTTAATAATATGTTCCCTATATCTTCACAGGGATATTCTGAGGACCACACGAGTTCAAGTATCTTGATACTACTTTATAAGATGAAATATTCTATATAAATATAGTGAATTGGATAACAATTATCAAGAAGACAAGAACTAGCAAGTGTTGGCAAGTATGTGGAGAAAATAAAACCCTTGTACACTGTTGGTAGAGCTGTAAATTGGTACAGCCATTATGGAAAATAGTATGAAATTCTTCAAGAAATTAAAAATAGAACTGCCATTTGATTCAGCGATTCCTTCATGAGTATAAACCTCAGGGAAATAAAATCAATTCCTCGCAAGGGATCTGCAGTCCCATGTTCATTTCAGCATTATTCACAATAGCCAAGATATGCAAACAACCTAAATGCCTGCCGGTGAATGAATCAGTAAAGAAATTGTGGTATATGTATACAATGGAATGTTATTCATCCTTAAAAAAAAGAAAATTCTGCCATTTTTGACAAAATGGATGAACCTGGAGGATATTATGGTAAGTGAAATAAGCCAGATACAGAACAAAAATATCGCATGAGTTCACTTTTATGTGGAATTTCAAAAAGCCTAATACATAGAAACAGAGGGTACCATTTGACAGTTACCAGGGGTGGGAGGGGGTTGGGGAGATGTAGGTCAAAAGGTGTAAAGTTCAGTTTTGTAGGATAAATAACTCTGGAGATATAATGTACAGCATGATGACTGTAGTTAATAGTATTACGTTGTATACTGGAAATTTGCTAAGACAGTAGATTTCAAGTGCTCTTACCACGTAGACACAAACACACAAGTTAATTATGATGGTATGGATATGTTAATTTTCTAAGTGTAATAGTTATTTTACTGTGTATATTAAAATGTCAGCTTGTAAAACTTAACTGTATACAATAAAAAATAATATAGTACATTGGCACTATTATGGATATTATTTTTATGCAAAATATTTGGACATTAAGAACATAAGAACTCCTTTATTCACATCGAAGTACATACAGTTCCTTATCTCACTCCAAAAATAACTTTGAAGATAAGTGGTGTACTAGTTTGGTTTCCTAGGGAAAACCAGTTCTGAAATGTAGATTATCATACAGGAAGTTTATTACAGAATGTCTTCTGTATTCACACCTGTGGAGAAAGGAAAAGAAGAAGGATTGGCCCAAGAAAAAGTTTGGCTTTTACTCAGTCCCAATAAAGGGCTCAGCTGACCCAGTGGGAATATTTCAAACTGAGATGATACAGCAATATTTTCACAGCAGAGGACAAGGGTACCAGGACTTTTTTATTTGTTAACAAATTAACAAGTTTGTTAATTTTTTAAGCCCACAAGGATCAATATATGTAAGGTACCCCTGGATAAGAGGGTGAGGCAGCTTTCTACAGCTTGGGGCTGAAGTTTGTCAGACAGCAGCGCTTTCAGCCACTGAGGGAAATAAATCGTTCAGCCCTGAAAGGAGGTATGTGTGGTGGATCACAGCATGATTTATAAGTGTTGCCCAAAACTCTTCTAAAATGTTAATATTATGGTTAAGATACATATGCTTTTTAAATAGAAATTCTTGAAATAGGAATATTTAAGATGATCAATTTTAATAGAATCCATTTCTCCCATTTTTTAAATTCATGTCAGAACCAATTGTGAACATTCACAAAAAAAATTTTTAGCAATCAAGTATCTATTTGGAAAAAAATACTTACATTAAGTTTTCACCAAATGATTTGTTTTTTCTTTTGATACTTTCTGGGCAATAATTTCAGTCAAATTATATTAATTAATCATACATTATTTACATTGTATGATTGAATCAGCCTAACACATTGCAACAAAATGTGATTATTTTATGAATCATTAACAACAAATAGAAGATTTAAAATAGAATCATCACTATTCTCTGAAAAAGATTAATAATTGCTTTAAAAGTTAGATTTGCTTTGTCTTACATATATCTTTTCTAAAATTGTAGTAATGTGCTTAAGCTTCAGGCTCAAAGCCTTAAAGTCTAAAGAATTTGTACACAGTCTGTGAATTCTTTGTCTAGTAAGCACTGATAAAGATTAGGACATTTTAAAATCTGAATTGATCATCACACTAATGAAGACTGTATTTTGCATAGAACCTTCTGCTATGAAAATAAGCAATAACTTATGTGGTCAGAGTTTTTATGGGATAAAGAGGCAAGACTTTTTGTGAGATGATGAAGGGTTCCAAAAAGAGATACTCTTATTATTCTTCCAACATATTCACTCAGATGGAATCAGGTTAAAATGAACAAGTATGTATACATTGGAAAGGTATGTGATATTATAGAACAAAAACTTGTAAACTAGATTTTAGAAAATAATGGATCAGGATCTGTAAAGAAATTGGAAAGCATTTTTGTCCAGGAACTATCTCTCCCTTTTAATTCTTGATTCTTTTGCTTTCTCGTCTCTCCTCATCTTTACTGAAATATATTTGACCAAATAAAATTGTATATTTTTAAGGTAACATGAAGTTTTGATATAAGTGTACATTGTGAAATTATTACCAAAATTATATTAACATATTTTTATCTCACATAGTTACCCTTTTTTGTGCTGAGGCTATTTAAGATCTACTCTCAGCAAATTTTATGTATAAAATACATTATTATTATTAACTATAGTCACCATTGCTGTTGTAAGAGTGGAAAGGAAGTGATCTCTTTCGTTCTCTTCATAAAGTGTCATGGCTGACACTCCTATAACAAACTATAGGTTAATAAGAGAAAGATAACAAATGTATTTAACATGAATAGTACATGAGAAACATATAAAAATTATGAAAAACTCAAAAAAAGGTTACAATGGTTGATGCTTTAATAACCTTATTGCAGAGAGGGAAGTGGTGTTGGTTAGGTGGTGGTTTGGGGGGGTGGCTCTTGTAAATGAATGGGCCTGAAGACCAGAAAATGGTTTGGAAATGATTGATAATGGACACAGAATGGGATCAAAGGACAAACAAGAACTTTTAGACAAGTTACATAAAGGTAAGGAGATGGAATTGCATTGTAACTAAAAGTTGTTTTATTATGCAAATACAGTCCCTCAGGTAATCTCTTGAAACAGGCTCAGAAGAATAGACAAAAAGTATGTCTGTGATTGGTGAGTACCCCCAGTCTCTTCTCCAGTGTTTAATCTTTCCAGGTTATTTAATGAGATTCATAGGGAGGGGATTTTAAGACAATTGGAATTTGTTTAGACATTTTCTCAGTCAAACAAGGGAACTTCCATAGAGAGTCCTTTCCAGTTCTTTAGAAAAGAAAGAGAATCAGAGAGACAGAGAAGTGAGGGAAAGTCAAAGAGAGAGACCTTAAGGCTTCTTCTTTAGATTAGCTTATCAAAGCACCATATTTGGGGTTATCTGTTTCTGAGTCCTAACACAGTACATGAAGTCTCCAGAATTTATACATCTTATAATTGCAAGTTTTTATCTGTTGACAAGCATATTCCCAATTCACCTTTTCCTAACCCCTGGTAACAACCCTTCTACTCTCCGTTTCTATGAATTTGACTTTTTATATTTCACATAAGTGGGATCATCAAGTATTTGTCTTTCTGTGTCTGGTCTATTTACCCAGGATAGTGTTCCCCAGGTTCATCCATGTTGTTGTCACAAATAGCAGGATTTCCTCCTTTTAAAGTCTGATTAATATTCTATTATATTGGTAGTATTTCTTCAATGATATTCCGATTGGATAATCTATCCATTGTTGATTATATTTTATATAACATATTATAATTTAATATATAGTTTATACTTTTATCAATTTATCGTTGACAGACACTTTTTTAATATCTTGGCTATTGTTAATGATATGGTAATTAAACATGGGAGTGCAGATAGTGATTTTAATTCCTTTGGATATATGCCCAGAAATGGGATTGCTGGATCAAATGTATGAGATAATATGGTGGTTTTATTTTTAATTTTTTGAGAAACTTTCATATTATTTTTCATAATGTCTGTTCCAATTTACATTTCTACCACCAATGTATAATGATTCACTTTTTTACACATTCTCACCAACATTGCTATCTTTTGACATTTTTATAATAGCTACCATAACAGGTGTGAGGATCTATCTCATGGTTTTGATTTGCAATTTCCTAATGATTAATTACGTTCAATACCATTTTATATACCTGTTGGCCATTTGTATATTTTTTAAGAAAAATTCTGCTCAAGTATTTTACCCATTTTTTTTAACTAGGTTGTTAGTTCTTTTGCTATTAAGTTGTATGAGTTCCTTAAATATTTTGGATATTAACCCATATCAGACACATAGTTTGACAATATTTTTTTTCCATTCTGCAGGTTGTCTTTTCATTTTGCTGAGTGTTTCTTTGATAGTTTAGAAGCATTTTAGTTTGATGTAGTCCCAGTTCTCTGTTTTGCATTTGTTTCCTGTGCTTTTGGTTTCATATCCAATATATTATTGTGCAGACCAAGTTCATGGAATTTTCCTGTTTCCTTCTAGAAGTTTTAAGGTTGTAGATCTTAGGTTAAAGTCTTAAATGCGCTTTGAGTTTTTTATTGCTATGATTTTTCCCTGTTAGAACTGCTTTTGCTGTACCCCGAAAGTTTTGATGTGTTGTGTTTTCATTTTCATTTGTCTCAAGACATTTTTTAGTTCCTTTTTGATTTCTTGTTTGAAAGTTCAAGAGTGTCTTGTTGAATTTCTAAATAAATTGTAAAATTTCTGCTTTTTCTCCTGTTACTGATCTCCAGTTTTATAACATTGTTGCGATAAAAGATGCTAGATATGATGATTTTAATCTTCTTAATTTTGTTAAAATTTGTTTTCTACCCTAGCATATGATCTATCCAAGATAATGTTACATGTGTCAAGAAGAATGCATATTTTGCTGTTGTTGATTGGAATGTTCTATATATGTCTGTTACATCTGTTGGTCAAAAGTATAGTTAAATTTCAACATTTCTTCATTGATTTTCTGTTTGGATAATCTATCCATTGTTGAAGGTGGAGTATTTAAGTCCGCTACTATTATCATATTTATTTATATTAGGTGAGTGCAAAAGTAATTGTGGTTTTTACATTTTGGGATTTGCCATTTGATATTGGAATACATTCTTAAATAAATTTGGTTATGATATACATTATTTTAATAGGCATTTCTTGCTTTATGTTATTTCGCTAATGATGTTGTTGTTGTTTATTTTATTCTTATTTTAGACTATGGAAATTATGTTAGACAAAAAGCAAATTTGAACAATTTTCTTATTTGAGTTCAAAATGAGTTCCAAAGCAACAGAGACAACTTGCAACATCAACAATGCATTTGGCTGAGGAACTGCTAATGAACAGAGAGTGCAGTGGTGGTTCAACAAGTTTTGCAAAGGAGGGGAGAGCCTTGAAGATGAGGAGCATAGTGGCTGGCCATTGGAAGCTGACAACAACATATTGAGAACAATCATCAAAGCCGATCCTCATCCAACTACATAAGAAATTGTCAAAGAACTCAATGTCAACCATTCTATGGTCATTCAGCATTTGATGCAAATTGGAAAGGTGAAAAACTTTGATAAGTGCATGCCTCATGAGCTGAGCAAAAATTTTAAAAATCATCGTTCTGAAGTGTCATCTTCTCTTATTTTATGCAACAACAATGAACGATTTCTTGATCTGATTGTGACATGCAACAAAAAGTGGATTTTTATACAATGACCAGCTCAGTGGCTGGACTGAGAGGCAGCTCCGAAGCACTTCCCAAAGCCAAATTTGCACCAAAAAAAGGTCATGGTCACTGTTTGGTGGTCTGCTGCCAGTCTGATTCACTGCAGCTTTCTGAATCCCAGCAATACCATTACATCTGAGAAGTATGCTCAGCAAATCAATGAGATGCACTGAAAACGGCAATGCCTGCAGTTGGCATTGGTCAACAGAAAGGGCATAATTCTTCTCCATGACAACGCCCGACTGCATGTGTCAGTACCTCACCTCTCACCAACTGACTACCGCTTCTTTAAGCATCTCGACAACTTTTTGTAGGGAAATGCTTCCACAACCATCAGGATGCAGAAAATGCTTTCCAAGAGTTCGTCAAATCCTGAAGCATGAATTTTTACACTACGGGAATAAGCAAACTTGTTTCTCATTGGCAAAAATGTGTAGATTGTAATGGTTCCTATTTTGATGAATAAAGATGTTAGAGCCTAGTTATAATGATTTAAAATTCACAGTCGAAAACCACAATTATTTTTCCACCAATTTCTTCCTTTAGATACATTAATATTTGCTTATGTATTTAGATTATTTTATATTGAGTGCATACATATTTACAATTGTTATATCCTCTTAATAAATTGACATTTTTATGATTATATAATGATCTTTTTGTCTCTTGTCCTTACTGCAATTGACTTAAAATCTATTTTGTCTAATATAAATATAACTCCACATATTATATTTTGTTTTCTATTTGCATGGAATATTTTCCATCCCTTTACTTTCAGTCCGCAGATGGGATTAAAGCTGAATTGAGTCTTGCAGACAGCATATATTTAGATTTTTTTAAAATCAAATTCAGCTATTCTGTGTGTTTTCTTGGAAAATTTAATACATATATTTAAAATGATTATTGAGAGGTTAAGGAATTACTATTACCACTGTGTTAATTGTTTTTTGAAAGTTTTATAGTTATTTTGTTCTTTTATACCTCTCTTGCTATCTCCTTTTGTGATTTGATAATATTGTGTATTGGTAGGCTTTGATTACCTTTAAAAAATTCTCACTTTATTTCTTAATTGACAACTAAACATTGTATACATTAATTGTGTATATGATGTTTTAGAAAATGTATGCATTGTGGAATGGCTCAGTTGAGCTAATTAACATATGTACTACCTCACACATTTATTTTCGTGGTGGTAATGTTTAAAATATGTTCTCTTAGTGATTTTTAAACAATAATACACTATCATTAACTATAGTCACCCTGTTCTTCAATAGATCTCTTGAACTTATTTCTATCTAACTGAAATTTTATATTCTTTGAATAGAAGATTGCTTTGATTACTTTCTTTTCATCTTCTGTGTATGTACATAGGTTTTTGCATTTTGGTAACCATTAAGTTTACATAAAACAATCTTATAGCTGTAACAGTCTACTTTAAGCTTATAATTTAAATTTGATCACATACAAAACTTCTATACTTTTATTTCTATACCTCCCCATATTTTCATTTTGATGTCAAAAATTACATCTTTATATATGGCATATTTATTAACAAGCTATTATAACTATAGTTATTTTAATATTTTTGACTTTCAACCTGCATACTAGAGTTAAAAGTTATTTACACATCACCATTACAATATTAGAGTATTCTGAATTTGACTATATACTTACTCTTACCAATGAGTTGTAGACAGTCATATGTTTTCATGTTACTAATTAGCATCATTTTGTTTCAGCTTTAAACTCCTTTAATATTTACTGTAAGGCAGGTCTAGTGGTGATAAGCTACCTCAGGTTTTGTTTGTCTGGAAAATACTTTATCTCTCTTTTTTTGCTGAAGAATAGCTTTTCTGAGTAAATTATATTTGGTTGGCAGTTTTTTTTCTTTTACCCCTTTGAATATGTCATCCCCTTCTCTTTTGGATTTTCAGGTTTCTGCTAAGAAATTCATTAATTGCCTTCAAGGCATTCATTTGTAAGTAGTGAACCTCTTTTATCCTACCGCTTTCAAAATTCTCTTTGGCTTTGATTTTTGATTGATTATAATTTGTCTTATCTAAGTCTATTTTTGGGTTAAAATTGTTTGAAGAATATTAAGCTTTATGTGCCTAGATGTCCATATCTGTATTCATATGTAGGAAGTTTTCAGCCATTACTTCTTTAAGTTTTTTACATTTTTCTCTCTTTTTTTCTTCTCAAATTCTTATAATGTAAATATAGCTCTCTTGAAGGTATTCCATAAATCCTATAGGCTTTCTTCATTCCTGTCTATTTTTTCTCCTCTATTTTCAAATGACCTGTCAGAGTTCAAAGATTACTTCTTCTTTTGATCAAGTCTGTCTAGACAAATTCTGTTGCATTTTTAACATTTTATTCAAGGAGTTCTTCAGCTCCAGATATTTTTTGCTTACTTTTTATGATTTATTTCTCTTTATGAACTTCTTTTTTTGTTCAAGTATAGTTTTTCTTATATTATTTAGTTGTCTGTGTTCTCCTGTATCACACTGAGCTTCCTTAAAATAATTATTTTGAATTAATTTTCAGGCAATTCATAGATCTCCATTTCTTTGTGCTTGGTTACTGGAATATTACTGCTTTTTAAATTTTTATTTTGAGTGTTCTTGAAGTCTTTGCATTTTAATAAGCAGTTACTTTCTCTAGTCTTTTCTTATTCACTTCAGGATATATATGTCTTTACCAATTAGCCTGGCTATGAATTGTGAGGATCTCTCAGATGTTTTCTATGTATTTGCCTACTCCACACCTCTTGTTCTTAATTGGGGGTGGAAAGTGGATTATTAAGATTATCTTTTTCTCTCAATAACACAAAGCCAGGCAAGGCACTGGGAAGCATCCACTGGTTTTCACTAGGGAAGTTTCATGAAATTCTCAAATTTGTTTGCCTTCTCCCATTCTTGCAGAGTTACGTAAGTTGTCTGCATGAGGTGTTTGCATTTACTGTCAGAGGAGTGTGGTCAGGGAGACAGTCTGGGAGAGTGTGAGGAGCATGGAATGTTTGTGGTGCTCATAGGCCAGTTCTGGGTGTCCTTCAGTGAGGCATTCCAATTAGCTAGTGGGGCAGTTCTCCTGATGTATTCAACAGAGTGGTTAGTAGATCTGTGGCCTCTCCTCTCTACTTCCAACCTATCTCAACCACTCATCTGTTTCAGTCAATTTGGTATTCCTTGTAGGATGAAAAGAAACGGGCATTTTGGGCACTGTCCCAACAGCTAGAGAGAGGAGGTGCCAGGTTCTAATTCTCTATACTTTTACTTTCTCCTATGGTACAAATTATGAACTAAGGCCCTTTTTGCACTAAGCTGCACCACCTTGTTGGGGGAGTATCCTGGTTAAGGCAAAACTGTTCTCACCCTCCCCATTGCATCTAAGATTTTTGCTCCAATAGTGTGCTGGTCTCCCAGATATGCTGGACTCCGAGATTCCCACAGATATAATTTTATTCATGGGTAGCTGTCAAAATTGATGCTCTGAGGAGGGATGATGGTAGAAATCTCATATTTCACTATTTCGTTAATATTAGTCTTCACAAGTCATTTACTTTCTGACTGTGCTTCTGAATATATACAAGGGCCTAGAATAATTTTCAGTGTCAAATAGGCAGAGAAGGACATAAATTTCATATTCAGTAAATGCCAATTATCCCCTATGGATCTTGTTCAGCTCTTTGCATGCATGTCTCAGCAGATTCTCACCTCAATCCTATGTAGTAAAATGATTATCTCCATCTGACCGATGAAAAGACTCAGATAGTGAGGTAAGTTAATTGCCTTAGCTTATATGGGAAATAAATCCCAGAGCCAGGATTCAAAATGAAGTGTACTTTTACTTCAGATTTATTCTACTTCCATTGTTGGATGCTACATCTGTATACTACCATTTCCTCATTTACCACAACTATCCTGTAATTATATTACTCTGATTTATTTACACAGCAATATGTCCTCCTTAACTTTCAGAAGAGGCAATAATCCCAATACTTTAAGTATATGGATAGATCAAAAGTCAGATTCAAAAGTCAGATTCTAATTGGGAAATTGTGACACACTGACTTCTCATATTCAATTTTTCTATTATTTTTAGGGAAACCTGCTGCTAGAAAGTTACGCATTCTTCATTTTCAAAAAGAGAAAAAAGAAGGGGGACACATTAGCATTAAAGATACACTTTAATTTTCCAATGTCATTATAATTTTACCTCACATTGAAAAAAATATAATAAATCTCAACAGAGACTAATTAACAACAACAAAAAATAGTCCCTTTGACTTTTCTCATTTTCTGTAAGAGAAAATTTGTTAGCAGGGAAATCACATTTATAAAAAGTTATATTCATTGAGAAATGCTTGTAATTTATCAGTACCATAAAGCATATATTATATGCATGTGTATGTGTGTGTACATATATTTACATATATATACAGTCACGTGTGTGTATATATATATATATTTGAGAATATATTGAGAATATACATATGAGTAATGGACTCCAAAAAACAATAATTACTCAATTTTATGACTTTTTTTTTAAGGGAAATATCCCTATCCCTTCTCTGTCTCTTTTTTGGTCTTTCCATTTTTTCTCTTTTATGTCTCTAATTACTTTTAACCAGGAAGACACTTGGGAAAAATGTAAAGAAGAAATGGATGACAGAAATAACTACTCCAAGAAAATATGTTGTATATGCAGCATGAATGACAGTTGTATGCAAAATTTAGCGTTTTCTTACACTTGTCTCATTTCTACTCTTGTAAACTTTCATTATTTATTTATTAAATTGTAGCTGCTTGTCTTTCTGCAATGCATGTCCTTTAGGTTGAAATGACAGTATTTTACTGGAAATCCAAATAGCCCATCAGCTACAATTTGTGTGTGACATTTTAATTGGTTATTGCTCTGAAAAAAAAAAGAAAAATAAACTGTTCTTAATCTCTAAAACACTGCATCCAAGACAAATCTATGAAGTTAAACAGTCATGTAAGATATTTTACTCTTTCTTTAGTTTAATTATCTGTGAATTAACATGTAAAATAAATATACCTTTAGCAATAAATGAAAGCATCTGGGAAGCAAATTAAAAGTACAAATTAATTAAAATGTAAATTCAAAATCACAAATGGTTTAAAAGTAAACTTGAAAATAGAAATAATTGCTATTTAAAGTAATTATGCTACTATTACTTTTTTCACTTGATAAAAAATAAAACAAATCATAATTGGAGACTTTGACATCAAAAATAATTGGTTATATCATACATTTAGATACCATAACTTTTTTATTTTTAATTAAAGTTATTGTAATTATATGATTGATGTACCTTCTAGTTGAAGTATTTAACTAATCCAGGTGGGAAACTATTAAAGATTCTGCCCAGGGGTCCTCATGTCATGCTACTGATATATTAAAATAAGCAAATATATTGATAGACAAATTAATGGAGCTTTTCCTAATATTAAGCAATCTGTTCAATTTAATTTCAATAAACATCTAATAAATGACTGTGTAAAACAAAAAGAAAGAGGGTGCTTAAGAACTTTTTAAAGCCCATATTACACAACTTCAATTGTGTAAAAAAGCTAATTGTGCTCTTGGGAATTTTGCTGATTATTTACAAAGTGGTTGCCCACATGTGTTAACTATTGTGTTCATGTTTTGAAAGAGCTAATGTGTTTTAGCAACTATTTTCCATCATCATTAACAAGTTGTGTGTGTGTATTAAATTAGCTAATGAGGTATATGATCCACATATGACATAATTGGATATGTTATTAGATCACATTTTGTATAATTCAGCTTCATTTTAAAGTATAACGTTCTCTATTACTACTGTACAAACTTTTTATACTTTATGACATGCATTTACAGAATGTATTCATATTAATTTTGTTGATCAAATCATGTTCATCTAATGCTTGTGTTTATGTTAAAATATGTAAATAAAATATCTAACAGATGGGAGAATAGCCTGCAAGAGGTATGCAAAACCTTGGAAAATATAAATTATTTATATTTTATTATTAAATAATTTATTATTACAAAACATATTTATAAAAGAGCATTAATTGAAAATTTATGTCTGTACTAATAATTTTTAATGATAATTAATGGAGAAACTTGATTATAGATTGCTTAATATCTTTTTCAATAAGGATATGCACTTCCCACTAATAGTATAATTAAAATTTTATGTGAAAGGTATAACAGAGGAGAAAATAATAGAAAAATCTGAATTGATAGTACCTTTTAAAATATTGTTTTATAAAAGTCACCGGGTAGAAACACATTTTTGAAGCGACACCCCAAAATGAGAAACTAGGTAAATAAGGATATCTAAAGGTATTCCATAATATAATAGTAAATATAAAATACATAGTAATAGAATGTCGGCAATATTGTGTTATAGGACGTTCCAGCCCTCATCAGCCCATAAAAACACTGATTTTGGAAACTACCCAAAGACAAGTATAACTTTTTGAGTAATATATAGTTCAGCTGTGAAATGTCAGCACCCCAGTGGAGAAAAAAGTCTGATAATGAACTCATGAGATATGGTAAAGAGCAATTTTACTTTATGTCACCCCATTTCCAGGGTGGGGCAACTTAGTGCTGAAATATGCCTTCCTTAGCCTGCAAATTCTCCTGTAGGGGAAAGTGAGAGAAAAATGACCACTCAGCTTTTCCAGTCTTGAAAGATGCTGCTTAGAGGCTACTTCTGTCTCATCTCACTCAGATCAATAAGGAAATCAGCACAGCTGAATTATCTGGAATGAGTTAGGGGTAGGAACTCACAGCAACCTGCACATACATCTCAACAGCTGGCTGTGGTTCTTGCTAAGCAGCTTGTGGGTTTCACCAAAGGTCTGCCCATAAACCCTACGAAACAACTCACCTGCAGACCCCTCTGTAAGCTAACAAGCACCCACAGCACCCTGCATGCCACCTGTGCTTTCCCTGTTAAGACACCCTGTGTATTCCACAGATGGTATATGGAATATCCCATCGATAGCATATGGATATTAACAACAGGTGCAGAATTTTGCAGCCGTCTTGATTCAGCTTGATTGGGAGAAAGCACACAACACTGAATATTTTATGGTACTGTCCTAAATAAAATAAAATAAAAACTCAGCATCAGGTATAGCTTCTTGTAATACAGAGAAGGTACGTGATTCTAAGACTTCTCCCTAAGACGAAATAAGAGGAGTGGAGTAGGTGCATCCATTATAAAGAAAAAAAAAATCTGAGATACCCTCAGAATTTCTAACCAAGTTGACTGGTGAAGGTCTTTTACTCCAAAGTCATTCAGTAAAGAATAGAGAAGGTGAATGCTTCTTCAAATGCAAATATAGCAATGCAAGTTTTCCGGAAACATAAATGATTAAGGAAATAAGACACGATCAAAGGTGTAAAATAAAACTCAAGTGGATAATCGCAAAGAAATGGAGGTCTGTAAAATATATGATGGAGAGTTCAAAATAATTGTCTTGAAGCTCAGTGAGGCACAAAAGAATACAGAAAATTAAATAATATCAGCAAAATAATACATTAATAAAATTACAAGTTTAAAAAAGAGAGAGAAACCTGAAAAAGAACCAAAAATTTCTGGAGCTATAGCAAATATTATGTGAAATAAAAAATTTAATAGAGAGCTTGAAAAGCAAACTAGTTGAATTAGAATAAAGTATCAGCAAATTGCAGACAGATTATATGAAGTTATCCATTCAGAATTAGAAAAGAAAGAGTAAACAATAGAGATGAAAACTCATGGGATTTATGAGATATCATCAAGAAAACCAATACTTAAATCATGGGAGTCTAAAAAGGAGCAGAGAAAAAGAAAGAGAAAGAAAGCTATTTTAGGCCAGTCACAGTGGATCACACTTGTAATCCCAGCACTTCGGGAGGCTGAAGGGGGTGGATCACTTGAGGTTGCGGTCAGGAGTTTGAGCCCAGCCTGTTCAACATGGTGAAACTCTGTCTCTACTAAAAATACAAAAATTAGTCGGGCGTGGTGATGCACGCCTGTAATCCCAGCTACTCAGGAGGCTGAGGCAGGAGAATCACTTGAACCAGGGAGGTGGAGGTTGCAATGAGTCGAGATCATGCCACTGCAATCCATCCTTAGCGAAACAGCAAGACTCCATCTCAAAAAAAAACAAAAACAAAAACAAAAAAGCAAGCAAACAAGCAAGCCAGTTTAAGCTAGTTTACTATATATTGACAGAAAAAATCCCAAGTCTGAGAAGGTAAATGAGCACTGATATCCATTAAGCCCAAAGAATCCCAATAGGTTGAATATTAAGAACTGTTCACCAAGATACCATATAATCAAGTTGTCAAAAGTCAAGGACAAAGAGAGAATTATGAAAGCAGCAAAAGAAAAGTGACTGATTACATACAAGGATGTCCCTCTAATAGTATCAGTAATTTTTTAAACATAAACATTGGAGCCCAGAAAACAGTGAGATGAGATACTCAAAGTGTCAAAAGACAAAAAGCAAACTTCCAACCAATAACTCTATACCTGAAGTATTATTCTATTTGTGCTATCTATTTGTGATACTATAAAGGTACACCTGAGGCTGGGTAATTTACAAAGGAAAGTTATTTATTTGGCTCAAGATTTTTAGGCTGTAAAAGATACATAGAATCACCATCTGCTTCTGGTGAAAACCTCAAGAAACTTCCAATCAGGGCAGAAGGTGAAGGTGGAGCAGGAGTGTTACACTGAGAGAAAAGAAACAAGAGTTAGAGAAAGAAAGGTGCCAGGCTCTTTTTAACAATCAGATCTCACAGGAATTAATAAAGTGAGAACTTATTTATTACCATAGATGGCACCAAGCCATTCATGAGAGATTCAACCCATGACCCAGATACCTCCCCATAGGCCCTACCTCTAACATTGAGGGGTCAAATTTCAACATGAGATTTGCAAGGAATAAATATCTAAACTATATCACCTGACAAATATATTCTTAAGCATTTTTATTGATTGTAGCATTGTTTATGATATTTGAATATAAAAACAACCTATATTTCTACTGACAGATAAATAAAAAATGTATATACATACAATATAATATTTTTAGTCTCAAAAGAAAAGAAATTCTACTATTTCCATCAATGTGGATAAATTGTGAGTACATTATGCTAATAAGTAAAATAAGCCAGCTTTATATGATTCTATTTATTTGAACTATCTGAAATAATCAAATTCATGCAAACATAATAAAATGTTGTTTGTTAGGGGTTGCGGGAAGGGAGAAAAAGGGAGTTAGTTCCTTTTTAATGGGTGTAAAGTTCCACTTATGCAAGACAAATAAGTTCTATAGATCTACTCTACAACATAGTGCATATCATCAATAACAATAAGGCATTTTGCACTTAAAAATGTGTTGAGAGGCCAGATACTATGTTAAGGGTTCTTACTACAAAAAGAAGATACAAATAAACTTTTAGAGGTTATATATATTTATATATATATATATATATTATATATATAAATATATATATATAAAATAACCTTTATTGTGGTAATGCTATCAAAGATGTATGCATATGTCTAAATTCATTCAATTGTATACATTAAATACATGCTGTTGTATTTATATATCAAATACATTTCAATAAAAATGTTTACAAAATGAAAATGATAAAGTATGTCAAAAATTAAGACAATTGTATGTTGTCTACAAGAAAATCATTTTAAGTATGAAGACATATTAAACATAAATTGATGGAGAAATATCATGCTACTGCTAATCAAAAAGTAGAAATAGCTATATTAATTTTAGGCAGAGCAGACTTCAGAACAAGGAATGTTATTAGGAGAAAATAAAAGAATTACATAATGGTAAAGAGAACAATTCTCCAAGAAGACATAGTAATCTTTATAGGGCATCTAATAGCAAAGTGTCAAAATAAATAATGCAAAAAACTTACAAAACTGCAAGAAGAAAGATAGGAATTTACAATTATACTTGAAGACTTTAATATGCCTTTATCAGAAATGGAAAGATTCACCTGGTATAAAATCAATAAAATAAACTCAACAGAACATGCTATCAATTATATGTAATTGACATCTATAGACTGCTTCATCCAATAGCTGCATATTATACATTCTTCTCGAACTCACATGGAACATTCAGAAAGGTTGGCCACATTGTGGGTCATAAAACACACCTTCACAAATTTAAAATAATAAATACCCTATAATGGGTGCTCTTAGACCACAGTGGAATTAAACTAGAAATCATTAACAGAAATCAATAGAGTAGACAACATATAATTCAATTTTATTTGATCCACTCTAACAATTTTTTTAAAAAACAACTTTGTTAAGGTATTGAGGTAAATTTAATATATAAAAAAGCTGTGCATATTTAATGTATACGATTGATGAGATTAGACATATGCATTCACCTGGAAAATCCAAACATACTTGGAGATTAACAACACATTTCTAAATAATAACAAATGGAACAAAGAAGAAATCTCAAAAAATTAAAGAATATTTTAAACTAAATTAAAATAAAAATAATTTTATCAAAATGCATGGGATGCAGCAAAAGCAGTGCTTAGAGGAAAAATTATATCATTGAATATTTATATTACAAAGGAATAAATATCTAAAATCAATAATCTAAGCTTTTATCTTAGGAAAATAAAAAAGGAGCTAATTAAATATGAAGTAACGAAAGTAAATGAATACAAATTAGAGTACAAATCAATAACATTGAAAACAGGAAATCAATAGAGAGAATCGATGAAACCAATAGCTTGTTCCTTAAACAGATCAATAAAATCAATAAAACTCCATCCAGGCTAACAAAAAAAAATAAAATGCAAATTACTAATATCAAAAATGAAAGAGGATATCACAACAGTTTTCATGTATGTTAAAAGGATAACAAAAGAATATTATAAAGAACACTATGCCCAAATATGTGATATTTGGCATCAACGAAATGGACCTATTCTTTGAAAGGCACAATCTGCCAAAATTCACAGAAAAAGAAATAGAGTATCTGAGTAGGCCTGTATATATTGAGAAAATTACATACATAATTTATGGCATTCCAAAACTGAAAACCCCAGGCCCAGATAACTTCATTAGTGAAATTTACCAAACATTCAAGGAAGAAATTATACCAATTCTCTACAATCCCATCCATAAGACTGAAGCAGAGGGAATACTTCCTAACTCATTGTAATATCAGCATTAACATGATACCAAATTTATATATAGACTTCACAAGAAGCTCAATATCTCCTGTAAATACAGATACAAAAATTCTTAATAAAATATTAGAAAATTGAGAATAATACTTTTTACAAATAATTATATACCACAATCAAGTGGAATTTGTAACAGGTATTAAAGGCTGGTTCTACATTTGGCAACCCATTAATTTAATGGATTACATCAACAGGCTAATGAAAAAAATATGCAATTGTATTTGTAGATTCAGGAAAAAAAAATTAACAAAATCCAACACCAGCATTCTGGGAATAGTGAGGAACTTCCTCAAATAGATAAAGAACAACTACAAAAAAACTATACCTAGCATCAATACTTAATATGGATAAAATACAAGCTTCTTACTAAGGTAAAATACAAGGCAAGTGATGAGACACCTCCTCTCATCACTCCTTTTCAACATTATCCTTGGAGTTCTAGCTAATGTAATAAGACAAGAAAAAGAAAATATAGACCAAATGGACAGAAAGAAATAGAATACTATTTGTTCTCAAATAACATAATTTTCTATGTAGAATACACAAAAGAACTGACATAAAATCTCCTGTAACTAATAAACTACTTTGACATATTTGTAGAATGCAAGTTTAATATACAAAAGTCAATCCCTTTTCTATATATTAGCAATACAACTATGAAATACAAAATTTAAAAATAATACATTTACATTAGCATCCCAAAATCAAATACTTAGTTGTGCGTCTAGGAAAATATGTACAAGATCTACATAAGAATAGCTACAAAACTCTAATAAAAGAAATTAAATAATGAGTTAGTGAAGAGATAGTCCATGTTCCTGGAAAGGAAGACTCAATGTTGTCAAGATGTCAGTTGTTCCCAACCCACGCTATAGATTCCATACAATCTCAATGAAATGTTCAGTAAATTATTTTGTGGATATTTACAAACTGCTTCTGCAATTTACATGGAAATACAGAAGATCCAGGATAGAAAACACAATATTGAAGAAAAAAAGGTCAGAGTACTGACCCTACTCAGCTTCAAGACTGAGTACAAAGCTACAGTAATTAAGATAGTGTGCTATTTGTAAAAGAATAGATACATAAATCAATGGTACAGAATAAGGATTCCAGAAATAGAACTACATGAATATATCCAGCTGCTCTATAATAAAATATAAAGGGCAATTCAAATTTTAAAAAGATAGTTTTTTTAACAAATGGTGCTAGGACAACTGGACAATCACATGCAGAAAAATTAGTCTAGACACAAATTTTACAGCCTTCATAAAAATTAACTCAAAATTAATTATAGTCTTAATTTTAAAACTACAAAATGCCTAGAAGATAATATAAGAGAAAATCTAGATGACTTTGGTTATAGCTATAAATTTTTAGATACAGTATCAAAGGCATGGTTGATAACAAAATTAATAAGCTACACTTTATTAAAATTAAAAGTTTAGTCTCTGCAAAAGGCACTATCAGTAGATCAAAAAACCAAGGCACAGATTGTGAGAAATATTTGCAAAATACGTATCTGATAAAGAGCTGTTACCTAAATTGTACAAGGACTACTAAAAGCTCAACAATAAGAAAATAAACAACCCAATTAAAAATGTGTAAAAGATTTAAACAAAAAATCCTACAGAAAATGTACAGATAAAAAGTAAGTATATGCACTTATGCTCAACATTATATGTCATTATGGAATTGCAATTATAACAATGAGATAACACTACACACCTATTAGAGTGGCAAAAATTTAATACTGACTATGCCACATGCTGTTGAGGATATAGAGTAACAGTGAATATTATTTATTGTAGATGAGAATGCAAAATGGTCTAGCCACTGTGAAAGACAATTTTGCAGATTTTTATATTCATTTATTTATTTTTGGTAGAAACTAGGTCTTGCTACATTGCTCAGCTTGTCTTAAACTCCTACCTGCAAGTGACTCTCCTGCTTCCACCTTCTAAAGTGCTGAGATTACAGGAATGGGCCACTGCATCAGGCCCTGTTCAGCAGTTCCTTACAAAACTAAATATACTTTTACCATATAATTCAGCAACCACGTTTGCTAGAATTTATTAAAATGAGTTTAAAACTTATGTCATACAAAACCTTCACATAGATAGCAGCCTTACTAATAATTATGAAAACCTGAAATCACCAAGATGTCTTTAGGTGAAGAGATAAACAAACCGTGGTACATTTGGCCAATATAATATTACTCAGAGCTAAAATAAATAAGTTATTGAACCATGGAAAAACATGGAGGAACCTCAAATGTACATTACTAAGTGAAAGAAGCTCATTTAAAATCACTTCATACTTTATGTTTCTAACGATGTGACTTTTTTTTTTTTTTTTTTTTTTTTTTTTTTTTTTTTTTGAGACGGAGTCTCGCTCTTTCGCCCAGGCTGGAGTACAGTGGTGCGACCTCGGCTCACTGCAAGCTCTGCCTCCCGGGTTCACGCCATTCTCCTACCTCAGCCTCCCAAGTAGCTGGGACTACAGGCGCCCGCCACCACGCCTGGCTAATTTTTTTGTATTTTTACTAGAGATGAGGTTTCACCGTGTTAGCCAGGATGGTCTCGATCTCCTGACCTCTTGATCCGCCCACCTCGGCCTCCCAAAGTGCTGGGATTACAGGCGTGAGCCACAGCGCCCGGCCTAACTATGTGACATTTTGAAAAAGGCAAACTTATGGAGACAGTAAAAGAATCACTGGTTGCCAGGAATTAGAGAAGAGATAGAGATGGATTAGCAGAACGAAGAAAAACTTTATCATAATTAAACTTTTCTATATGATACTATAATGGTAAACACATGTCATTATACATTTGTCAAAACCAATAGAATATACAATATCGGAATGAATTTGAATGTAAACTATGGACTTGCACATAATGGTGGGTCGATGTAAGTTCATTTAGTGTAGTAAATGTGTCACTTTGATGTAGGATGGGGATATTAGCGAAAGAATGTATGTCTGTGTGGAGGCAGGTGATATATGTGAAATTACTATACCTTCTGTTAATTTTGCTGTAAACCTAAAATTATTTTTCTAAATTATTGAAAAAATAAAGTCCATTTAAAAACTGGAGAGAAAATAAAGATGTTTCTAATCTACAAAAACTGAGCTAATTCAATGGCAGCAGACTTACATTAAATACATACTAAAAGCAATTCTTTAGGCAAAAGAAAAATAATCCCAGGTGAAAGCATGAAGAAACAGAATAAAGGAAGAATAATTAAAATAGTAAGAATGTATACTTTTTTCTAAGAGATGGAGACTCACTCTGTCACCCAGGCTAGAGTGCAGTGGTGCAATCATAGCTCACTGCAGCCTCAAACTCCTGGGTTCCAGCGATCCTCTTGCCTCAGCTTCCTGAGTAGCTAGGTCTACAAGCATGCATCACCACACTCAGACAATTTTTAAAAAATTTTTATGGAGACCTGGTCTTGCTATATTCTCCAGAGTAATCTTGAACTCCTGGCCTCAAGAAATTCTTCCGCCTCAGCGTCCCAAAGTGTTGGGATTACAGGTGACAGCCACCACGCGCAAACATAAGTATATAATCTTATAAGCTGTATTGTGTCCTCTGAACATTTATACATTAAATCCCAAATTTTCTGTCCCTTAAAATTGGACTATATTTAAAGAGAGAAACTTTAAAGAGACATTGAAGTGAAATAGAGGTTCTTTGGTTGGGTCTGAGTCCACTATAACTGGTACACTTATAAAGAGAAAAGGTTAGGACAGAAAATACCAAGAGATGACCATGTGAGGACATAGTAAGAAGATGGCTATCTACAAGCAAAAGAGAGGGGTTTCAGAAGAAATCAAAGCTGACAAAATTTTGATCTTGGATTTTCAGCTCCAGAATTGTGAGAAAATAAATTTTTGCTTTTTAAGCCATCCACTCTGAGGTATTTTCTTATGGCAGCCCTAGCAAACGAATACAAGTGAATAACACCAAATAAAAATTGACTTATAAAACAATAATGGTGATGATGATGGTGATGGTGTGTTGTGAGTTTTAAAATAAAACTATGCCATTAATTCATTCTTTTTTATGGCTCAGTAGTATTCCATAATATATATATATATCGTTTGCTTTTGGGTTATTGGTCATGAAATCCTTGCCTAAGCCAGATGGAATACTACTGAGTATACATATATAATATATATATATGTGTCTATATATATAATATATATGTATATATAATATATATGTGTATATATAATATATATGTATATATTATATGTGTATATATAATATATATGTATATATAATATATATGTGTATATATAATATATATGTATATATATGTGTATATATAATATATATGTATATATAATATATGTGTATATATAATATATATGTATATATAATATATATGTGTATATATAATATATGTGTATATATAATATATATGTGTATATATAATATATATGTATATATAATATATATGTGTATATATAATATATATGTATATATATAATATATATGTGTATATATAATATATATGTATATATAATATATATACACATATATACATATATGTATGCATCTATATACACAACATATATATACATATATATTATATGTATACATATATATATACACACATATATGCATACATATTATATATATATATACCAGTTTCTTTATCCACTCGTTGATTGATGGGCATTTGGGTTGGTTCCATGTTTTTGCAATTGTAAATTGTGCTGCTATAAACATGTGTGCGCAAGTATCTTTTTCATATAATGACTTGTTTTCCTCTGGGTAGATACCCAGTAGTGGGATTGCTTGATCAAATGGTAGATCTGCTTTTAGTTGTTTAAGGAATCTCCACACTGTTTTCCATAGTGGTTGTACTAGTTTACATTGCCACCAGCAGTGCAGAAGTTAACCACATCCCTGTTAAACACATCCATGCTAACACTTATTATCTTTTGATTTTTTTATTATGGCCATTCTTGCAAGAGTAAGGTAATATTGCATTGTGGTTTTGATTTGCATTTCCCTAATCATTAGCAATGTTGAGCAATTTTTCATATGTTTGTTCGCCATTTGTATATCCTCTTTTGAGAATTGTCTATTCATGTCCTTAGCCCACTTTTTGATGGGATTGTTTGTTTATTTCTTGCTAATTTGTTTGAGCTTGTTGAAGATTCCGGATATTAGTCCTTTGTCAGATGTATAGATTGTGAAGATTTTCTCCCACTCTGTGGTTTGTCTGTTTACTCCGCTGACTCTTCCTTTTACCGTGCAAAAGCTCTTTAGTTTAATTAAGCCTCAGCTATTTATCTTTGTTTTTATTTCATTTGCTTTTGGGTTCTTTGTCATGAAATCCTTGCCTATGCCAATGTCTAGAAGGGTTTTCCAATGTTGTCTTCTATAATTTTTATAGTTTCAGGTCTTAGATTTAAGTCCTTGATCTATCTTGAGTTGATTTTTGTATAAGGTGAGAGATGAGGATCCAGTTTCATTCTCCTACATGTGGCTAGCCAATTATCCCAGCACCATTTGTTGAATAGGGTGTCTTTTCCCATTATATGTTTTTGATTGCTTTGTCAAAGATCATTTGGCTGTTAAGTATTAGCGTTTATTTCTGGGTTCTCTATTCTGTTCCATTAGTCTATGTGCCTACTTTTATGCCAGTACCATGCTGCTTTGGTGACTATGGCCTTATAGTATAGTTTGAAATCAGGTAATGTGATGCCTCTTGATTTGTTCTTTTTGTTTAGTCTTGCTTTGGCTGTGAAGACTCTTTTTTGGTTTCATATAAATTTTAGAATTTTTTTTTCTATTTCTGTGAAGAATGATAGTTGTGTTTTAATGGAAATTGCATTGAATTTGTAGTTTGCTTTTGGCAGTATGGTCATTTTCACAATATTGTTTTTACCTATCCATGAGCATGGGCAGTGACCTGGATAAGATTGAAGACCATTATTCTAAGCAAAGTAACTCAGGAATGGAAACCAAACATCGTATGTTCTCACTCATATGTGGGAGCTAAGCTATGAGGATGCAAAGGCATAAGAAAGGCACAATGGACTTTGAGGACTCAGGGGGAAAGGGTGGGAAGAGGGTGAAGGATAAAAGACCACAAATTGGTTGCAGCGTATACTGCTAGGGTGATGGGTGCACCAAAATCTCACAAATCACCACCAAAAGAATTACTCATGTAACTAAACACCACCTGTTCACCAATAACCTATGAAAATAACGAAAAATTTTAAAAATGAAATAAAATAAAAATATGTAACAATTCCCAAATGAGGGAGTGGGGTAATAGGACTTAATTGTTCTAAAGTCCTTGTGTTACTTGGGAAATAGTACAACTTCTGAGATCATTAGAATTTATTAACAAGAATATATGTTGTAATATCTTGAGCATCTAATAAAATCAAGTTAAAAAGTATGTAATTACAAAGGTAATAGAGAGAAAAAATGAGATATTAAAGATATATCTAATATAAAAGAAAGCAAAAAAAGATTTTTAGAAAACCATAAAACAGATGATACAAATAGAAATGAAGTATTAAGATGGTATGTATATGCCACATATATAAATAATTATATTAAATATAAAAGAAATAAATACTTCAATTAAAAAGCAAACCCTGTAAAATCGAATAAAAAATAGAAATATATGCTACTCAAAGAAAAGGTGCATTAAATATAAGGAAACAAAAATGTCAACAGGGTTGAAAATGATATACCATAGAATTGCTAACTGAAGGAAGCAGTAGATTTACTTACATGGATATATATACAAGGTGTAATCTAAGAAAATATCATTATATGGATATAAAAAAGATTTAATAATAATAAATGTTTCAATCTTTCAAAGATACAGCAATTCAAAAGTTATATTCAGCTACAGATATAGTGTAAAAATTTTAAAGCAAAACGTACGAAAATCAAAAGAAAAATTAAAATTTATAATTTCAGTGTGAGATTTTACCACATTTCTCTTGGTAATTAATACAACAAGCAGAAAAAAAAAAGGGTGGGATGTAGAAGAATACAGTTCACACACTTGATATTTGCCCTATATGAAATACAGTATTAATCAGTTGAATAATACATAAGTTTTTCAATGTGGAACATTTGAACTTGAAACATTGATTAAAATTTACCATATGCTAGATTAAAGTCAAATTGTCCACAGCTTCTTAAAATTAAATAATACAGTGTATTTTCATATTTCCATGCAATTAAGATAGATGTAGATAAAAAATATATAAGTAGAAAATTCTTGTATGTTAGGAAATAAACAAAATATACTTCTAAATAATCATGGTGCAAAGAAAAAAACCTCAATAAATATTAGAAAATAATTTGAACTGATTAATAGTGAAAAACTAGTATATCAAAACTTATAATGCAGCTAAATCAGTGCTCAGAGAGATGTATATCACTAATGTTTGAAAATCAATTATCTGGATCTCTATCTAAGCAAGTTAAAATAATATAAAATTAAACTCGAAGAAAGTAGAAGAATAAAATGTTAAAGTTAATATCATATATCAATTAAACAGAAAGTGAAAGTACAATAGAATATTTAAGAAAGAAAAAAATTGTTTTTTGTGAATACTAAAATTGATAATTTTAAAAAAAATTACTAAGAAAATAATGAAAAAACTATAAGACTCTTTTGTTAAAAACCTTCCCATAAAGCAAACCGTAGGCCCTCACAATCTTATACAAACATCTCCAAAGATTAGGAAACACACACAAAAACAAACAAATTAGAACAAATTCTCAATTTGTTTTATAAGATATAAAATATAGAATAAACTTGGTATTAAAACTTGATGAGGATACTATGGGAAAAAAATTATAGGACAGTCTCTGTCATAAGCATTGATACAAACAATTTAAGCAAATATTAGCCAATTAAATTCAGTAATAATACAAGAAACCTACCCCCCAAAAAAAGAAAATTGGTTTATTTTTAAAGAAGCATGATTGATTTAATAAATAAAGAAAAAAATAAAATCTATATAATTACATTCGTAATTATCCAAAGACAAGAATACCCAGCAATTATTAAAAATAAAAATTTTTTAGCAAGATAAAGTTTGAAGGAATCTTCTTTAGGACAAGAACACCCATTATCACCACACCTATTTAACATAATACTCAGTGTCCTAGCAAGTAAAACAGGTAATAAAAACAAACAAACAAATAAAAATATTAGCTTGAGATTTAAAAAAAAAAAGGTGCAATTATTCACAAAGAAAAAAATTATGTAAGTACAGAATCCAGAAAAATCTACAGATAAACTATGACAATTAATAAATGAATCAAGCAAGATTATTGAATACTAGAATTATATAAAAATAAATTTTATGTTTATATATCAGCAACAATTATAAAATAATACTAAACTACGATAACTCTTTGAGTAATTGTAAAAACACTTAATTCTTAGAAATTATTCTAAGGAGAGATTTGTAAGCCCTGTACCTTAAACAATATAAAACATTATTGAGAGAAACTGAGGAGACTTAAGTAAGCAGAATGTGGCCTTACATGGAGTTACACTGAATTTAAAAATTTCAATTATACCCAAATTGATTTATATATTCAATGGTATACAAATAAAAATTTCAGTTTTGTTTTCTTTTCAGAAATTGACAAGCTATTGATAAACTTTATATGAAAATGTATATAAAACCAGTGTAACTGCGGTAATCTCAGAGAACAATGTGAGAAGTCTAATATTACTAGGAGTTGAGACATTTAAAAAGCTCTTGTGATTGAAACAAAGTGCTAAATTTGCAAGAACAGACACACACACAAAAATGAACCAGGAGTCCAGAAACTCACAAATATATAGATAACAAAAGTGACATTTCAAAGCAATGGAGAAAAGAATCTGTGCATTAAATGATGCTGAGTAAACTGGATACTCATATGGATAATGTTTTTACCTCTATCTTAGACCACACACAAAAATAAATTCTAGATATAAATGTGAAAGATTAAATGAGTAGCTTATAGATGATAACATAAGATTCTCTCTTCATGACTACAGATGAGAAAAAACTTTCTAAAACTGCATACGAACACATTAATCATCAAGGGAAAATAATAATACATTGAACCAAATTAAAATGAAAAACCTTGTTCATCAAAGACATTAATAAAGAGTGAAAAATGAAAAAGATTAGGGGCTGGGTGCAGTGGCTCATGCCTATAATCGCAGCACTATGTGGGGCTGAGGTGGATGGATCCCCTGAGCCCAGGAGTTTGGGACCAGCCTAGACAACACAGCAAAACCCAGTCTCTAAAAAATAAAAAAATAAAAATAAATAAAAACACACACACACACACACACACACACACACAAATTTGCTTGGCTGGGTGGCATGTGCCTGAAGTTCCACCTACTTGGGAAGTTGAGGTGCGAGGATCACTTGAGCCAGGAAGGCATGGGCAACAGAGTGAGACATTGTCTCAAAAAAAAAAAATTAAAAAAAAAAAAGCGAAGGCATAGGGAGAGACTACATCCATAAATCTATCTTCCTGTATATCTATGTTTCTATCTAAATAAATATATATTTCTATTTTTACATCTATATAAAATATTCATTAACTATATAAATATATATATTCTATATTTAAAAAGGACTAATAAAGAATGAATATGTATATAGAAAAAAATTCCTTCTAATCAATAAGCAAGAGACAAGCAATTTTTTTAAAGAGGCAAAATACCTAAACAATCACCTCATAAAGGAAGATATCTGTGTTTCCACTAAACATATAAAAAAGTATTCAGCAATCCCATTACTGGGCATATACCCAAAGGATTATAAGTCATTCTACGATAAAGACACATGCACATGTATGTTTATTGCGGCACTATTCACAATAGCAAAGACTTGAAACCAACCCAAATGTTCATCAATGATAGACTGGATTAAGAAAATGTGGCACATATACACCATGGAATACCATGAAGACATACAAAAGGATGAGTTCACGTCCTTTGCAGGGACATGGATGAAGCTGGAAAGCATAATTGTCAGCAAACTATCACAAGATCAGAAAACCAAACACCGCATATTCTCACTCATAAGTGGGAGTTGAACAATGAGAACACATGGACACAGGGAGAGGAACATCACACACCTGGGCCTGTCAGGGGGTGGGGGGCTAGGGGCGGGATAACATTAGGAGAAAAACCTAACGTAGGTGACGAGTTGATGGGTGCAGCAAACCACCATGGTACGTGTATACCTATGTAACAAAACTGCACTTCTGCACATGTAATACAGAACTTAAAGTATAATGAAAATAAATAAAAGATATTTAGTTTATTATTCAACATTAATCAATAAGTATGCATTATTAGAGATAAAATTTAAAATCCTGAAAATAAATGTTGATCAGAAGATGGTACAACTGGAATTCTCAAACCCTTTGAAGGTTTTCTAAATTGGTACAACCACATTAGGGACCATTTTCTCAGTATATATAAAGTTAAATTCATATGTATTCTACAGTCCTGAAGTTCTACACCTAGGTATGTAACCAACAGAAATTCATACATAGCTCCATAAAAATATATGTAAATATTCATAGCTTAATACTAGAAACAATCAAAATGCACATCAATAGTATAATTAATTTTTTAAAATGTGACATATTCATAGAACAGAGTACTATAGATGAATGACTATGAGCAAGCTACTGCTGTACTCAACAACTAGGTGGAATCTCACAAATAATGGTGAATGAGAGAAGTGAGGGACAAATCATTATATAACATTTTATTCTATTGATGTAAACTTTAAAACAAGACAATTAATCTATGGGGATTGAAGACAGGGTAGCTGTTATCTCAAGCCAAAGTAAGAGATAGTGATTATAAGATGGCAAAGTGACAAGTTTTGAATTGCTGGTAATGCTTTATTTCTTGAATATTTTGGGTGTTTACCTGAGTATGTTCATTGTGATAATTCATCAAGCTGTATATTTGTATTGTTTGTCATATTCTAATACAAATAAATTATTAAAAAAGTAAAATGGAGTCATTTGTTCATTTAGTTAAGAATATGTTACAAATAAAATGTGATCCATTTATGTTAACAAAATTGATCTGATGTCTGTAAGCAGAGAATCCAAATAAGTATCTGTTGACCATCTACTATCTGAACAGTGGTATATTGGACAGAGTCCAATATGTTATCTCATTTAATTATTGCAGTAATCATATAGTATAGACAATATTTTAATTTTTAACCTGGAGTAGAATTATTTCAAACCTAGGTTTGCTGGTACCAAAGCCAGACATTTTATGCTCCATGAATAACTCACCAAGAGTAATGAAGAGTATAATAAAGAGGATTTTGAATTTTAGTTGAAAAACTGCATAACTTTTGAGATAAAAAATAATGTGTACTATATGAATATATAATTTTATTTACTATTTCAGAATAAAGTGAAAAAATAAAATGACTATATAGCAAATTAAGGCTATAATACAGGGGAAAGTATAGGTGTTTTACACATTAAATTATAATTTAAAAAATACTATCTCTTCATGAAGCTTGTATGTAGATTTAGGTGATTATCTGCTTTGGGACAGAGGAAATTAAAATTTCCCTAAAATTGAGTTACTTTTCTACCTTAATTTACGAAGAAAAGAGTTTGGTAATGTGATTTTTAAAGGTGAGTTGGTGCCACTACATGAGACATATTGAAGATCATGAGATCTATAAGTGTAAAGTGATATATTAAAAGTAAATATAGAAATAATTAAAAAATAGGGTTTTGGGATACAGAGATAAGGGTGAAAAAAGAAAACATAGATACCTCTTGGTCCTTATTATCTGGTAGATATGTCAAGTATCTGTTTCCACTAACACTAAAAATCACTGTATAAAATATACCAGACATCTTTTTAACTACATGGTAAACATTGTAAAAAACAACAACAACAACAAAACAAAGTAAAACCACAAGGATTCAAATATAAATACTATCAACATCTATTCACAATAAAAACCTTTGGTATACTTGAAATAGAGGGCAACTCCCTCTACTTGATAATTCTTTAAATAGCTGCAAAAACCCTGAGGCTAGCATCATTGTTAATGGTGAGAAATAAAATTCTTTGTTGTTAAACTCGTGAACTAGAGAAGGCTGTACCCTTTCATCATCCCTATTCAACATCATTCTAGAATTCCTAGCTGATATAATAAGACAAGAAGATAAAATATTGTTGCAGGAAATCAGGGACCCCAAATGGAGAAACCTGCTTGAGCCAAGGCAGAAGAACATAAATTGTAAAGATTTCATGGACATTTATCAGTTCCCAAAATTAATACTTTTATAATTTTTTATGCCTGTCTTTACTGCAATCTCTGAACATAAATTGTGAAGATTTCATGGACATTTATCACTTCCCCAATCAATACTCTTATAATTTCTTATGCCTGTCTTTAATCTCTTAATCCTGTTATCTTCGTAAGCTGAGAATGTACGTCACCTCAGGACCACTATCATACAAATTGATTGTAAAATATATGTGTTTGAACAATATGAAATCAGTGCACCCTGAAAAAGAACAGAATTACAGTGATTTTCAGGGAATGAGGGAAGATACCCATAAGGTCTGACTGCCTGTGGGGTCGGACACAATACAGCCGTATATTTCTTCTTGCAGGGATCCTATAAACGGACGTGCGAGTAGGAGAAATATCGCTGAATTCTTTTCCCGAAAAGGAATATTAATAATTGAGACCCTGGGGAAGAAATGCCTTCCTGGGGGTAGGTCTATAGATGGCCACTCTGGGAGTGTCTGTCTTATGTGGTTAAGATAAGGACTGAAATACACTCTGGTCTCCTGCAGTACCCTCAGGCTTACTAGGATTGGGAAATTCCAGCCTGGTAAATTCTAGTCAGACCGGTTGTCTGTTCTCGAGCCCTGTTTCCTGTTAAGATGTTTATCAAGACAATGTGTGCACAGCAGGACATAGACCCTCATCAGTAATTCTAATTTTGCCTTGCCTTGTGATCTCTATTGCCCTTTAAAGCATGTGATCCTTGGGACCTACTCCCTATTCGTACACCCCTTCCCCTTTTAAAATCCCTAATAAAAACTTGCTGGTTTTTTGGCTTGGGGTTGCCTTCACAGTCCTACCAATATATGATGACACCCCCAGAGGCCCGGCTGTAAAATTTCTCTCTTTGTACTCTTTCTCTTTATTTCTCAGACTGGCCGACACTTAGGGAAAATAGAAAAGAATCCACGTTGAAATATTAGGGGCTGGTTCCCCCAATAAAATACACACTGTTTGGAAAGAAAAAAAATGGAATTGTATTTGTTCACAGATGATATGATTATTTATGAAGAAAATCCCAAAGAATCAACCTTTGGAATTAATAAACTATTAAAGTAAGGTCAATTGCTTTTATATATACCATCAATGAGCATTGGAATTTGAAATGAAAAATAAAATACCATATACATTAGCACCAAAAAATTAAATAGGTACATGTTTAACAGAATGTGAACAAGGTCTATATAAGAAAAACTATAAGCCTCTGATTAAAGAAACTGAAGAAGATTTAAAGAAATGAAAAAATAGTCTCTATTTATAAATAGGAAGACTCAATTTGTTAAGATGTCAGTCCTTCCCAACACAGTCTATCAGTTTTATACAATGATTTTCAGAATTCCAGCAAGACACTCCAAATAGCCAAAATAATATTGTGAAAGAAGAATAAAGTTGGAAGCTTCACACTTCCTGATTTTACAACATATTACAAAGCTACATTAATCAAAATACTGTGGCACTGGCATAAGGACAGACATATGGACCAGGGGTACAGAATAGAGAGCCCAGAAATACACCCTCACATATATGGTCAAATGTTGTTCAATGAGAGTGTCAAGATAATGCAATGAAGAAAGGATAATTTATTCAACAAATGGTGCTGGGGAAGCTGGATTTCCACATGCAAAAGAATGAATTAGAACTCTTACTTTATACCATATATAAATAATTCAAAATGAACTGACAATTTGAATTTAAGATTTAAAAGCATAAAACTCTTAGAAGACAAAAGACAGTGGAGAAGAAAACTTCATGACATTGGATTGACAATGATTTCTTGGATGTGATCCCAAAAGCACAGGCAACAAGAGCAAAAATTGACAAATGGAACTACATCAAACTTAAAAACCTTTATACATTAAAAGAAACAATTGACGAAGTAAAAGGCAACCTATGAAATATAAGGAAATATTTGCAAATCATACTTCTGATAAGGAGTAATATCTGGAATACATAAAAAAAACCTACAACTCAAGAACAAAAACAAACAAGTCCATTAAAAATGGCAAAGAACTTAAATAGACATTTCTTCAAAAGAAGCATATGAAAAGATGCTCAACATTACACCATTAGACAAATGCAAATTAAACCACAATGAGATACGTTCTCATATTCATGGGGACGACCACTACCATAAAAATATATAGAAAATATCAAGTGTTGGAAAGGATATGGAGAAATTGGAAACTCTTTGTGCAATTGGTGGGAACGAAATATGCCACACCTATTTTACATTAAAAAAACAGTATGAGGGTTCCCCAAAAACATAAAAATAGAATTACCATATAATCCAAGAATTCCACTTCTGGGAATATGTACAAAAAAATCTAAAGCAAGATCTTTGCACACCCATGCTAATTGCACCATTATTCACAACAACCAAGGGGTGAAAGCAACTCAAATGTTCATCAATGGATTAATAGATAAATAAAATTTTGTATATACCTACAATAAAACATTATTCAGCCTTAAAACAAAGAAAATTCTGTCATGTTACAGCACAAATGAACACTGAGAACGTTATGTTAAAAGAAATAAGATAATACAAAAAGAAAATACTGCATGATTCTGTTTATAAGAGGTATCTAAAGTTGTCAATCTCACAGAAACAGAAAGTAGAATAGTATTTTCTTGGGACTTGGGGAGAAGGAAATGGGGATTCGTTGTTCAATTGGTATAGAGTTGCAATTTTGCATGATGAAAAATGTCTAAGAAACTGTTGCAAATCAATGTAAATATACTTAATACTATTAAACTTTATAAAATAATTAAGATGGTAAAATTTACAGGTTTGTGACTACAACTAAACATTTAGAAATCCCTGCCAGTTATTTCATGGCTATTGACAAGATGATTCTTTAGCTTATGTGAAAAGAAAAAGACACAGAATATCTAACACAGTATTTAAGAAAAAAAGAAGACTAACACTACCAAACATAAAGAATTACAAAAAAGCAACAGTAATCAACACTCTGGTACTGATAAAAGAGTAGACATATCACTGGAACAAAATAAACAACCTAGAAATAGACCCAAACTAAAATAGTTGGCTGACCTTTGACAATGATAATTCAAAGGAAAAATGATAGTATTTTCAATGAATGGTGCTGAAACAACTGGGTATCCAAATGCAAAACAAAGCAAAACCAAACCAAAAACAAAATCTTTACAGACTTTACACATTTTACATAATTTACTAAAAATGGATTATCGACCTACATATAAAATGCAAAAATGTAAAACTAGAAGATAACATTGGAATAAAAATCTAGGTGACCTTGGTTAGTCAATTACTTTTCTTTTTAATTTTTGTGGGTACATAGTAAGTGTATATATTTATGGGGTACACCAGATGTTTTGATACAAGCATGCAATGAGAAACAAACACATCATGGAGAATGGGGTATCCATTACCACAAGCATTTATGCTTTGCATTATAAACAATTCAGTTACACTCTTTATTTTTAAATGTAAAATTAAGTTATTGACTATAGTAACCTTGTTGTGCTATCAAGTAGTAGGTCTTATTTGTGCTTTCTAACTACTTTTTGTACCTATTATCCATCCCCACCTCACCTCTTCCCAACAACCCACTACCCTTTTCAGCCTCTTTTAACCGTCCTTCTACTCTCTACAAGTGTAATTGATTTGATTTTTAGGTCCCCCAAAAAAGTGAGAATGCGTGATGTATATCTCTTTGTACCTGGATTATTTCACTTGCCTAATAATCTCCAGTTTCATTAATGTTGTCGCAAATGACAGGGTCTCATCTTTTATGGCTGAATAATACTCCATTGTGTATATAAGCCACACTTTCTTTATCTATTTATGTATTGATGGACATTGAGGTTGCTTTCAAATCTTGGCTCTTGTGAACAGTGCTGCAACAAATATGGAAGTACAGATACTTCATCAATATACTGATTTTCTTTCTTTTGGGCATATACCCAGCAATGAGATTGCTGTATTTTATGGTAGCTCTACATTTAGTATTTTGATGAGCTGTGAAACTGTACTCCATAGTGGTTGTACTAATTTACATTCCCATCAACAGTGTATGAGGATTCTCTTTTCTCTAAATCCTCACCAACATTTGTTATTCCTTGTCTTTTATATATAAGTCATTTGAACTGGGGTGAGATAATATCTGATTGTAGTTTTGACTTGCAGTTCTCTGATGATCAACTACATTGAGCACTTTTTCATATGCCTGTTTGTCGTTTTTTTTTTCTTTCTTTTTTTTTTGTTTTTTTGTTTTTTTGAGACGGAGTCTCACTCTGTCACCCAGGCTAGAGTGCAATGGTGTGATCTCGGCTCACTGAAAGCTCTGCCTTCTGGGTTCAAGCTATTCTGTCTCAGCTTCTCAAGTAACTGAAATTACAGGCATGTGCCACCACACCCAACTCATTTTTTGTATTTTTAGTAGAGATGGGGTTTCATCATGTTGGCCAGGCTGCTTTCAAACTCCTGACTTCAAGTGATCCATCCGCCTTGCCCTCCCAGAGTGCTGGGATTACAGGCATGTGCCATTACTCCTGGTCCCATTTGCCATTTTTATTCCTTCTTTTGAGAAAAGTCTATTGTAATTTTTGCCCACTGTTTGATCAGATTTTTGGATGTGTTTCTGTAGAGTTTTTTTGAGCTTCTTATACATTCTGGTTATTAATTCCTGGTCAGATGGTTAGTTTGTAAATATTTTCTCTCATTATCTGGATTTTCTCTTCACTTTGTTGACTGTATCCCTTGCTGTGAAGAAGCTTTTTAACTTGATGTGATCCAATTTTTCTATTTTTGTTTTGGTTGCCTGTGCTTGTGGGTTACTGTTCAAAAAATTTTTGCCCAGACTAAGGTCCTGGAGATTTTCCTCAATGTTTTCTTGTAGTAGTTTCATAGTTTGAGGTGTTATATTTAAGTCTTTCATCAATTTTTATTTTAGATCTATATATTTTGAGAGATAGGGGTTGATATGGCATGGCTGTGTCCCCATCCAAATCTCATCTTGAATTGAAGCTCCCATAATTCCCACATGTTGTGAGAGGGACCCAGTGGGAGATAACTGAATCATGGGGGCAGTTTCCCCTATACTGTTCTCATGGTAGTGAATAAGCCTCACCTGATATGACAGTTTTATAAGGGATATTCGCTTTCACTTGGCTCTCATTTTTCTCTTGCCTGCTGCCATGTAAGACATTCCTTGCTCTTCCACTATGATTCTGAAGGCCTTCCAAGCCATGTGGAACTGTGAGTCAGTCTCTCATTTATAAATTACCCAGTCTTAGGTATGTCTTTATTAGCAGCATAAGAACAGGCTAATACAGTAAATTGGTAGTGGGAGTGGGGTGCTTCTGTAAAGATACCTGAAAATGTGGAAGTGACTTTGGAACTGGGTAACAGGCAGAGGCTGGAATAGTTTGGAAGGCTCAGAAGAAGACAGAAAAATGTGGGAAAGTTTGGAACTTCCTAGAGACTTGTTGAATGTCTTTGACCTAAATGGTGATAATGATATGGACAATGAAATCCAGGCTGAGATGGTCTCAGATGGAGATGAGGAACTTGTTGGGAACTGGAGTAAAGGTGGCTCTTGCTGTTTTAGCAAAAGACTAGTGGCATTTTGGCCCTTCCCTAGAGATTTGTGGAACTTTGAACTTGAGAGAGATGATTTAGGGTATCTGGCAGAAGAAATTTCTAAGCAGTAAAGCATTCAAGAGGTGACTTGGGTGCTGTTAAAAGCATTCAGTTTTAAACAGGAAACAGAGCATAAAAGTTCAGAAAATTTGCAGCCTGATGATGCGATAGAAAAGAAAACCCTATTTCCGAAAAGAAATTCAAACCAGCTGCAGAAATTTGCATAAGTAATGTGGAGCCAAATGTTAATCACCAAGACAATGGGGAAAATATCTCCAGGGTATGTCAGAGACCTTTGTAGCAGGCCCTTCCATCACAGAGCCAAGGCCTAGGAGAAAAAAAATGGTTTTGTGGGCTGGGCCTAAGGATTCCTGCTGTGTGCAGCCTAAGGATTTGGTGCTCTGCATCCAAGCCACTCTAGCCATGGCTAAAAGGGGCCAAGGGCTGTGGCTTCAGACAGTGCAAGCCCCAAGCCTTGGCAGCTTTCACATGGTTTTGAGTCTGCGGGTATACAGAAGTTAAAAATTGAGGTTGGGAAACTCCACCTAGATTTCAGATAATGTATGGAAATGCCTGGATGTGTAGGCAGAAGTTTGCTGCAGGGGCAGGGCCCTCATGGAGAACCTCGGCTAGGGCAGCGTGGAAAGAAAATGTGGAGTTAAAGTCTCCACACAGAGTCCCCACTGAGGCCCTGCTTAGTGGAGCTGTGAAAAGAGGGCCACCATCTTCCAGGCCCCAGAATGGTAGATCCACCAACAGCTTTTACCATGCACCTGCAAAAGCTGCAGAAATGCCAGCCTGTGAAAACACCCGAGACTGAGGCTGTACCCTGCAAAGACACAGAGACAGAGTTTCCCAAAACCACAGGAACCCACCTCTTGAATCAGCATGACCTGGATGTGAGACATGGAGTTGAAGGAGATCATTTTGGAGCTTTATGACTTGACTGCCCCACTGGATTTCAAACTTGCATGGGGCCTTTAATGCCTTCATTTTGGCCAATTTCTCCCATTCAGAATGGCTGTATTTACCCAATACCTGTGTCCCCAGTATATCTAAGGGGTAACTAACTTGCTTTTGATTTTACAGGCTCATAGGCAAAATGGACTTGCCTTGTCTAAGATGAGACTTTGTACTATGGACTTTTGAATTAATGCTGAAATGAGTTAAGACTTTGTGGGACTCTTGTGAAGGCACGATTGGTTTTGAAATGTAAGGACATGAGATTTGGGAGGGGGCAGATACAGAATGATATGGTTTGGCTGTGTTCCCACCCAAATGTCATCTTGAATTTTGGCTCTTTATTATACCACATGTTCTGGGAGGTACTCAGTGGGAGATAATTGAATCAGGGGGTGGTTTCCCTCATACTGTCTTCATGGTAGTGAATAAGCCTTGGGAGATGTGATAGTTTTATAAGAGGTTTTCTCTTCACTTGGTTCTCATTTTTCTCTTGCTTGCTGCCATGTAAGTTGTCTCTTGCTTTTCTGCCATGATTGTGAGGCCTCCCCAGCCATGTGGAACTGTAATTCAATTAAATCTCTTTCCTTTATAAATTACTCAGTCTCAGATTTGTCTTTATCAGCAGGGTAAGAGCAGACTAATACAAGGGTCTAGTTTATTATTCTGTATATAGATACCCAGTTTTTCTAGCAACATTTATTGAAGAGATTGTTTTTTCCCAGAGTTAACTGTAGGTATGTGGATTTGTTTCTGGGTTCTCTATTCTATTTCATTGGTCTATGTGTCTGTATTTATGCAAGTACCAAGCTGTTTTGGTTACTATAGTTCTGTAGTATAATTTGAAGTCAGGTAATGTGATTTCTCCAGTTTTGGCCTTTATGCTTACTGTAGCTTTGGGTATTCTGGGCCTTTTGTGGTTCCATATAAGTTATAGGATTGTTTTCTCTGTTTCTGTGGAGAATGACATTGGTATTTTGATAGAGAATCCATTAAATCTGTAGATTGCTTTGAGTTGTATAAAATTTTTGTAGCAATGCTAATTCTTCCAATCCATGAACATGGAATATTTTTATTGACTGTTATTCAGTTTTTTCATCAGTTTTTTATAGTTTTTACTATAGACATCTTCACTTCTTTAGTTAAGCTAATTTCCAGGTAATTATTTTTTCTGTCTCCATTGTATCTTTTTTGGTTTCAGTTTCCATGAGGCTTGAAAATACTATTTGATAACTCATTATTTTTACCCAATAACAACTTAAAGTTTTTGACATAAACAAACACACAAGCAAAATGAAAACTAATACAGACTCTACATATTAACTTCATCACCCTGCTTTTTCACTTTTTTTTTTGTTTTCATTCGTACCTTGATGTAGTGAGTATGTCTTCCAAAGTTCTTGTAGTTATTATTTCTGATTGAATCTTTTTTCAGTCTTTCTACTTATAAGAGTAGTTTACACACCACAGTTATGGTGTTATAAATTCTGTGTTTTTCTGTGTACTTACTATTACAAATTTTTTGTACCTTCAGGTTGTTACTTATATATAGTTCATTAACAACCTTTTCTTTCTAATTGAAGTACTCCCTTTAGCATTTTTTTTAAGACAAGTCTGGTGTTAATGAAATCCCTCAGCTTTTGCTTGTCTGGGAAAGTCTTTATTTCTCATTCATGTTTGAAGAGTATTTTCACCAGATATACGATTCTAGCAGCATAAAAGTTTTTTTTTTTTTTCCTTCAGTACTTTAAATATGTTTTGTCACTCTCTTTTGGCCTGTAAGGTTTCCACTGTAAAATTTGCCACCACATTTATTGGTGCTCAATTGTATGTTGTTTCCTTTCTCTTGCTGCTTTTAGGATCTTTACTTTATCCTTGACATTTGGGTGTTTGATTATTAAATGCCTTGAGATAGTCTATTTTGGGTTAAATGTGTTTGGTGTTCTATAACCTTTTATTTGGACATTAATATCTCTTTCTAGGTTTGAGAAGTTATCTCTTATTATCTGTTTGGATAAGCTTTCTACCCCTATCTCTATCTCTACCTCCTCTTTATAGCCAATAAAACCTGGATTTGCCCATTCGAGGCTATTTTCTTCTTTCTCCTCTCTTCTTTCTTCTTCTGTCTCCTTTTACTGTGTATTTTCAAATAGCCTGCTTTAAGCATGCTAATTATTTTTTCTGCTTGATAAATTATGCTATTAAGAAACTCCTGCATTTTTTAGGATGTCAATTCATTTGTCTACTCCAGAATCCTGATTGATTCAGTTTTTTAAATTTTCATTTCAGTGGCTTTTAGGGTACTATGTTTTGTTGTTATTGCTTTTGTTGTTGTTGTTGTTGTTACATAAATGAGTCATGTGATGGTGGATTCTGAGATTTTACTGCATCTGTCACCCAAGTGGAGTACATTTTACTTAATATGTAGTTTTTATTTCTAACCTCCCTTATTTCCTCCCTCTTCTTGGTCTTTAAAGTTTGTTATATCACTCTGTAATTTTTTTTCATATTCATAGCTAGGTTCCCACTTATAAGTAAAAACATTCAGTTTTTTTGCTTGTTTTTCACTCCTGTGTTATTTCACTTAGAATAATGGACTCCAGCCCCACCCAAGGTGCTGCAAAAGACATTTTTTTTATGGTTGAGTAGTACTCCATATGTGTATATAACACATTTCATTCATCCACTCATTAGTCCATAGGCACTTAGATTGGTTTCACATCTTTTCAATTGTGAATTGTGTTGCTCTAAACATAAGTGTGTAGGTGTCTTTTTCATATAATGACTTCTTTTTGAGGGGTAGATTCCTAGTAGAGGAATTGCTGGATTGAATAGTAGATCTACTTTTACCTCTCTAAAGAATCTCCATACTGTTTTCCACAGAGGCTGTACTAATTTACATTCCCACCAGCAGTGTATAAGCATTTTCTTTTCCCAACATCTATGCCAACATCTATTGGTTTTCGACTTCTTAAAAGTGATTATTCTTCTAGGAGTAAAGGGGTATCTCATTGTGGTCTTAATTTGCATTTTCTGGATCCATTAGTGATGGGCATTTTTTCATAAATATCTATTTTTGACCTTTGCCCACTTTGTGATGACAATTTTTTTGGTTTTTGTTTTTTCTTTCTGATTTGATTTAGTTATTTTTAGATTCTGGATACTAGTCCTTGGTCAGACACATCATTTACAAAATTCTTTTTCCCATTCTGTGGGTTGTCTGTTTGCTGATTATTTCTTTGGCTATTCAGAAGATTTTTAGTTTAAATAAGTCCCATTTATTTATTTTTGTTTCTGTTGCATTTCCTTTTGAGGTCTTAGTCGTATATTCTTAGCCTGGGCTAATATCTAGTAGAGACTTTTCAATGTTGTCTTCCAGAATTTTCATAGTTTCAGGTCTTATATTTAAGTCTTTGATCCATGTTGGATGATTTTATATATGGGAAGAGATAGGAATCCAGTTTCATTCTTCTACATGTGACTTGCTAGTTTCTCCATCATCATTTATTAAAATAGGGTGTACATTTTCCAATTTATGTTTCTGTATGCTTTGTCAAGTTGATTGTACATATTCGGCTTTATTTCTCCATTCTTTATTCTATCCCATTGGTCTATGTGCCCACTTTTATATCAGTACTATGCAGTTTTGATAAGTATTGTCTTGTAATATTATTTGAAGTCAGGTAATGTAATGCCTCCAGATTTTTTTCTTTTTTTTTTTTTTTTTTGCTTAGGATTAATTTGGCAATTTGGGCTCATTTTTTCCATATGAACTTTAGGGTTGTTTCTCCTAATTCTATAAAACATGATATTGGTATTTTGATGGTAATTGCATTGAATCTGTAGATTGCTTTGGGCAGTGTGGCTATTTTCACAACATTGATTCTTCAACCCCATGATCATGGGGTGTGTTTTCATTAGTTTGTGTCATTTATGATTTCTTTCAGCAGTGTTTTGTAGTTGTTTTTGTAGAGATCTTTCACCTTCTTGGTTAAGTATATTCCCAGGATTTTTGTTTGTTTTTTTTTTTTTGTTTGTTTGTTTTCTTGAAGCTATTTTAAAAGGAAATGAGTTCTTGATTCAATTATCTGCTTGGTAATTGTTGGTGTATAGCAGTGCTTCTGATTTGTGTACATTGATTTTGTAACCTGAGACTTTACAGAATTTATGTATCAAATCTAGGAGTCTTTTAAAAAAAATTACAATTTTATAGGTATACAATTATATTATTTGCATACAGCAATAGCTCAACTTCCTCTTTTCCAATTTGGATGCCCTTTATTATTTTTTCTTGACTAATTGCTCCAGCTGTGACTTCCAGAATGATGTTAAATAGAAGTGTTGAAAGTGGGCATTCTTGTCTAGTTCTTTTCTCTGGGCTATGCTTTTCTTAGGGTTTCCTCAAAGGAGCTATTTTATCTGTCTGAAGGTTCTCTTATCTCTGTTTCTCCAACATTGTTCCCTGGTGCCTTATTTATTTCCTTTTCTGAAATCATGTTTCTTTGCATGGTCTTGAAGCTTGTAGATGTTCATTAATGTCTAGGCATGGATGAATTAAGAAATTTTATAGTCTTCATAGTCTGAGCTTGTTTCTGCCTGTCCTTCTTGAAGAGGCTTTCCAGGTCTTCAAAGGAACTTGAACCCTAAGCCCAATAGCGCTGTGGTTTTTAAAGACTCATGGAGGTACCACCTTGATCATCTTGGAAGTAACCCAGAAGAATTCTCTATGTTACCAGGCAGGGAAATCTTGTCCTTTTCACTTTCTTTCTCCAAAACAGAGTCTCTCTCTGTGCTGAGTCACCTGGAATTGGGGGTGTGGTAATACAAAGACCCCTGTGGCCACCACCACTGGGACTGCACTGGGTCAGACCTGAAGCCAGCACAGCACTAGGTCTTACCCAAGGCCTATAACCACTATCTAACTCACCTAAGGCATATATCCACTACCTGACTGCCACCTATGTTCTCTCAAGACCCTAGGGCTCTACAATCAACTGGTGTTGAAGCCAGCTAGGTTGTGTCCTTCCCTCCAGGGTGGCAAGTTCCCTCAGATCCTGTACAGGTCCAGAGATGCTGTCTGGGACCCAATGATTGGAGTCACAAACCTTAGAAATTTACCTGGTGTTCTATTCTACCATGGCTAAGCTGGCATTAAAACCACAATATCAAGTTCTTCCCACCCTTTTCTCCCCTTTCCACATGGAGAGTAGCTTCTCCATATGGCCACCACAACCACCAACCCATGGAGGCTTCTGCCAGGCCACCGCCAATGTTCACTTAAACCCCAAGGGCTTTTTTAGTCAGTGTGTTGTGAATGCTGCCAGGCCTGGGTCTCACCCTTCAGGGAAGTGGGCTCCCCTCTGGCCCAGGGAAGGTCCATAAATGATGTTCATGAGCCTAGGCCTGGACACAGGAACCCCAAGATCCTGCTTGTTGCTCTACCACACTGTGGTCGAGCTAGTATTTAAGGTGCAAGACAAAGTCCCCTTTATTTTTCCCGCTGCTTTTCTCAAACAGAAGGAATCTTTCACCATAGCCATCACAGCTGGGAATATGCTGAGTCACACCTGAAGTCAGCATGTCTCAGAGCCCAGGGTCCATGGCATACCACCTGGGCATCATTGCTGATTATTCTGCTCTCAAGGGCTCTTTAGTCAGAAGCTGATAAATTCTGCCAGGGCTGGGTCTTTGTCTTCAAGGCAGCAGGTTCCCTTTAGAACCAGGATGTGTCTAGAAATGTCATCCATGAGCTAGGGCCTGGAATTTGGGCCTCAGGACTTTAACTTGTGCCCTATCCTACTGTGGCTGAGCTGGTATCCAAGACGCAAGAAAAAGTCCTTTTTATTCTTCAGTTTCCTCTCCTTAAGGAGAAGGGAGGAGTCACTTTCATTGCTGTGATCTGCACTTCCTGGTGTTGAGGGAGATGTGGCACAAGCACTCTGTTAGATACCCTGACTCATGTCTCCCTAGGTTACATGTAGCCCTAGTCCTCTGGCTCTAAGCCGAGCATATCCCTAGGAATTGCCTAGGAATTGCAGCCCTTGTGTCCTAGACTGCCTTTCAATTTAACCTGGAACCCCAGAGCACTTTTGTCTGCTATGGTAAGGCTAGTGGAAAAACCCAAATTCTGACCACTGGAATGGGTTATTCCCCTCTTGCCAGGGCCGTTCCAAATGCTCCCTCTGTGCACAGGTGCAGGCTGATCCAAGCATGGCTTTGCTCTCTGCTATGACAGGGATGCTCTAAGCTCAGTGTAGAGTTCCCACAGTCACTGCACTTTCCCACTTGCAAGTGCACAAACTCTCTATGCTGCATAGCCTCTGCTGGGGCATGGGGAGGGATGACATCAAGGATTCAAGATTTTCTTTCTGACCCTTTCCAATGTCTCTTTCAGTGATATGAAGTTAACACCATGTGTTTTAATTGCTTACCTGATTTTTGCTTCCTGTGATAGTGCTTTTCTATGTGCAGATAATTTTTAAAATGTGGTGTTCCTGCAGGAAGGATAAATAGCGTGGGCTTCTGTTCTACCAACTTGTTCCACCCCCAAAGTGTTTTTTAAGAAACTATGATAAACAATTCTGCCACACTTGCAGAACACATTTATGATTATATACACAGCACATATATATAAATATCATAATAGTTATCAATTTTTACATACCCTATATAAATATATGTCAATACAGATGTGGATGTGGCTATAGATATTGTTAGATCTATTTTGGGGGGAATCCTGGTCTTCAGCAATATATTGTTGTTTCAGCTACCAAAATACTAATAACTGTAAACTAATTTAAATATTCGAAGCACCTGCTAATATTAGTAACTATTCACAATTCAAATGATCCTGTTAATGTATTCAGAAATGACGCGACCAATCTGGAATATTGCAGTTCCATGAAGTCATTGAAATTTTAAGATAAGCAGTATAGCTATAAGAAAATATTGCTTTAATAAAAGTAAGCATAAATGAAGCAATTATTTGAACTAAAATAGAAAATGTTTTCAATATTCACCATTACTATTTTAAGATTTTATATTTTGCACTTTATGAACCTAAGTTTAAACTGGTATGCTGAATTTCAGTGCGAGACAAACAGGTTATTTTCCGCTTAATTTTTACATGCTCACTTCTGCCTTTTGCAGATTTAGCATGATTGATTGTACTAGTTAGTAATGTAGATCAGAATGCAGTATTTAAAACAAGTAGTTACTGCACTAATGCTTTTTGGACCACTAGTTTGCAAATTAACTGACTTTTAAGTTAGCTCCCTCACTATGTATCAAGTTACATTGCAATAGACTTCTAATTTATCTTGTTGTTCTGTGTAAAAGGCAGTGGTATATTAAGATGCAAAAGTCAACAATTCATGCATAGAATGGATACAGCTTCTTTCATTGCAGCAAGAATGTCCACATTCTGCTTCCATTAGTGAGTGTACTCTGATGCTAATTTAGACAGAGCACTGTCAGAAATTGGGGTCAGGAGCTTTCTGAGCTCAGAGATAAGAGACTCCTTTAATACCATATTCTGAATTACTTTTCTTCCTGAACATCCTCAGGCCACCACTGAAGGACCTGTATCTGGAAGTATAAAAGCATTACATGTAGCAAGTTTAATGATGGCAGTGACTGGATTGCATCACTAGCAATTTTCAGATTAGAATTGCTGGAGGAGTAAATGATGAATAAATAAAATAAAGTTAATTAAAGATAGGTAAATCTAATTAATCATTTTGTAGGAAGTAAAAGCTACAGGAAGCTGATACGTGGGGAAAAATAAAAGAGGTTTTAATAGACTGGAGGTTTTTACGAAATCAGAGGACAGATACAATGGTAATAGTAAAGTTAGCAATCTGTAAATCTAGGTGAGACCATGGGGAACGATAGTTGAGGTGGGGTGAAAATCGACATGTCCATCAAAGTCAGCTGGCACAACGAAGGGGTTTGAGACAGAGATGTCAAAGTCTGGTAAATAAAAGCAGAATTTAAAAATTCACCGGCTGTGTCATCATCAGTGCTGACAACTATAAATAAGGCAATTACTTGAATACTCTATTGATGTTGAAATACATTTTAAAAATTGGTTAGCAAAGGAGTGGCTTTGAATGTAAACCCCTCGAGTAAATTAAACTAATAATTTTAGGCAGTTTACCATGTCTTGTATATTTAATTGCATTTCTTATCCTAAGAACCTTAAGATTTCCATCATCAAATCTACAAAAATTGTTTGACTTAAAATTGCAAGATGTATATTAAAGAGGTTGTTGGCCCCAGTCAAATGTTGCATTACAGCAATTTGTTAAAATACATAAAACTATTAAAATTAAAAAATTAGTATACATATCTACAGAATAACACAAAATAACTACAAATTTTAAGAATGTTTTCTGATTCAGCACTTCATCTGGATCACTGTGAATTTTGTTGTGTCTTGATTTCAACTCTCAGAAAAATTGGGAAACAGTAATGAACTATTTAAAAAGCACCGAACTGTGTGTCTGAGAACTATGTTCTAGTCCCACGTTCTATTTTGTCTTCTCACAGAATAACTAAGATTACCTCCCTGAAGTTCAGTTTCATCATCTGCAAGATGAAGCAATTGAACACACGGGGTAATTTCTGACATTCTATAACTCAAAACTTCTCTTGAGAACATGCCTTATTCATTCCTCTTTTTCCACTTGTTTTTATTTAGATATCTTCTCCCCCAATGCCATAATCCATGCAACCACAAACATCGTTGCCAAATATTCTCCACCCTGGTATTTTATGTCAAAAGTGTTGCCTCTTCCTCTTTTTCAATGACCAGGGAATGGGGACATGGAGAATGGTATTTCTTTAGGATCACGTGTCTGTCCTAGAATCCCTCAAATCAGAGCATATAGATAAGTGCCTTGTCATAACATGAACCCTTTAAGGAAATGCTTTTTACTCATATCTTACATTATTTGGCCAATATAAATTATTAACTGCCTTTTACACAGGCAAATTTCAGGAACTGCTTTCCATTCCATTTGAAGACTGAACAAACAATCTGCTTTTATTTTGTGATTCAATGCATTTATTACCAAAGAGAAATAGAAGAAGCCTTTATTGTCACACCGACAGCAACTGGGAAGGTACCCTGCATGATAAGATGTCTCAGCAGTGAGCCATATGTTTCTCTTAATAGACAGGGAGATAATAAGAAGCCCTTACCATAACTGTTTCTGTCAGGATAGAAACAACCACAAACCCCTCTAGATCAGAGGCTTACAGTATCTAAGAATTTAAGGAAGGCATAAGATACCTCTTAATAATGTAGGGGTTAAAGTAAATATCTGGATTGAAACATGGGCCATTTTTTTTTTTCAGCCAATGGCTCAAATTTTTAGTTTAACCACAACAGAGCTTATATGAAATCATACATTGAATATTACACAAAGGTTAGCTTCAGTAGAAAGAATACAGAAATTTAAGAAAAAACAGATTTTAAAAGTAAACAGTAATGTTGAAGGAAATTAGAAGATACAGGGACTACTCAGTAATTCGCAAAACATATTTATTTTAAAAGGTAGTTGTACTAAGAGATAATAATGGTCAATGAAGTTAATAACATTTAGAAATAAAAGCTAGAATCTTTTAAGTGACATTTGGGTAAAAATTATTTTTTTTCTATTTATACTTTTTCTCATTCTTTTTAAACAGAGGAAAAAAAAACACTTGAAATCCAATTTTATGTGTAAGTATGGGCTGCTTGAAGGCTAGAATCATGCCTTGTTTATCAACGTATCCTAGCATATAGACATTTAAAATGTGTCTTAAGTACATAAACGAAAGAAGGAAGGAACAAAGGAAAGTGATAATTTCTGAAAGATTACTTGGAATGTACACTGGTATTCATTGATTGATAAGGCAATTAGTGGAATAAAAAATATTAGTAAAAAGATTGTTGAAATACACATGAAATGATAGGATGCCAGTACTTACTACTTTTAACAAAAGTGGCATGATTATATAAGATGTAAACATTGGGGGCTATTGGGTAAAAAATATATGAGAAGTCTATCTTTGTAACTTTTCTGCATATCTAAAATTATTCCAAAATAAAAATTTAATATTAAAAAAGTTAAGCTTGAGATATTCTTTGCCTTAAAATGTTTACAAATTTGCACTGAAGACACACCATAGGGTAAATAATAATATTTTAATATCTAGGTCATCCTCACTTTCCATAATTGTGTTGAACTCTAAAAGTGACTTGAGAAGTAATCTTAGCAATCAATGGGAAAATCTACAGTTGTTCCGTGACCTCTAAAATGCTTCTTTGTGGGAGCTGGGACAGTTAGCCAACTAGATGCAGCCAGGTGGAACAACTGCCACCAAGGGACTGACTGGTGCCTTCCTAAAAGATCTTCAGAGGGAAGGTCCTGAGAATGGACAGAGGGAAGACAAGGAAGCTGCATTAAAGGGAGATGAAACTGAAAATGACACAGGCAGAAATGCACCAGGGCATGTTTCTGGTCCCCATTGACTCTGGAGGAACAGGTGAGTTGAGCTGGCAAGGAGCAACCCACTCTCACCACAAGCCTCTGGAATCCCTGCAGAAGGAGACTTCTTCACCACCATGGACGCTTGAGTTGGCAGGGAGAGCTGCTTAGAGAAGGGGTATGGGCAGCACTTAAAATCTGGTGCAGGACACAGAGGGTTTGGTGCAGGCATGTCTGCAGCGGAGCACGGGAAGGGACACTCACTCCCCTAGGTTCGACTTGCTTCCACAGGACACTCTAGCCCTAGCAGAACTTTAAGACTTGAACTCTACAGGGCAGTCTTTCCCATCAGACGAGCCTAGTCTGAAAAGAGCACCCTTTGGGCGGCTGGCCTCTCCCAGGGCCCCAGCCTAGCCATGCCTGCTTGAAGTGCAGCCTTGGGTTCCCTGGGGGATTACATCATAGCTGCTGCACTGGCAGGACACACCTGACAGGTACAGAGTTCCAGCAAAGAAGCCACTGTGGACATGCAGCAGCCTCCCCACTTCCTCCCCCTACTGCACCTTCCCCCAGGCCCAAGACCATCCCAACATTGCATTGCCAGTGCACATGTACATGAATGGATCTTGCCTTCTCTGCCATGCCAGCGTGCATGTGTGTCTGCACCCTGCCCTGCCACTACTGTCAGTGTGAGTACACTGTGTCCCCCCTCCCCCTGCCATACCAACAGTGCAGTCACAACCTTGATGGCAACACAGCCCACCAGCACTGCCTGTGCCAGTGTCCCACACCTGTGTCAACACTGCCACTGGAGTGAAACTAGACACAAAAAACAACAAATCTTCTGACACCCTGAGTAGCCACCTTTTCCTGCATGAATGGACACACAGGATGCACACAGTTCTGTGCCTGCCAGCGCCCCACCCCCGTACTAATACCACTACCAGTGAAAATGCACACACAGTCACCAGCAGAGGCCCCTCTCCTTCAAGCTGTGCTGCCTCCACCACTTCTCCATGCCCACATGGAAGCTGGCACCCCCCAGCAGCCTGGCACCCACTAGCACCCTGCCTCAGCTGATTAATGTGCACCCCATTGTGCTGCTGCTGCCACTTCTACTGCCACTCACACATGTGAACAATGATGGATTCCACTGCCACTGCTCTGTGAAATGCTTTGGCTGGCATCACACATCAGAGTGTTATGACCAATGGTCTAGGAGCACCTTGGCTCTCCCCAGTGCAGTGGGTTCTTAACCTCCAGGAGCCAGATAACAAAGTCAAGGCCTGATACAAGTCCTCCGGAGTTAGAGTGCAAAGTTCAGGAGCTGTGAGCTGAGCCTTGGCCCCATAAAATATTCCAGAAATGAAGCCAGTCAACTGAACACACTTTATACCACAATCCAATCATTAAGGTAATAAAATAGAATATTTTTTTAATCCGAAAGACAGCACTTCACAGATTGAAATAAATGTCAATCCACAAAGAAGAGAAAGAACCAGCACAAAAACTCTGATAACTCAAATAACCAGGGTTGCATCTTTTCTCTGAACAACTGCACTAGCCCTCCAGCAAAGGTTCTAAAACAAGCTGAGATGGCTGAAATTACAGAAATAGAATTCAGAATAGAGATAGGAAGAAAGATCATTGAGCTACAGGATTACATTGCAACTCAATTGAAGGAGGCTATGAATCATAATAAAACTAAATTGATGATTCACTGGTGTCCCTGGAAGAGATGGGGAGAAGCAACTTGGAAACCACATTTCAGAATATCATCCATGAGAACTTTCCCAACTTAGCTAGAGAGGCCAAGACTCAAATTCAGGAAATGCAGAGAACCCCAGCAAGATACTTTCCATGAATGTGATCCACAAGACATATAATCATCAGATTCTCCAAGATGGAAACGAAAGAAAAAATGTTAAAGTGGCTTGGGAGGAAGGTCAGGTCACCTACATAGGGAAACTCATCAGACTAACAGCAGACCTTTCAGCAGAAATCCTACAAGCTAGAAGGGATTGGGGGCCAATATTTAACATTTTTAAAGAAAAGATTTTCTAACTCAGAATTTCACATCCAGCCAAATTAAGCTTCATAAGTGAAGGAGAAATAAGACCCTTTTCAGACAAACAAATGCTGAGGAAATTTGTTATCACCAGACCTGCCTTACGGGAGCTCCTGGAAAAAGCATTAAATATGGAAATTAAAAACCATTACTAGACACTAAAGAAACACATTTATGTACACAGACCAGTGACAGCAACCACAAATAAGCAACCACACAAACAAATCTGAATAATAACGAGCTAATATAATTAAGACAGGATCAAATCTACACATATCAATACTAACCTTAAATGTAAACAGGCTAAATGTCCCAATTAAAAGGTACAGAGTGGCAAGTTAGATAAAGAAGCAGTGCCCAATGTTATGCTGTCTTTAAAATACCTATCTTCCATGCAAAGACAACCAATGGCTCAAAATAAAGAGATGGATAATTACCTACCAAGTAAATGAAAAACTGAAATAAACAAAGGTTGTAATTCTAATTTCAAAGGAAACAGACTTTAAATCAACAAAGATCTTCATAGACAAAGAAAGGCATTAATCACATAATGGTAAAGGGTTTAATTCAGCAAGAAGACCTAACCATCCTAAATATATATGCACCCAACATAATAGCACAAAGAGTTATAAAGAAATTTTTAGAGACCTTCAAAGACACTTAGACTCCCCTACAATAATTGTAAGAGGCTTTAACACCTCACTGACCATATTAGACAGATTATTGAGGCAGAAAATTAAAAAGAAATTCAGGACCTGATCTCAACACTAAATCAAATGGAACTGATAGACATCTACATAACTCTCCACTCAAAAACAACATAATCTACATTCTTCTCATTGTCACATGGCACATACTTTACTACTGACCACACAATAAGGCTTAAAACAATTCTCAGCAAATGCAAAAAAAACTGAAGTTATACCAACCTCTCTGTTAGAACACAGTGCAGTAAAATTAGAAATTAAGACAAAGGAAATAGCTCAAAACCATAATATTTCATGGAAATTAAATGACCTGATCCTGAAAGATTTCGGAGTAAATAATGGAATAAAGGCAAAAATCAAGGAGTTCTTTGAAACTAATGAAAACAAAGAAACAACATACCACAATATCTGGGACACAACTAAGGTGATGGTAAGAAGGAAATTCATAGCACTAAATGCCCAAATCAAAAACTTAGAATGATTTCAAGTTAACAAACTAACATCATAACTAAAAGAACTAGAGAATCAAAAGCAAATTAACCCCAAAGCTAGCAGTAGAGAAGAAATAACCAAAATCGAAGCTGAACTGAAGTAGATTGATACACAAAAACAATTCAAAAGATCAACAATCCAGGAATTGGTTTTTCAAAAAAAAAAACAACAATAAAATAAATAAAAATATAGACAGACTACTAGTCAGACTAATAAAAAGAAAAGTGAGAAGTTCCAACTAAACACAAAGAGAAATGAAAAAGGGAATATTGCTACTGACTCCGAAAAATACAAATAACCAACATATAATATTACTAAAACATCTCTGCACACAAACTGGAAAACATAGAAGAAATTATTAAATTCCTGGAAACGTGTTCCCTCTCAACACTTAACCAGGAAAAAATTGAATTTCTGAACAGACTGATAACCAGCTTTTAAATTGAATCAGTAATAGATAGCCTACCAATCAAAAAAGCCTAGAAACATGGATTATCAGCTACATTCAACCAAATGTACAAAAAAGAACTGGCACTATTCCTACTGAAGCTATTTCAAAAACAAACAAACAAAAAAAAAATGGAAGGGAATGGCCTTCTCTCTAACTCATTCTATGAGGCCAGCATTATCCTGATATCAAAACATGGTGGAAACACATGCAAAAAACAAAACAAAACGAAAAACAACTTCTGGTCAATATTCTTGATGAACATTGAAACAAGTACCTTCAACAAAATATTGGCAAACCAAATTGAACAACACATCAGAAAGCTTATTCACCAGGATCAAGTAGGCTTTATTCTCAAGATGCAAGGTTGGTTGAACATATGCAAATCAATAAATGTGACTCATCACATAAACAGAAGAACATAAACAGAACTAATGACATTTTTGTCATAAACAGAACAACAAAAACTACATGATTATCTCAATAGATGCAGAAAGGCTTTTGATAAAATTTAACACCACTTCATGTTAAAAACTCCTAATAAACTAGGTGTTGAAGGAACACACTTCAAAATAATAAGAACCATCTATGGCAAACCTACAGCCAACATCATACTGAATGAGCAAAAGCTGGAAGCATTCCACTTGAAAACCAGCACGAGACAAGGATGCACTCTCACACCACTCTTATTCAACATAATATTGGAAGTCCTGGCCAGAAAAACTAGGCAAGAGGAAAAAAAAAGGAGCATCTAAATACAAAGGAAAAAAGTCAAACTATCCCCGTTTGCAGATGATATGATTGCATATCTAGAAATCTCCATAGTCTTGATGCAAAAGCTCCTTAAGCTAATAAACAACTTCAGCAAAGTCTCAGGATACAAAACTAATGTACAAAAATCACCATTATTCCTATACACTACAACAGTCAAATCAAGAGCCAAATCTGAAACACAATCCCATTCATAATTGCCACAAAAAGAATAAAATACCTAGGAATACAACAAAACAGAAAGGTGAAATGTCACTACAAGGAGAACTACAAAACAGTGCTCAAATAAATCAAAGATGACACAAACAAATGGAAAAACATTCTATGCTCATGGATAGGAAGAATCAATGTCATTAAAATGGCCATACTGCCCAAATACATTTACAGATTCAATGCTATTCCTATTAAACTACCAACAACATGCTTCACAGAACTATATAAAGAAAAACTATTTTAAAATTAATATGAAACCAAAAAAGAGCTCAAATAGCCAAGGCAGTCCTAAGCAAAAAGAACAAGGCTGTAGACATCATGCTACCTGACTTCAAATTATACTACAGGACTACAGTGAAAAACAACAAAAATCAGCATGATACTGGTACAAAAACAGACACATAGACCAATGGAATAGAATAGAGAGCCCAGAAACAAGTCCACACACCTACAACCGTCTGATCTTTGAAGAAGCTGAAAAAATAACTGACTAGCCATATGCAGAAGATGAAAACTAGACCCCTTCCTTACATCATATATAAAAATAAACTCAAGCTTGATTAAAAACTTAAATGTAAAACCCAAAACTATAAATACCCTGGAAAACAATCTAAGCCATAGCATTCTGGACACAGAAATGGGCAAAGGTTTCATGACCAAGATGTCAAAAGCAATTGCACCCAGCACTTTGGGAGGCCGAGGCGGGCGGATCACGGGTTCAGGAGATCGAGACCATCCTGGCTAACACGGTGAAACCCCGTCTCTACTAAAAATACAAAAAAAAAAATTAGCCGGGTGAGGTGGCGGGCACCTGTAGTCCCAACTACTAGGGAGGGCTGAGGCAGGAGAATGGCATGAACCAGGGGGGCAGAGCCTGCAGTGAGCCGAGATTGCACCACTGCACTCCAGCCTGGGCGACAGCAAGACTCCGTCTCAAAAAAAAAGAAAAGAAAAGAAAGCAATTGCAACAAAAGCAAAAATTGACAAATGGGATTTAGTTAAGTTAAAGAGCTTATTCTCAGCAAAAGAAACTATCAGTAGAGTGATTAGACAACCTAGAGAATGGAAGAAAGTATTTATAAACCATACAACTGACAAAAATCTAATATCCAGCATCTATAAGGAACATAAACAAATTTACAAAAAAAAAATCCCATTAAAAAGTGGGCAAAGGACATGACACTTTTCAATGGAAGACACACATGTGAACAACAAGCACATGACAAAAGCTCAGTATCACTGATCATTAGAGAAAAGCAAATTAAAACCACAATGAGATATCATTTCACAACATACAGAATGAATATTACTAAAAAGTCAAAAGATAACAGATGCTGGCGGGGCTGGGGAGAAAATGAAACACTTATACACTATCCATGGGAGTGTAAATTAGCTCAACTGTTATGGAAAGCAATGTGACAATTTTTCAAAGACCTAAAAACAGAACTACCAATTGACCCAGAAAACTCATTCCTGGGTATATACCCAAAGGAAAATAAATTGTTATTTCATAAAGACACATACATATATTTGTTCATTGTAGCACTGTTTACAACAGCAAAGACATGAAATACCTATCAATGGTAGACTGAAAAAAAAAAGTCATACATATACGCCATGAAATACTATGCAGCCATTAAAAAGAATGAGATGATGTCCTTTCCAGGTACATGAATGCAGCTGGAGGCCATTATCCTTAGGAAACTAACACAGAAACAGATAACCAAATACTGCATGTTCTCACTTACAAGTGGGAGCTAAATGATGAGAACACATGGACACATAAAGAGGTACAAAACACACTGGGGCCTACCAGAGGGTGGAGGGTAGAGGAGGGAGAGGATCAGGAAAAATAACTAGTGGGTGCTCAGCTTAATACCTGGGGAATAAATTTATCTGTAGAAAAAACCTCCATGACACAAGTTTGCCTATATAACAAACTTGCAAATGTACCCTTGAACTTAAAAAAAGTTTGGTCAAAACATAAGAAACTTTTATTATAAATGTATATAAAAAGAAAATTTCACTGTTATTTAAAACATTAGAAACACTGAGAATTGAAGTGTTTTATATCTTTACAAGAAAACACTCAAGAGTAGTTTCTATTGTACTTGCCTCCTCATTTTATGACTAGTAATAAAGAGCAAGCATCCTTTCTCTACTCTGGAAAACTGTCTGGTCCTTTATAAGTTTGGATAACCTCCCATCGTTTTATCTTTTGCGTTATCAGTGTTGTAAAACCTTTCTGATAGTCCTTTTAATGTGAAGGCTTTGATTGGTGTAACTTTCTCTTGGTCATCTTCATCCTTTTTCTTTTGTCACAACTTTCCTCACTTATGTGGATAAATTTCCCTTCATTAATTTCCTCTGGCTGCACAGGTAGATTCTCTCAGGCAGTGGCAGTGTTAAGACTCCCATGGGTAGCTATTTCTTCTATACTTACATTTATGTTTGATTCTAATTTTACTTTCAGTATTATCACCGCTTGTTTCTTTGCTATACTTTCATCTTTATTAGGTGATTCCCTATTTTAATTATTTTTGAAAAATGTCACAGGGGTTTATTACTAGGAGACAGAAGCAAACAAAACTACATGCTATGCTGCTATGCGTTAACTGAATAACACATTCAGTGAATAGTCACGGACAGACTTTAAAGGAGTGATGTGATTGATCGCTGGTCAAAATATACCCGTTATTTACGTAGTGATTTGTAAACTAAAATGCTAGCTGAAAAGTTTGTGCTTTACACTATTACTCATAATTAATATGTCATAGTAACACAAAAAACTTGTACAATAATTTTCATACAAGCATTATTGACAATAACTAATCGTGGAAAAATTCAGAATGTCCATCAACTGATTAATGGGTATACAAAATGGGCTATCTTTATACAATGAAGCATTATTTGACAATAAAGTAATGAACTACTGATACTTGTTGCAACATGGATGGATTTTAAAAACATTGTGTTGGCTGGGCACGGTGGCTCACGCCTGTAATCCCAGCACTTTGGGAGGCCGAGGCGGGTGAATCATGAGGTCAGGAGATCGAGACCATCCTGGCTAACATGGTGAAACCCCGTCTCTACTAAAAATACAAAAAATTAGCCAGGCGTGGTGGCGGGCACCTGTAGTCCCAGCTACTCAGGAGGCTGAGGCAGGAAAATGGCGTGAACCCCGGGAGATGGAACTTGCAGTGAGCCAAGATCGCACCACTGCACTCCAGCCTGGGTGACAGAGCAAGACTCTGTCTCAAAAAAAAAAAAAAAAACCAACCAACAAACAAACAAACAAAAAATTGTGTTAAGTGAATAAAGCCAGTTACAAAAAACCCACATGTCATAATATGCCATTTATATGAAATGTCAAGAGTGGGCAAATCCATAGAGACAGAAAATAGATTCATGATTACCTAAGGTTGAAAGGGTTAGGGGGAATAAGGAGTGACTGCTAATGGGTACAGAGTTTTTTTTTAGATTGATGAGAATATTCTAAAATTAGACAGTAGCGATGGTTATACACTCTGAGTATATTAAATTGTTGAATCATATATTTTAAGTTGGTAAATTTATGGCATATGAATTATATTTCAATAAAGCTACACATGCAGACACATGAAGAAACGTGTACATGCACACACACACAGTCCAAAGTCTCATCTAAGACAAGACCAGTCCCTTTCACCTATGAGCCTGTAAAAATCAAAAGCAAGTTAATTACTTCCTAGATACAACAGGGGTAAAGGCATTGGGTAAACATACCCATTCCAAATGGGAGAAATTGGTCAAAATAAAGCAGCTACAGGCCCCATGCAAGTCCAAAATCCAATGGAAAAAATCAAATCTTAAAGCTCTGAAATAATCTCCTTTGACTCCATGTCTCACATCCAGGTCATGCTGATGCAAGTGATGGGCTCCCACAGCCTTGGGAAGCTCCACCTTTGTGGCTTTGCAGGGGACACAACTCCTCATGGCTGCTTTCACAGGCTGGCATTGAGCATCTGTGGCTTTTCCACATGGTGCGAGCTGTCAGTGGATCTACCATTCTGGGGTCTGGAGGACAGTGGTCCTCTTTTCACAGATCTATTGAACAGTGCCCCAGAGGGGACTCTGTGTGGGAGCTCTAACCCCACATTTCCCTTGTGTGTTGCCCTGGCAGAGGTTTTCCATGAGGGCTTGCTTTGACCCTGCAGCAGACTTCTGCCTGGACACCAGGCATTTCCATACATCCTCTGAAATTTAGGCAGATCCCAAAATTGAGGTTCCCAAACCTCAATTTTTGACTTTTGTGCACCTGCAGGCCCAACACCATGTGGAAGCTGCAAAGGCTTGGGGCTTGCAACTTCTAAAGCAATGGTCTGAGCTCTACGTTGGCCCCCTTTAGCCACGGCTGGGATGCAGGGCACCAATCCTGAGACTGTACAAAGCAGCAAGGCCCTAGGCCCAGCCCACAAAACCATTTTTTCCTCCTAAGCCTCTGGGCTTGTGATGGGAGGGGCTGCTGTGAAGACCCCTGACATGCCCTGGAGACATTTTCCCCATTGTCTTGGTGATTAACATTTCATTCCTCATTACTTATGCAAATTTATGCAGGCAGCTTGAATTTCTCCCCAGAAAATTGGTTTTTCTTTTTTATCACATTACCAGGCTGCAAATTTTCCAGACTTTTATGTTCTCCTTTCTTTTTAAACCTAAGTTTCAATTCAAAACCACATCTTTGTGAATACATAAAACTGAATGCTTTTAACATTGCCTAAGTTACCTCTTGAAGGTTTTGCTGCTTAGAAATTTCTTCTGCCAGATGCCCTAACTTATCTCTCTCAAGTTCAAATTTCCATAAATCTCTAGGGAAGGGGCAAAATGCCATCAGTCTCTTTGCTAAAACATAGTAAGAGCCATCTTTGCTCCAGTTACCAACAAGTTTCTCATCTTCATCTGAGACCACCTCAGCCTGGACTTTATTGTCTATATCACTATCAACATTTTGGTCTAAGCCATTTAACAAGTCTGTAGGAGGTTCCAAACTTTCCCACATCTTCCTGTCTACTTCTGAGCCCTCCAAATTCTTCTAACCTCTGCCTGTTACCCAGTTCCAAAGTTGCTTTCACATTTTTGGGTATCTTTACAGCAGCACCACACTCTACTGGTACCAGTTTACTGTATTAGTCTGTTTTCATGCTGCTAATAAAGAAATACCCAAGACTGGGTAAATTATAAAGAAAAGAGGTTTAATTGACTCACAGCTCCACAAGCTGTGAAGGCCTCACAATCATAGTGGAAGACACAGAAGGAGCAAAGTCACATCTTACATGGCAGCAAGAGAACTTGTGCAGGAGAACTCCCATTTATAAAACCATTAGATCTCATGAGACTTATTCTCTACCACAAGAACAGTATGGGGAAAGTTACCACCATGATTCAATTATCTCCACCTGGTTCCCCCCTTGACACATGGGGATTACTGCAATTCAAGGTGAGATTTGGGTGGGGACACAGCCAAACCATATCAAGGGGGATACAAAGAAAGCATCATTGAGGTCTAGAACTGAAAATCACTAAGAATTTGGAGGTATTTATCCTAGATTACATTAGTTGGGGACCATTGGGTGTATTGTGTCTATAGCCTCATTTACCATTTGTAAGTCTGGGACTAGCCCGTATTCACCATTGCTTTTCTTTAGGGTGAGATTGGGGTGTTACAGGGTGAGCTGCAGGGTATAAATAGCCTATGTTTAAGAAACTTGTTAATCAGGGGCCTAAGTCTCGCTTTGACCTCTACCTGAAGAGGAAATTGCTTTTTATAATCATAGCTAGAAGGGATCTTTAGCTGAATACTACAGACATTACCACTATAGCCTTCCCTGGCATTTCTGTGGCCCAGACTTCTGGGTTAATATGAAGGCTTAGGAGCAGGTTATCACTGCGTGGCTTTCTTGAAGCATAAGATTGCATTTGGAAAAGGGGGAGTCCCTGGAAGAAAGGTTAATTGAGCTAAGGAATTTTAACAAAATGTCTCAAAGTTCAAACTAAGAAGTTTGAACAAAATGTCTCTGCCCAAAAGGGTTGTAGGGCATTCTGGCATTACTAAAAATAAATGGGAAAAGTCAGTTCTCCTCCACAGGCACCATAGAGCAGGAGTAAACCTCTGCGTAATGAGCAGCCCATTTACCCTCATTACCTGACAGGACTTAGAGGAAAAGAGGTAATCACCAATAAGGTAGCTCCCATGTCCAAAAGGAAGGTTATTGTCTTACCTGCAATGTGCAAAGCAGCCATTGGCTCCATTCCTTCAATAGTGATATTTGATCTGGGAGCCAGCCAGAGTGTAGAGCTCCTTCAGCTCAAGGTTTCCAAGGATTGCAATTTTGTCCTGGGGGCCCTTCAGCCTTTAGGGAAGTCCGAATTTTAGTCACCAAGCTTCTGGCAAAGGGGGCAAGCCTTACGGGGTTTGTTTCCATTTACCCCTTTGGGGCAGTTTGCCTTCCAGTGGCCTGCCTTCCTACATTGATGGCAGTTGCCTGGGGGTGCTTTCTGAGGGTAACTTGGAGAGGGCTGGTGGAGCAGCCAATAGTTGGAACTGCTACATTTTCTTTTGCCTCTCCCTTTCCTGAGTCCTTTTTTCTTCCTGGCCCCAGTTGTAAAAGATCAAGGAACTTATTTTGAAGATGTCAGGCATAGTATGGGTGTTGGGTCTCAGTGCTAGTTTCTTGAGTTTTCTCCAAATATTTGGGCTGCCTGAGTTAGAAAAAGCTCCTTTAGGGCCAGTTGCTCTTCTGGTTTTTTTTTTTCTTTTTTCTTTTTTCTTTTTTTTTTTTAAGACGGAGTCTTGCTCTGTCACCCAGGCTGGATGCAGTGGCCTGATCTCGACTCACTGCAAGCTCCGCCTCCCAGGTTCACGCCATTCTCCTGCCTCAGCCTCCTGAGTAGCTGGGACTACAAGCGCCCGCCACCACGCCCGGCTAATTTTTTGTATTTTTAGTAGAGACGGGGTTTCACCGTGTTAGCCAGGATGGTCTCGATCTCCTGAACTCGTGATCCGCCCGCCTCGGCCTCCCAAAGTGCTGGGATTACAAGTGTGAGCCACCGCGCCCAGCCTCTTCTGGTGTTTTTGAGTCTAGGTTAGTGTGTTTTACTAAAGCCTCTTGCAGTCTCTCTAGGAAAGTAGTGGGAGTTGCAAGTGGGCCTTGATCTATTAAGGCTAATTTATTATAGTTCACTGGCTTTGTTCTACTAGCTTGTATTCACTGTATTAGAAAGAGTAACTTGTGGTTTATTTCCCAAATATTCCCCTGGGCATTGTAATCCCAGTTGGAGCTAACCTGAGAAACTGTGGTGGCCCCCACAGGGTAGCCACTATGGTCAGTTATGTGCATGACATTTGCGCATTACAGAGCTACCTCCATAATGGAAAGTCTCCCTCGGAAAGTGACCCAGTATGGCTGTGAGGTCCCTCCAATGAGTTTAAATATTAAGCCCAGTTTATGGAACACTTTAATGTATTTTTCAGGGTTAACCATAAACTTTCCTAGTTCTGTTCTAACCTGGCTCAGGTCTTGCATAGGGAATGAAGTCTGAAACCTAGTGGGCCCACTAGGGTTGCCAACCTTTCGAAGGAAACATAACTTAAGGGGCTCGTGTTCTGAGGATAGCCCTGGGTAGGGATGGGAAGGCTCTGAGACTGGAAAACTTGGATATAATGTGGGTAGAAGGAGCAGTGGGGTTTGAGTTAGGTTCTGCCTTTTGCTCCTCTGGGGTTTGAGCTTTGGGCAAGCTTGATAATGGGTCTCCTAGACTAACTGGAGGAGCTTGCCTGAGTGTGACTGCTGCTATTGGTGGATACATTTAATAAGCCTGATAAAGGTCAGGGTTGTCTTTCAGGGCCATGAAAGACTGAAAAGGAATCTGTGTCCATTTTCCTGCTGGTGGCAAAACAAATCTCACTGATGGATCATATTAAAATTTATGCTTTCATTTAGGGGCCAAGATTCCTGGTCCTGGAGCTTGTATTGAACCCAGGCTGTGTTAAAGAAAAATATTAGCCTTCTCCTTTTTAGGGTTTGGGAGTCAAACTTTTCCCAGTTCTTGAGGATATATCCAAGGATATGTCCTGTCGTATGGAGATATGATTACTCATCCATGAAGTGAGAACAGAGGAGAGAAATGAAAAAGAAGGTGTCCCCTCTTATTTACCTACCATCCATGAAGAAGACATCTCCCATTCATCCTTGGGATAAAGGATACCCTAACCTTGGTTCCACATATTATGGAGGTGTGATTATCCCACTGGATACCCTAACCTTGGTTCCACATATTATAGAGGTGTGATTATCCACTTGAGAACAGAGTAGATACGGGAATAAGAAAAAGCCCTCTATTTATCTCTGGGATTTCAGAATAAATCCGTCTTACTGCGTACCGTGAACCTTGCCTTCCTATCTGTTATCATGGTACCCTGTTCTGTGCATGTACCCTGGACCAGCCTTCATCTCAGTCCTACAGGTAATTTGTTTTCCTGCGCCTGTGGTCTTGGGTTGGCTTATGTCTTTGTCTTCAGGACCTTGCAGTGACTTTCATCTGGAGCATCCTAGCAATGAAATGATTCCCCATCCTTTTTTTTGTTCCTATTTTGTAGGTCCTTTTAGGTAAATGAGAACTCTGTGCCCAACCATAAAGAAAAGCCATAAAGAAGCTGGGCTCCTTTACTGCTGCATGTAGTCTTGGAGATCTTTGTGCATGTTGACAATGGCATGGAGGGAATCAGAAGAAAGTAGGAAAATTGTATCATCTTGCTGGTAAAAATGTAAAATAGTTCAGTCCCTTTAGACAACAGCTTGTCATTCCATAAATAGTTAAACATACAGTTACCATAGTATTCAGCAATTCCAGTACTAGGCATATACTCAAGAAAATTTAAAACATATATGTCTACAAAAACATGTACATGAATACTCATAGCAGCATTATTCATAATAGCTAAAAGGTGCAAACAGCCCAAATATCCATTCAACTAATTCATGAATAAACCAAATGTGATATACAAATAGACTGAAATATTATGCAGCCATAAAAAGGAAGGAAGTACTGATATATGCTTCAGCATGGATGAACCTTAAGAATATTATGTTAAATGAAATTAATCATACACAAAAAAACACAGAAAGTGTGATTACATTTTTTCTTCATGTGGATCCTTTCTTTATGATTATGGTAGAACTTAAAATAAATGGTAGCTGTACATGTCAATGTGAGCATTTTAAATATTTAATGGAATAACACCACAGTAATGATTAATCAAAAATAATAATTGATGAATAATAGAGCACAACACAAATAATTGGATGATAGTAATGTAAACAATTTTTAAAAAACCCACAAAACTCAAAAATCATAAGACATAACAAGATTATATTTTAATATACAACTTTTATACAACCAAAAAATAAAACATCATGGTAAAATAAATGAGAAGTAACATGGTATTTCATTTGCAATACTTGATATAATGGCAACATCCTTAATCATAAATGAGCTCTTAGAAATCAGTAACAAAAAAAATCTAATATTTTAATAGAAGTTAAAATAAAAATAATACAGGAAAATTAGAAAAATTTCTATTATTATTTCTATTAGAATAATTAATAAGGGTATACAAAGATGATGTAACTTAACAATAATAGATGAAAAGAAATTCCATGATAGACAAATCCATAGAGACAGAATGTATATTAGTGTTTTCAGGGACTGGGAGTAGGGTATTTGGGGATTTACAGCAACAGGCATTTTTTTTTAATTTTTTTAATTTTAAGGGTGCTGAAAATATTATGGAATTACATAGGGATTATTTTTTAACAAGCTAGAGAACATACTAAAAAGCTTTGAATTTTACACACTAAAATGTGAATTTTATGGCATGTATTATATCTAAATTTAAAATAAATTAAAATCACAGAAAATTCAGAAATAATCTTCATTCTAAAACATGCTTATAGGAGGTGCCACAGTTTTTTTCTGGAACACTTTTCTCAGATCTAACTTGTAAAATATGTGATGAATTACTTTTCTTAATGTGAAATTCCATCTGTAGCAAGTTGCATTTATTTTTATGTGTACATCTGTGATAACATCTCTATTTCCTCAGTTTGTATCTAATATGTGGTCACTATTGTCAACCTTATAGTTACTGATTTTATAAGGTCAGAAATAAATTTCATAATGAGATACTTTTACTTGGCATTTCCTTTTTTCAGTAGCTTGATAATGTTTGCATTGTAAACATTTCATTTTCGGTAGGGGGAAAAAGTAGCAATAGTACATAGAACCATAAATAAAACATAACAGACCTTAATGAGTGTCGATATAAAGCCAATATGTTAAGTGCATTTATATGTGTGAGCTATGCTACAACTAATCCTACATAAGGAAAATAAAAAAATTAGAAAAAAATCAAGAAAAAAATAATTTAAAAAATTGCATGTATTTCAAAAATAAACCTGAATTTTTAAAAAATTAACAAAGCACTTGTAATAATGCTAGAATAATAAAAACCCTCCAATTGCTGAAGACATTGTACTACTGCATTTAAACCACTTAATCCTATTGTATTTTATGTAATCATTAATAGAGCTAATGTTAAGAGAGTTCCTAAAAATAATATTATTTTCTCATAGAATTGCTGTGATAATTAAATGAATAAAAGCATATAAAGTACTGAGAACACTGCCACAGTAAATAATACCTACTTTCCTACCGTAAGTGTATGAGCTTCTGATAACAGAAGTTTTGACTACTTCATTCATTGCCTTATCTCTGATGCTTATAAAAGTGGGTGACATGAGGGGCAGTCAATAAATATTCATTTAAAATTATGTTGAATAAGTGAAGGCTCTAGGGGAAATTGTCATAACCTCCTTTGTATCTCCAGTACTTGTGAAACTATTTTAAGAAAGGATGTTTAATTAATGTGAATTGAACTTTTCAATACAGTTCTTAGAATATTTGCACCTCTAAAAACAAAGCTATTTACTGACTTTATTTGGTCTCAACAACTAAAGAAAAGAAGTCCCTGTGGTCAAAATGAAATGTTTTCAAGAAAGGCCTTGAAACATTAGAAACATAACGTGGAACAGTTTTCTCTGACATTTTCCAGGCTGTTACTCTAGAGCGACTGAAATGTGTCTTTACCTGCATTGTAAAACCGGCCATCTACTTTAGTGATAGTTTTTCTTAAAAAAATACTCAAACAATAATAACCTTTCTTCTTTCTCCCATTTCAACTAGGGATTATATGTTTTACAAAATATAGCATTATCAGCCTAATATCTATGCCTGCCACTCTGATGATTAACATTGCGATGCTCCATATTTTGAGGGAACAAGCTTTGGCTGTGATTTAGTAATGTCATATAAA